>NC_000008.11:60927265-61552265 GCF_000001405.40 Homo sapiens
GAAGGTAAAGGGGCTGCTCTGGCTACTGCTGGTGAGTCCCTGGAGCATTTATCATCTTAGGTCTGTAGAAGTGAGCCATCTGATCCCTGGAGATGCTTACACCCTCTCTGAAGAAAGTGTGAGGGGTGTTTCTGGTCTCTGTTTTGGAAAAGTAGACTGTTGGCCAAACCTTCTCAGAGGGAATTCAAGAGGCAGGCTGGGCTGGAAGGACACAGTCCACTTAACCCCTTGTCCCGGGCTCCTCTCAAAATATCTAGTGAGTGTGGCTGGCTGGCAGGAAGGGAGAAGCAGCTGAAGGCAGAGGATGTGGTTACTTTGCAAGACCCTAGTTCTGTTACAGGATCAAAAAAAATTGTTGCAAAACACATTTATGTTACAATTTAATAGGTGTGTACCTACTAAAACAGCTCAGCTTGTGTGTGTGTGTGTGTGTGTGTGTGTAGGTGTTTGCCTTGGTATTATATGGAAGGTCTTGGTCACAATACACTTCTGTGGTCAATGACTGTTAGTGTGATTGGTATAGTTTACCCAGAAAGACAATCATATCTCACTGGGTTAGTTTTCTGGGGCTGCAGTAACAAAGTAGCAGAGACTAGGTGGCTTAAACAACAGAAAGTTATTTTCTCACAGTGCTGGTGGCTGGAAGTCAGAGATCAAGGTGTCAGCACGGTTGGCTTCTCCAGGGCCTCTCTCCCTGGCTTGTACATGACTGTCTTCTCCCTGTGTCCTTACACGGTCTTCCTGTGTACACATCTGTCTGTGTCCCAATCTCCTCTTTCCTTAGGGACATCAGTCACATTGGATTACTGCCTACTATAATGGCCCCATTAATACGATTAACTTAGTCACCTCTTTTAAAAACTTTTTCACCAAATGCAGTCACATTTTGAAGTACTGGGGTCAGGACATTAACATATAAATTTTGGGGGGACACAATTCGGCCCATACCATGCACATGAAGAGTCACCATGGTTCAGAATAGGTTCTTGGAGTTTAGAAGGTTATAGGGGTTTAACCATGAAAAAAATAAAATGTATTAATAAGTTTTTTTTTTCTGAAAAGAAGAAATGCTTCACCCTGGGAGGTCGAGGCTGCAGTGAGCCAGGATTGCGTCACTTCACTCCGCCTGGGTGATATGGCGAGACCCTGTCTCAGAAAAAAAAAAAAAAAAAAGAAGAAGAAAGAAAAAACAGCAAAAACATTTTAGTACTTTTCAGAACCAGTTATGCTTTGTTTATCCTGCAGAATAAAGACAGGTAAATATAAAACTAAAGTATTTATGTTAGGGTGGTAGAATTTGGGTCATTAAATTTGTTTCTATTTTATTAATTCTATTGGTATGTATTACATCACCCTTATCTTTATTTATTTATTTATTTATTTATTTATTTATTTATTTATTTATTTTTTGAGACGGAGTCTCGTTCTGTCACCCAGGCTGGAGTGCAGTGGCGCGATCTCGGCTCACTGCAAGCTCCGCCTCCCGGGTTCACGCCATTCTCCTGCTTCAGCCTCCCGAGTAGCTGGGACTACAGGCGCCGGCCACCATGCCCGGCTAATATTTTTTTGTATTTTTAGTAGAGACGAGGTTTCACCGTGTTAGTCAGGATGGTCTCGATCTCCTGACCTCGTGATCCGCCTGCCTCGGCCTCCCAAAGTGCTGGGATTATAGGCGTGAGCCACCGCGCCCGGCCCCATCACTCTTATTATTAAACGTTGGCAATGCAGAGTGAATAGAGACATTACACATTAGAAACTACTTATTTCTACCTCTTCATTTTAGCATAAGTTGAGACACAGAAAGACAGAGTGAGCTGCCAAGGCCATGACCAGGCCCCAACCCCTGGCCCCCATCTGCCCACACTGGGCAGGTGAAACCCCCTGACTGCATGGATGTAGTTGGGTTGGTTCTTAGATTCACACAGGCTGACGGAAATAGACTGGAGTTATTACATGAGATGATCATCCTCTGATCCGGAGTTGGGACTTTTGCTACTGTTTCAGAGAATACTTTCCTTTGTTTGTTTTTCTGATAAATCTTGAAACCAGTGCAGACTCTTCCGCAGCCTCCACAATACCCAGGTGAGACATGCATTGTCTCATCTCCCTTCTCATCTCTGCCCGCAACGCCCACACAAACAAGAGTTGAGACGGGGTGAGTACTAGAGTCCTTCCTGATTCTCTGAACATAGTAGTTTATTCCTTTCTTTGTAAAAACAATGTGAAAGCACCAGATCTGGGTGCTGCTTGTTTCAACAGGAGGCAGGTGTGGCGTGAGCTGGTCCTTCATGGCTTCCCACTGTTCCACCACAGCCCTCCTGGGAAACACTTCCTGCAACACAGGAACTGCCCGTCAGCACACATTTATCATGAGCAGCACCACACTCTCTGTTCGGAGTCTGATGGGAATTAACATCTCAGGTTGCATGAATGTCTCCTGAAGGCCAACTAGTGATTTCCTAAGTCAACTACTTCCTTATTGCAATTACCATTAGGATGCACAGATGTTTGTTTATAGGTCTGAGGAAGGATACTGTATTGTTTGATATGTGGAAGGGCTAGTGTGTGTGTGTTTTTAAAGTCATTCCCCTGAGTCCTGAGCTAGATGGTTTATTTCTCAATGACATGGAATCCCTCAGCCGTTCCTTGCTGTCAAGACCAAACTTGCCATCTGCTCAGAGACACTCTGGGTCTGTGCCCAGGATTGTCTAGTAGAACTCATGTCCTCCGCCTTTTCCACTTCTTGTCTCTTCTCGGAATATGCAACTTTCCCCCTCTTGCCCTTACCTGCTTCTCCAGAACATACTCCCAGAACATAATTCCTTACTTCTACATTTATGCAAGTCTCAAAGTTTTCCTTTTTCTTGATTTGGGATAGCACAATTCATCCCAAATCGCTTTTCAGGAGCAATTTTTAAAATTTGTGGTAAAATGTACATAACATAAAATTTTATTTTAACCATTTTTTTTCTTTTATTTTAGGTTCATAATGTACATGTGCAGGTTTGTTATGTGGGTAATTATGAGGCTTGATGTACGAATGATCCCACCACCAAGGTAGTGAGCATAGTACCAAGTACGTTGCCTTCCCACACACACACTGTCTCACCCGCCACCCTCAAGCAGTCCTCCGTGTCTATTGTTTCCATCTTTGTGTCCATAAAACCTAGTTTTCTTTTGTTAATTTTTAATATTGAATTTTAATTAATTAATTAATTCATTATTTTTTAAACTTTTATTTTAGGTTCAGGGGTACATGTGCAGGTTTGTTCACAGGTACATTGCGTGTCACAGGAGTTTGTGTGCAGATTATTTCATCACCCAGCATAGTACATGATAGATAGTTTTTTGATCCTCACCCTCCCCCCACCCTTTACCCTCAAGTAGGCCCTGGTGTCTGCTGTTTCCTTTTTTGTGCCCACGTGGACTTAATATTTAGCTCCCACTTACAAGTGAGAACATGCAGGAAGAAATTGAATCCCTGAACAGGCCAATAATGTGTTCTGAAATTGAATCAGTAATAAAAAGCCTACCAGGCCAGGCGCGGTGGCTCACACCTGTAATCCCAACACTATGGGAGGCTGAGGCAGGTGGATCACCCGAGGTCAGGAGTTCAAGGCCACCCTGGCCAACATGGTGAAACCCTGTCTCTACTAAAAATACAAAAATTAGCCAGGCGCGGTGGTGCATGTCTGTAATCCCAGCTACTCAGGAGGCTGAGGCAGGAGAATTGCTTGAACCTGGGAGGTGGAGGTTGCAGTGAGCTAAGATTGTGCCACTACACTCCAGCCTGGGTGACAGGGTGAGGCTCTGTCTTTAAAAAAAAAAAAAAAAAAAACAGCCTACCAATCTGAAAAAGCCCAGGACCAGATGGATTCACAACTGAATTCTACCAGATATATAAAGAAGAGCTGGTACCATTCCTACTCAAATGATTCTAAAAAATTGAGAAGGAGGGACTCCTCCCCAACTCATTCTATGAGGCCAACATCATCCTGATACCAAAACCTGACAGAGACACGACAAAAAAAGAAAGCTTCAGACCAATACCCTTGATAAAAATAGATGCAAAAATCCTCAACAAATCCAAATCCAGCAGCACATCAAAAAGCTAATCTACCACGATCAAGTAGGCTTCATCCCTGGGACACAGAGTTGGTTCAACATACACAGATCAGTATATGTCATTCATCACATAAACAGAACTAAAAACAAAAGCCACATGATCATCTCAATAGATTCAGAAAAGGCTTTTGATAAAACTCAACATCCCTTCATGTTAAAAACTCTCAATAAACTAAGCATTGAAGGAATATACCTCAAAATGAGAGCCATCCATGACAAACCCACAGCCAACATCATACTGGATGGGCAAAAACTGGAAGCATTTCCTTTCAGAATCAGAACAAGACAAGGATGCCCACTCTCAGCACTCTTTTTTTTTCTTGAGACAGGGTCTTGCTCTGTCACCCAGGCTGGAGTGCAATGGCATGATCATGGCTCATTGCAGCCTCGATCCCTTGGGCTCAAGCCACCCTGCCACCTCAGCCTCCTGAGTAACTGGAACTACAGGTATTACACCACCACACCTGGCTAATTTTAAAATTTTTGGTAAAGATGAGGTTGCACTATGTTGCCCAGGCTGGTCTTGAGCTCCTGTACTCAAGTGGTCCTCACACCTCAGCCTTCCAAACTGCTGGGATTACTGGTGTGAGCCACCATGCCTGGCCCATTTTAGCCAGCTTTAAGTGTACATTTCAGTAGCATTAAGGACTTTCACAATGTTGTGCAACCATCATCACCATCCATCTCCACACATTTTCTGTCATCCCAAGTAGAAACTCTGCCTGTTAGACATGAGCTCCTTATTCTCCCGTCCCCAGTCCCTAGGAGCTTCTATTCTACTTTCTGTATGTATGACTTTGCTTAGTCTAGTTGCCTCATATAAATGGAATCATAAACATTTGTCCTTTTGTGACTGGCTTATTTCACTTAGCATAATGCTTTTAAGGTTTATCCATATTATACCATGTGTCAGAATTTCATTCCTTTTTAAGGTTGAATACCATTCCATTGTATGTCTATACATTTGTGCATTCATCTGTTGATGGACATTTCTATCAGTGATATTGTTTCTATCTTTTGGCTATGTACAAGGCTGCTATTAACATTAGTATACGAGTATCTGTTTGAGTCCTTGCATTTAATTCTTTGGGGTATATACTTAGAGGTTGAAATGCTGGATCATATGGTAATTCCACGTTTAACTTTTTGAAGTCCTTACAAAACCAGATTAGATTTAAACACCTCATCATAGTGCATGGTCACCAGTCATAGGGGCATTGTGTACTTATTTGTGAAAGCAGGACCATTTCCTCTTAGAGATAGGACATTAAGGGTCATCAGGTTCAGTTACCTCTCCTGATGGGGCTGAATAGGACAAGGGTTAGGTACTCCTTGGTGACAGAAAGGCAGGGCTGAGTTCCAGCTCCCTTGCTTCCAATCTGTAATCTTGGGTTAGTTACCTAAACACTCAAAGCAACCATTTCCAATGAGAAAAACGATATCTACTTTTAAAAGCTATCATGAGAATTAAGTAAGACAATGTGGGAAAATGCTTGGCACAGTTCCTCTTACAGGGAAATCCTCAATAAGTGGTAGCCATTGTTGTTTTTGTGACCACATTTGTAGATGAGGATGCCGAGGCCCAGAAAGCATAACAGTTCTATGGTTGCTTCATCCCATAGCTGGTTTTGAAGTTTTGATGTACATTACCATGATATACAGTTTAAGGTCTAATCCTCCTGTGAATCTTGTTCATCTCCTCTCTGCTTTTCATGGAGGTTGGTGTTTCAATAGTTTGTTGATGATGCTGGTCCAGCTAAAATATTTCAGGAGGCAGCATGACTTTGCACTATCCCACTTGCTACTTACTAACCTTGTGGCCTTCAGGAGGTCACTACATCTGTCTAATGCTTGTTTTCTGCCATAATAGAGATATCGTATCAAATGCATGGAGCTGTGAGTGGAGTTAGGCAAAACAGAAAGTCTCTGTACCAAAGCATTTGCTGAAGGACAATTTCCACAGTCCATCAAAACAAAGACATTAATTGTAAGACGGGCCAACTTAGTTATTACACAAAGCTGAGGTGCCGTGGACTATAAAATGCATCTCCATATCAGAGATGTTAACAGGTGAAGAATACATGCATTAGAACTGATGAAATACTGTAACTGCCATTTGGTGACTTCCTAAGGAAAAGGCCATACACGGAAAAACAGAAGTTTGGAAACTGCCTCACCTTTTGGAAAAGGAGCAAAGGAACTGGAGCAGTTCTGCTTTTCCTGTGATTAAATTGGGACCACATCCGGGTCAGCACTTTTATGTACTCCTGTCCAAAGAATTCAAGGGGAAAAAACCCTTGGAAATGCAAGCTCAGCCTGGCACACACAATGGAAGATGGAATGTTTTTGGGGAAAAAAAGCTCTGTTATCTTTTTGCTTACCTTGCAGAATGCAAGCAGCGTCATTCACCCAGCAGACTTGGCTGGTGGCTGGTGAACTGAGCTGGGGGGTGGGGGAGTCCCCTTCAGTCTCTCCAGGTTAGCTAAGGTCCCACTACCCCGACTCTTTTTATCCAGAGTATCTTACACGATCAATCCATCTGATGGTGTCAATTATAAGAAGGTGACTAATTTCTGAACCTCTGAAACACCAACTTGTTGGGTTTTGATGCAACTTTGCAGGTGACCTTAATAATGGCCTTGCCTACAAATCACTCACATTCCCATAGCTGGTGGTAGTTCAGGGGGTAGTAGAATCTGGGAGTTTCTAATCCCTCCCCAGCATGCACATTGTCTCCCATAATTTTACAAATGAGAACTATCTTGTGAGAATTTGAAGAGGGTTGCTAGTAATATTCCCCAGATTGCTTGGACTCTCAGCTGACTAGATTAACAAAGCTTCTCTTTCCTTTGGTAGAGTTCGTCTCTGATAGCTGCGACCTATTCGAAGTTCTATGGTTAACAGTCTGTACTTCAGATATTCTCTTCACTCCTTAAACTCTTCACTGGCAGTGAGCAAACACTGAGCATTTGCTGTGTTTCAGGCACAGCTGGAAAAACTGTTATGTTTGGAAAGGTCCTATAACATTCCCATTTCATAGACATTGATCAAGCACTGGAGAAACTTGTCCACTGTTATGCAGCAAATTTGAGCTCTGACTCCAGAGACTAACTTTGCCATCCAGGGTTTCAGTGCCTCCCTTGATTGACCTAGGACATCCTCCCCAGAACAAACAGAAGCCTGCAGATGAGAACACACTCAATTTCCCTCCACTAAACTTACAAACCTACCTACATCTGCACCCCATCTTCTTTCTTTGCACTCCTTGCCTGCCTTCTCAGGGACCTCACTCCATGACCATATTTTTTTCTCCTATAATTTCAACCTCTTGTTATCTACTAGCTCCTTTCCTAAGTTAAGTGTCTCCCATATTGAAAAGGAAATGCAATGCTCCACCCAAACCCTTGTGCCTACCTCCCCATATGTGTCTTCTACGCTTACTGAATGGGTCGTGTCAATTCCTGCATTTGTCTTCCCACCTTGCACCACCACTTCTCAGCAACCTGGCTCCACCACTGCTACCCCTTTAAATCTGGTCTTTCCAAGGTCACAGTAGCCTCCTTGCTGCTAGATGTAGTGAACGCACCTGAGTCCTTATCTCCTTTGCCTAACTGAGCATCTGACAGCATTCCCACTCCTTTCTTATAGAAACACTTCTTTTGCCTTCTCTAGTGCTCCTCCAAAGTCAGCATTGTTTTGGGCTACTGTCAGAGGCATTTGAACCAGAGTGACTCCATCTTGAACAGGGGCTGGGTAAAATGAGACTGAGACTACTGGACTGCATTCCCAGGAGGTTAGGCATTCTAAGTCAAAGGATGAGCCAGGAGCTCAGCACAAGATACAGGTCACAAAGACCTTGCTGATAAAACGGATTGTGGTAAAGAAGCCAGCCAAAAGCCACCAAAACCAAGATGGAGAAAAAAGTGACCTCTGGTCGTCCTCACTGCTCATTATATGCTAATTATAATACATTAGCGTGCTAAAAAACACTTCCACCAGTGCCATGACAGTTTACAAATGCCATGGCAACATCAGGAAGTTACCCTATATGGTCTAAAAAGGGTAGGAACCCTCAGTTATGGGAGTGGCCCATGCCTTTTCAAGAAAACTCATGAATAATGCACCCCTGGTTTAGCACATAACCAAGAAGTAACTGTAAGTATGCTCAGTTGAGCAGCCCAGGCCACTGCTTTGCCTATGAAGTAGCCATTCTTTTTCATTCCTTTACTTTCTTAATAAACTTGCTTTCACTTTACTCTATGGACTTGCCTTGAATTCCTTCTTGCATGAGATCCAAGAACCCTCTCTTGGGGTCTGGATCAGGACTCTTTCCAGTACACTACAGTGACGGTTAATTTTATGTGTCAGCCTGACTGGGCCATGGGGTGCCCAGATATTTGGTTAAACATTATTTCTGGGTGTGTCTGTGAGGGTGTTTCTGGATGAAAGTAGCACTGGAATCAGTGGACTGAGTAAAGCAGGTTGTCCTCCCCATTGTGGGTGAGGCTCCTCCAATCCATTGAGGGCCTTCACAGAATAAAAGGCCGAGTAAGGGAGAATTCACTCTCTGTGCCTGTCTTCAAGCTGGGACATCTGTCTTCTGCCTTCAGACTCAGATCTTGTCTGGAATTACAACATTGGCTCTGTCGGGTCTCCAGCTTGCCGACTGCAGATCTTGGACTTTTCAGCTTCCGTAATCACATGAGCCCATTCCTTATAGTAAACCTCTCTTTCTCTATATATCTATATCTACATCTGTATCTATCCTATTGTTTCTATTTCTCTGCGAACCCAGTCTAATACAGCTACTTATCTTCTGATCTTCCTCCTTTAGAAAACGAGCCCCTTTTCCTTTTGGAAACTTCCCCTGCCTTACTGGTGGGATTGTACATGAAAGCACTGATCTCCCTCACCAATCCACCACTTGCGCTGGACTGGCACAAATGCCTGGTTAGGGAGGAATGCTTGTTTCTTGCTCTTTGTTTCCTGCTAATTGTTTCCATGTGGAGGGATTTCACTAGACCACTGGTTTCCAAAGCATGGCCCCTGCACCAGTGCTGTCAGCATTCCTTGGGAATGTGCTACAAATGAAAGTTCTCAGGCTTCACCCAAAGTCACTGAATCACAATGATTCCCAGTCAGACTCAGCAGTCTGTTTCATCAAGCTCTTCAGGTGACTCTGATGCACACTAAAGTTTGAGAACCACTGCACTACCATAACACTCCTATTTTGTTTTTGTTTTGTTTTAGGTTTGTTGAAGTTTAACTTATAAATTGTAATATTCACCCTTTTAAGATACACATTTCTATAAATTTTAACAAATTCATACAGTCATGTAATTGCTATTATTAATAAGCTATCTAATACTTCTATTACCCAAGAAGGTCTCTTCATCCCCCCTTGTATTAAATCTCCCACTCTACTCTCAGCCCCTGGCAAAGACTGATCTGAGTTTTGTTCCTATAATTTTGCCATTTCCAGAATGTCATACAGATGCAATCATCCAGCATACAGCCCTTTAAGTCTGGCTTCTTTCTTTTTTTTTTTTTTTTTTTTATTTTTAGCATCTTTATTTGAGAAGTCAGTTCTGCAGATGGGTAACAATTCCAAGTGTTGATATATCTGAATCTTTCTATACAGAAAATAACAAATAAAACTCAACCAGCCAGTCTCCCCACTTATGCTTCCAACCACATCTGGAGTGTCCACCATCAGTCCCTTGGCTACTTTCAAACCAGAACTTAAATGCAGACCGTTTTCCTTATGAATCATTCCCCCGACCCAGGTTTTCTTCAGAGTTCTTTTTCCAGGACAGGATTATAGCCCCAGTTGAAGACTAGGTGGATATAGGACAAGCACCATCTTAGGCCTGGATCACAGCCAAAGTCCATCATCCATTTTCAGCACCGAAGAGCAAGATCTTCACCAAGTCTCACTTTGGTAGCCCCCATCCAGGGACAGCACCACTGAAGGTTTGCAAGATAGCTGGGTTCAGTGAAGTATTTGAAAGCAGAATATAGCACCATTGGAAAACAAAGGCCTGCAGCCACACTTGATCACCTCCGCATTAGACAGATAGGAATTAGGATCAGGAACACAGATCAGTACAGAGGCCAAAACAAAACCTTTGGCTACTATATAAAACCAGGAGTGCTCCAAGGCAGATTCAGCCAATAATTAAGAAAAAAATCATCAAAGCCTCAACCTTTGCTTACAATCTTTATTGAAGTTATACAAAAAGAATCCTCCAAAAGTGAAAAAATACATTATATACAAAAACACTTTCCCTTGGGAGGAGGGCTGTGCCCTCTCTTTACATGCAGTGCTTTCAGCTGTAGCTCCAGCCTCCACTGTCCCCTCCACTGCCGCCCGGCTTTCAACCCGATTCTCAGCCTCCTCCTCCATGTTTTCCAAAACTTCATTTCCACTGGGGACAGCATCTCCACTGCCTCCGTTCACCTCCAGCTCTTGTTTGACTTTCTTTGCATCATCTTTCCAGGGACTCTGTTCCTCCGGTTTCCTCTTCTTTCTGACAAAGTGAGAAATATCAGTCACACAATTTGATGAGGAAGCACCATCTGTTGGCTTTCTACTGGCAATCAGGAGACTGAAGAGCCTCCTCCACTAGGAGTGAAACCTGAAGTAGAGCTCTCCACCAGAGTAGCTTTCAGAGCCAGTTCAGCTACATTCCCAGTAGTCTGAGACTCCTTTGCATCTTCTGTCTTTTCTGTAATTTCGGGTAGCAGTTCCTTCAGTTCCTCAATTTCTTTCTTGTATTCAGCAGACGATCCTTCAGCCTCCTTCACCTGCTCGTTTAGTACAGCCATTCTCTTCTCAATGACTTCAATAGATTTGCTGAACTGTGCCACTGCCTCATCATACTGAAAGTTGTACCCATAAGCCAAGCCCAGCTGGTAGTGGGTCTCTGCAAGGAGATGGTCGTAGGCTTCCAGGTACTGTTCCTACAGGTTTAGGCAGGACTGGAACTCCTCCACAGCTTGCACATAGTTTTCAGATTCAACACCAACTTCTCCGAGTTTAAGATGTGCCTGGGCAACATAAAGCTGGGCTTTTGTTTCTTGCCTTTTAAAAACGATCTTTGCTAAATCCAGTGTATCCCAGGCAAGCTCTAGGTTCCCAATCTCCTCCTCTTCATTTTCTTGAAGAGACTTGTTTTCAAGGACTGAATCATTTGGCATTTCTTCAGCCTTATCATTTTCTTTATCATCCTCTTCCAAGCCTTCAGTTTCTTCACCCTCTTTTATCTGTTCGTCCTCTCTCTTTTGTCTCTTCATTAGCAGCTATCTGAACTTTGTCTTCAGGTGATTTCTCAGTAGCTCCCTGGGCTACCTTGGTATCAACCCCATCTCCAGCTGCCTCAGACTCTTCTACAGACAGCTTAGTCTCCTCCTGACTAGGAACCAGCTTTGCTCTGACCTTCTCCTCTAGTCCTGAGCCATCTTTTGTTTCTGTCAGTCTTTCTATAGAAGTCTGTGGTTCAGTAGGAGTCTGATCTCCTACAGCTGACGGTCCATTGACCGCACCATCCTTAGGGAGAACTGTAGCCTCCTGCCCAGGCTTTTCAGAGACTTCTGATCCAGCCTCTAAGGCTGAGGCCTCTGCAGCCTCTGTTGTCACCTCCGGTGACTCTTCAGCAGGTGGCACTTCTTGACCTACCAGTTACTCAAGAACCACCTTTCCTGCCTTTTCAGAGGTAACTACCTTCTCCTCTGGCTCGTCCCCACCCACATCTACTGGCTTGACTGTTGGGTCTAAAGACTCTGCTGCTACCTCCACTGCAGTGCCCTGCTTTTCTAGAATCACCACAGTCTGCTCTTCTGAAACTTCTTTTGGCTTCTCCTCTATGCTCACAATTACCTCTCTGTGCTTCTCCCAACCTCCTTTTCTCTGCACTCTTCTTGGACATCAGTTTCAGAAACTGATTTTTCTTCCTCAACATCTGGTACTTCCTGTTCTGGCTTCCCAGAAGTGACCTCAGCTTCATTTGGTCCTTCTGGTGCTCCTCCTCCTTTTGCCCCTTCAGAGATTTCAGTTAACCAACCTAGAGTCAAGTCAACTTTTTCCTGTGGCTCCTCTGCAGATTCACTTATATCCATATCTTCTCTTCCACCCTTCTCCATTTCACAGTCCTGTTCTTTATCAGTTTCAGGCTTTGCGAAAGACTTGTCTTCTGTTTTTTTGGCTTCTTCTTTTTCTCCCATGGAGTCATAAACCTGTTCTCTCAACTCTTTCCTTGCTTCCTCATCTATGCTATCATTATTTTCTACCAGAGATTCATCTTCTGTTTTTTCTCCTTCTTCCTCTTCCACATGCACACCATCCAAGGTGTTTCCCAATACACCATTCTCGATTCTCTCCACTTTATCTGCAGATGTAGAAGGAGCAGGAACATCTTCAATTTTGTTGGCAGAAACCAGCTCCGCAGCGATGGCGGCAGTGGCTGTGGACTCCGTGGCCATCGTTCCCTTGAGGTGGCAAACCAGTGAATGGAATAGAGCCTGTGAGAAAAACAGGCAATATGGGATGCCAGAGACTCACTCAGGGACAGAAAATGGCAGATTGAGACTGGCTTCTTTCACTTATCACCATGCTTTTGAGATTCATCTATGTTGTTGCGTGTGTCTGTAATGTGTTTCTTTTTATTGCTGAGTAGTATTCCATTGTGTGGATACTAGAGTTTGTTTAATCATTCACCTGTCGATGGGATATTGGATGGTTTTCAGTTTTTGGTGACTATGAATACAACTTTTATAACTGTTCACTTACGGATCTTTGTGTGGACATAGATTTTCATTTCTTTTGGGTAAATAATTAGGAATGGGATTGCTGGGTTATATGGTAAAGTACATTTAACTTCATAAGAATAGTCTTTCAATGTGACTTTACTATTTTGTGTTCTTATCAGCAATGGATAAGACTTCCAGTTGCTCCATGTCCTCATCAGTGCTTGGTATTGTCAGGTTTTAAAATTTAAGCCATTCTAATGACAATGTATCTGGGATTCCCCCCCACCTCCATTATTCCCTAGGGGATGGTGGGAGTGGGTGGGAAGGATGGTAAAGAGGTAGGTAAATTTAGGAGGAGGCATGTGTGGCTCAGCTTCATTCTCCTACTCTTCTGCCTGAAGAGAAGGTGCATTATGATGAGAAAATACGTTAGGATGCCACGTGGCCAGCATAGCTGGGTAGCCTGTGTTCCCAGGATGTGCCCCTGCTAGGGCAGCTGGCAGTTGTCCAGTGTGGCCTATGACTTGGGTAACTTTTATTCTTAGGTGCAATATTAGAAACCTAATTTTTTGCCAAACACCTAAGTCATGTCTCCACTATAGCTCCCCTCCCCATCACCTTTAAATCTGACATGTGGACTCTGTGGACTCTGTTTGCCTTCTACACTTATCTCTCAATTGATTCTAAATTTGGGGTGGGGGAGAGTTGTCCCAGTTTTTTCAGGCTGCTATAACAGAGTACTATAGGTTGGGTGGCTTATAAACAATAGAAATTTATTTCACACTATTCTGGAGGCTGGGACGTCCAAGACCAAGGTGCTGGCAGATTTGGCATCTGGCGATGGCCCACTTCCTGGTTTATAAACAGTATTTCAAACTGTGTTCTCACATGGAAGAAGGGCCATGGTGGCTCTTTGGAGTCTCTTTTATAAGGGCACTAATCTCATTCATAAGGGCTCCACCTTCACGATCTAATCACCTCCCAAAGGCCCCACCTCCCAATACCATCATGTTAGAGATTAGGTTTCAACATATGAATTTTTTTTTAAACATTAAAATTATTTATTATCAAGGGATTATTGATAACATTTTGGTATATAGTCTTCTAATCTTTTTTTTTATACTTTAAGTTTTAGGGTACATGTGGACAACATGCAGGTTAATTACATATGTATACATGTGCCATGTTGGTGTGCTTCACCCATTAACTCGTTATTTAACATTAGGTATATCTCCCAATGCTATCCCTCCCGCCTCCCCCCACCCCACAACAGGCCCCGGTGTGTGATGTTCGAATTTGGAGGACACACAAACAAACGGAACTCATCTCCCTGGCCCCTAGGATTGGTGTAAGGTAAGTAAGCAACAGGCAAGGCTTCTTCCTTGAAGATAATATCAGGCTGGATGTGCCAGGAGTTGTCTTTGTCAATAGAGCTTGTCTGAGAATAAAGGCAATGCTAGGAAAGCTGATCTGAGAAATGGAGAGAGGCAGGGGTGAAGATGGCAAGGGCGGGAGAAAGGATGGCATTGCACCAATTTCCCCAAGTGTGCCTGAAAGATTATATGTTGTTTGTTCCACCCCTCATCTTTTTAGTTATGGTGAACCTGTAAATTCTGTCTTATGGTTAAGTCAATTTGCACTGGGCTTCTGCTCCTATAACAGAAGGAGTCAATTTTGCTTAAGTGGGTAAGAATGTGGGCTTGGAGACAGCACCTGAGTTGCCATTTACTAGCTGCCTGGCCTCGGGTAAGTTACTTATCCTCCCTTTGCCTCAGTTGCCTCATCTATAATAGAAGGATACTAACATAATAGTACTTACCTCAAAGGGGGGCTGTAATGATGAAATGAGTTAACACCTCCTATCCATTTAGAACAGTACTTAGCACAGGGAACATTTTAAGTAAATGTTGGCTACTATGAATACAACTGTATTTCTAGTTTTCCTCCTGTTTCTCTGGGCATTCTTACTCAGAATCTTTTGAGGCTTCTTATCTACTCATGTTGGTGAGTCCTCTAGTTTCTGTCCTAGACCTTCCCCTTGTCACTGCATGCTCTCCCATGGCTTTGGCTACTATCTCTGTGCGAATAATTGCCAATAAACTCCAAGACTGACCTCTGTCTTGAGGTCCAGACACAATATCCAGTTGCTTGTTGGCTATCTACAATTAGATGCTGTGTTATTTTAAACCAACACATATCTATTATCTTATGGTGTCCATGGGCCAGAAGTCCAGACATGGCTTGACTGGGTCCTCTGCCTCTTCTCATGAGGCTGCAGTTGAGGTGTCATTTGGGCTGTGTGCTCATCTGGAGGCTTGACTGGAGAAGAATCTGCTTCCAAGCTCACTCAGGTTGTTGGTAGAATTAATTTCCTTGTGTCTATATGACCAAGGATCCCAGACTTTTGCTGGCTGTCAGCTAGGGCCATCTTTGGGTTCTGGAGGCTACTCACAGCCCCTTGCCACGTGGCTTTTTCCAATACAGCTTTTGCTTCATAAAGCTCTCAGTAGAGCCTCTAGTTTCAGCAGGCTAAGAAAAAGTCTTATAGGAGTTACATTCTATTGATTATAAAGAAATCACAAGTCCTGCCTACACTCAAGGAAAAGGGATTATCCAAGGGGGTGAACACCAGGAGGATGGACCATGGGGCCACCCTAGAGTCTGAGTGACACAGATGTCCATCATCAACACCCCCCAAGTGGCACTTATCACCTCCTGACCACTCTGCTCTTCTTCCATGGGTCCCTGCAGGAGGGAATGGCATCACCATTCAAACCAAAGGCCAAGAGGTCATCCCCGATTGCTTTTTTTTTGAGACAGAGTCTTACTCTGTCATCCAGGCTGTGATCTCGGCTCACTGCAACCTCTGCCTTCCGGGTGCAAGTGATTCTCCTGCCTCAGCCTGCTGAGTAGCTGGGATTACAGGCATGTGCCACCTTGCCTCACTAATTTTTGTATTTTTAGTACAGATGGGCTTTCACCATTTTGGCCAGGCTGGTCTCGAACTACTGACCTTAGGTGATGTACCTGCCTTGGCCTCCTTAAGTGCTGGGATTATAGGTGTGAGCCATCATGCCCAGCTTCCAATTCCTTCTTCTAGCCAGCCTTTCATACAATCAACCATCAAGCCCTAATGATTTGCCTCCTAAATGCTTCTTGATTCCTTCATTCTCTCCACTGTGGTTACTACAGCAGCCACCCACTTGCCTTCATTCTTTTCTTCCTACAGCAGCCAGGGACATCTTGCTGAAATACAATTCTGATTACATTGTACCCTTACATTCTACTTAAAGTTCTGTGATTACTTTCCATTGATCTTGGGATGTGGTTCAAATTCCTTAACGTGGCCCATGAGATCCTTTGTCATGGGGCTTCCCTCTCCTTGCCAAACTCTCTCACGCTGGCCTTTACATGTTCTGTCCCTTCTGCCTGGAACACTCTTTCCCTCCCTTTGCTTGTTGTTTGCTTCCCTTTCCTTGTGTTTCCCTGAGTTCTGTGAGCTACCTTCACCCATAGTCAGGCCCCAGCTTCCATGCTGCTTCCTTCAGGAGGCCCTTCCTGACTGCACACCTATATTAGCCACCGCTGGCCCCCACACTCAGCACCCTGGATTTCCATGTTCCCCACACTCAGCACACAGAGTGATCACCTCTTGTTCACTTGTCCTTATTCTCCTCTAAACTGTAAGCTCTGTGAGGCTGGGGGACATCCCCTGTCTCATACTTTCAACACTGTAAGTCTGCAAATAATTGTCAAGTGTAGAAAATGACAGATGAAGCCTTGGATCTTAGCCCACCCTTAAAAATATTTCCACCCTTGGCTTGCAGCAACGTCCAGGGTTCACTCTTGATGGGCTCTGTTCCAGTTGGCAGATCTTTTTAAGTAGAAAGTAATATATTAATAGAGGCACCTTTGTTTTGGGTAATATTTCCTTCCTATTATGGTCAGTCCAGTCTCAAGACCTTTACTTGCTACTGATACACTCCAGCGACATGAGAGCTGGGACATCATCTATTTCCTCCTTATGCAGTGTTTGTCCTTCTGCTGTGTAATTGGAATTTTGTAAAAATAGCTGACCAACTGCAGTACATATAGTTCTATAAACTCGCTGGGAACAGTCTCCTCTGTCCACCCTATGGAGGGGCCCACAGCTGCTCCCCGGACATTCCAAGAGATGCTCTCATCCACTGAGAACAGAGGGAGCATTTGTTCCCTCAGCCCACTTTGGAGGGACAGCTGAGGCTTGGCCTCGTCCAGCCAGGTCGGCCTGCCCAGGGCTTCGGGTCTGGTTTCACGCAGCAAGCAATTGAGCTTAATTGACAGGTGTGAAGTGTGTCCTCTCTAACCCATCTCGACTTACTTCTGCCTTTAGGGGTGAGGCAAACTCACTTGGGAGCCCAATTAGCATGTCATGTTGGGGGGTGAGTGTGTGTGTGTGTGTGTGTATGTGTGTGTGTCTGTGTGCATGTGTGAAAGAGAGAGAGGGAAAGGGAGAGAGAGAAAAGAGAAAAAAGGGAGAGAAAAACCTCAGATGCAGAAAAACAGAGAAAGAGAGATGGAGGGAGAGACTCAGAAAGGGAGAGGTAGAGAAACAGAAGGAAACAAAGAGAGAAGCAGAGAGCTGGGAGCAGAGAGATGGACAGATAAGAGGGCTTTGGAGCTGGTACAGACAGGCACCACTGGTGGCCTTTTAGTTGGGTTAAGTGCACACAAATGGAAAATGAGATAGTGTAGAATGTCAGTCCCATCTGGAGGACCATGTGTGAAATAATGACAAAATGAGCATCTATATGGTCCTTAGTGTATTCCTAATGGGCCAGGAGTGAATTCCGAGAGGGAGTTGGGCTGGGGTGGGATTAGACTGGGAGACATGTGTGTCCATGGCAGGAAGCATTACCCTCAATCCCAGTCAGTTCTCATGCGCACGTGTGAGGCTGAGTAGGTCATACTGGGGCCAGGATGGCCTCAGATGTGAGAGCCAGTTCTGCATGGAGTGAAATCATTCTCTCGAATGCTTAGGGGTGATGCTAGCATGCAGAGAGTCTGGATACCCAAACAAAGGCAAAGACAAGGTTTTTTCTGAGTGTTCATTGGCTTCAGAACTCCCTCTAAATGAGGCAAGGCTCCAAGTGTGCATAAAGCATGCACTATTCTGTGCACTTTTCGGTTTTTTTTTTTTCTTTTTTTGAGACAGAGTCTTGCTCTGTCATCCAGGCTGGAGTGCAGTGGTGTGATCTCGGCTCACTGCAACCTCTGCTTCCCGGGTTCAAGTGATTCTCCTGCCTCGGCCTCCCAAGTAGCTGGGATTACCCATGCACCACCATACCCAGCTACTTCTTGTATTTTCAGTAGAGAGGGGGTTTTGACATGTTGGCCAGGCTGGTCTCAAACTCCTGACCTCAAGTGATCCACCGCCTCAGCCTCCCAAAGTGCTGGGATTATAGGTGTGAGCCACTGTGCCTGGCCTCTGTGCGCTTTTCAAATATTGTCAGTTAGTGCTCACAAAACCCTTATGTGGTAGATACTATTATTGCCTCCACAGCGGAAGTTATGGGGTAGAGAAATTAACCAGCTTGCACAATACCCCTCTGCCAGTAAATGGTAGAGCTGGACTTTGAAGCCAGGAAATCTGGTTCCAGAGTCAGTGCTCTTCCCACTTTGCTATACTATGCACTGAGATTCAGCTCTCAAACTAAATCCAGTTCTTTGTTCAGGAGTCTTTCCAGAGAGGAAGAAGAGTAGCATGTAGTAGAAAGAACTGACTTCCTGCCTTGATTCTGCTGTCCCTAGCATTGAGATTTTGAGATAGGCCTTCTAAGCTTCAGTGGGGTGAAATGACTAGGTGCATAGACTCTGGAGCCAGACCCAGCTAGCCCACCTGCCACCACCCTGGCCCTTACCAACTGGGTGCTCTTGGTCTTTTACTTAGCCCATTGAGCCACAGATTCTTTCTCTGTAAAAGGAGGACAAAAACAGCTATCCTCATGGAATTGTGAGGGTTAAACAAGGTTGTGTATTTAATGCAGGTAGTAAGCCCTCCATAAATGTTACCTATTGTTATTATCTATTAAATGGTGGCCCTTCCTATTTGATATACTTATGGTAGGAATGATATAAGATGATGAATGTGAAGTGCTTTGTAAACATTTCTGCATTACTCAAATGACAGTATTATTGTTTTTATGCATGTAAGGTACATGTATAAGGTGGATGAATTAATAGCTTTAGCAGATAGCAAGTCGTGGAGGCTAGGATGGGCAGGGTGGGGGAGGGGCTGGGAGGAGGAGTAGACAAGTCACTGTAATACCAGATTGAACATGGAAGGTCCCACCAAAGAATTCTAGCACCATGCTCTGGAGTCCTGTAGAGGAAAGGATCAGAAAAGACTTAATTGAAAAACTAATATTGGAAAAGGCTGTGAAAATGCATTCATTCAATACATATTGACTGTCTACCCCTTGCCAGACATTGTGTTGGCTGCTGGGAATATAGCCATGAATAAGGCATAGTCATGGCACTCAGGAAATGGTCTTTGGGATCAGGCTTCAGCTGGGATGGGGATAGTTTGGAAGATCATTTCAACAGGAGGAAATCGGGTGAGCAAAAACATAAAGAGGAAGAAGATAAGCAAGCTTTTTTTTTTTTTTTTTGAGACAGAGTTTCACTCTTGTTTCCCAGGCTGGAGTGCAATGGCACGATCTCGGCTCACCGCAACCTCCGCCTCCCGGGTTCAAGCAATTCTCCTGCTTCAGCCCCCCGAGTAGCTGGGATTACAGGCACGAACCACCACGCCTGGCTAATTTTGTATTTTTAGTAGAGATGAGGTTTCTCCATGTTAGTCAGGCTGGTCTTGAACTCCCAACCTCAGGTGGTTTCCGCCCACCTTGGCCTCCCAAAGTGCTGGGATTACAGGCATGAGCCACTGCACCCGGCCAGATAAGCAAACTTTATAGAGCACCCAGGAGTCCACTATCGCTGGTCTGAAGTTTGTTGAGTAATGGAAGGGGAATCCAGAAAAGGTGTTTGAGGTCATACTTGGGCAGTCTTGAAGGACAGTCTGCAATTAACGTGAATGGCAATGGAGAGCCTTTGCAGGGTGGTAGTATGCCTGCAGCCACACAAAGACCACTCTCAGCTAGGAATTCATAATAGTGCAATGTATTTTTACTATTGTAGAGATCATGTCTTAAATATACACGATAGCCTGTCCCAGAAGAGATCTACTCAAAACTTTTTCAGGGCATGAGAATGTACACTCAGTCTTTGAGAGTGATATTAAGTCAATTGCAATAAACCAGCAACTTGCACTTGTCATAGATTTAGTACACACACACTCATGCATACACAGTAATAGATCGAATTTTAAAGTCAGTTCTGAGTTTGAGGGTATTTACATGTGTCATTTTCTCTTTCAGTTTCAAAATTCAATGTGTCAATATATAAAATTTAAGAATAAATGTATATGGCAGGGTAATTGTTCAAGAATTAAACTATATGCCAACAGAACATTGGCAGGCTTTATTTTGTGACATTTAGGGATCTTGTCTTTGCAATTTTTCCTTGTGGAAAAAGAGGTAGATTGGAAATCATTGCAAATCAAAGTGATGCTTTCAACCTCTGAAACAAATGCTAGCTTGTCTTTTTCCACTTTTCATACATTTGCATAGATCTGTCAACTGAATCTGAATTTTGTTAAGGGTAAAGTGTAGTACAAAGTTATGAACACCCGCGTACCACAAAATTGCTTTGCCCCCTCTTCTTCAGTTCACAGCCCCATGTCCTTCCCCTCACCCTCTCAAGAGCATGTTCCTCTCAGAAGATTTGGAAAGAGCTTAATGAGATGGAGTCAGAGCCTTAATAACAAACTAGTCACTGCCAAACAGAACAGAACTTTTAAGTAGGAGATGACCTCTCCCTGCCACTGTTCCTTACCTGTGAGTTGTTTTGTTTTGTTTTGTTTTTGAGATAGGGTCTCGCTTGCCCAGACTGGAATGCAGTGGTGGGATTTTGGCCCACTGCAGCCTCCACCTCCTGGGCTCGAGCCATCGTCCCACCTTAGACTCCCGATTAGCTGGTACTACAGGTGCTAATTGCCAGCATGCCTGGCTAATTTTTGTATTTTTTTGTAGACACAGGGTTTGGCCATATTGCCCAGGCTGGTCTCGAACTCCTGGGCTCAAGCGATCTGCTGGCCTCAGCCTCCCAAAATGCTGGGATTACAGGGGTGAGCCACTATGCCTGGTCGAGTTTCTGTGTTTAATTGCAGTTCTACAGATAGTCAGAGAAATGTGTTTTCAGATGTTTCCCAGTGAAACAACCAGGATTATCTCCTGGCCAGATCCGAGTACTCAGGTGTGCATTCCCCTGGGGGAGAAAATCTGCTCCTGGCTTCAGCCGGGTCAAAAGGCCTCAGAAGTGGGAGGATGCAAACCCAACTGGCACATGCCACTAGCCCATCTCCTTCAACTGTCATTTATGGATCTGTACAGGGATCCAGCGATTCATTTGACTCCGATTGGCTGCCAGCTCTGTTCTACTGTGTTGTCAGACACCACTGCAGTTTGCAAGAAAGTCAGCTCTGCTTGCATTTGGGTTACTAACCACAACTGCCAAGGACTTGAAAAGAAATAAAACCCCGGGGCAGGCAGGGTCTTGATTCTGTATATGTTTTGTTGTCTGTTATTTTTATTCCAAATTAATAGTGCAGATCAAGCCCACAGTTAAATAACACATCTGCCTGGGGTTTGGGTAGCAATTCACAATATGTTTTTATTCATTATTGCTTTAATTATGGCTCAGAATTCCTTTGAATCTCTCCCAAGTAACAGGTGGTTTTCTGACCATGATAAATGCTAAATGCTGCTCAGGATAAGGCAGCTAAGGCATTGTTTTCCTAGCTGTGGTTACACCTAGGCCCCAGGCAGCTTCTGAATTAGCAGCCTGCAACAGATTGGAATTCCTGGGGGACTTCACTTAACCCTTAGTTCTCCCAAACTTGTTTTCAATGCACTGTTGCGTGGGGGCTCCTCGTTGCACCCAGCTGTGCGGCAGATGTGCTTTTTGTATTCTGGGAAGTAGCAGGAGGGTTTGGGGTAGGTCAAAAAGTTAATATGTCAATGTTCTGAAGGGAGATGGGAGTAGAAACTTGGTGATATTAAAGATGATTTGAATTTAGATTCTTAAAAAAAGAATAAAAGCATTTTTTTATATATCTGCAATAGATAACAATTAAATAAGTCACACATGAATCATCAAAATTAGAGTGAGGGCAACGACCTATTAGATCATCTAGCCAGTTCCCCAGTGAACACAGAATTATTCCCCACAGTGTTTTCAGGGGTGCTTTGTACAGTGTCTTTTGAAAGACTTGAGCAATTGAGGCCTTCAATTATTTCCTTAGGGAGACACTTCCCCTTATAAAAGGCCATAGTGTTTTCCTCCTTTGCCTGATAGTCAAGCTAAAAAAATAAATGTCTGTATGGTACATGCAAAATCATTTGCACAATGACACTGATCAGAGGTAGAAATTATACCTATAGGTCTCCCAGAAAACAGTGAGCATGCAGTTGGCATTCTTCCCTGCACTCTCATTTCAGGTTTTTACACTTGAATTTGCATACTTCATGGAGGTGGCAGTACTGAAATATCTCCGGCAAGCCTCCCTGTTTGCAATACCACTATTGCAAACTGGTCAGAGGTAACATTGCACCTCTTAATTTGAAACTAGGGGGGAAAAGCTGTTTTGAATAAATTCTGTTCAGACTGTCCATGTTGTCAGGGTAGAGAATACTCAGTCATCCAGGAAGTAGCAACTGCTTAGAATTCCTCTCTCTTTGGAACAGACTGGTATTGTCTTTCCTGGGTTGTTTGTATTGGAGAGGTCGCCAATTGTACACACACGTGACGGGGGCTGTAGGATAGACAGCCCCCAGTTTTCAGCCTTTGAAACCTGGAGCTGCAGAGCCAGTGCCCGTAGGTGGGGTGCTCACAAGGCTTCCTGCTGAGTTGCCATGGCTTGTGTCACAGTGCCCTTAAGGGCAGTTTTCAGTTCAAAGAGGTCAGATTTTGCAGAGTTATAGACAATGGAAGGGACAAATTGTCTCGATTTCCAGAACTCAAGAACGCTGTGACTTGAACACTCCTATCCTAGTCCCCTCCGCCTTCATTAGAGTCCAATGTGCCAGGCAGTGAGTTTGGAAATGGCAAACAAGGAATCAAATTTCCCACCTTGGAGGACCTCATGAGGCAGGCAGGGAGGCGTGGAAATAATTTTGAAGCATTGGAGTGAGGGCTATGAGATAGGTAAGCAGGGTGGCCACACAGTACAGGGAAATGGCACTCAGGAAATCCTGGGTGTTGGAAACTTCCCAGGGAAGCGGAACTGAAAGGACAGAAGGCAGGAAAAGCAGAGGAATGCAAACAAGAAAGGAAGTGACCAAAGCAAGGCAGAGGCATAGGGAGCAGTTCCAGTGGGCAGGGAAGTGGGAGGGTGTGGGGAGGTGGGGCTGAGGTAAAGCACCAGGAAGCCTTGCCTGCCATGCCAACTTCAACAGTCTAGAGAGGGGGCTTGCCATCATCAGTTTGGAGGTGAGGACGCTGTGGTTCAGAGAAGTGAGGTGGCTTCTCCGAGGTCACACAGTCCAGTGAGAGAGCTACGATTTAAACCAGGTCCGTCTTAATCCACTGAATGTGCTATATCAGGAGAGAAAGGTATGCTGGAGTGCAAATTTGGAGTGGGCATATTTGTGGCCTCCTGAAGGGAACAAGTGGCTAGAGGAGCTGCAGAGCTCTGCGGGGCTTGAAAGGTGTCCATAACCTTCCATTATCCACCTTGACCAGGACAGAAGCATTAGTTCATGGGAGAGCAGAATTTGGTTCCTGCAGAGTTTATCAATTCTTATAATTATCCAGAATGACTCATGTTGCGGCCAAACCAAGTGCCTTCTGCAAACGGGCCATCCAGACCAGGGTTGAGTCAGCTGCGTCAGTGGGAGCCACACGGGGCTTGTGGCCATGGTCAAGGCAAATATGTAGGTTTGTGGTCAAGGCCTTCTAGCAGGCATGAGAAATATGGGGAAGTCATGGGAGCACTTCATGCTTCAGAACTAAAGGGAGGGATTAGGAAGACAGAGCAGCAGAAGCAGGAGGTGAGCACTGGGGCATATGCAGTGCGTGTGGGTGTTTGGGGTGCTTGTTTCCATGTGGGCACTACTTCTATTGGAATGATAGTTCCACCTCTTTCCTTATGCCTTGCTCATCCCTTACTCTGTTATTTCTGCCACACCTACCGAAATCTGCTCTTATAGTACAAAAACAGCCTAGACTATATGTATATGAATGAGTATGGCTGTGTTCCAATAAAATTTTTATGGTATTGTTTTAGTACTTTCCAGCTGCTATAACAAAACACCATCAACTGAGTGACTTATAAACAACCAAAATGTACTGTACAGTTCTGGAGGCTGGGAAGCCCAAGGTCAAGGAACAAGCAGGTTCAGTGTCTGACGACGGCCTGCTTCCTGGTTCATAGATGGTTGGTTTTTTTTCTTGCTGTGTCCTCACATCATGGAACAGGAAAGGCAGCTCTCTGGGGCTTCTTTTATTTATTCATTTTGTTCGTTTTCCTTTTTAGAGATAGAGTCTTGTTCTTTCACCCAGGCTGGAGCACAGTGGTGTGATCATCACTCACTGTGGCCTTGAACTCCCAGGCTCAAGCAGTCCTCCTTCCTCAGCCTCCTGAGTAGCTGGGACTGCAGGTGTGCACCACCACACCTGGCTTGGGCCTTCTTTTATAAGGGCACTAATCTCATTTATGAGGGCTCCACTCTCATAACCTAATCATCTTCCAAAGACCCTACCTCTTAGTACCAACACAGAGGTGATTAGGTCTTCAACATGTGAATTTTCAGGGATACAAATATTCAGACCTAGGCCCCAGGCAGCTTCTGAATTAGCAGCCTGCAACAGATTGGAATTCCTGGGGGACTTCACTTAACCCTCAGTTCTCCCAAACCAGTTTTCAATGCACTGTTGCGTGGGGGCTCCTTGTTGCACCCAGCTGTGTGGCAGATGTGCTTTTTGTATCCTGGGAAGTAGCAGGAGGGTTTGGGGTAGGTCAAAAAGTTAAAATGTCAATGTTCTGAAGGGTGATGGGAGTAGAAACTTGGTGATATGAAAGACGATTTGAATTTAGATTCTTAAAAAAAGAATAAAAGCATTCTTTTATATATCTGCAATAGATAACAATTAAATAAGTCACACATGAATCATCAAAATTAGAGTGAGGGCAACGACCTCTGGGGCTTGAAAGGTGGCCATAACCTTCCATTATCCATTCATTACCATAGCAGGTACTGAAATTTGAATTTTATATAATTTTCACTTGTCACAAAATAGTCTTCTTGTGGATTTTTTCAACCATTATAAACATATAAAAACCAATCTTAATTCATAGCTGTACAAAAACAGGTGGTAGGCTGGGTTTGGCCACAGGCTGTAGTTTGCTAACCCTTGATTTAGGCAATAGTCAGGTCGCCTCTAGCTAGAAAACTTCTTAGATCATTGATCTCATCAAATACGTATTGGTTTTAAATGTAATTATTAGGAACAAACTTATTTTCAATTGGTAAGGTGTATTACACTTTGTTGTCTCTCTTTTCCATGCCTCCTTCCCACTATGTAATAGCTATACCTATCTTGTAGTCCTATATACCTTATATGTGAGGGCTAAATGACATAACATAGTGCCTGGTGCCTAGTCATATGAGTTTTCACTTCCCTTTTCTTCTAAGGTTTTGCTTGGAATCTGCCATCAGCAATGCCGAGGCCTGGCCTTGGTGGAAATGGAGGTGCTGCTTAACTTTTCTTCCAAAACATAGTACAACCCTAGTCATCCTGGTGAGTAACAAGATTGCTCCATAATCCAACCCAGTGAGTAATCCCTTTTGCTGATGGTGAGTGGTATGGAGAGAAAAACATGAAAGTGCACTGTGGAAATAATGCCAGTAGCTCCCACCAGAAATCCCTTAGGCTGTGCCTATTAGAGCTAGGGTACACATCTAGAAAATGCCCCTTTCTTTATCAGTACCCAACATATAGGACCTGTTAACCCTGCTCATGCTTTATGTACACATTGAATGTTTATCTGGCTCTTGATGCCATCTCAAGAAAGAGACTCAACACCACAAAATACTTAAGAGAAATGTATATGATATGGTTTGGCTGTGTCACCATCCAAATCTCATCTTGAATTGTAGCTCCCACAATTCCCACGTGTTGTGGGAGGGACTTGGTAGGAGATAATTGAATCTTGGGGGCAGTTCCCCCATACTGTTCTCATGGTAGTGAATAAGTCTCATGAGACCTGATGATTTTGTAAGGGGTTTCCCCTTTCGCTTGGTCCTCATTCTGTCTTGCCTGCTGCCATGTAAGACGTGCCTTTCGCCTTCTGCCTTGATTGTGAGGCCTCTCCAGCTAGATGGAACTGTGAGTCCATTAAACCTCTTTTTCTTTATAAATTACCCAGTCTCAGGTATGTCTTTATTAGCAGTGTGAGAACAGACTAATACAATATATTTTACTGAAGATATTGTGAACATCAACAGGAAGAATCCACAATGCATTTCACACTGCAAAAATACAGTAAAACACCCCCATTACACATATTTCTTGATTTTCAAAAAGCATTTTTCTTTACCAGCTTTCTTATCTCCCTTTCTTTTCTTGCTTCAAAACACTCTATTCTCTGAGCAATTCAGCTCAGTGTTTCTTGTTCTAACAGAGCATTCTGCAAGGATCATGTTCCTTCTTCCACATATTCATCCTTTAGATGTTTCTTTCATGAGAAGCTATGAGTGGTAAACTGTCTTGGTTATTGTTTCACCAAAATGTTTTTATTTTGCTATCATTCTTGAAAGGTAACATTTCTGAGGACACAGTTCCAGATTGACAATTATTTTTTTCAGCCTTTGATGACATGATTCCATTGTCTTTGTGCTTTGTTATTTCTGACAGAGGTCTGCTGTCAGACTATAGTCATTTTGTAGTAGATGAGCTATCTTTCATTTCATGTGACTTAAACCATTTTCTCTTTTGCTTTGGTGTTTTACAGTTTCACCTGATGTGCCTAGTGTGTGTGACTATTATTATTATTATTATTATCATTTTTTGAGATAGGGTCTCACTCTGTCACTCAGGCTGGAGTGCAGTGGCATGATCTAGGTTCACTGCAGTCTTGACCTCCTGGGCTCTAGTGATCCTCCCACCTTGAGACCCTGAGTATTTGGGACCACAGGCACATGCCATCACACCTGGCTAATTTTTAAATTTTTTTGTAGAGCTGAGATCTCATTATGTTGCCCAGGCTGATCGCAAACTCCTGAGCTCAAGCAATCCTCCTGCCTCAGCCTCCCAAAGTGCTGACATTACAGGTGTGAGCTGAGGTGCGTAGCTATATTTGGAAATTTGTCCTGCATTATTCTTCCTGTCTCTGAGGATTCATGTCATTCATTAGTTCTAGAATTTCCTTAGCCACTTTCTTTTTGGAATGTCTCTCCCATTGTTTCTATTCTTTCTTCTGGGACTCCGGGTGTATGTTAGAACTTCTCATTCCTCCCTTTTTCTTACTCATTGTATTCTCTCATCTTTTTCTTGCTGCATTCTGAGTGTTTTCTTAAGATCTGTCTTCAGTTCACAAATTCTTTAGTCATTCATGTTTATTTTGCTGCTTCACTTATCTATTAGTTTATTTATCTTTGCATTCATTCATCTATGTATCTTTCATCTACACATGTACACGCATATATATGTAGTTTAATGCATGTTATTTTAATTAGATATAGTTTTATTTCTATAAATTCTATTTGGTTCTTTGTTAAATCTGATCATTTTTGATAGTCTTCTTTTTCTTATTAATTTCTTTCTATCATCTTTTATTTCTTTTAATATCTCTCTCATATATATAACCATAATAAAAACATAAACATATATATACAAATATATATATACAGATATACACATAAATATATATATACACAAATATATATACATATATTTGTGTTTTTATTATGGTAAAATATATATTTATATTTATGCTTATATTTATAAATGTTGAAAGAAATAAAAAGTGATAGAAAAAAATTGATACAAAAATACACAAGTATATTTGTGTTTTTATTATGGTAAAATATATATGCTATGGTTTGACTGTCTCCACCAAAACTCGGGTTGAAGTTTAATTGCCATTGTAACAGCATTAAGAGATAGGGCCTTTAAGAGGTGTTAGGTTATGATGGCTCTCTCTCATGAAGAGGATTAATGCCATTATTGTGAGAGGAGGTTAGTTATGGAAGGAGTGGGTTTCTGTTAAAAAGAAATTTGGCCTGATTGGTCTCCGTCTTGTGTGCTTGCTTCTGCCTTTTTCCATGGGATGACCCTTGCCAAATGCCAGTGCTATGCTCTTGGACTTCCCAACCCCCAGACTGTGAGCCAAATAACTTTAAAAACCAAATTACCCGGTCCATGATATTCTGTTAGAGGAGCAGATAACAAACTAAGACAATACATAACATAAAATTTAATATGTTAGCCTTTAAGTATATAATTCAGTGGCATTAATTACCTTCACATCATATATAGTTATATTCTATATCTGATAATTCTAATATTTGAAGTTGTTGGAGTTTCAATCATACTTGCTGTTTCTGTTGACTTCCACTTATAGTCATTGGCTGTCTTGAGGTTTGGTAAAATTTTTCTCTTTTTAAAACATATTTAATTGAACTTAAACTGTTGGGAATCCTCATGTAACTGTGTAATGAATGCTTTGTTCTGGAGATGTGCACTTCCCTCTGCCAGACATTTATTTTCTGTGTTTGGAGTTTTCAAGATTCACTGGGCAGTAAAAATTTGAACCTGAGACCTATGTAAAAATTGTAACTAGCAGTCTCATAGTTAAAACTTTTCAGGGGAGACCATCATTATTGTTTTTATTATTATTATTACTATTACTATTATTAATAATATTTTTTACTTGAAGCTGTGGTGAAGGTAGATTTCCCTCTGGATTGTTTTACCAACAGTTTTTTTTTTTTTTTCTAGTCCACTTTTTCCCTGGAGGGTGTGTCCCTTTGAAGATCTAAACTATATGTGAGTCTCGGGTTTCTCGTTTTCTTTGTACAGGCCCAAAAGACTTCATTTCCCTGAACAACTATTAAAAGTTTTCAGAACGGGTAAGGTGGTAAATATTTTAGGCCTGTGAGCCATATGGTCTCTGCTGCAACTACTTAACTCTGCTGTTGCAGCACAAAAGCAGTCACTGACCATACATAGATGAATGGGCATGGCTATGTGCCAATAAAACTTTATTTACAAAAACAGGTGGTTGGCCTGTGTGCTGTAGCTTGCCAACACTGCTCTAGAATCCTGATATTGCCTTTGTTTCCTAACTAGCCCTGACTCCTGATTTTCTTACTTTTTTGCTCATGGCTTATTTTGTTTTGTCTTACTTTATGTTTCTGGGGATTTCCCTTATTATCTTGAGAGTTAACCAATTCACTTAATATTGCAATGTATCCAGCATTTTAATGCTTTGCAAGGGAGGGATTTTAAAAACAAATAGTTCTACTAGCAAAACCCAACAATTTCTCTCTTTCTTTTGGCTTACATACCCTCTTAGCTAAACAAAACCTAACAATTAGCTAAATGACAACCATCTGTTTTTCTTTAAGCATCTTCTCTAGTCCTTTAGCATCCTGTCACACCAATTTATAGCTACTCTTCTCTCTGAGAGCTTATGGTCTCAGGGTAGCAAGATTTCAGAATAGAGATACTAAGATTCTGACCTCCCTTCTGTCATCTCAGAGGATACATAGAAGAGACTTGGGTATTGTGTGTGAATGTGGCCATCTGAGAGCCTTTTCAGTTGTGTTCATTGAACCTCTTTTATATGTCTCTTACTGTCTTACGGCCTAGAATTCACAGGTGGAAACAACCAAAAAAAAAAAAAAAAAAAAAAAAACCTGCTCTCTTGGACTTCGTATTTTTTTTTTTTTTTTTTCTTTTTTTGAGACGGAGTCTTGCTCTGTCACCCAGGCTGGAGTGCAGTGGCACGATCTCGGCTCACTGCAAGCTCCGCCTCCCAGGTTCACGCCATTTTCCTGCCTCAGCCTCCCGAGTAGCTGGGACTACAGGTGCCCACCACCGCGCCTGGCTAATTTTTTATATTTTTAGTAGAGATGGGGTTTCACTGTGTTAGCCAGGATGGTCTCGATCTGCTGACCTCCTGATCTGCCCGCCTCGGCCTCCCAAAGTACTGGGATTACAGGCATGAGCCACCGCGCCCAGCCTGGACTTGGTATTTTAATTGAAAGGGACATAAAATAAATAGGCCAGGTGCGGTGGCTCATGCCTATAATCCCAGCACTTTGGGAGGCCAAGGCGGGTGGGTCACCTGAGGTTGGGGGTTTGAAACAAGCCTGACCAACATGGAGAAACCCCATCTCTACTAAAAATACAAAAATTAGCTGGGTGTGGTCACACATGCCTGTAATCCCAGCTACTCGGGAGGTTGAGGCAGGAGAATCGCTGGAACCTGGGAGGTGGAGGTTGCAGTGAGCCGAGATCGCACCATTGCACTCCAGCCTGGGCAACGAAAATGAAACTCTGTCTTAAAAAAAAAAAAAAAAAAACCACGAATAAAATTATAAAAATATTAGATAATGAGAGTGTTATGTTGAAGATGAAAGAAGTTGTTTTAATAGGGAATGACAAACAGGTTTTTTTTTTTTTTATTGTTGTTGTTTTAGATGGATAGAGGGCTGGATGAGGAGGCAACATTTAAACCTGACTTGAATGATATAAAGGAACAAGCTATGGAAAGATCTGAGGCAGGGGAGGGGAACATTTTTGGTATTTTCAGAAGTCAGAGAGAATGTGAGTGTGGCTGAGATACGGCATAGCAAAATTGAAACGAAAAGGTCTCAACGAAAAAAGAAAATGAGAATCTGAGAAACAGTGGGACTAGCCTAGGAGTGCAATGAAAAGGAGCCCGGGGATGACAGCTGTGCAGCAGTCTTAGGAAACAATTGGTCCAAATTAGAACAGGAGAGCTGAGGGCCCAAGAATGGGTTGAATGAGAAAGGGGATTACATGGCACACCTGATATAATGAAGAACCTGGGAGATTTTCATGATAAGATGGGGACATATGTCTTCTGTTAATCAGAAAATAGTAAGGTAATGGCAATCGTGGGAAAAATAAATATTCAGAAGAAATTTATAGTTTAAATATGAAGTAAGCTGAAATGTGGCATGACAGCAGTTGATTTAATTTAATTAAACAGAAAGTATTTGATCTTGATGTCTGGTACTTCTTTCTATAGACAGTACAGGCTTAGTGATATATGGTATGGTTACTATATTGAGGTTTTTTAAAAACAGCTTTATTAAGATATTGACATAAAATTGTATATACTTAAGATGTATGACTTGATGTTTTGATACATGTATACATCGTGAAATGGCCACCACAATGAAGCCAATTAATGTATCCATTACTTCTAATTGTTACCATTCGTGTGTGTGTTATGTACTGACTTTCCTATGAGAAAAAGCACACTCCTAAGCACTGCAGTAGATGATATTTATGCAATAAAGGTAGTATTATAGATGTGGTTTCCAAGTTCAAAGTTTTAGAGTCAATCTATGCTAACAAAACAATAAAGACCCAAATATAGTTATAAACAATACAGCATATGGACAAATATAGTTATAAATCTTGATGCTGTAGAAGTGAGCACACAGGTGACCAAGGATGGGAGAATGATGAGCCCCAGGGACGATTATCTCCTCATCTTATGTGGTGGGTCTGAGGGGCAAAGGTTTGAGGGAGAATTTAAATCTTCAATTTCTGGGTATGCTTTAAAACTTTTAAAACTCTTCTTGTATCATTTTTACATGTTTATTTTAGAAAGCATTTTCCTTTAGTTCTTTTATTCTACAATATTTATGGATCATTTTCTATGTCCCATATGTCATGCACTGGGAAATAAGAGGAGAACAAGAGAAAAAAATCCTTGTCCTCATGTAGCTTGTATTCCAGTGGGGGAGAGTGTGCCTTTCTATAGCATCACAAAAAATGCAAGTTAAAGGAATGGGGTATTAGTGATGTTTTTGTCTCATTAAGGAACAAGGTTCTCATTGAGCAATAAGGTCATATTGATGACTCCTAAATCTCTATCTTCAGACCAGATCTTGTTCTTGAGCTTCAGATCTGCATGTCTGAGTGCCTAATGGGCACCTCCAAACCTGATCTTCTTCCAGCATCCTGCAGCTCCATCAGAAAACATCTTTCTCCCTCTTCCACCTTCCTTCTTCTCTCACCCTCACACCACTTCAGGTCCAATCCATGACCAAGACCTGCAGATTCTACCTCCTGCATAGAGCTTGACTTCCTGTGTTGGTAGTGTACTCACCACTCCTTTTCAATCCTGGCCATCATCCCTCAGTTGAATTATTGCAAACACACCCTTCACTGCTCTCCAACCCATTTTCCACATGGCAGCCAGAGCCATGTTTCAAACAAGTCTGAACATCTTGTTAATGTGCCTAAAGTACTTCAATGATGTCTTAGTCTGTTTTGTGCTCCTATAACAGAATATCTGAGAGTGGGTAATTTATAGTGAGCAGAAATTTATTGGCTCACAATTCTAGAGGCTGAGAAGTCCAAGATCAAGGTGCTGGCATCTGGTGAGGCCCTTCTTGCTGTGTCATTTCATGGTGGAAGGGCCAGAGCACAAGAGAGTGCACCCACTCCCATTTGTATAATGGCATTAATCTATTCATGACCTAAACACCTCCCTTTAGGCCCTACTTCCCAACACTGTCACATTGGGGATTAAGTTTCCAACACGTGAACTTTTGGGTCGCATTCAACCCATAGCAAACAATTTGCCATGACCCTTAGGAGAAATTTCAAATTCTTTGGTATGCTTGCAAAATCTCTCTGTCTTTCAATCTTATGCACACATGTGTATGCACACTCATGCACACACACACATATACACACACACATAAAATACCCTCCCCATCATCTAGCTCTCCTCTGCCAGGGTCTCCCCTCCCTGCCTGCCTGCCTACCCAGCTGCCTCTGTTGCTGGTAGGGCACCAGCCCCATGCGTGGCTATGAGAGTCTGCTTGTTTTTGTGGCCGTTTGATAGTGTTTGGGGTGGAGTGATTCTGGAGTGCAGGCTCTGGGGTCTCACCCTCTTGGTTCAAATCCTGATTCTACTACTTCCTCAGGCAAGTTACTTAACTTCTGGTAAGCTCCATGAGCATCTGTAAAATGGGGATCACAGTGACCTCACTTCACAGAATCGTTACAAGGTGTGTGATGTGCCCTGTAACACCCAGGACTGAGAAACCCCTAACCCCTTGTGAATGTTAGCTAGCCTCTCCACTGCTGCTGTGACTCTTACTGTGACTCTCTTGATCTGGTCTCAACTTAATAAGGTTCTCTGGATGGCCTCCCCATGCCCTCTGCCTCTGTGGCTCCCACATTTCCCCTCCATGACACATGTGCCCCTCTATTGTAAGCATTCCTAGACTGTCTGTTAGCATGTTACCTTCTGTTTTCTACAACATTCCCAGGGATTTCTACAGTGTTGGGTACCTGGTAGGGCTCAGTATAAAAGAAATAAATAAGGAATACATGAGATAGATGCCAAATTTAGTTAATCCAATTTGACCCTGGAAAGAACATTCTGACCTTGAGAAATACAGGACCCTGGAACCATTGAGCAGGACTGTTCCACCTGTGGAAATGCATCTGTCATTCTATAGTTGTTTAGAAGATCTTTAATATGTGAATTTCTTTATTGATTTTTAAAAAAATGCTTGTTTCCCAAGCACGTTTCTAACTTAGAGACTATTAGGAGGTGTGTCTAGATGTTAGAAAGGTGGACCCACCTCCACCGGGTGAGTGAAGAGAGGTGGAGCACTATACTTGCAGAGTGCTGTATGGGCCTCAGTGCAGTGTCTTTCTGCCTGGGAAAGCTTTTCTTTCATGGGGCTGTGTCATTTATACATGCATGCCCTCATGCACACCTTCCACAGGGCCAGCCAGCCCTCCTCTTGCAGGAATCTTGCTCTCAACTGAGGCTGGGAGACTGATGTCCGGGTAGGTGTGACATGAGCTTAGGCAGTAATTTGGCTCTTTTAAGAGTGCAGACAGTCTCCTGGAGTCCCGCAGCTCCCATCACTCTGCAGCCAGGAGCAGAGTCCAGCTGTCCTCAGGCCCCACGGGGACCTCGCTGTGTTTACACGACTCGTCATATGGTAACCTCTTACAGCTCTTGGGCAGGCTGCACTGTTACCTCATCTGCAGTCCCGTGACCTCATCCATGTAGAATGTAGCGAGTGCAAGCTGGGAGTGGAGCAGGCTCAGCCTCTCACTTCGAGCCCAGGAGAAGCTGTCCTCCACGTGGACTCAGGGAATCCACCAGGTGGAGATCTGTCCACTTAGTAATTATTCCCAGCAGGGGTCCGATTGGGAGCCAAGAAGATGTGTTTTCCAGGGGCTGGGGCTGGGAGGTGCCGGTGCAGACATGTGTGTGCCCACACCTGGAAGTTAGTTATCTCATGTGATTTTTGTCGCCTCCAAGAAGGGCTACTGACTCCCAGCATCTCAGCCTGTCAGGTAGGAGCCTCCAAGATGGTGGTGTGCAAACAGGCTGTGAAACGCACCACAAAAGGGACTAGGAAGGCACAGTCTCAGAACGGGGGTGGAAGCATCACTAGGTACTGTTTTTATTGTTTATCACTTTCTTTGAATTATATTTGCTCTCCCCCTGCAAAAAAATATTGCATGTGATGACTAGGAATATAAAATAAATTACCTTTGCCATAGGCTGCTGGGTTTATTAGCCTCTTTCAAACTCTTCACAATGTAAAGGACAGGCTGACCTACAGTGGCCTCCTCCTTCCAACAGGCTCTCCCTCTCTCCCCCTCACTCCCTCCCTCCCTCCCTCTCTCTCCCCCCTCTCTCTCCCCTCTCCTCTCTCTGTGTAACAGGAGCTCTATTTGTACATTTAACTGCTTAACCTTTTGAGTTACTTCAGAGCTCTGTATTTTTTCTAAGATTTCTTTGGGATACAATTAAAATTTTTCCACCTTTATTAAGGTATAATTGACAATTAAAAATTGTATATATTTACGGTGTACAACATCGTGTTTTGATATATGTATACCTTGTGAAGTGATGACCAGAGTGAAGTTAATTAACATAGCCATTGCCTCATGTCGTTATCGTTTTGTGAGTGTGGGGTGAGAACATTGAAGATCTACCCTCTTAGCAATTTTTAAGGATACAATACAATACGATTAACTATAGTCATCATGCTGTCCAATAGACCTCCAGAACTTAGTCATCCTGTCTCACTGAAACTTGGTACCCTTTGGCTAGTCATTTTAAATTTTAGGTGCTGATTTAGCTAATATATATATATATATTTAAATTTAGCTACCTTACATATTTATATTTAGAAAAAAGGCAAAGATTAAAAAACAAGTTTAGGAAACAAAAATGGCAGAAACAACACAAAAATTAAATACCTCCAGAGGTCAAGAATTTATTTGGGGGCTGGGTGCAGTGGCTCGCGCCTGTAATCCCAGCACTTTGGGAGGCCAAGGGGGCGGTGGATCATCTGAGGTCAGGAGTTCAAGAACAGCCTGGCCAACATGGTGCAACCCCGTCTCTACTAAAAATACAAAAATTAGCCCATTGTCGCGATGGGTGCCTGTAGTCCCAGCTACTCAGGAGGCTGAGGCAGGAGAATTGTTTGAACCCAGGAGGCAGAGGTTGCAGTGAGTTGAGATCACATCACTGCACTCCAGCCTGGACAACAGAGTGAGACTCCACCTCAAAAAAAAAAAAAAATGTATTTGGAAAAGCTCTGGCAATGAAAATACTCCTGAGGGGGAGGATGCTAATTTTAAGGAGCAAATGTTAGTAAACTGACGGAGTCAGTCATCCCCCTGACTACGTGGAGATCAGTGAGGAATATAGGACTCGTTGCTCCTGGTCTGTAAATGTGGAACAAAACCCATTCTTAAGAGTGGGATCTTAGTCTTCTTGGGGTGAGAGGCAAATGCTTGGCTATAATGAGCAAAAGAGCTGGGGTCATTATTTTGATAGTGTGTTTGCTGCCTACTTTTAGTCATGCACCTGAGACATTCTTATTAGCAAGCTTGGAGCAGCAGTGGAGTGTTGAAAAAATTTCTCTCAAACCTGGGCTCTAGGACAGTCCTCCTGCACACAGATGAATGCCCCTGTGAGCAAATTGCCTCCCCGGCCTGTTCAGAGTCACCTACGCTGCTGGCAAATGGTTTTTCAGAGCAAGGTAAGCCCTGCAGAGACCCAGAGGCCTGTATATTTAAACAATTACGGCCTGTGTGTGTCTCAGCCTCCTGCTGCATGCTCCTGAGCAAGATGGTGTAATATGTGCATTTTACATATCAATAGCAGAGGAGGCTGTTTCCAGATGGCTGTACCTATTTCAAAGCCACCTTTTTATGCAGAAGGAAGACTGTGTGACCTCCCTCCAAGTAAATGTGTTTTGTAAGTCCTGGGAATGAATGCTTAAAAAATGGTCGTGGGCTATATTTCATGTCCAGTCCAACATGTTGTGTGTGCACAGCTGTTCGGGGCTGGCATGTGGTAGCATAATAAAAGGAAGATTACCATTTCCAATTTTTTCCCCTTCTGAAAGCTTGATATGCATATATGAAACTTGTGGAAAAAAATATGCATAATGAGACAGGGATGCTGGGTCTCAAGGCACTAGTCGGTGCACATCTGGAGTTTCTAGCATTCTAGAGATAGTTACTTATTCCCAGGAGCCGCTGCCGGAGTGGGAATGGTAGCCCGGTATCCATGGTGAGCTTCCCTATCTCACCGTGCCAGGTGTGCGTGTGTGTGTTATTTCTTGGAAAGGCTGTCCTCTGAGGGGGTGGGGAGGGAAGAAGGCAAGAGAGGAGAGGAGGAAAAAAACAGAAGGGAGGTAATTAGGCGCCACCTTGCCCAATGGAGCCTGCTCAGGTGTCTGAAATCAAGGATGGGGATTGGAAGGGTGCTGATGGAGTCTGATGATTCCTCCTGCCTGCCAAGTCCACGCTTGTTTCTATGGGTACAAGACCAGGGGAAAGAAACCCTGGGGTCAGAAAAGAGGCATGGATCACAATACCAAGCAGGATGGGCCTTGCTACTTGCCTCTTCTGCAATGTGGTATTAGTCTTGAACTGACAACCTGAATTCATGCTGATTTTTTCCCCCAGTTTAGACATTGGAAGTGTTTCAAACTTCGTAGGCTGTTATTTAGGAAAAGCCTTCATGGGATAGCATTTTTTTTTTTTTTTTTTTTTGAGATGGAGTCTCTCTCTTTCGCCCAGGCTGGAGTGCAGTGGTGCGATCTCAGCTCACTGCAAGCTCCGCCTCCCGGGTTCACGCCATTCTCCTGCCTCAGCCTCCCAAGTAGCTGTGACTACAGGCACCTGCCACCACACCGGGCTAATTTTTTTTTTTTTTTGTATTTTTAGTAGAGACGGGGTTTCACCGTGTTAGCCAGAACGGTCTTGATCTCCTGACCTCATGATCTGCCCGCCTCGGTCTCCCAAAGTGCTGGGATTACAGGTATGAGCCACCGCGCCTGGCCGGGATAGCATTTTAACTGGATAGCTGACTGGCTGATTTTATATTCCCACTTAATGGATAGAGAAATTGAGGCATTAGGAACCATATGGACCTGCCTTACTCTGAGAGGGAAATAGGAGCAGGCCTGGGAAGTTTTCCCAGGAAAGAGAATTTGTTATAGCTTCATAGATTCATGGGATGCATGAATTTTCTTTTTCTTTTTTTTTGAGTTGCAAGATTGTGAGGTTGCAGATGCTCTGTGTAAAACAATGCCCCACAGGGAGGGAAGTGTGAGGTCCGGCCTGAGGCCACCCTTAAAAAGGGCTATAAACAGCAGCTGCTTCTATTGTGCGTGCCAAGTGCTGCCTATTAGTTTAGGTTTCCAAACTCCTTGTTTCTTTCTCTTGAACCAGATGTGACCGAGCAAGAGTTTGTCAATTCAGAGGTAGACCCCAGATGGTGGGAATCAAAGGAGGGAAGTGAGGGGCACACGGGCCTCTGGGGGCTGAGGCAGGAGACAGCTCTCTGCCTTTCTCAGGTACTCTGTTTTTCTGTCTTGGTGTCTGATCCGTCCTTCCTTCTCCGGGTTTGGCAGCTGAGGCAGAGTGGGGAAGAGTGTCTGTGGTGTCTGATCTTCAAGCTCACACATGAGCTCGTGGAGGGCTCAGGACACAAAGGAGGGGGATAGATGACAGTGGAAGAGCACTCGGGAGCCCCATTAGGCACCCCTGATGGAGGGCAGGGAGGGGGCAAACAAAAGAGCCCCAGGCCGCTGGGCCACACAGAACCTGGATGATGAAACAGGAGGATGCAGGCAGGAAGACAGAGCCACCTCTCTCTGCTGCCCCTGGCGAAGGGGTGCATTCGTTCCCTGGTTGGTGGGGGAGAGACGCCAACCCAGAGCCACGTTATTTCTGATTCGTGGTGCATGGCATTTTTATTTACCATTTATGAAACTGCGGGTTCAGATGTGTGTGATTTTGTTTTTTTGTTTTTTGTTTTTATTTTTGAGACAGAGTCTCTTGTCACTCAGGCTGGAGTGCAATGGCATGATCTCGGCTCACTGCAACCTCTGCCTCCCAGGTTCAAGCCATCCTCCTGCCTCAGCCTCCAAAGTAACTGGGATTACAGGTACCCACCACCATGCCTGGCTAAGTTTTGTATTTTTAGTAGAGATGGGGTTTTGCCACGTTGGCCAGGCTGGTCTCCAACTCCTGACCTCAGGTGATCCGCCTGCCTCAGCCTCCCAAAGTGCTGGGATTACAGGTGTGAGCCACTGCGCCTGGCCCCAGTGTTCTTAATTAATCTCTTTTATTTCTCTTTCCCTCTTTCTTTCTTCTTCTAAGGTAGAGGACCTTTGGAGATGTGAATGAAAACAGCTGTCTGAACAAGTGGTACCCTAACTAGCGCGGCTGTGAGTCTGAAGCTTGAAATGGGGAAGTTGGTCAGCATGGGTGAGCTATGCAGCCCAGGTGAAGGGATCCTCAAGCAGCAGCCTCTGCCTTTTTGTCTTCTCCTTTTCACGGAGATGACAAGAATCACCCCAGGACTTATCTTCTGAGGTGCTCAGCTGTGGTCCCAGTGCTGCTTTGGTCACTGCTATGGCGGGTGGAAGCAGGATGGGTGAAGTCATTCTGGAGAACAAGGTAAATTATAGCCAAATTATATATTTGCATATGCCATGACCCAGCATCCCAATATATGCCAGAGAAACTCTTGCACAGATTCATGTGGAAATAAACATAGTAAAGATGTCCTACATATCTTTCTGGGTCCCAGGGAGTTGGAGGGAACTTAGGTACCCATCATTTGGGGAATAGAGAAAATGTGGTGGGAGCTTATGCTGGAATACCATGCAGCAGCTGAAGTAATGAATGAACACAAATCTTTAGCAAGACTGTTGAATGAACATGTAAGAAATAGGACAGTATTTATAGCATGGTGTCATTTTAATAATGTTAACAGAAGCATACACATACACACAATATTGTATTTTTACGTTTCCAGGCACAAATTTCTTATACATGACATTGGGTGGAGAGAGAGGAAGGAGACATGCCATGGGGATCAAGGTTAGAGGGAAAAAATTCAAATAAAATTAAAGAATAGAGGGGGTTTAAAATGCCCAGTTATGATAATTAACATGCCATGAACTGAAGAAACAACTCAGTTTTGCACTAAATTCCTATCTATGGAAATGGAAATTCTCTTTGTCTCTTTCTCATCTATCTACATATCTATAACATACCATAGTTTCTGTGATAAAAAGTATCACAGAAATGCATAAATGCATATGAAATCTCACTGTCAATAATCAACCATCAAATACTCTTTAAACCTATACTATGGATGTAGTCCTGCGCTAGGTCTGATGGAACATGCAAGAGCATAGGGTATTGTCCTTGTTACCATGCAGATTGGAACTTACATATGAAACAAGAGCATGCAATTTAAAATAGCATATAATGAATGCCCAAACTGTGTAAGACATACACAAAGAGGTGCATGAGAATTAAAAACAAAGATGGCTGGTGAGGACAGGAGTGGTCAGAGAAAACTCACTGGAGAAAGAAGCTCTGCACTGGGCGGTGAAGGATGGTGGTACTGGCTTGGCAGAGGGAAGGGGAACGGAAGCCGCATAGAGACATAAATCGTGAAGCTACCAAGGGGACCACGAGTGCAGTAGCCAGACCCCAGCAGAAGGGGACGGCTTGAGGTGTGGGTGAAGCAGGGTGCAGTGCATACTTACCCTGTCGTCTGCGCAGCATTCAGCTTCTGGGAACCATGTGTGGCTGCCTCTGGCTCCTTTATCTCCAGGGCTTCTCGGAAGCCATTTGTACAGACGTTTTCAGGCCTCTCCTGCCCACTGCTCAGGGTGTGGGTGCTGAGGGTGGGATTTGGGATTTGGCCAGGAGGAAGCATCTGCCACCACCGGCATCCCTTTTGCTTTCTTTTTCCTCTTATGAGTACTCAGGGCTGCCTCCTAGCTTTGCCTAATTGCTCTATCCACGGACCAATGAGAGCGGGTGACGTTTTAAAGTGACAATCCTACATTGATAGTATTTTCTAGAAAATTCTCCACACACCCGTGGACTAATCTTCCAGAGATCATTTAATTTAATTTATTTATTTAGAGACAGGGTCTTGTTCTGTCGCCCAGGCTGGAGTGCAGTGGTGTGATCTCTGCTTACTGCAGCATCAAATTCTCGGGCCCAAGCGATTCTCCCACCTCAGTCCCCCAAGTCGCTGGGACCACAGGCCTGCCCCTGGCGAATTGTTACGTATTTTTTTGTGGGATGGTGTCTCACTATGTTGCTCAGGCTGGTCTCAAACTCCTGGGGTCAAGTGACCTCCCACCTTGACCTCCCAAATTGCGGGGCTGATAGGTGTGACCCACTGTGCAAGGCCGGGCGCAGTGGCTCACGCCCGTAATCGCAGCACTTTGGGAGGCCGAGGCCGAGGCCGGCGGATCACCTGAGGTCGGGAGTTCGAGACCAGCCTGACCAACATGGTGAAACCCTGTCTCTACTAAAATACAAAAAATTAGCTTGGCATGGTGGTGTGCGCCTGTAGTCCCAGCTACTAGGGAGGCTGAGGCAGGAGAATCGCTTGAACCCGGGAGGCAGAGGTTGCAGTGAGCTGACATTGCCCCACTGCACTCCAGCCTGGCCACAGAACAAGACTCCGTTTCAAAAAAAAAAAAAAAATCAAATTTATAACCTGTATGAGTTTAATCAATATTATTAACAATAACTAATATTGTTATGTTTGTTAGGAAAACTGGGGCTGGTATGGTGGTGCACACCTATAATCCCAGCACTTTGGGAGGCTGAGGTGGGCAGATCACTTGAGGCCAGGGGTTCGAGACCAGCCTGGGCAACATGGCAAAACCCCATCTCTACAAAAAATACAAAAATTAGCTGAGTGTGGGGGCATGTGCCTGTAGTCCCAGCTACTTGGGAGGCTGAGGTGGGAGAATCACTTGAGCCTGGCAGGTTAAGGCTGCAGTGAGCTGCAGTCATGCCACTGCACTCCAGCCTAGGTAATAGGACAAGACCCTGTTTCAAAAAAAATAAATAAATAAAATAAAAAAAAATAAAAGAAAAAGAAAACTAGGAGGCCAGGCATGGTGCTATGGATGTTCACAAAGGGGGTCCTAATGCATGTGTTCTGAACAAACATGTATATTACATACAAGCCATGTTCACCTTGTGGTGGAGACAACAATGAAGTGTATCACAATCAAGCTCTATACGTCAAAAGGTGAAGCAGGGACACCAAGGCACTCAGTGTACAGCCTCTGTAATCCAGCCAGAACCAGTCTATAGTCAGTGGTCTCTTATCAGGAGAAAGTTACTGAAATAAGGCTCTTGTCCAATCAAAGCTGTAGTTATGGCTGTGGAACAGGGGTTGGGGGTTAGTCAGGCAGTGTCTGGTGGCTGGTGAGCTGCAGTTGTTTCAATATTGCTTATCTCAGGGCCACTGCTTGTTTGGCTGCCAGAGAAAAATAAAAACCCTGTAGCCCTTAGGACATAGTATACTCTTTAAGTGTAGGGGTGCATGACTTAACCCTTGCCTAGCATAGCCTTAGGTTCTGTTTCCAATTCGGTATCTTACTGCCACAAAGCGTCTGTTATGTCAGCCTTACGATCTCTGTTTTAATATTAATGCTTGTCAGTGGTTGTGTCTAAACCGTAAAAGAAAGGGGTTATACGTGTTTGACGTCCTATCCCATCATGGCCAGGAACTCAGTTTTTAAGGTTTCTCTGGGATCCCCTTGGCCAAGAGGGGGTCAGTTCAGTCAGTTGGCAGGGGCGGGGGCTGTTAGGATTTTATTTTTAGTTCTTATTGGTTTTATGTTGACATATTTTGGATATATTGAATTAAATATAACACACAGTCAGCCCTCCCTGTCCATGGATTCAGCATCCATGAATTAACCAACCTAGGATCAAAAATATTCAAGAAAAAAATTAAAAATAAAACAAATAAAAAAGCAATACAGTATAACAACTATCTATAGAGCCTTTACATTGCATTAGATATTATAAGTAATCTAGAGATGATTTAAAATATACAACAGGATGTGCATGGGTTCTATGCAATTACTATACCATTTTATATAAGGGGCTTGAGCTTTCATGGATATTGGTATTTGAGGGGGTCCTGGAACCCGATATATCAAAGTCGCCTCCCCCGATACGTCAAGGAGCAACTGTATTATTAAAATGAATTTGAGTTCTTTTAAAAAATGTGATTATAAAACATTTAAAATTACACATGGAGCTCACATTCTGGTTCTGCTGGGGAGGGCTGCTCTGGATTAAAGTTGTTCTTGGCTTATTTATTTGGTTTTCCATGCACTTTTCAACTCTGATTCTATGCCTGTGATCTGGATCTTCTCTTGAGATGCGGATTCACATCCGCCATTCTGTCTCCTCATCTTCTGAGAGGTCTGCCCTGGAGCCCTCTGCTGAGCTCTCCTCAGGACCGGCTGCTGGTCATCCTGAGATCCCTCTTCACTAATGTCCTGGGAATTTCCTTTATTGTTCTACTGTGTTGAAGCCTGTTTCCTGGATCTCATTTCTTCCTCCTTGGTTAATTCCTTTGTTTTATGAAACATGTTCTGCAGTTTCCTAAGAAAAGCGTGTGGGAGGTTAATTTTTTGCAACCTTATGTGTCTGAAAATTTGTGTGAAAATCACGTGCCCTTGATGCACAGTTTGGGTAGGTGAGTCCAGGATGCAAATAATTTCTCTGAATTTGGAAGGCATTGCACCCATGTCTTCTATCTCCCTGTATTGCTGTTGAGAAGTTCTAAGTCATTTGACTTCTTAACCTCTGTACATGACCTTTCCTTTGAAATCTCCATTCCCTCTTGCAGAATCTTCTTTTTCTCACCAATGCTGTGAACTTTCATGATGATGTGACTTGGTATATGTCATGCCATTCAATTCTGGGAAATTTCCTTGAATTATTTTATTGGTGATTTCATCCCCTCTATTTCTTTAGTTCTCTCTCTTTGGAACTCTATTATTTGGATGAAACAGATAATTGTTAGTCTGCACTGGTCTTCTAATTTTTTTATCTTTTCTCTTTTATTTTCCATCTCAGTCCTTTGCTCCTCTTTCTAAAACGTTTCCTCAACTTATCTTCCATCTCTTCAGCTGAGTTATTTATTTATATTATTATATTTTAAATGTCTAACAATCTAGCAACTTTTTTTTTTTGTTCTTTGATGACTTTTCCTTTTTTTTTTTTTTTTTTTTTTGAGACAGAGTCTGACTCTGTCACCCATGCTGGAGTGCAGGTGGCACAATCACAGCTCACTGCAACCTCGACCTCCTTAGCTCAGGTGATCCTCCCACCTCAGCCTTGCGAGTAGCTGGGACTACATGCGCCCACCACCACACCCAGCTAATTTTTCTGTATTTTTTGTAGCGATAGGGTTTCGCCATGTTGCCCAGGCTGGCCTGGAGCTCCTGGGCTCAAGCCATCCTCCTGCCTTGGCCTTCCGAAGTGCTGGGATTACAGATGAGAGCCACTGTGCCCGGCCTACTTTTCCTTTTTAATAGCATCCTGCTCTTCTTTGTTTTGTGGGTGCAGTATCTTCCACATCTTTGTCCCCAAGGACAGTAATGCTCACTTTGATTTTAACTTTTCTCTTGCCTGCATAGTGTCTGTTTCTTCCAAATCCCCTTTTTTTCTGTGTATTTGGTCTCTCTCTTTCATGATAAAGGCTTCCAGAGGTGCAGAGTAAACCTGGGTTGTTTACACATGTTTATTGGCATGGGGGTTGCCTGCCTATAGCTGGGGTCCTGTGAAAATGAGCCTCTCAGCAGGGTGGCTGTGAGGAATCCCTGAGTGAGTTGCTTTAGGTCTTCTAGAGCTGTTCATATTTCCCAGAGGAGAATTTGCCAGTCTCCTGCCCAGAGGGTAATACCTTGGCTGCCAGCATTCTGAGAACTGAATCGAGAAGACAGTTTGGGATTTCAACATTCAGGAAGTATACATCACCCCCACCCCCACCTTCCCCCGTTTCTCTTTAAGATACCCCAGGCTGCTACTGGCTGCCTCTGTCAGTTTTCTATTTTTGTGTAACAAACTACCCCAAAACATTATGGCTTGCAAGCAATTGTATTTGCTCATGATTCTTAGGGTCAGGAATTTGGTAAGCTCGGCTGGGTGGTGGGTCTGATCACGTGGCCTCAACTGGTGCAGCTGGGATGGAGGGTTCACTTCTATGCTGGCTTTGTCATTCTCATGTCTGGTGTGCCTTGGCCTCTCTGTCTCTGTCTTTGTAACTGTCTTTCTCTCTCTCTCTCTATGCTGTCTCACCCATTAGGGCCTCTCTGTGTGACTTGGGCTTCTCACAGCATGGTGGTCTCAGTGTGGTCATGAAACTGCCTTTGCAAAAATCATAACAGTGAAAAAATTATGACAGTGAAGGAGATCTGACCAACTCCATCTTGCCTTTAACCTCCAAAGTACCCATGGTCATTCCTGGGCATGGGCCAAACTAACTCTGGGAAAAATTTAGTGCATAGTTTAAGTAATAATAGCCCTCTTCAAACTAAACTTAAAAACTTAAAATTAATAAGTTTATTAATTTTAAAACTCATGAAAAGACACCAGGTTAGGAGGATGAGAGGGGCCTGAATTCCCTTAAGATATAGGTATAGTTAAGTGATTACCAGCCATTATTCTGGAGGTCGCGAGATTAGCAACTTCTCCAATTATTCCTGTAAATAACATTATTATTGTAGACCTAAGGTTGGCCTTTTGAGATGTCTTTTCAGGCTTTTGCATTTTTGATGACCAGATGGCCCTACCTGGACCAGCAACTCCTTTGTGGCCCCCACCCATAAGTGGACTCAGTGCAGGAGGACTGTTTTCCACAACACTATGATTGCAGCCCCAATCAATCAGCATTTCCTCTTCACTAGCCCCATGCCCATCAAGCAATCCTTGAAAAACTCTAGCCTCCAAAAATTCAGGGAGGCAGATTTGAATAGTAATAAAACTCTGATTTCCCTTTTAGCTGGCTCTATGTGTATTAAACTCTCTCTATTGCAATTCCTCATCTTGATAAATCAGCTGTGTTTGGGCAGTGGACAAGATGAACCCATTGGGTTCTGACTTCCAGCTACTGACTTCCAGTGGACAGGAGGCGAATGCTGCCAGTGCTGGGGTGGTTGAGGGCTATGCCCAGAGCTGGCACAGTGTTGCTTCTGTTGGTCAGAGAAGTCATGGGGGTCTGTCCAGATTCAAGGGTATGAAGAAAGAGATTCCTCCTTGGGTTGGAAGAGAAAGGACCCGTTGCAAATGAGCATGTGGGTTGAAAGATTGGCCATCTTTAGAAAAATCTAAGCTGTCACACTGCGCAAGTTAAAGTTGATTTAAAAAAATGTTTAGTGAGCATGATTTTCATTGGGTAGGAATATTTATCAATTGTTTTCTCCTTATACAAAATTAAAGGTTGTGTTAAACTTACCTTCTGCTTTTGGAAATAGGTATATTTCAGAGATAAACATTTGCTATGAGTTTCCAAAATTTTTTTCTGTTTGTGTACTTGATCTTTTCATATTGTCATTGATGATGGGTATCTGAGTTACTGGTGGCTAATCTGTATGGGTCTGTAGCAACCTCAATTCTTGCCTCCTCAGAAGAAAGAATTCAACTGAGGGGCATAAGGCAGAAGAAGAGACCGAAGCAAGTTTTAGAGCAGGAGTGAACATTTATTAAAAAGCTTTAAAGCAGGAATGAAAAGAAAGTAAAGTACAGCTGGAAGAGGGCCAAGGGAGCATCTTGCAGGTCAAGTGTGGGGTTGCCTTTTGACTTGGGGTTTTATATGTTGGCATGCTTCTGCTGTCTTGCATCCCTTTTCCCATGGAATGCCCCCGGAAGGACATATACCAGTTAAACTCTTTTGCCTCATAATGCTCATGCTCGAGCTCACTCGCCCAGCTCCTGAGATCTTACTGGGAAGCTGCTGATCGCCAGTTTCAGGTGTTTCCTATCACCTGATGGTCACCTGACTCTCCTGGGTGGGGGAGGTGGAGGGTGGCGGCCCTCTCCTGTCCTGTTCATGTCTGACTAGCTGCCCACTGTAACAAGATGATCTGTAATTTTATTTTTATTCTTTTGATTTGCTTTTTCCTTTGGAAGGAGATCTATATTTATTCAGTTTGGAGACTTGAGATGGTTTTGTCAGTGATTGTGTTGGTTCCTGTTCTCTTACTCCCAAAGGGGAAATTTTATGTTTTTATTTATTTGGCAGTTTTATTTTCCTTGTGTAGGGATATATTCAGCTGGGAGAAGTTGTTGGAAGGCAGTTTTCCCTGAGGAATTCACTGCTTTTTTTCAAATAGTTTTTTTTAAGCCTCTGTGGGGAGGTGAGATGGGGGCACTCCCCAAGTCCCCTGCCTCCACGAGTCCCTCCCGGAGGCCAGCAGCTCTGTTTGTGAAGCCCTGGTGGAGCTGCCAAACTGCTCTCATTTGCCACCCTCCAGAGTCCCATCCTCTTCCATTTCAAGTTTGAGAACTTCCCAGATCTTTGGGGAATCACCTACTTGATTCCCACAGGGTACTTCCTTTGTGAGTATTGAACAGGGCTGTCAGTACTTTGATCCATCCCTTCACAGGCACCAAATTACACAAACATTGACTTCCTCAAAGTTTCTAGCCCATTGATACCATGCTTATTTTACCTTGATGTGATACAGTTTTCTCCCCACTTAGTATGACTCTCTGATTCTTTCAGTGGAATTTGGGAAGGGAGGGACACTAAACATGTCAGCTTAAGTGTCATTGGCCACTTTGTTTTTGGTTTTAGTCAACTGGTTTATTAAGAATTGCTCCAAAGAGAATGGCATGAACCCGGGAGGCGGAGCTTGCAGTGAGCCGAGATCACGCCACTGCACTCCAGCCTGGGCAATAGAGCAAGACTCCATCTCAAAAAAAAAAAAAAAGAATTGCTTCAAAAATTTGATGATATTTGAAAGAGTGAATATTTTATTTGTTATGGCTTAGAAGAGAGACAAACATCTACAGCAGTAGCTCTCAATCCTGGCTGCACATGAGGATCAGCTGGAGGGGCTTGGATGAATTGCTGATGTCCAGGGCACACCCTCAGAGGTTATGATTTGAGTGGCTTGGACTGGAACCCAGTCATCAGCTTTGAGAAAAGCTCCCTCGATGGTTTTGGTACTCAGAGTGCTGAGAACCATGGATCATAGGGTAATGGGTGCATATCCTAACCCTGTGAGTGCCCTTGGAATGGGGAAAAAGGAGGAAAAGGAAATAGCAGGAGTAAGAGGGAAGACATCATAGATGAGAGAAAAAAGCACAGGATTTAGAACCTGTGTCTGATTCCCAGTGCCACAGTTGAATGCCTGCATAATCCTGCATTATTTTTTTGAGCCCCATTTCACTCTTTGTAAAAGAGCACTAATGTTGCCTACTTCATGGCACTGATGCAAGACAAAATTGCATGTCTGGGAAAGCAAGTGTTTGTTATTATTTTTAAAAACTAGGGTTTTGTAGTGGCATTTAAGTATAGGATCTTGAGATGAGATTATCTTGGTTTTAGGGTGGGTCTAAATCCAACGACTGATATCCCTATCAGTCAGAGACTGGAACTGGCAAACAGACACACAGACACACAGAGGAACAGGTCAGGTGAAGATGGAGGCAGAGGTTGGAGTTATGCTGCCACAAGACAAAAATTTCCTGGAGCCCCCAGATGCAGGAAGAGGCAAGGCAGTATCTGGAGCTTCAAAGGGACCATGGCCCTGCTGACACCTTAATTTTGGACTTCTGGTCTCTAAAACTGTGAGAACATAATTTCTTGTTTTGAGCTGCCAAGTTCGTGTTAATTTTTTATGACAGCTCTAGAAAACTAAGACATCCTTCCTCACCCCCTCTTCCTGCATTGTCTTCTTCCTCTTTCACATTAATTATAATATTTAAGAAATAATTATTGTTCTTAAGAGGGAGCTAGTTGTGCTGGAGTAAAGAACCCATGTCCCAGCAGAACTTAAATGATGTGAAAGTTAAATGGTCAAGGAGGACCATAAGATGGAGATACCACAAGCCACCAGGAGCCAAGAGCTAAGTGAAGAGTACATACAATAAGTACAAGGAGGCCGGGGGCTTCTCTGCCCTGAGACCCAATGTTTCTCTTGATCAAACTTTCCTTAATTTTGAAAACTCGTTTTCTCTTTTGATTCCCTAGAAGAGGTACCTCATTGAGTGCCATCACTTTGATCTTTCAATTCTGACCTTCTAGCTTTAAATTTTTTTTCAATTCAAGTTACCAGCATATTTCATACTTTTCCTGCCTCCTAAAGGAATTTTTAAAGAATATCTGTGACTTAAAGATGGCAGACAAAAGTCACTGGGTTGTTTAATCCCTGATGAGAGACTATGAAAAAGTGATGACCCACATTGAAAAAATGCTTTTTCATGTTTGGGAAAACATGTACTTTGAACTTGGAATTAATAATTACTTTCTCTATCTTGTTTCTTTTCTTTCTTTCTTTTTTTTTTTTAGAGACAAGTTCTCACTCTGTTGCTCAGGCTGGAGTGCAGTGGCATAATCATGGCTCACTGCAGCCTCCACCTCTTGGGCTCAAGCAATTTTCCTGCCTCAGCCTCCTGAGTAGCTGGGACTACAGGTGTTTGCCACCAGCCCTGCTGTCTATCTTGTTTCTAAATCAAAATTAAGCACTACTGGGTAATGTCATGGGAAGACGGTGGAGTAGGAAGCTCTAGGAATTTAGGACTTGAGCATCAGCTAGGAACGGTCTGAATCAACTATTTTGGAACTCTGAAGTCTAATAGAACAATTGAACATTCAGGTGAGAGCTTGATAAAGAGACTGGCAATTTTCAGTGAATTTCAGCTGTTTGTCTAGCAGTGGCTACCGCCCTCATCCCCTAGCCCTGCATCTGCTTGCCATGGGGGCGGTGGTATGCATTCCTGATGCGGCTTTCTGCCGCCCAGTGGGGCAATAGAAACTTTATCCTCCAAAAATTGGGGTTGTGTGTTTTGATTGCTGATCACTGCTTTTGATTGTGGAGGGGCTGGCACAGAGGTTGGCCATTGTTTCAACCCCCATGGGCTAAAGCAGCTCCCGAGGGGATTTAAAGAGACAGGATCTATTCCCTACCTGCTAGTTTCACTCCTCCAAACCCTCAGACACTTTTGGGAGGTAGACAGTCTGGAAATATCTGTCAGTCATTGGCTGACTGCAGAGGCAATGGAGCAGAAACTTCACTGACCACAAAAAACAAGTAATATACAATTGCAAAATTTGTTTAGAAAAGTTCAAAATGGTTGACCCTAGTCCTCCAAAAGCAAGATTTGGCAATTCCTGAGATGTGGGAGAATTAAATCTCTGGAGTTACCATAACATAACACTCAAAATATTCAGTTGCTAACAACAAAAATACAAAATATACAAAGAAATAGGAAAATATGGTTCATTCACAGGAAAAAAATAATTTGACAGAAATCATCCCTGAGGAATCTGAGACACAGGAATGATTAGTCAAAGACAGTAAATCGACAGTCTTAAATATGTGAAATCAGTTAAAGAAAACCATGCCAAAGGAACAAAGGAAATCAGAAAAATAATGTATGAACAAAATGAGAATATCAACAAAGAGATAGAAATTATAAAAAGGAACCAAATAGAAAAGTTGAAAAGTGCAAAAACTAAAATGAAAAACTCACCAGAGGTGCTCAACGGCAGATCTGAGCAGGCAAAATGAACTTGAGACAATTGAGACTATCCAGTCTAAGGAGCAGAAAGAAAAAAGAATGAAGAAAAATGAACTGAGTATGAGTGATGTGTTGGGTATCATTAAACACACCAACATACAAATTAGGATTTCCAGATGTAGAAGAAAGAAATATTTGAATAAATAATGGCTGAAAACTTTCCTAATCTGAGGAAATACATGAATACATAAATCCAAGAAGTTCAATGAACTCCAAGAGGCATAAACTCAAAGAAATCTACACAGAGACACATTATAGTCAAATTCTTGAAACCAAAGACAAAGAGAGAACTTTGAAAGCAACAAGAGAAAAGCAACTTGTTCTGTACAAGGAATTTGCAATAAGATTAACAGCCAATTGCTCCTCAGGAATCATGGAGACCAGAATTCCTTATGTAAAGTCCTGGAAGAAAAAACTGGAAACCAAGAATTGTATATCTAGCAAAACTATCTTTTAAGAATAAAGGGAAAACTAAATATTTCCAGATAAACAAAAGCTGAGGGAGCTCATTACCAGTAGGCCTGGTACAGAAATGTTAAAGGGAATCTTTCAGGCTGAAAAGAAAGGACAGTAGATATTAATAGTAAATTGAAGCCATAAGAAAAAGAAAGAGCACTGGCTAAGGTAGCTACATAGGTAAATATGAAGTCCAACATCATGCTTTTGATATGGTATGTATCTTCTTTTCTTTTCCTAGATAATTGAATAGGCAAATGCATAAAACAATGATTATATGTTAATGGGCATGCAATGTATACAGGTGTAATCTGTGAGAAAAACAATATAAACAAGGAAGAATGGAAATATATATGAGCAGAATATTTGTATATTATTGAAATTAAGTTGGTTTGTTGAAACTAGGTTGTAATAAGTTTAAGATGTTAATTGTAATCCCAAGGTAACCACTAAGAAATAACTAAAAAAGGCCAGGTGCAGTGGCTCATGCCTGTAATCCCAGCACTTTGGAAGGCCGAGGCAGGCGGATCACCTGAGATTGGGATTTTGAGACCATCCTGGCCAACATGGTGAAACCCCGTCTCTACTAAAAATGCAAAAATTAGCCAGGGGTGATGGCACCTGCCTGTAATGCCAGATACTCAGGAGGCTGAGGCAGGAGAATTGCTTGAACACGGGAGGTGGAGGTTGCAGTGAGCCCAGACCACTGCACTCCAGCCTGTGTGACAGAGCGAGACTCCATCTCAAAAAAAAAAAAAAAAAAAAAAAAGAAATAACTAAAAAAATACAGGGAAAGAAAGGAATAAAAATGGTACACTATAACACTATAAAATCAAGCAAACTAAAACCATTCCAAACTGTTTCAGAATATCTTCTAATGGTTTTATTAGTGGATTCTCACAATCCAGCCTGTGTGAGAGGAGTCACCTACATACTCTATATTTTGACAACTTGAAAAATTTAGCTGTGAGGTAGCACATTGAGCTAGTTTTACAAGGCCAAGTGTAGACCTTATGTTAAAGAAAGAACATAACAGAGTGGAGAGAGCATTGGACTAGAAGCCAGTAGGACTGGGTTCTAGTTGCCTGAGTTATTTGTGCTAGCAAGCCAGGTGACATTGAACAACTCTGTTTTCTTATCTATAAAGGGGGGTTGTTGAACTAGACAGTCTCAAAGGTCCCTTCCAGTCAGAAGATGAGCATCAAGGTTTGCACACAGCTCCCCTCGATGGGGCCTGCCCTCTGAATTGAAGAGTCTGTGTAACCAAGACCTCTTTCTACTCATTTCCAGCACAGATGAGCACTCTCTGAGGCTAATTTTAAAAGAGACAAAAATATCACATGGCTGGAGGGAACCTTGAGAAATGACTTAGTAGAAGAGCAACAACATCTGCAGCAATACTGATTCCTCCTGTCTAATGGAGAGTTTCAGAATTATCTCTAGAGGCATCCCTCCCGGTATCTGCTTTGAGTCTTGAGTTAGGTAAGGCAGACATTCAACTGAAGTAAACAACTGTGTATTGAGGGTTTTGTGTGTGTGCCAGGCAATGTGCTCAAATCTGCACACAGAAAAATAAGAGCGAGTCCTGCATTTAAGGAGCCCACATGGTCCACCAACCCCAGGTGAGGAAGTGGTGCTTAGAAAGACAGTTTTGTGAATAAAATTACACAAGAAGAGTTGTAGCTGGGGTGGGAAGGCAGGTCTGATTTCTAGGGAGAGGTTGTCACACTGTCAGCCTGCCTGGGTTCAACCCATGCACCCTTTTCATGAGGTCCAGAAGAGGTGATTGTAGAACTCTTTTGGAAAATAAACTCTGGTCCAGTGCACTTTACTATAGGGATTTTGTTCTAATCACTATCAGGTCGAAGTTAACACTTACTTCCTCTTGTTCTATTTAATTGAAAAAGACATGATCTCTGCCCTTTTTCACTTCTGGTCAACAGCGTAAGTTCCTCATTCAACACTTTGTAGAAGACATAAATACAACACCCTTGGGGCAGGATGAGAGGCTTAGGAGGGAGAAGTAGAACTGCTGACCCAAGCCCTGTGAGATCTTCAGGGCTCAAGAACTGCACAAGTTCTAATGGCCAGGTTTGCAAAGCGTGTATTTTATTCATCTAGAGGCAAACAAACAGTCCTGTGTCCTCTTCTAGGTCTTGGGGAAAACTTATAAGGCTTTGCCTTTTCTTTAACCATTACCTCAATCCTTAACTAATTATTTTAATGGGCTTTGGCATGGATGTGTATTTAATTTAATTTGGTATCAATCTTGTCACATCTTTGAAAGCATTTTATGTCTCTATGTCATAAGACTCAGGGCTAGAATTGTATGGTCAATAAAGAATTAAGCATAGAAACGGTAGTGGGTTCAATGCTGGCCCCAAAGATATCAGGTTCTAATTCCTGGAACACATAAATGTTACTTTATTTGGAAAAAGGGGCCGGGTGGGATAGCTCACACCTGTAATCCCAGCACTTTGGGTGGCCAAGGCTGGCGGATCACCTGAGGTCAGGATTTTGAGACCAGCTTGGCCAACATGGTGAAACCTCGCCTCCACTAAAAATACAAAAATTAGCTGGTATGGTGGCACATGCCTGTAATCCCTGCTACTGGGGAGGCTGAGGCATGAGAAATTGCTTGAACTCGGGAGGTGGAGGTTGCAGTGAGCCGTGATTGCACCACTGCACTCCAGCCTGGGTGACAGAGTGAGACCCCATCTCAAAAAAAGAAAAAGAGAAAGGGTCTTTGCAGATGTGATTAAATTAAGGACCTTGAGATGAGATCATCCTTTTGATGGACCTTAAATGCCCATCAAAAAGACTCAAGAAAGCACCCTCATAAGAGAGAGGCAGAGGGAGAGGACACACAGAAGAGGAGGAGGCCATGTGGGTACAGAGGCGGAGACTGGAGTGACACGGCCACAGGGGGAGGGATGCAGAAACCACCAGCAGCTGGAAGAGGCTGGGGATGGCTTCTCTAGAGCCTCCAAATGGAGGAGGGCCCTTAATTTCAGCCCAGTGATGCTGATGTTGAATTTAAGAGAATATATTTCTGTTGTTTGAAGCCACCAAGTTTGTAGTAATAGTTGCAGCAGCCACAGGAAATTAACACAGGAACAAAAAACTTAGGTCCCTACTGTTAGAGCCATCTGGCAAAGCCTATGGATTCCTTCTCAGAACAATGGTTTTAAATCACACAATAAAATACATAGGAGTATGCCACAAGCCAAATATATTGAAATACAGATGCTAGAACATAAGAAAATGAATTTATGTAGCTTTGAGCACATGAATCAAGATGGTGCATTTCACATACAGGCAAGTTAAAGATGATTTTATTTGTGAAAGATATCAGCATGTTTCAAAACAGGCTGCTGCTCAGCTTGACTCAGCACACTGAACTGTGTGGAGTGGCCTGCAGGAAGAAACGTGGGGATCACGTGTTGTCCACGGAGGGGACTCATACTCGCTGTTGCTTTGCAGGCATGAAGATAGTAGACAGTGTTCCAGGATAGTTATAGTAACTGCAATGTCATTGTGCAAATATCTGGTGTTCCCTGGTGGCTAAGATCTGGGGTTTGCTGATGCTCTGTGGTTTGTTCTATATTCATAATTGGAGGAGATGCTAAATTTTAGTTCATGAACCTCTGAGTGGCAGAAAGTACAGAGGAACAGCAGCTTGAGCGGCCAGGGTGGGTGTGGAGTCCTGTCTGCCGGGAGGCCGAGGATGGCAAGACTTGGTGTTTGTAAGGATGGAGGCCTGTGCAAGAGCGGGACCCCTCATGAGGGCACCCTGCGAAGCAGGAGGCGCGACGAATTAGATGGGGTGTCAGGCTGACTGTGAAATATGACAGATTAACAGCCAAGGCTGGTGGTGTGACCTGCTTTCAGACACTTCATTTAGAAGTTATCATTTTGCTGGATGCTTCCTATAATTTGTGATGATGCTGATTGTGATAAATCATGAGTTTCTGGCAAACTCCGCCAGCCTGCTCCAATGGCTGAACAGAGAAAATGTGTAATTCTGTGGGAACATTCATGCCACGAATGAGAGCAAGGGTCTGGCCGTAACAACAGAATGCTCAGTCAGTGAACAAAGTAATTAAATCAAGCTAATTAAATCACAATAAAAATAATTTTAATTTAATTAATTTCTTTGCACTGATTGAACATTATGTTGAAACCAAGAGGCTTTCTGAACACTAATAGAATTTAGGAGCTGGGACACCAAAGTTGTGGTCACTGGTGTGGTACGTGGGTTATTGTTGAGGGAATGAAATTAAATACATTTAACCAGATGCTGGAATGTTGACTGAAGCACAAATAGAAAATGATTTTGGAATCAAGATAATAGGGTCTCTTCCTTTCTCAGTTAGATTTCTGTACTAACTGGGCCAATAAATGTCAAATTTGGTAATCCTTTAAAAGGCCTATGTAAAGTAGACAGCATATAATTGCCTCACTGTGCTGGAATTGGTGAGAACCTTTAGGTCAGGATCTTGGTGGTGAGTGGAAGTTCTAGGACACTTGCCTATTGTCACCACTGCCCCCAGCCCCTGATACCTAATAAAGACCCTAGAAGCCTTAGAACTGGAATCCTTGACTAAATAAGTGGCAGTGAGGTTTTTAACTGCAGCCTGAAAGATCTAGGTGAGGCATCTAGAAGAACTTCCTGTCTGGGACAGATATTACCCAATAACCAGTTACTACTCCTTGAAAATGTGATGCTGGGCATGGTGGCTCATGCCTGTAATCCCCAGTGACTCAGGAGGCTGAGACGGGAGGATGGCTTGAGACAAGGAGTTTAAGGCTGCAGTGAACCACAGTCACATCCACTGTACTTAGCCTGGGTGACAGAGTAAGAACTTGATTCAAAAAACAAACAAACCCCCCACACCCCAAACTGAATCATGCTCTGCCTACCCCATCCCCAGGGCTAAGCAGAAAGACTTACGCTAGCTGGTACTCATATAATTATTATTAAATTGAATTATTGAGGTCTCTTAAGGAATTTCTTCCCTGAGGGCTTGAAAATTAGGATGGATACTCTGTTTCCGGGGATATTTAAACATCGTACAGTCTATGAGCAGGAGGATGCTCACACAAGACACCTCTCAAGGTCACCTCTCTGAGACTAATTTTGTCACATAAGCAACACTGGAATTCTGAGTGTGTGTTAGCAGGCGCTCACATAATTACCAACTGCGATTTCAGAGGAGTTCTGTGCTTTGGATCTCAATATTATTTATCATGCACGTTATTTTAATTAATATGTTGTATGTGTGCCAACATTTGAACCAGACCTCATTATGAGTATTCGGGGCACTGCATTGTTTGTTGAGTGGAATTGTTTTCCGGGATGCAGCTGGTTTCCCTCCCCAGCAGCCAGGGAGGGCAAGGGAACCAAGGAGCCAGCATTTTCAAAAAGCCTTTGCTGCCACAGAGGTTTTCAATGATCATCTGTCCTAGACACTAACCAGCAAGGAATTATTTCTCCATCCAAAGGATAGGGTGTGAGGTGCCCCCAGGGAAGACTCTGGAAGCTCAGTGAGGTTTTGCAGGGAGAAGGGAGGGAGCATCAAGGTTTATGATGTCTGAGTGCTGCACCCAGTCCCAGGAAAGAAGCATATCCAGGTGCCTTGGCAGAGGGAATTGGCACCTTTGCTGTGTTGTCTGCTGTTACGTAATTGTGCACACAGTGTGAAATCCGTGGAAGCACAATGACCATGAGCTGCAGCTGGCAGTTCATCTCTGCCTGAACAATAACCAGAGACCCCCACTTCCTCCTAAAGCCTGGTAGGACTTTTGGGCAGGTCTTCCTTTTCCTGGTAGAGCTACCCTCCCACAGCCCCCACCAACACCTGCCCTGCCCTGAGGTTCAGAACATGAACATTTTCCAGAAGAAGGATTTTCCTTTTTGGAAAGGAGAACTTCTGGCTTGACCTGCATTCCAGCCAGTTGGGTTGGCTGCAGCCCCAGCCTAGCCTGTACCCTGACCCTGCCCCCAGCACCTCCTGGGTCCCTCCCTCCCCTGCTCCTTCCTCACCAATGGGAAAGGGTGGTGAGGATGACCCTGGAGGAATCACTTTCTCCCTAGGATATCTTTCTCATTCCAGCACCTGCTTTCCACCTGTGTGTAGCTTCTTGTCCCAGTATTTGCTAATGAGAATTAAGACCCTATTGTCTTTAACTGCTTGTCCTCACTTACAAAGAGTCAAAAGGTCTAGTTTTTTTTCTTTTTTTCCTCTTCTTTTTTTTTTTTCTTTTTTTTTTGAGACAGAATTCCGCTTTTGTCACCCAGGCTGGAGTGCAATGGCGGGATCTCAGCTCACTGCAATCTTTGCCTCCCAGGTTCAAGTGATTCTCCAGCCTCAGCCTCCTGAGTAGCTGAGATCTGAGATTACAGGCGTCCGCCACCATGCTCCGCTAATTTTTGTATTTTTACCAGACATGGGGTTTCACCATGTTGGCCAGGCTGGTCTCGAACTCCTGACCTCAGGTGATCCATCCACCTCAGCCTCCCAAAGTGCTAGGATTTCAGGCGTGAGCCACCGTGCCTGGCCCATAAAGTCTAGTTCTATTCACACCATTAAAAATGCTTCAACTAATACTACCTTTCATCCAAGGTCAAATATGTGCCCAGCAGTGTGCTAAGCATGGTACCCAGATCATCACATTTAATTTTCCTAGGGACTCTATGAGGTAGGTGCTATTTTTATTTTCTTCTTGTAGATGAGGAAATGGTGGCTTCAGAAGTTAAATAACTTCCCCTAGGTCACAGCTAGGAAGTGACAGAGCTGCTCCTGGAATAGAGGTTCCTTTCTTTCCCAAATCCCTCCTCTTAACCCCCTTGCTGCCTCTGGAATGAATCAGTGGTGGAGAAATAGTCTGTAAGTGTTCTGTAAGCCTCTCAACACAGCGCTGCCCACCCATACACATGAGTTCATTTGCACCCTTTGCCCAAGCGAAGTCCTCTCCAAATCCTCTTTTCCAACCCTGAAAGCTATTTTACAGAAGGAAGATTTCGGACCAACTAAGAATGTTAAGGCTATTTTTTCTTCTCTCAGAAAGTCAATTAACTACACACTGTGCATCTATATTGGTCCAAGGATTCTGTCACGGGAGGAAATCTCTTTAAAAGGTTCGACTCAGAGACCTCAGGACACCTCCAACATGGGGCTTTCAATCCGCTGTGAGTCCCCAGCTTCTGTGCATGCCCAATGTCCACGGCACACAGCTGTGCCAGACCCTGCTGTCGGGATAACTGGCACCAGCCACGGGCAATAGATGACCTCAATCTACCAGCCTGAGAGCTCCACCTTGATCGCCACTGGTCCTCCTCTTTGATCTCTTTCTCTCTTTCTGCTCATTGTTTCTCTTTTTCCCTCCAAATGGACTTTGTCCACTCTGGTTCCCATCCTTGTGCCAGCCCCTCCCTTTCCTGTCATCTTGACTCTGTGCAGTTGGCTCCACACTACGCTCGTTCAGGTGGCCTTTGCCTGCCTCATAATTCTCTGCTGAAACAGAGTAATAATAAAAAACCCAAGAAAAGAAAATATTTACCAGTTCTGAAATGGCTTGAATTAATGAAATAATGTTTTGGGGCATTTAGATTGAACCCGTGTAATTGTAGGTTGCAAAGTATAATAGTAGCTCATGCAGGGATATCATTTTGTGCTATTTTACTTTCAGGTTTTTGTTAATCCAGTGGGTTTGGTGGAATTAGAGGGCTGCTGTGAAAAAAAAAAAAAAAAAGCCTGAGCAACCTGCTGGCGAGAGAACAGCTTTGTCAAACTAGCAGGTAGCTGCACGTTTAGCCTTTATCCGGCATACAATAAGGGCAATCACCAGGGCCTGTAGAAAGAGTATTGAACTGTCGACACAGGACATTTTTGTTGAAAGTAGTCCTTTTGATTTCATCTTCCCAGACTAATGTAATAAAAACAGACATTATGGAACACATTCATCTCAGTTTGATAGGGACCATCCTGAATACCCAGCAATGTGTGCAGTCATAAAGGTTATCCAACTGCTGTAAGTAACTTGGAAGACGATTGTAGATGCAAAGGTTATGAAAACCTCTTCCTAGATAAGGATGGACAGCTGTCACAGGGGCAGGCCAGTGTGCAGATAGACTTGCCACTTTGTTTCTACTAGAATGTTAAACTTTGAAAAGATTCTAAATTTCAGCCACAAGCCCATTTTCTCTAATTAACAAAACCTTGAGTAGTTATCTCCAAGGAAGAAGAAAGGAAAACAAAGTGAAGAATCTTGAACTTATTTTTGCTGATCGGATGGCTGTTTCTATGGAAACAGAAACAGAGGCAGGAACCAGCCATGAACAGCCAGGGTCAGAGGCCTGGCTTGTGTCAGCTTCTCCCACTCTCTATATTCCCGAATTCCATACTCTTTGACTTTTGGAGTTTATGACCTCAGTGGGGACCATTTGCAAAGCAAAGAGCTTCACATAACTTAAGAACTTAGGAGTTTTCTCTCAAACAAAAAGCTCGCAGGAATTGAGCCAACTCTGGAACTGCGGAAGATTAGAATTTATGTAACCTTCTGATTTCTTTAACTACCTGAAGCGTTCCAAATTTGTTGTTAACATGGTAAACATTACTCCCAACATTTATGTATATGCTTGCTAAGGTGCTATTTTTCATGCACTCACTAAAGGGCACTGAAAGGAACTGCTTATCCTCCATCAATTATATCCTGCCATAAGCTTATGGGTAACATCGTACTGGGCATTAGAATGAGAACAGGTGGGTAATTGCAGATTGAATTTGAAACAATATAGTAGTATCATTCCTCAAACTGAATAAGAGGCATGACTTGATATTTCTTTGAGACTAGAAAGGCTTATGTGTCATTGTACTCATCATTGCTGTTGAGTTCACTGTAGTTTAACCTATTCATTTGCTCATGCATTCATTCAGTAAGCTGCCATTGAGTAGCCACTGTGTGCTAGGTATCAGATTCTGGGAGTTCAGACAGAAGACACAGTCCCTGCTCTCAGGCAAATGACAGTCCAGAGGCATTTCTAAGACAAAGCAGATGATTACAATGGAACGTGATGAGCGCTGTGATAGGGAGATGCCCAGGGTACTGGAGGAGCCGGGAGGGGAGCCACATACCCAGCTTTGTGTGTGTGCATGCTCATGTGTCTGGAAGTGCATAGTTAAGAGTGGCTTCCTGATGGAAATGATGTCTAAAATAAATCTTGAAGGATAAATAGAAGCTAGAAAATGAAATGGAAATGGGTTACATTGCAGACAATAGCAAATGACATCCCAAGAACTACCAGTCACTCTGTGAGAGCTACGGTTACTTGAGTTGTGATGGTTGAGTCTGGAGAGATTGGCAGTGCTCTTGAGTTTTATGCTAAGTTGCCTGTTTGTTGGAGGAAGGAAGGAAGGAAAGAAGGAATGATAGCAGGGAGTCACTGAAGAATAGGAAAGGATCTAAGATTTACTTTCTGCTTGGGCCTGCTGATTTAAAAAAATAAATGATATCTTTCAATAGTTAACCTCTGAACCTCCATTTCCTCATTTATGAAAAAAATGTATCCTTACTTTACAGGGATGTTATGAGGGTTAAATGAGATACTGATATCAGGCACTGAGCACAGTTCCTGACACTTCATTCATGCCCAGTAACAATGGTCATCATTATCATGATAAGCATGGAGGAAAGAGGATGTAATAAAAGTGCCAATGAGAGCCAGTGTGGTGGCTCGAGCCTGTAGTCCCAGCTACTCAGAGGCTGAGGCAGGAGGATTGCTTGAGCCAGGAGTTCAAGACTACAGTGAACCATGATCATGCCCTCCAGCCTGGTGATAGAGCAAGACCAAATCTCTTAAAAAAACTTAACAAATAATAAAAGTGCTAGTGAGAGATGAAGGTAGTCTGAAATGGGGTGGGGAGTGAGCCAGGAATCTGAGAGACATCTGGGAAGGTAGGATTTGCAGGGCTGGTGAATGGCAGATGTGAGGGAGAGGAGAGCCAAGAATGACTTCTGATTCCTGTTTGAGTGTGTGGCTGTCCCCTCACTGAGATGGATGCAGAGTGAGCAGAGAATGTTCACTAAGAGAAAGACCATCCAACACCAAAACCCAACTCCATTCTTGAACTGGAGAGCTTTTCAAAAAAGGACCCTGTAGAGACTGGGGGGTGCAGAGACATCTCCATGCGAGTGGTTGGGGGAGAAGTTAGTAGCAACCCAGATGACCTCTCCTCAATGCTGAGAAGAGGAGGTGCAGGTAGTCTTCCCAGTCTTCCCACCTGCCAGATACTGGTGCCTGGGACAGCTTCTCTCCAGCTCCCAGACAACCTGTAAGAATCAAGCTGCTCCCGTGGGCCCGGGTTCCTCATTAGGACATATGACCTGTGATGCCGGTGACCTTTGATATTCCCTGCACACCAGAACCAGAGTCATTCTATGTAAAACAGCTGCTGAAAAAAAAAAGAGTTATGAATTCTACTTCTTAATGTGCTAGCCAGAGCAATAAAATTTATTCTCAATACTAATTCTGTAATTTAAATTTATTATCTTTGTGCTTTACAGTATCCATAGCAGTAAAATCTATTCCCAAGAGTATGATTACAATTTCCAACTACTTAAGAAGGAATTTTTTTTTGTTTATGTTTTAAAGCCACAGCAATAAAATTTAACACCAACAATACTACTACAACTTTGTATGCCTTAAAACTTGCCATAAATGATAATTGTGAAAAGAATGTAGGGAAACATGTAAATGTTTTTTCCAGGAGAAAGTAGCTTTTTTGGTTTGTCTTATAGAGGTTCAGATTCTTTTTTGCAACAGAGTCTTGCTCTGTCATCCAGGCTGGAGTGCAGTGGCATGATCAAAGTTCACCACAGCCTTGATCTCCCAGCCTCAAATGATCCTCCTGCTTCAGCCTCCCAAGTAGGTGAGACTACAGGTGTGGGCCACCATGCCAGCTAATTACAAACAATTTTTTTTTAGTAGAGATGGGGGTCTCCCTATGTTGCCCAGGCTGGCCTTGCCTGAGCTCAAATGATCCTCCTGCTTTGGCCTCCCAAAGTGTTGGGATTACAGGCGTGAGCCACTGCCCTAGCCCCAGATTCTTTTTTTTTGTTTTCTTTTGTTTTGAGATGGAATTTTGCTCTTGTTGCCCAGGCTGGAGTGCAATGGCGTGATCTCGGCTCACTGCAATCTCCACCTCCCGGGTTCAAGCGATTCTCCTGCCTCAGCCTCCCAAGTAGCTGGGATTGCAGGCATGTGCCACCATGCCCAGCTAATTTTTTATATTTAGTAGAGATGGAGTTTCACCATGTTAGTCAGGCTGGTCTTGAATTCCTGACAGGCGATCCACCCACCTCGGCCTCCCAAAGTGCAGATTCTTAACAGAGCATTGGAAACACACTCCTTTCCACTTAGTCCACAAGTGTTGTTGATTCCACCTCCTAAACATTTCTTGAATTGGCCCATTTCTTTGTCTACGTGACCCCTGAAGCTATGTGCTATTGCTCTAGTCTGGGGGCTACTATCTTGTGCCAGGGCAAGTAATGTGGGCGTTTCAATGTCCACTATCCCACTGTATAATCAAATCTCCACAAAGCGGCTAAGAAAAAATTTTCAAAACAAATCTTGCCAGTTTTCAGGAAAACCTGGGCAATAGAAAACAAGTTATATGATACTGCAAGAAAGCAGTCAACTAAGTGCAGAATGTGGACAGTGTTCAGGACAGATGACTTGGTTTCTCTACTAAATCTATGGCATAAAAGAGGCAGAGGAGGCTGGGTGCGGTGACTCATGCCTGTAATACCAGCACTTTGGGAGGCCGAGGCGGGCGGATCATGAGGTCAGGAGATCGAGACCATCCTGGCTAACACGGTGAAACCCCATCTTTACTAAAAATACAAAAAATTAGCCTGGTGTGTTGGCAGGCACCTGTAGTCCCAGCTACTATGGAGGCTGAGGCAGGAGAATCGCTTGAACCCAGGAGGTGGAGGTTGCAGTGAGCCGAGATCGCGTCACTGCTCTCCAGCCTGGGTGACAGAGCAAGACTCCATCTCCAAAAAAAAAAAAAAAAAAAAAAAAAAAGCAGGAGGAGGAAACGATGGAATGAGAGAGAACTAAGAACTATGAACACAATGTTCAGGTATCATCGGTGGATTTGTGTGGCTCCTGCTAATTCCAACAAGCTAACTGTGTAAAGACAGTTTTGCCAAAATCAGGGAGGTCTGATTATGGTCTGGACAATAGATGCTGCTAAAGAACTGCTGTTAATTTTGATGGCACACGTTTATGTTATTAAAACAAAGCCTTTATCCATTAGAGGTGCTCGTTTGGGTATTTACAGATAAAATGACATGATGTCTTGCATTTGTACTAAAATACCTCAGCCTCTTCTTCCCCAGGGTGGATGGGTGGTGGGGATGGGCAAGGATCAAGATCACCAAAATGTGGAAATTTGTTGAAGCTGGGATGAGTACCCAGGAGTCTATTATGTCTACTCTGGTGAATGTTGGAAAAGTGGCAAAATTAAAAGTAAAAAATTTGAGAGAATAGGATAGATGAACCATTTGTTCTTTTTAATAGTAACTGATGTTTTCAACAAAGATGCTTATTCATCACCTATATTAATTAACAGGGTTTTTTTTGTTTTTTTTTTTTTGAGACAGAGTCTCATTCTATCACCCAGACTGGAGTGCAGTGGCATAATCTTGGCTCACTGCAAGCTCCGCCTCCTGGTTTCAAGCGATTCTCCTGTCTCAGCCTCCCGAATAGCTGGGATTACAGGCACCCACCACCACGCTTGGCTAATTTATTTTTGCATTTTAGCAGAGACGGGTTTTCACCATGTTGGCCAGGCTGGTCTTGAACTCCTGACCTCAAGTGATCCACCTGCCTTGGCCTCCAAAGTGCTGAGATTACAGGCATGAGCCAACGTGCCCAACTAATTAACAGATTTTTTTACTGAATACCTATCTTATGCAAAATTGAGTAAGATGCAGCTTTTGTTTCCCAGAAGCTTACCATCTGGTAGGAAAGGAAAGACCTACATTGGTGAAAAGCTAAGTAATATTAATAATAACAATAATAATACTACTACAAGACATAAGTCAACAACATGCAAAATAGTCAAGAGCTAGCACAAAAAAAAATTGAAGTTACAGAACACTGTGCATGGTATGCTACTTTTTGTATAGGTAAAGAGGAAAAAAAATCTCTAGTCTTGTTTGCTCTAGTCATATGTGTATAGGCAGAAAGGGCACATGTAAAACTGAAAAATTGTTATCTATTTAGGAGAGAGGAGAACCAAGCCAGAAAATACTTTGTACTGAATAGCTTTTATACTTTCTGGTTTTGGAAAACATGTGAATGTGTTGCATATTCACAAATTTAAAGTGAAAAATACTCTCATCTCCTTCCTCACAGCAGATCCTTATCAGATCCAGATCCTATTACCCTTGGTATATAATCAGAAGTCCTTTTCCTGGCTTTTCAGGACGGCCACAGTCTGCTTCTGTGTCCTCTTGTCTCGTGCCTGTCAGCCCTTGAGCTCTGAGCTCCCCAATGCTGGACTCTGAGACTCTGAGCTCTGCCATGCTCCCTCTAATGTGGAATTCAACAAACCAGGACCTCTGCTTGGCTTGTTCTCTTTCACCCTTTGGCCTGATCAAGCCCCACTCTTTTTTTTTTTTTTTTTTTTGATATGGAGTCTTGTTCCGTTGCCCAGGCTGGAGTGCAGTGGCATGATCTGGGCTCACTGTAACCTCCATCTCCCGGGTTCAAGAGATTCTTTTGCCTCAGCCACCTGAGGAGTTGGGATTATAGGAGTGTGTCACTGCACCCAGCTAATTTTTGTATTTTTAAGTAGAGACGGGGTTTCACCATGTTGGCCGGGCTGGTCTTGAACTCCTGATCTCAAGTGATCCACCCGCCTTGGCCTCCCAAGGTGCTGGGATTACAGGCGTGAGCCACCACACCTGGCCTCCTGCTGCTTCTTTAGGTTCCTGTTGAGATGCCACTTTCTCAGAGCAGCCTTCCCATGCCATCCCCTGGGCCCAGTCAGCTCCTTGCTTAAGTCCCTTTACTATATGCTCTCAAAGAATGGCCCATGTCTCTTCTGGTAAGGTAATATGTCCAATTTGTAAGAATTGTCTGACTTTATATTTTTTACTCATCTGTAAACTCCATGAGAGCACAGTTATGTCTCGTTTTTTTTCCTGTGTTCTATCACCTATTTCCAAGCTTCGTATTGAGTGGAGTTTAATATAGAATGCTTAGGAGAGGGAGCTGCAGTTATAGGAAATAAAGAGAAGATCATTTTGCCTGTGCATGATACATAGACTTCAGGAGGAGACGGAGTTTCCCTGAGAAGCAAAGAAAGAGAAAGACTGCTGGAATGATCAGAAAGACGTGGATGAGACGTAAACAAGAGGAGCCATCTGAAGCAGAGGTCTCCCTCGAATCAATGTAATGGAGACAAACATTTGTACTGGAGAGAAAAAACCTTCAGGAGTTTATTCAAAAGGAAAAGGAAACAACTAGGATAGGGGTTCTTAGAGAGTGTCCCTGTTTGGGAGGTCAGTGAAGCTCTGGCAACTGCACAAAAGCTCCATGGAGGTATCTACAAGCATTTTTTTTTCCTGAGTAAACTCGATTGCTTTTTGAGGATTCTAAAAGTCTGGAGATTTAAGAACTAAAGATCTTGTCAGGCTTAGGCAAATTAAGAAGAGCAAGACATGACCCGTGAGGCAGGGAGAAGTGGGAGGTGAATTTGAGAAGTGTTTCAGAGGAAAGAGCAGCAGTGAAGGAAGGGGAGGTGGTCTGGAGGGCATTAGGGAAGGTCATGGAAGGACAGTGAAACTCAGTGGAGGAGCCCTGTCAGGGCCTGGATTGCCAGCAGGTCATTCGTTTCCTTGAATCTTGCTTTTACTGTGAGGAAGAAGAAAGGGGGCTGGAGCACTAAAAAGCTACCTCCTTATCAGCCTCCTGATGTGGCCATGAAGGGATGAGAAAGAGCCCTAACACCTGGAAAACAGTGGGGCTTGTTCTTGCTTTAATTTGTTCTGTCTGTCATTTCCACCACAAGTGGTGTACAGATGATGACGGTCACCACTGATTGGTGGGAGGGGCTGCCCCCAGCCCAGCTTGCTCTCTAGATCTCAATACATTTCTGGAACTGTGAAGAGAGACTTTCAGCCTCTCCCCACCCTACACAATCTAGTCTCAGTTAATGTCTATACTGCCAGTGTGGAATGGCTCTATGCTTCATTTCTGTCACGTCTCCAGTGTGGAATTTGGCTCTAGCACCGGGCACTCTAGAAGTGGTTTCAGACAGTGGGAAGGAAACCTGTGGGCCCCACTGTGTTCTCATCTGTGCTTCTCTTGCTGGCTGGTGTCTCTGAGCCAATCGCTTCACCTCTGTGCCTCAGGCTTCTCATCTATTAGATGGGCATAACAACCATCCTGAGCCCAGTGGGCTGTGGTGAGGATGATCTGGTTTAATACACAGGAAACCCTCAGGGGAGCCCTAACCACATAAGCTGCTTGATAGTTGGCCCCTCTGACTGCCTCCCAGCCTGGTGGAAAGGCAGCTCCTCCTGAATAGCCAAGATGGGTCAGCCCTAACGTGACCCATTGCACAGCGGCTAGCACCGCCTCTTACTGACCTCCCCCATCAACCATTTCTCTAGAGCTACCATCGGGTGGCAGGTTTAAGGTGATGCCTGCCTGTCCCTGGGGCAGGCAAGTTTTTGTCCAGTGCTTCTCCTGTCTTTAGGGAGCTGGGAGATGCCATTTTCTTTTCAAGGCCATGGAGTGAAAGTCAGAAGATGTGTTTTTATTCTTTCTCTGGCCCCTTGTGATTTTGAGATTCTGAACTAGTTCCTTTCTGTCATGGAGCCTTTCTGTCCTTGCTCCTAAACTGAATATGTAGGCTGTTGGGAAGGTGCATTAGTCTGCGAGGGCTACCATTATGACGTGCCATAGACCAGGTGGCTTAAACAGCAGAAATGTGTTTCTTCACAGTTTTGAAGGCTGGAAGTCCAAGGTCAAGGTGTCAGCAGCATTGGTGTCTCCTGAGGCCTCTCTCCTTGGCTTGCAGATGGCCATCTTCTCCCTGTATCTTCACGTGGTCCTTCCTCTGTGTATGTCTGTGTCCTAATTTCTTCTTATAAGGACACCAGTTGTATTGGATGAGGACCCACCCTAATGACCTTGTTTTAACACAGTTATCTCTTTAAAAGCCCTATCTCCAAATACAGTCACACTCTGAGGGGGTTAGGACTTCAATATATAAATTTGAGGGGGACATAACATAACAAAGGGTTGAACCAGAAACTGTATGTTAAAACTTGGCATAAAGCAAGCATTTGGTAAACAGCAGTTAAAAATATTGATGCATGTCCCCGCACTGTGTTTTGCTAAGCAAACCTGTGGTCTGTGAAGGAGGATGAAGCTGCTACTCTGACTTGGCTGAATTAGCAGTCAGGCCCTATTTTCTTCTGTTTCACAGGGCAGATCTCTTACAACAATGCCTCTCTACCTGATGGGCTACCACTGGCAAGGGGTAAATGAGTGGTGAGCTGATGACATTAAAAAAATTTATTTTGGCTTAGGATTGACTTGGCAATGCGGGCTCTTTTTTGGTTCCATATGAACTTTAAAGTAGTTTTTTCCAATTCTGAGAAGAAAGGCATTGGTAGCTTGAGGCTACAGTAACCAAAACAGCATGGTACTGGTACCAAAACAGAGATATAGATCAATGGAACAGAACAGAGCCCTCAGAAATAACGCTGCATATCTACAACTATCTGATCTTTGACAAACCTGAGAAAAACAAGCAATGGGGAAAGGATTCCCTATTTAATAAATGGTGCTGGGAAAACTGGCTAGCCATATGTAGAAAGCTGAAACTGGATCCCTTCCTTACATCTTATACAAAAATCAATTCAAGATGGATTAAAGACTTAAACGTTAGACCTAAAACCATAAAAACCCTAGAAGAAAACCTAGGCATTACCATTCAGGACATAGGCATGGGCAAGGACTTCATGTCTAAAACACCAAGCAATGGCAACAAAAGACAAAATTGACAAATGGCATCTAATTAAATGAAAGAGCTTCTGCATAGCAAAAGAAACTACCATCAGAGTGAACAGGCAACCTACAAAATGGGAGAAAATTTTTGCAACCTACTCATCTGACAAAGGGCTAATATCCAGAATCTACAATGAACTCAAACAAATTTACAAGAAAAAAACAAACAACCCCATCAAAAAGTGGGCGAAGGACATGAACAGACACTTCTTAAAAGAAGACATTTATGCAGCCAAAAAACACATGAAAAAATGCTCACCATCACTGGCCATCAGAGAAATGCAAATCAAAACCACAATGAGATACCATCTCACACCAGTTAGAATGGTGATCATTAAAAAGTCAGGAAACAACAGGTGCTGGAGAGGGTGTGGAGAAATAGGAACACTTTTGCACTGTTGGTGGGACTGTCAACTAGTTCAACCATTGTGGAAGTCAGAGTGGCGATTCCTCAGGGATCTAGAACTAGAAATACCATTTGACCCAGCCATCCCATTACTGGGTATATACCCAAAGGACTATAAATCATGCTGCTATAAAGACACACGCACACGTATGTTTATTGCGGCATTATTCACAATAGCAAAGACTTGGAACCAACCCAAATGTCCAACAATGATAGACTGGATTAAGAAAATGTGGCACATAGACACCATGGAATACTATGAAGCCATAAAAAATGATGAGTTCATGTCCTTTGCAGGGACATGGATGAAATTGGAAATCATCGTTCTCAGTAAACTATCACAAGAACAAAAAACCAAACACCGCATATTCTCACTCATAGGTGGGAATTGAACAATGAGATCACATGGACACAGGAAGGGGAATATCACACTCTGGGAACTGTTGTGGAGTGGGGGTAGGGGGGAGGGATAGCATTGGGAGATATACCTAATGCTAGATGACGAGTTAGTGGGTGCAGCGCACCAGCATGGCACATGTATACATATGTAACTAACCTGCACAATGTGCACATGTACCCTAAAACTTAAAGTATAATAAAAAAAAAATTCTTTTTTGGCTGCAATGCTATTGAATGGAAAAATCTATTTGGTAAATCTCCTTAGCCTACATATTATTAGGGTTATTATGACATCATCTCTTTTGTCTGGATTTTGCTTTTACTGGTCACATGCCCTGTGTCACTGGAGCACGAGCTCACAGTTGGCATCTTATGAATAAAGGAAAGTCTGCCTGAGCCATTTGGGTTGCATGCAATATCTTTACAAAATGGCTTTTCAGTATCTCTTCAATTAAAACAAAAGCAAGCCAACAGCAGCTATCACAACAACAAGAGAATGAAGACAGTGGGAGAAGGAGCTACTTGGTTCCAGATATAAGAAAAGTGGAAATTTCTCTTTTAGCTGGATCATTCTCTTGGACCCTCTACCACCAGGCCCACCTTGGACAGTTTCAGAACGGTAGCTGAGACTGCTATTGGGCCTCTATTCTCTTTCTTCTTGTTCCCAGGTTCCCAGGTGACGAATGCCACCACCAGTTATGTATTCCTTTGTGTGGTGCTCTGGTGGCTCTCTGTCACTCAAAATGTCCCTCTAGCTGAGGTTAATGACTGTGAGCAAGGACTTGCTCATTGGCACCTACCCTTCTTCAGGAGAGAAGCACACAGAGGCTTTCAAGCCCTGCGCGATTGCCTGCAACCTCTGACTCTCCAAGGCCTCTACATCCTGACCTTCTCTGCTCTTTTAGTTAATGACAATTATAATGTTCAAGAGGCACACCACTGAGGCAAGAGGCCTCAGCTAATTGGACTACATGATTAAATGGAGGTAGATTCCCACCCTCACCCCCGTCCCCACCTTAGTACACAGCAATGTATATTTCAAGAGTATAAATAATGAAATTAAAAAAAAAAGATCTGAAACCTAATAGAGGTTTAAAATAAAAAAAATTTAAATTTGGATTTTGGGAAAAAATATTCCTGGTTGCAATTTTTGATTTTCTTGATGGATGGATTTGCTTCAGGTGGGGGATGTCAAAGGCTCAGGTGTGTGTGGCGGGGGATGGTGGACTGCAGCTGCAGTGCGGAGAGGCCAGATGGCTTGTAAGGAAGGAGCGAAAACTCGGGGAATTCTAATGATGAGAAGCCCTCAAAGAGCTTTCAGAGAGCCGGCAGACATGCTGGGAATCCTGGGAGCTGTCGCAATTAGCATCTAGAAATGACTGTAGGACATCCTTGCCTAAAATACAGGTTTACAGCACAACACAGCCTCAGCATCTGGAGTGTGTGCTGAGAACAAATACACAGACCAGCCAACTATATACATATTTAGCATCTATATGCATGCACATATATTTATAGATCAGATACAAATCATATATATACACATATAAAGGTTGTACACATTGTTAAATCTATGCTGATTAGAATGGAGTCAAATAGGGGGAGGGTGGCTGACCACAAGGGTTCACAGTCTCCATCTGTCATGAACTCTCCTATGTCGCTATCAGGAATGAGTCCCTGGCTGCCTTTCTGGGAAGGGAATGGCTTCCTGTGGTGATGAACGAAGCCAGCCAAGTGCAGGTCGAGGCATGCTCTCCACCCTCCCTAGAAGCTGTGCCACCAACGAAAGGTGAGGCTGCCACCATCACTCAGGCTGCAGTGCAGCTCTCTCTTGAGCTGAGAAGAGCCTAAGACTTTTTTCTTTTAAACAGTACAGGATCACCTTGAATAACTAATGTTCTAAGATTCAAGTGGAGTTCACTCAAAAAGGTCATAGCCCTCTTGGGACTCTTTCTAGTCCTTAAGGTGCTTGTGTGTGTGTGTGTGTGTGTTTGTGTGTATGTGTGTGTTTGTGGAGGACGGTGGGAAGGTTGGGAACAGGTTGGAAGGAAGGCGTCATCTTCCTCTTTTTAAGAAAAACAGATGCACTGAGTTTGTGATTTGCCCGTTGTCTCTCAGAAGAAAGGAACCCATGTGTGGACTCGTAGTTGAGTGCTCCCTCAAGGAGGATGTAAGACAAAAGGAGAAAAGTGCCTCGTCCCACTCTTTTACTGACAGTGCTGGGGCTGGTAGTTGGCAGCGATTTGAGAGCAGGACATGCAGAGGGAAAGGAGGGGTGCTGAGTCAATGCTGGAGGGCTGGCTGGCAAGTCCTTACCCACACCCTACCTACTTCCTGCCTATCCCACTATCATCTGCCACTTCAGCCCCCTCAGCCTTATTCAGTGAACTTATTTGACCTTGATTCCACTGCCACAATGTCACACCGGAATACCCGACTTAAGTTTCATATGAAGTGTTTGCCCTGGTGGTGAGGGGTAAGGGGTGAGGGTGGGGGCGTCCTGTCTTCTCTGTGGCCATGAGAGCCTCCCTGCCTGTTTGGCTACCATCACACTTGGTGACACAGGAGATGGATTAGGGGACAAAAAGAATTCCTGCTGAGCTTGGGGGTACTGTAGGAATTCCATTTACTTCCCCCACCCCCTGCCTCTGGCTAATTTGTGCCTTTTAGAGCAATGCTGCATTTTCTGCTATTTGGGTTTGTTCCGGGTCTTTGGAGGGGAATAAATATGACCCTGAAAGTCTCAATTTAAAAAGGAAGAATCCACAGCAAAGCAGTGTATTTGTATTTGTATTTTTTGCAGCTTTTCCCTGCACCTGTAGTAGAGGTTTGCTGAGCATCTCACCCAGTGTCAGCTGAGTTGCAGGTAAAGTGGCTTGGGCTGCCGGACTCTGTCTGCTGGGATTTTCTTTCTTCTTTTTCTTTTTTCAGTATTTATTTGCCCCCAGGGAGTGCTACAAAACACATTGAGGATGAGAAAAAAAGAAGCACAGAGATGAGCCTCCCAGGTTTTACAGCCCAGAGTGGTTTGAGAACCCAGGAGACAGTCCTGCCATTGAGGGCCAGTGTCTTGGGGTGTGATGGGCATGTGTGGGATCGAGGCGACAGAGGATGGAGTGCAGGGTGGGAGAGGACTAGTGATAGCATTTGAGATCCAAATCTCACTCTAAAGCCAGCTCAGAGCCAAACCAGGGTGTTTAGCTCTAAGACGGAGCAAGACTTCTAGCTGGTTAATTCCCTTCAGCTTAGCGTGCAGTGCTACTACTGGCTGGCAGTTACTGTGCAAAGGAACATGGGCAGAGAGCCAAGAGAAGAGGAAGCGACCTGGGTAAAGCTGAACTGAGCAGAGGCCTGGGGAGAGGTGTGACAGGCCAGAAATCAGAATGAGAACATGGAATAGTATTTGATGAGGAAGTGAAACAGTGGGGTATGGTAGAAAGGCATTGCTCTCTGGGGGCAGAAGACCTGGCTCTGACCTCTGCACTTTATGAACTGGGAAGCTTTATTAAAGAGATTTACCATCTGTAAAATGGAGCCAGTGATCATCTCCACCCTGCCTACCTCACAAGGATATTGTGAGAATTAAATGAAAACATTAAAGCCCCACAACCCCAAATCCATGCCAACATACCACCTGGCCAACTGTGATCACCTAACAAATTTGTTTGAATAAGTAAGCAGTATAAAACAGAAAATAGATAAAAGATGATTAATAAAGCAAGAGGGAGCTAGGTGGAGAAGGTAAGAAAGAACCAAATGGTGATAGTGTTGGCAAAGGCATCAGACTCACTCAAAAATGGCGGAAGAGAGTGGCAGTGTCCAATGGCTGTATAGCAGTACTCTTGCTGTGAACACCTGGAGTACCAGCTACTGTGCTGATGGGTGGGAGGGAGGTACAGGGAGAAAGGTTCACAGGGGAGAAACGACTGGGTGAAAGCGGGTAAGAGAAAGTCTAACAACTTTCTGTTGTCTGTTTTAGGGAGGCTGAAGGGATAGGCAGGAAGTTGCATAATAATCAGACAGATGGAGTTGGCTTGGATGGGTTAGAGTTGAAAGTGAGGAAGAGCTGCATCTGAAGCCTGAGGCAGGTCACCTTATTTGAAATTCAAGATACAGGAGTTCTTTATTCAAAATGGCAATCTTAGGAAGAGACTAACAATTTTCTCAGGAGAGACAGTATTCACTGATTTGCTCTGAATCCAATGATTTGGTTCAAATTGGAAGTTAAAGCAAACATAAAAGAGACCAGAGAAAGAGAGTCCCATCTCTAACTGAAGAGAGGGCAAGTGAAGCTTCTGTAATTCAGTGTCATGAGACAAAAAGGAAAGGATTTCTGGAAGGAGGTGACAACACTGTTTCTCTCAGGAAGGGAGCCAGTGAACATGGAATGATTGTAGTTGATTTAAGGGGTAAAAGTTGAGAGGCAAAGGACAGCTAAGGTTGAAAGGGCTTCTCTGAGTAGTTCTTTTGTTCATGGGCAAGATGTTGCTGCTGACGGGTTCAAGGGGAGTGGGAGGGCACAGGAGACGTGAGAGGGATGATGGATTGCCGATGAACCTATGAAGAATGAGGCAAAGCAGCATGAAACCATTTGTTTGGGCTTTATAGATTTTCTAATAAAAACGTCAAAGATTTTTCACACCATTTTGAAAATGTCATCTAATGCAAAACAGTTCTCCTCATGCTTGTGACAAAGGCTGAATTTCCAATGGTAAATTCCAGCTCAATATGTAATAACAAACCTTGTGGGGTTTTCCTGCAAGTCAAGCCAGGGGTCAGGTTTGGTCCAGGGTCCTTCATCAGGGTGACCTTTGACCCTTCACAGTGACTGAACCCTCCCAGTAGAACCCAGAACTTTCCTAGTTGTGAGGTATTTGGCAAGTGATTGAGGGTTGGTGTTAGCCCAGTGGGAGCATCAGGGAGTCCACTTCTGAACCATATTTGGGGAGTGGAGTTCAAATCTCTGAGCCTCTGACTCAGTCAGGTTCTTCCTGGTGCAGCCATTAAAAACACCTTTCAATGGACTTTCTTGTCTGTAGTCTCCCCAACTTGCAGTCTACCTCACACACCCCCTTAAAGTTATTATCATTATTATTTTAGAGCATCTCTCATCAAGTAACTTCCCAGCTCAAAAACCTTCAATGACTCCCCTGTGGCGCCTTTTGCTGTTTCCATTTCATTGTATTTTTTGGTCTTATTTTTGAGTTAGGGTCTTGCTGTATTGCTCAGGCTGGTCTCACTTGAACTCCTGGGCTCAAGTGATCTTCCTGCTTCAGCCTTCCGAGTAGCTGGGACTACAGGTGCACACTGCCATGCCTGGCTCCCATAACATTTTTATTTAACCCAAGAGATCCAAAATGCTATCATTTCAAAACACAATCCACATCAGAATGATGACTAAGATATTTTCTATCCTTTCTTCATACTGAGCTTCAGCATCCAGTGTGTGTTTCACCAGTTACAGCACATCTCAATGTGGAGATTACATACTTAATCTGTATTTTGCTTTCATAAGATTTACAGGTGAAAGAGAAGATTCGCAAACCAAGTTGTCCAAACACACCTTACAGTTTTCTAATAACTGAATCAAATATTAGTCTTTAGAGCTGAATTAAATTTGAATCAAATGACAAATCCTTGTCTTACTGCAGAGTAGTTTCCCATTGTATGGATGGACCACTCCCCTTTGCCTTTTAAATCAAGTGCAAACTCCTTTGACTGGCTTTCTGCATCCTAATTCCTTTGCAGCTTTATCTTCTTTCATTCCTTGGCATGTATCCCAAGCTCCGGCTAAACTCAACTACTTTTCCCCAACCCGCAGTGCTTTGCCCCTCTGGCTCTGCACTGCTGGGACATTCTTCCTTTACACCATCGTTGCCTATTGAAATCCCACCATTCCTTCAAGATTTGTCTCAGAAGCCACTTTCATGAAATCTTTCCTGACTCTCTCAATCTGTCGACTGTAATTTCTCCTTTCTTTTGAACCCTCTTTAAAGCATGTTGTGCCTTCAATCAACCCACTTTTTTTTTTTGAGACAGGGTCTTGCTCTGTTGCCCAGGCTGGAGTGCAGTGGTGCAATCTTGGTTCACTGCAGCCTCCGCCTCTCAGGCTCTAGCAATCCTTCTACCTCACCCTCCTGAGTAGCTGGGACTACAGGCATATGTTACCATGCCTGGCTAATTTTTGTATTTTTTTTTGTAGGCATGGGGTTTTGCCATGTTGCTCAGGCTGGTCTTGAACTCCTGGGCTCAAGGGATCCTCTCACCTTGGCCTCCCAAAGTACTGGGATTACAGACAAGAGCAACTGCACCCAGCTGATCAATCCACTTTAACATGTATTCTAGTTCCTGTATGCTTGCTTGTTTTTTTTTTTTTTTTTTTTTTGACAGAGTTTTGCTCTTTTGCCAAGGCTAGAGTGAAGTGGCATGATCTTGGCTCACTGCAGCCTCTGCCCCCAGGTTCAAGCGATTCTCCTCCCTCAGCCTCCTGAGTAGCTGGGATTACAGGTGCCTGCCACCATGCCCGGCTAAATTTTTTTTGTATTTTTTAGTAGAGACGGGGTTTCACCATGTTGGCCAGGCTGATCTTGAACCCCTGACCTCATGATCCACCTGCCTCGGCCTCCCAAACTGCTGGGATTATGTGTGAGCCACTGCACCCAGCCTGTATGCTTGTTTAATCCAAGATGCTCATTTCCTTGAAGTAGAAAATCATGCCTTACACATTTGTGAGCCCCCTATACTTACCATCTGCAATAAAGTTTGAGTTGCCTCCTTGTGGGCCACCATGGTTGGGAAAGAGAGAAAGCATTCATCTTAAGAGTCAGTCTTCTTTTTGAGTTCTTCTCTATTAAGTTTTCCTTGCTAAAAGGATCATATATGGTGGAGGGTCTGGTAGAAAAGGAAATAAGAAGGCAGGGCCTTGGGGTTTTGTGTCTTGGTCTAGTCTAGCATATCAAATCTGCTGCCTTACATTTTGCTTTTGCAGGTGTGTCTTTCCTGGGCCCAGAAGCAGAGCCCAAGAGTGGACTTGCAAATATGCTGTCCTCTTCCCTTGCTGGCTCTCTGCAGCTCAGAGGTACACAGTTAAAAGGCAGACAGATAGGTAGATAGAGAGAGCGGTTTCTGAGAAAATTCTGTTACACTTGAGTAACTTCTAGAGGGACTTGCTCTGGGGGGTCTCTGGTTGGGTCCTGCTCCAAACATTTCCTCTTGGATCTTCTAAGCATGAGGTTGTCACTGCATGTCCCCCAACACTGGAAGGGGTCACTTTCAAGGATTAGAGAGAACATAGGAATTATGTTTTTTGACTTAAAAGAAAAAGTATGGTTCTGGGGAGTGGATAGAGGGAAGGCAGTAAGGGTTACTGTGATTTTTCTCAGAACAACACAGGGGTCAACTCAACAGGCTCACCACCTTTGGCCTGTCAGGAGCCACCAACATGTTGGAAGTCAAGTGAGCGAGGTCTAGGCAAGAGTTTGGTAGTATGCAGGAAGATATCTCTGAGAAGCTTAATAAAGCAGCTCCCAGCCACAATTTCTGGGGTGCAGGAAGCCACTGCAAGGATAACTGGCAATGACTCAGTTTGTTAGTCACAGAATTTGATGGTTTAGCTCTAGATCTACCAGTGCCTTATGGTAGAATCCTGAACTGGTCCGTCTTGTGCCCAGGTTTCCATATCTGGGAGAGATTGTTACCTGTCATTTCTGGCATTCTGACCAAACATTATGACTGTTTTGGCTTTAAGATGGAAAGACATGCAGCCTTATTTATTCATCTATCCATTCGTTCATTCACTTAACAGATATGTATGACATACCTGCCATGTACCAGGAGAATACAGCAGTGAGCAAAACAGATGAAGTTTCTGACCTCATACACAAACTAGCACAAGTAAATATAGATACACAATATTAGGTGGTGAAAAATTCTCAAAAGAAAGATAAAGACAAGGTAAGGGGTCAGGAGGTAATGCAGTGCTGTTTCAGACAAAGCAATCTATCATTTGAGCCTCATTTGAGGGGGTGGCATTTGAGCAGGGATCTGAATGAGGTAAGAGTGTCCCTGGGGAAGCTCCCAGGTACCTGAAGAGAGAGAGGAGTCGATTCAGACAAACGCATAATAAGTTCTGTGAGCCTCAGTTTCCATGGTTTAAAATAAGGCTAATAATGCCGACCTGGCAAGGTGCTTATGTGGATTAAATGCAATAGCACATATAAAGTGCTTTGCACGTGGTAGAAAGCCTCGGGTGGGTGTTTCAATGTTAGCGGATGCTCCTTTATATAACTTGGGTGAGTAGACTGGGAGCTCATTCTGTTCTTCCCCAGGACCACTTCAATCTGCAGTCTCTCCAGGCTTCTTTCTCAGCCTGTAAAGGGAGGAAACAACTCTTGTCCCTTCCTCAAAGGAATGCAGGCAGCCAGGTGAGGAAGCATCCATAAGAATGCATTGAGCCAGCTCTTGGGAGAAAGGTCCCCAGAAAGCCAGAGCCATGTGAGAGGCCAGCCCTGACTGAAGGCTCAGTTCAGACTCCAGGACCAGGCCTGGTCTTTAAAAATGTAAGGTTTAGACTGTGGCACAGACAGATTTGCTAGCACAAGAGAGAGCTGGAAAGAGAGCCAGTCCCCAGGATGGAGGCTCTGCAGAAGGGCAGGCTCAGAGTGACCGCCAGGAAGCAACAAAGCAGCGACACAAACAGGAAGCTGGCGACAGGGTGGGGCCTGCGCGGGCCTGGAGGAGCCGGCAGCAGGGCTGCGGGGGAGCTGGGATGCACCCGTAACGCACCCTGGGGCAGGAAGGGAGGCCTCTGCCTGGGCCCCGCGGTGAGGGTTACCTGCCATTCAAGTACCAAATAAAGCTTCCCCTTTCATTTTTCTTAAAAAGGACATCAGAAAGCTGCCTATTTTGTAACCCCCTCCCCAACTCCCATCTCCCATATCTGTCGGGAAAGGTGTTTTTTGTTTGTTTGTTTTTTGTTTAAAACAAAACAAGACAAAACAAAACAAAACCCTCCTTCTTACCGATATACACATCCACCTGGTAATTAATGAAATGCCATTTCATCCCAATGTCTGTCATTGCACTCTGCTGAGTCCAGAAGCTGGGAATCCATGCCAGCCTTATTATTTAGAAAACTGCCCGATAGGGGCATCTTGCAGATGACTGACTCCCAGTGACAACAGGATCTGCATCTAAAATAACATGAGTAGATTGCGGATTGATTCATGGGATCCAGCATGGAGCAGCCCAAACTCCATCCTTCCAAGTTTCATCTCCGAACTCCTGTCAGTCTCAAAATTGATAGAACAGCCTGAAGCCATTAAACAGAGTTATGTCAGCAATCACCTTTCTCATTCTCTCATATGGGTGCGAATACGTCAAGGGGACCCAGGCAAGGGAACAACAGGGTGGCTTTTTTTTTTTAGCATTCAAGGGAACAACAGGGTGGCTTTTTTTTTTAGCATTATGACAAGCAAATGCTTGAATACCAAGGAGCACATGAGCTTTACAGCAGCAGGGAAAAAAGAAAAGAAAAGAAAAAAAAGCCCCCACATGGACGCCTGCCTCCAACTCCAGTGGCCCTGCACGGTGCAAAAAGGAGATTGCTAACAAAAAGGTTATTCAACGCTTCTCCGAATAAACCCAAAGGTAACAAGTATGGACGGAGCAGATGTCAGGAGGCTGAGCGCTACTTTGGAAAACTGCCGAGATATTTAAAAATAGCGCTTTCTTATTAACCCGAGCATAATGCTGAAAGTCCTTTAAAATAAAACTTCCCAGATGCCACCTGCATCTGACATGGCAATAGGATGAATGCCAGTGTGCCCACTGATACTGGAAATGCTCTCAAGAAACAGCCTCGACTGATTGTTCCGGCACAAACAAATCACAAACTAATTTATGTATTCCTGCAGCTGCACCCCAGCCGAGGCGGGGGAGTCGGACCAATTCACAGTTGACTAGTGCTGCCTCATTCTTTGCAGATTTTGGCATTTAACTATAATTAAGATTTATTGTTCACTAGCTTGCAGGTCAGGGCAAGCATGACAATATGGGTGACTTTTCTGTTTACTAGTGAAATGTCTGGTAGGAGGAAGCCTCAAACCTTCCAAGCAGAACTTGACAGAAATAAATAGCGCCTCTTCTCTCCAGGACTAGCACATTACCGATTTTAATCAGATGTGAGGAGTCACTTGAAGGGAGGGAAGGGACAAATCGGAAAGAGCTAGTGAACTGTGCTGTTGCTTTTGCATCAGAAGGGTAATGGCCAGAAGCCAAATCAATTATTGCTGATCTTCTGGATTTGGGAAAGGTATTGTCTGCTTGGTGTGGGAGGGAGGGAGCCCTTGATGGTTCTGCAGAGACTAGGACCTGTAGTTTCTCCTGGCCTCTCCTTGCCATTGAAAGGAGAACCATTCCTCATCTCTTCTTACTCTCAAGGATGCCGCTGGACCAGATCAGATGGCCCGAGGAGGAGGGAAGCAGGGTTCAGCAGTCAGCGGCCACTCACCTGCCTTTACCGTCTGTCTGCTGCGGTCCTGGGCAGGTGACCCACGACACAGTGGGTGTGAAGAAACAAATGATCCTGAGCAGACAGATGAAGAAGGGCATCCCATCCCCACTGCTTTATTAGAAGGCAGAAATGCTAACGTGCAATGTGCTTCCATTTTCTAGCATCTATAATTGATTGTATATCACCGTTTGGACTCCTTGGGATATTTTTGTCGGTGTCTATATAAAACAGAAAAACATCACTCACAAGGACCACAGGTTTGAAGCCTGAGCCTGCTCTGTTTCTCTTGTTCCCTGACAGAGGAGGAGGGAAAATCCTTTGCCCTTCTGTAGTGCTGCTAACTACAGAATGTAATTATATATAATAATGTAAAAAATGCCTTTGTATCTCACCTTAAACTGTAAAGGATTCAAAATATGGCTTTCAAATATCTATACAACACTTTAGGAAACAAAGGTGAAATAAGTGAGTGAGAAAATTGGGTGATTCCTGCATTCTTCTGTTTCATGCTGCCTGTTAACATTAGCACTACCAGTTCCTGGAAGCTGAAGTTCCTGGTTTGATTCAGTAATGTATAATGCAGGACTTAATTCCAGCGCATTTGTTTTTCTCTTTATCAGAAAAGGATCTTGAGATTCTGAGAAGTAAAAGGAAACTTTTGTTTTGACATTAGGAGAAGGCTGTAAAAGCAAGCATTTTCCCCAAAGGTGAAAATAGTGTGAAATTAATTTTAGTCGTGTTTAGATATGAGATCGGACAAAGGATTTAAAAGAAAACTTTTCATCTATTTTAGCAAGTGAAGATGTTTTATAGTAGCAGATACCAGATTGCTAATGCTGTGGAATTCAGTTCAATTGAAGTGTTACTGAACCATGGAAGAGGAAAATAGAATTGTGGGAGGGTGGATTCTAATATTTAGATTTGGCTATTTGTAGTATTTTTAACCACTTAAAAAGTCAAGTTCTTGGTTGCACTAAAGTCACTATCGTTAGTTTAGTTTTCAGATTTTGCCAGTTAAATCAGCATCACTTTATCCTAAGGAAACCTGAGACAGGCATAGAAAGATTCCAGTAAGTCTCCCAGAGAGCCAACCTGACCCTAAATGCAAGCCTGGTTTACCAAGCCATGGAACTTTGAACTTGGTGATGCTCTGTAAGGTCATCTCCTGAGAACGCAAGCAGCCACCACGCTACTCCCGCATTGCTGATAGAAGCAAAGCACATTTATAAACACGGGCACCTGCCACTGTGGACACAAACCGGCACAGAAAAGGACGTGCAGGACACAGTGGCCATTTAGTGGACAGGACGTCGTTAAGCGCACCGCCCCTGGGTACAGACAACGGAAGGGGGAGGGAAGGAGCAGTGTGGCAGGGCCATGCGCTCGGAACAGGTGGGAAGCTGGAGGAAAATCACTTTGCTCTCAGCTGGGGAGGGCTTTGTGGAGGAAGCAGGATTTCAGGAGCTGCAAGAATGATTGCAGGAGACAGCTTGACGGGATGGGATGGGGCAGGATTCCAAGCACAGGGACTCCTGCCCAGGAACGAAGGAAATCTTGAAGGAGGGAATATGTGCTTAGTTGATGGGTCAGTGGGAAGAATTCCAAGGAAGAAAGAGGAGGAATGGGCCATTTATTAGTAGGGCAACTTGGATGCGCAGGACGCAGATCGTCATCTACTCAAACACAGTCACTGTTTTGCCATCATCCCTGAACGCGCAATTACTTTGTTACAGTCCTCCACATTTAAGCTTTGTTTTTTTCAACAATAATATGGCACCCAAATTGGTCACCACACTCATAAGGGAATACTAAAAATGAGACATGATTCATCAAGCTGCCTTCAGTAGAGATAAAATGGATCAAAACACAGGCAAAATAACCCCACTGTTAGAAAATTTTTCTAAAAAATGTGTTTTCTAAATTAGAGAAGAGAGGAGTACCACGGAGTAACTATTATTTCCTGAGACAGTAAGAATTGGGGATTTACTTTTTTTTTTTTTTTTTTAAGAGCTAGGATCTCACTATGTTGGCCAGGCTGGAAAGCAGTGGCACAATCATAGCTCACTGCAGCCTCAAACTCATGGGTTCAAGTGACTCTCCTGCCTCAGCTTCCCCAAGTAGCTTGGACTACAGTCATGTGCCACCACAGCAGGCGGGCATTCACTTTTAAGAGGAGGAGAGTAAACAATAGTTTTCTATCTTCAAGGAAGAAACAGAGATGTTAGAGATTTCAGGTCCTTGTAACTGATATTGCTGAGTTACCCTGCAAAAATGCTGCAGGAATATTTACTCCTATGAAGTTTGTGAAAGACTGGCTATTTCCCCAAATGCTTCCCAGGAATAGAAGTTATCAGGACTCATGATGTCATAAGACAAGACAAGTATCTTGGCCTAGTAAAACAAAACTAGTATTTTGTTTTACTTTGATCTTCCCTGGGTGTGATGGGGAGCATTTATTTAAATATAAATTTCCATATCTGAATCTATATCTATACCTAATCTCTTTTGACCACTTGCACCTCTTATGTGAATTGGCTATTCAATCCCTTTGGTCATTTTTTCTGTTAGGCTCTTTGCCATTTATTATTTTATCTAATTTATATGCATATTAGGGTTACACATACCATTAGTATAAGAGAGTATACATTCTATTGTGCTCTTGCCAGCATTCAGTAAAATTGACACTCTTAAAAATTTTTTTTTTTTTTTCTGAGATAGAGTCTCATTCTGTTGTATAGCCTGGAATGCAGTGCCTCGCCCTCCCAGGCTCAAGCGATTCTCCCACGTAGCCTCCTGAGTAGCTGGGACCACAGGCACATGCCAACACACCAGGCTAATCTTTTAATTTTTTGTAGATACAGGGTCTCCCTGTGTTGCTCAGGCTGGTCTCGAACTCCTGGGCTCAAGTGATCTACTCGCCTCGGCCTCGCCAAGTGCTGGGATTACAGGTGTGAGTCACTGTGCCTGGCAAATTGATATTCTTAATTTGCCAGTTGAAGAGTCTAAAAAGAGTATTTTGATGTTTTTGTTTATATATACTTGCTTATTAATGAGGTTGAACTTTTTTCATATATTTATTAGAAATTTTTATTTCTTTTGCAAATACCCCCTTGCCCGATTTTGGCAGTTGCCAATTGTGTTTTTCTTATTGGTCTGTAGGACCTCTTTATGGGGCATGAACCCAATGTCTCTTACTTGTTATATATATTTTGTCATGCAAATTTTAGGCACTTTAGGTATCCTATGAGCTATCAGTGAGCTTTTGCACTTGGTTTGCAGAGACACTGCCGATGGGGTGGGAGAAAGGTGTGTGTTTCAACGCTGGCTTGTGTTCTCTTTAAGTTTCTGAAATCAAACATAATTCACTATCTTGAGGATTAACTTCCTGTGGAAAAATACCTCATCTTGTCTATATAAGAAACGGCTTTGACCATGTACCATACAACACAGCAACCCTGGCCTTATTGTGCCAAAGGTGCATTTGCTTGATATTATTACCATTGAGCTGATGAATTCAAATGCCTCTCCTTGCTCCCTTGACCACAGGAGCTGGGGCTGGGATGGGAATGGGGAGGGAGTAGGGAATCAGTAAATAGACAGCAGAATCACTAAGGTGGTAGGAAGGGCAGGGAAAAGACTTGAACCTGGCCCCAAATGTTGCCTACTCTTGCTCCATTCACCTCTGCTTGTTGCTGACTTCTGACTTCCTCTAATTTTCTCCCTTGGTAGGTTGGCCTTCTTCATGTGACAGAAAATATCTTGCACTGTCCTCCCCTGAGAGAGGCAGACTCGTTTGTCTTTTAATTGCATCCTGCAGAAAGCACTCTCTTGAGGGCCCAGTCCAGGTCATGAGTAAGGTTGATAGATAAAATACAGGACAACCGGATGCATTAGAATTTCACAGAAGCAACTCATCATTTTAAAGTTATAAGTATGTTCCAAAAGTTGTATGGGATACACTTATACTAAAAAGTTATTCATTGTTTATCTGAAATTCAAATTTAACTGGATGGCCTGTATTTTTATTTGCCAAGTTTGGCAAACCTAGTCTGCTCCTGGACCAATTGACCTAGAGCCAGGGAGCTGAGGTTCTGTCTACCCTCACATCAATTAAAGAGTGGGCCAGATTATGTCCTTACTGTTGCCCATTTGTTAATGGTGGAGATGAGGGGGTGGTTAATTACACTAAACAGGCAATTCTATGAGTATCCACCATACCTGCTCTACTTAAAGCAGCTGGTCTCTCTGCCCAGAATGGACTTTCTACCAGCTCTCCTGGCCCCAGGCTGGCCTGCCTGCATACTGCTTACTCTCTGGCACAATCCTCTCAGGTTCCTGTCATTGTTCCTGTCATTGTTTGTCAACTCTCTGGGTCTTTGTTCTGTGCTATGATGTAAACTATGTGAGAAGCAGCGCAGCGCCTGGCTGGGGCTTCTGCGGTGCATCCCTACATTTCATGCAGGGCCCGGCACACGTTAGGCGGAAGGACACACTTGGTTCGCACCAATTCAGCTAAGAGTCCCCCGTATCTGTTACATGCTTTTCCTTCCACGCCTGTCCCGTCACCGCTGTAATGGGAGACCCTACACTTTGATCTGCAGAGACCATGCATGCGCTTGTCCTTTCTACTTCTTCATGGTTTTCGCTTGTGCAGACGAAATTACCGTAGTCCAGCTACTGGGGGAAGCTGAGGCAGGAGGGTCTCTTGAACCCACGAGTTTGAGGCTGCAGTGAGCTATGATTGTGCCACTGAGTTCCAGCCTGATCAACATAGTGAGACCCTATCTCTTAAAAAGAAGTAAATTCCCAATTCTTACTGTCTCAGGAAATAATAGTTAACTCTGTGGTACTCCTCTCTTCTCTAATTTAGAAAACACGTTAAAAAATTTTTCTAATGATGGGGTTATTTTGCCTGTGCTTTGACCCATTTTATCGTATTGCAGGTAGCCTGATGCATCATGTCTTTATTTATTTATTTATTTATTTTTTGAGGTGGAGTCTCACTCTGTCACCCAGGCTGGAGTGCAATGGCATGGTGTCGGCTCACTGCAACATCCACCTCTTGGGTTCAAGCGATTCCCCTGCCTCAGCCTCTCGAATAGCTGGGATTACAGGGGCCTGCCACCACACTTGGCTAATTTTTGTATTTTTAGTAGAGATGGGGTTTCACTCTGTTGACCAGGCTGGTCTCGAATGCCTGACCTCGTGATTCACCCACCTCGGAGTCCCAAAGTGCTGGGATTACAGGCGTGAACCACCTTGCCCAGCCCATGTCTCAGTTTTTAATATTCCATTATGAGTGTGGTGACCAATTTCGGTGCCATGTTATTGTTGAAAAAACAAAGCTTAAATGTAGAAGACTGTAACAAAGTAATTGGGTGTTGGGGAATGATGGGAAAGCAGTGACTGTGTTTGAGTGAATGGCGATCTGCGTCTGTTTACCTTCAGTGTCTTCCATTCCCGCCTGCCTGGTCACTGCCAAGCCTCACGCCCATGCAGGGGCTCAGCTCTGAGTGGAGAAGGCCAGTGTGGCAAGGCACACCTTTTAGCCAAGGGAGACAGCGCTAGGGCAGATGCTCACCCAGAATCCGCTCACCCAGGGATGCTGGACCCTGCACATCCTGGGAGGCTTCTTAGCAGATGGCTCTGGAGAGCAAAGATGTCCAGCTTTCCCCTTCCTGTTTTCTTCCCTCCCACTCTTGCATTTCCTCTTCCTCTATCTGGAGTCTTCTCCTCCCCCAGTACCCTTCCCTCTAACTTCCTTCCACCCCACAACCTGTCCTGACCACACTGCCCACCTTCTCGCTCACCCAAGCTCTTTTGCACTCTCTCTCTTTCCTCCCATTTAAAGAACATTTGCTATATACTGGGCACCTTAGTACCTTACATACATTTTGTTTTCATTATATCATTTTTCCCAATGCTATAGTGTAGCAATATTTATTTCCATTTTGCAAATGAGAAATGGAAACATTAGGAAATGAGAACTGTGAAGGAGATACAGCCCGAGAGTGATGGAGATGGGCTTTGAACCTGGATCTTCTGACAGCAGAGTCTGTACTTGTGAGTGTCGTGTTGTACTGACATGTAGCCCTCAGAGGCTGACATTTCAGCGTGCATGACATGTATATGGGTGGAATGGGGAGGGCCAATGTTTAGGGGTAGGTGTCCTGTGCAGCACTGTGTGAGTCCTCGTCCAGCTTCATCCATGACCAGGCTTGGTGCTGTGCTCCCCCGCTCTTTCCATCTGTGCCAGCTCCCACTGCCTCCATCATCACCTGTCTTCACCCCGCTCCTTTGTTTTTCATTCATTACACTGTGGGCTAGCTTCTTCCTCCTCACATCTAGGGAGGCATTATTACTTTGCAAACAAAACATGTCCTGCTTGCCCTAGAAGATGGGTTGTCTGCAGAGATTTCCTGCAGACTGCTGTGCTCATCGTGGCTCAGGATTCTTGTAAACTGCAGTCACAGAGGGTGGCACTTCCTGCCGGAGGGAAACTTGTCCTCTCCCTGACCTCTGCCTTATTATCCCTTGCCGTCCATCTTGGAATCCCTCTCCCATTTGCACTGAGGCCCTCCTGCTACCAACATCAGGACATCCCAGGCAGGGAGAGAACCATGTCATTTGGAGATGGCAGGGGACAGACAGACATTGCCAAGTGGGCTGTTTTCCTGCCTCGGTCCTTCCTGGCCATTCGGTGGTCCACATCCTGACCCTCCCCCATAACCACTGGAGGCCAAGACTTGCAACGTTCCTGAGCCCCAACACAGCCAATTATGCCACAAATAAATAAAGATGGAGAGAGCAGGGGGCTCCTTCCCAGCCTCCATATAGAGCCTTCTTTGAATGACATGGCTCTGGTCCCCAGCTGTGGCTGAGAATGTGTTTCAGGGCTGTACCTCAGACAATGCTGGCCCAGTCTCCTTCCCCAGCTCCCAGCTGCATTTTGCCTCTGGCCTGGGAGTCTCTGCATCTCTCCCCTCTCATGCTCTCTTTCTCTCTCTCGGTCCTTTGGTCATTTTCTTTCCAGATTTTCAAAAGGGGAAGGGACTGGAAAACAAATTCAAACCCTGATTTTTGAGTGGGGTGAAGCCTTCTGCATGAAGAAATAAAAGATCATACATTGATAGCTTGGAAAACAATGGTAATATTTAATTAACCTTTTGAAATGGCTGATCTGCAAATCTGCACGTGTCAGCTCATCTTCAGAACAGAGGCACTGTGTGTGCCGATGCCAAAATCAACATGCTGGTCCATGGATTTCCTCCATGGGGATTTCACAGGGGGAAAAAGTAAGAATATATTCCATGACCCCTCCTCCCACCATCAGTTGTGTTACTTTTAAAAATTCATGTGATCCAGCTGCCCTCGCCAAGGTTGGACGCAGCCTGTTGTGCTGCACATCTGAGGACCCCGAGCTGAAGCTTGGCTCTTGTCCCTGTCATTGTAGCAGACAGGCCTCGGGCCTCCTGGGGGACTGAGGGTCAGTTCTGATGACAGCAAAAATCAGCTCGATGCACTTGGAGTTCTCCCAACACGGTGCATATCCACAGGACAAAGGGAATTAGACTCATCTGCAAGTGTCAACTCTCTGACTTTTTAGTGTTTTTTTTTTTTTTTTTTTCTTTCTTGTAAAGGTGGCGTGGTCTCTTAGTTTGAGAAGTCATGTCATCCAGGGAGCATGGAGGTTGGCTCATTAAAATATCACTTGGTTAAAGTAAATCAGTGTTGATGGAATTGTTTAAGATATTCCCCCTTGTGGAGCTGGTGTGCCACGCTGATCAACTTGTTACTCCCATCACCATGGGCTACGTGGAAACTCCTCCTTTCTACTCTGCACCCCATACCTGCTTTAATGAGCATGTCTCCAAATGTAATCGGAAGCCTGAGTTGATGGGTGGTGACTCATACATTTCATTTCCTTTTATCAACGGCAGTAGCAGAAAGAATCAGGGAGGGTGATATTTTGCTCTTTGGGACTTCTAGGAATTAAAGGAGTATGGGCATCAAGAAAATGAATATGAAATAGGTGATTTCAACTGTACGTACACATCAGTCAAGCAACAACATGCACTTTGAAATGTTTAAAGAAATTACTGTAACTTGTGAGAAGTCTTTAGTTGTTTTTATGTGTTTTGACTGATCAGAGAAAAAAGCGTGGGGCTTTTAAGAAATGTGTGGCAAAACTGTAAAGCTTTGAATAAGGAAGATTTAAGGCTTATGAAGACTTGACAAAGGTAGGATGATGCACAGTGGAGTAAATGAGGTAATTATTTGATTGCAAAGGTCACTTTTTCCTAATTGGAAGGACACAGCATAGTTGGGCAAAACAACTGCAAAATAATCTTATCTCTGTCATTCTGGCAGGCTCAATAGATGTGGGGATCAATAAATGAGGCTGGAAGGTATGAAGCGTTCCTTAAGGTGACCAGGAGAGTGCCTTTCTAGAAGAAGTAGCTCCTCTGTGATGGCCTGACCATCAGTGACTCTGTTCACAGGGCAAGGACAAGAAGGCCAATGGCCACAATGACCCAGAAGTGTTAGAAATACCAAATCTGCCAGTGGCAATTGCCAGGCTGAGACCCAAGGTCTTTTTGGTCCCAAAAAGCATGGAAGGTAGCAGGAAATAAGTTTTCCTGGAGGTAGAAAGAACATTTGTGGTTTGGCTATAAGCCTACACATAGTGACCACTGGCTGCGCTTCAAGCTTGTAGTAGGTGCTTTACAGGCCTTATCTCATTTAATCCTTACAGCAAACCTATGAGGTATTTACTAGTATTAGCCCCACTTTATAGTTGAGGCAATTGAGGGACAGAGAGGCTAAGTAACTTGTTTGCAGTCACACAGAATATACTGATTCTGAGTAGTAATTGAAGAGTTGAGCTGAAGAGGAAGGTTATCTGTTATATCCAATGGTTTGTATTTGTTAAATGGATTTATCTTGTTTTAATAGTGTTTAGTAGTTGGGCTCAGCTGCTCAATGTGACTTGCACAGTGTGTAGTAGTGTTCAGAGGGTCCAATGTCAGGCTTTCTTCAGAAGCTGATCCAAACTACCTCATCCACTCTGAGTCATGTGTTCTTTCTTCTGTGACAGCAGCAACAGGACAGATCTTAGATTTCTGGAAGAGCTTCACCATCCTGAACACACGTGGGAGAAAAGTGAGTCAAATTGAGAAAGCAGAGCAAAAGGGTGGGGCAGGGGTTGGACACACAGAAACCATTCCCCTCCCCTACCTTTTGTTCCCTCAAAATGGACCTCATAGCTTCGGGAGGGAATTAGAATATAAAATGGGATGGCCAACCAAAGGAGAGCTTATTGGTAGAAAAATGTGATGGCTTCCAACCGGCCTTCCACCACTTCCATCCCAAAGCTTCCAGCCCAAAGCTTCCAGCCCAAAGCTTCATCTGACCCCTAAGACTGGCCTGAGTATGATTAGACCACCAGAATCAATAAAATATGGTGAGCTGGGTGGTTACTCAATAAGGAAATACAGGTTGAGCATGCCTAATTTGAAAATGCCAAATCTGAAATGCTCCAAAATCCAAAACTTTCTGAGTGCCAACATGACATAGTGACACCTTTGCTTTCTGATGGCTCAGTGTACACAATCTTTGTTTCAGGCACAAAATTAGTACAAATATTGTATAAAATTACCTTCAGGCTATGTGTATAAGATGTATATGAACCATAAAAACATCTTGTGTTTAGACTTGGGTCTCATCCCCAAGATATCTCATTCTGTATGTGCAAGTATTCCAAAATCCCAAAACCCAGAAATGCAAAGTACTTCTGGTCTCAAGCATTTTGGGTAAGGGGTACTCAACCTGTAGCACATGGATGTGATGCTGTGGAGGCCCCACGACCCAAAGTGTCTTATGGGTCATAACACAAACGGGCTTAATCCCACTCTTAAGAGGTTTATCTTGGGTGGGGGAGCAGCCCCTTCACCAAGGGCTCTGTCTGACATTATGACTAGAGGCCACCAAAAGACAATGTAAATGACAATGTCACTGATGACTACTGACAGTGGGAACATCCACCAAACCTAGGGACTTTACTCTGATGTCTCATGTATTCATGCCTGTCTAATTCCCTGAGCAGCTAAACTATCACTTTCAGTGATTATCACTCTGGCAAAATCTAAGTGGACTCCCAGGGGGTGGGGGAAGAAAACTGCATGTGCATACATAAGAGTGGAAGCTGCGTAAATGTGTGTGTGCTTGCATTTGTGCATGCAAGTGGTGAGAAGCTGAGGGTCTGAGCAGTTTTCCGAGACTCCCCAGAATACAGAAGGCTTGTGGTGCATATGGGAGAACTGACAAGTATACCAGAAGGTGAGGAAATGGCTGGAAGCAACACTAATGCCACTCCATCTGGAAAGAGGGGTACTGTTTAGTACGTCTGGAAAGCATTATTTCTGCAAATAGCTCAACCTCTATCAACTTTCAGGCAGGGATCCCGATCTGCTGCCAAAATGAGATCTCCCTTACGGCAATGTGGTGGGAGCGGCTGAGCAAATGAACTAATAGCACAAAGCAGGAAATCTGTAGAGATGGCAGCCGGTAAGGTACCACACAGCAAGCACCTGCTTCTCTCCAAAAAGACAGCCGGGGCTTCGCATCACATTAGGCCAGGGCTGCACTGGGGGAGAGCCGAGCCTGGTGGGATTTTTGGGCTCAGCAGCCATTTCCAACAATTTCTCACAATTTTTGGGCTCAGAAAAGCCCCAAATAGAGTTAGCCAAATGGCTTTCCTGCATTGATTTTTATACCCGTGGGTATTTTGAAGGAAATTAAATCCATGTGTCTCTGATTCGGTTGCCATTAGCACATGAAAACGCTGTTTTGTGAGAATTATGGTATGCCGTGGGTGCCTTCGCACAGTGCTGCTAAATGCCATAAAACCGTCTAGCCAGACACGGAGGTGCAAGAAGCCGGGTGCGTTCTGCTATACGCCATTTCCCTGCCTGTCCAGAAGGCAACATGTTTTTGTCATTTGCATCCTTTCTGAATGTAGCACAACATGTTTTCTCGTGCCTGTTAATCATCTATCATTTCCAATTTGAATGAAGCCGTATTAGTGTAGATGATGAGAAATTGCCCTTAACCACTAATAGCTGGACAGGATTCATAGGAAAGCTGCCACAAGGACTGGTGCTGGCCTCCAGGTCCAGGGACAAAGAGGCCAGCTGAAAAGTATCCCCAGAAAGGCCATTCAGGCTCCAGTTTGCAACCTTTAGAAGCAGGTGAGCATGCACTGGCTGTGAGAGAGGGTGAGGAACCCTGGTCTGAGATCAGGGCTGGGGGGGCTCCTCTGGGCCCCACTACTGACTGCCTCTGAACTTCCTCTGTATTGATCACCTGGTTGAATGCCATCAGTTTAGGGCTCTTTCTGGGCCTGACATTCTATGAATTAAAATCTAGCCCCAATACGTCCTTAGTGATCAACTTCACTGCATGGTTGCATGTATTAAATCCCTACTGTGTTCAATGTTTTATGCTCAATGTTGAGGGCAGAAAGATGAAAAACCTGTTTTTGCCTTTGGAGGGAAGATGAAAAAAGGAAGGGGAGAGGACTGGTTATTGACTGTGAGTCAGGCAGAGTGTGGGAGCTTTATTCGTCAATCTCACATCATTGGCAAGAATTTTCTAACGTATGCATTATCACCCCTATTTGATGAATGGAATTTTACTGAGTCAGGAGGGGTGAGTAATTTGCTCTTGGACAAGAGCTTGGAAATGTAGGAGTTGGGATATGGGGTCTCTTTTCTATGACTCCAAATTTCGTGTTATTTTCTCTCCTCCTTACTGTCGCTTATAATTTAATGTGATAAGTTTCAAATATACACAAATCTAATATTTTATATCTAGAATTACAGGGAGGGAGTGCCTAATTCTGCTTTGGGAACATTGGAAGACTTCACTAAGAAAATGACATTTGCTTTGAGTTTTGAAAGATGAGCAGAAGTTGACCCAGTGGAGATGGGAGATGGGTTGGGGATGGCAGAGGGAACAGTGTGTGCAAAGAGATAGAGTGAAAAGGGGGCAAAGTGTTTCAGGAACTGAAATCATGCCACTTACCTCATTTGTGTAACACTGATTAATGTATAAACTGCTGAAACATTTCAGGTCACATTTCTCCTATAGACACAATTATATCTTGATTGTACGTTTTCTGGAGCTCCAGTCTAGTCTCATCATTCCATCTACTGGGCTATGGAGGATCATCTTTGAGATCAGGCGGCATCTCAGCAAGTGGCTTGGTTGACTTTGACTTTGGCAGCCTTGACTAACTCAGTGGAAAAGGGGTTTTCTACATTTACCTCCATTCATGTTATTGTCTACAATGTTTTGCTCCTCACTTGCAATAGAAGAAAGAAAGTTAGTCAAGAGCACAGCTGGTGGCAATTTTGCTCTGAATTCAGAGGTTGTGGAGCAAACAGGAAATTTCATGCTGCAGCCGTGGTGGAGGCCAACTGAGCTTTAGTGACTTACATGGTGTGTCCACAACCTGCTTCCCGTGAAATTGCCTATAAGCATGGACAACCTGGGAAGCTGCGGCTGAGCTGCTTCTCTAGAAGCCTCTCTGGATTTCATAACTAGGCTCCTTCTAGCATTTAGTAAAACTGTACTCTCCTATGCCTTAGATTGACTGAACTTGGCCTGTGCCCTATTTTAAAAGTCAGCTGGGCTTCTAAAGCATGAGAGTAGGCAGTCCATGGAGAGTCGTCTTCTCCCATCGTAAAGATTCAGGAGATCTCTCAACTCCTGGCAAGGAGTATGCTGTGTTCCTGGCTGAACGAACTCACTTACCTCAGTCTAGAACTTAACCTGAGGCACGCACACCTTTGGTAATGTTTGTGATTCTAATGATGTCTAAACTGATCCTCCTGGCCTGGTGTCAGCCACTTGTGAGAATCTCACACTCCATTTAGACTCAGGAGACCTACTTCTCATCCAGAATATTTTCCTAAAAAAAATAAACTTCATCCTGTGTCAAATGAAAGGGTCAAACTCAACAATCACTAAGGTCCTATCAGCTCTAGAATGTTCTAATTTATCTTATTCTAGCTTTGCTGGAAGTTGAGACCAGCTGTTTACTCTCATTAAGAGAGAGTCTCACTCTCCCATTATCATTCTAGAATGTCTTAAGCTCCCATATCCTCATCTTAGCTTTTGCTCTTTGCTCCACTAAAGCAAATCTCCATTTATTTGGCCTTTTCTCAGAGGGACAATTTTCCCAAACATATCATCATCCATGTAGACATGGAACCTTTTGGGACCCTCTCTAAGGTCTTTACATCATCCTGCAATTGTACCTTCCAAGCAGAACACCAATACAAGCTTAACTGGAGTGGGATGATGTGGTTGGGTATGGATACAGTCAGATTCTGCCTTTCCAAGCCTTGCTTCTGTGAGAGCTAAACAATTTCAGGGAGCTTGCAGCCCACTGTCATCTGCAGTTGGGTTCATTTAGAGTAGAGGCCACGTTAGCTGTATTATAAACATGGTGGCCAACAATGAATGGCCTGGACTCATTCTCCTCTTGGCTTGTGCAGAGAGAGGCCAGTCAGGTGGCTTAGAGACGTTGTTGGCAGGAACCATCACTGCCTCTATTTGGGAATGAAGGACCATAAATGGTGGCTGCCTTCCAAACTGCCAATAAATAAGTAAATATAGAGAGTGTTGACATTGGTCTCCCTGCCAAACACCAGTCTGCTTCTATTCTCATTTTGGGGGAAACGAAAGAGAGAAGGATTATTGAATAGGCTTTTGAGAAGTAGCCTCAGTTCTACTTGGAATCTCTTCCCTTTTTGGAAACATTTCAGTCGGCTTTCTGGCCCTTATTGGAGAGAGAGACAATTCTGTCAAACATGAGATTGTGTTAGCTTATTCATAATAATGATCAGCAATAGGCTGAAATTGAGCCACTTCTAAGGTTGAACTGTTGTCAACAGATACTTCAGCTATAGTTTGGAATAACAGCTTAGCCCCTGAGAGGGAGGGTGTGAATTTAGCATGCAGCCAACTCCAAGACAGTTTAAGGTGCTGGCCAAGCACGTGGCACTTTAGGAATACTCAGCTTTGGGGCTCAACTTCCTCTCAGCCCACAGATTTACCAGGTTTTTAACCCCTGCCTCCTGAGTTAGAAGGTTTTGTGAATTGATTCAGTCTGAAGTTGGACAACATGGCAGCATGTTTCTCAGCATGGAAGGCATTGAGAAGACATAGCTTGCTTACTTTTGCATGCCTCATGCTTAACATGGTGTCTGTCACATCAAAGGCACTTCATATCTACTTGTGCAATGGATGAATGAATTTAGAGATGCTTTGCTTCCTCTCTGCTGTTATCAATAATCTCAGACTGTTCCTGTATTTTGAATTACTCCAGAGCCACACTCTAGGATATCTGAAGTTTAGGATTTGGCTCTTTCACATGCTTCTGTTGCCACCTACCCATGTCCAACTATCTTCTCCTTAACACCTACCCCACCAGCATGATGGAGGGCTCTCTATAAAGGCTCTCCTAGCCCATGCTGCACACACTTTTTCCTGTTCTGAAGCATGTCTCTAGAAATTCTACACACTTGCTTCCCCCCTTTAAAAAAATCATTTCACTCCTTTCCTGTTCCTTTTCCCACTTCTCTTGAGAACTTTCAAGAGCCTGCAATATAAACAGCTCTAAATGAGAAAATCTGACTGAGAAACTGAGGAAAGAGAAGGCCAAGGGCCAATGGAGGAGTCGGGCACAATAACTTCTCTTTTCATGAGATTCGGTGGGGTTTTCTCCTTGGATGGCTGGTCTCCTGGGCAGAGCTGCTAGCCTTAAAGGGCCACATACGTTAGATTTCCACGGTTGTGTTTTGTTTGTTTGTTTGTTTGTTTTTGAGATGGAGTCCCGCCCTGTCGCCCAGGCTGGAGTGCAATGGCGCGATCTCAGTTTACTGCAACCTCCACCTCCCGGGTTCAAGCGATTCCCTTGCCTCAGCCTCCCATGTAGCTGTGACTACAGGCACACACTACCATGACTGGCTAATTTTTTTTTTTTTTTTGTATTTTTAGTAGAGACGGGGTTTCACCATGTTGACCAGGGTGGTCTCGAACTCTTGACCTCAGGTGATCCACCTGCCTTCGCCTCCCAAAGTGCTGGGATTACCGCATGAGCGCACCCGGCCTCCATGGTTGTTTTGACAGCTGAAGTGCAAAGGAATTAATTTTTCTATTTTATGTTATTTTAAAAATAATTTTACCTTTTATTTTAGATTCAGGGGGTACATGTATAGGTTTGTTACATGGGTATATCGCATGATACTGAGTTTTGAGTTATGAATAACCCTGTCACCCAAGTAGTGAGTATAGTATCCAATAGTTATTATAGTTTTTCAGCCCTTTCCCCTCTTTCTTACTGGCCCCTACCCCCAGTAGTCCCCAGTGTCTACTGTTCCCATCTTTATGGCCATGTGTACCCAATGCTTAGATGCCACTTATAAGTGAGAACATGTGGTATTTTGTTTTCTGTTCCTGTGTTAGACATTAACCCTTTAAGTCAAAGTCTTCTATAGTTTAGTTACTGCTTTTCTTCAAAGTGTGATTTATTATTCACCTCTTAAGGCATGAGTGTCAGAGCACATTCACACGCACACACACTGGATGCTACTGGGTTTTTTACGAGTTTAGACATGACCGATTTCCCTGCACATCCTCACGGCATCTGAATAACCCAAGACTTCCTACTAATGGTTTCAAGAGGAGACTTTCAGGTAATTAGGGAGATTCTGTTTTCCAAGAAAAGCTCTTCTTTTCAGAAGTCTGATTCCAAGGAGTTGTAGATGATTGCTTCATTTTGGGAGCTGGTATAGTTTAACGAGCAGCTTATGCCACACTGATCTCTAGCATATTTGTATCGACAAGGAGACACAAGCCTGCATGATTGTGGTTTTTTCCCTAGGTTCCTAATAGACCTTTGTTATTTATATTTTTAATTGTGTGAAAGTACCTGAAAGCTTAGTGGCAAAGAAGACAGTTGTAAAAAATTGAATAAATAAATACATTTAAAAAAATCCAAGTTAGTGATGTCTGACTTCCTCTATTCATGTTATTGCTACTCTTGTTGCTTTTTGGTTTTTGTTTTGCTTCTTGACTGTTGTTGTTTTCCAGGAAAGCTGTCATTTATCGTGAGAACAAGAGCAGCCATGTGTTGATTTTTCTGGATTCTTTTTGGATACTATCCCAGTGCTAATGAAGGCCCTTCCAAAGTGCTAAAGAGCTGGTGCCAAAATCAGTTACGCTGAAAACAATAGAGAGTGGTACACAGACAGCATATATATACCCGTATATGTATACGCACGCCTCGATATCTGAATTAATACGTGTGTGTGCACCTCCCTCTGTTTATGCAAATATACACACGCATCTGTGCAAACACATAATGTGTGCGCCGGAGCTACACTGAGGAGAATGTGACGGCTGCATTTTAATAAAAGGACTTTTTATAGCTGCTTGCAGAAAATTTTTCTTTGATCAAGGGATGAGCAAAGTTTCTAAATGTTGCAGCGCCCGAATTTGTCAGTTTGGAAGCTACTAAAAATGTACTTTCATCAGTTAAAAAATTTAGGGAGGAAAATAAATATTATAGATAGTATTTGTTTTACTAGGAGATGAGGATACTACTACAAGAAGCACCTGGAAAGTGCTTAGCATAGGCTTGGTTGCTGTGCTTATATTAACAAATTCTTTAACATGGATGTTTGCGTACTTTAGAGGTAGTTTATTAGCTGAAAGAGGGGACATTTTGTAGCTGGGCTCTCTGTGCCCTCAATAGATTTTCCCTGCCTTTCTCCCAATGTGTAATTATTCTGTCCTCAATTTGTTTACACAGCTTGGAGACGGGGACAGAGTTCTCTGGCGACCATGCAGCGGCGTGCAATCGCCCTAAAGAGAAACATTTAGAAGCGATAAAACCTAAATGCCCTGCCATGCACCATTACATCCCACAGTTATTCAAATTTAGTAAGTTAAATTAAATAATATCAAATAACTTGATTTCGGGGCTTTAAAAATTCATCTCTATGGTGCCCAGTAGTCAATTTCCTTTATTATTATTGTTCATCAAGTAGGATTTATGTTTTTTATGAATCAGGATCCTCGCCTGCGCCATCCGCAGCGCTCGTGGCGGGCCCGGTGAGTCGCAGCTCGGAGCGCCATCTACCGGCTGTTTTCTGCACGGCCGCCGGGAGGCTGCGCGCCGGCCCCAGGGTGGGGGAGAGGCCCAGGGAGCCAGGACGGCCCAGCGCGCTGGCCCTGAAAACATCAGAGACAGGACAGAGCTCTCAGCCGCTGTGCTCACAGCTTCTTTGGTCTCGGTCACTGGGGGTCCGCCTGAAGTCGCAGGGAGAAGCCGGAGAGACTGGCTGCTGAGGCTGGAGGAGTTTTTCTTCTGCTGCAAAGCTGACACGTGTGGTGGTGGTGTTCCGCGCCTCCCGTTCTTCTTTATAAAAGCCCAGACATCCAATTAAACTGCTGTGTCCCGGCGTATCTGGGAAGCCATTCCTGCATGACTCAAAGCCTTTCTCTGCTCTCGCACATTCCTGTTAGACGAGGACACTGGATGTTTAGGCACAGTAGCTGCTGATGCCAAAAAGTCCCCCAGGGAAAGACAATGATAAATTTTGTCATGTGTTATGTTTTTAAAAAGTATTTTACTTCCAGGGAAATCTTTTCCCTTTAACATTTCTGAAAAGGAGTTGAATTCTGGTGTGGTGGGGGCAATGGCAAGCCATTGGTTTTCTTAGTGGCAGGTTTCCATTTACGCTTAATTTGATTGTAGTTTAGCAAATAAACAACCATCAGACAATGGCAGTGTGTGTTGAAGGAAGGAAATCCCTTCAAAGCAAAGTTAAACTATTCCCTAATTCAAACCTCTCTGGCACCTTTGTTTGATCTATCTTGCTTCAGTAAAGTTCCATGAGTGTGACACTTAGAAGTTTGCTCACATTTTCAAGTAATATCATAATCCGAGCATCCCAACAGGGCATCCAAGAAATTCCTTTTCTTCTCTAAGCTTCTAAACAGAGTGCTCAGCATGGATATGTGTGTCTGAAAGTGCCTTCCAACTGATCAGCTGTCTCCTCTCTCTCTCCCCCCAGTCAAGTGTTTCAACATAGCAACAGATGGTGTTTTAAGCTTTTTGCTGAGTTTAGTATGGTCTTTTTTTGCTTTCCCAGGAGGACTGTGGTGATAAGTCCACTCTGCCATTAATAAGTTCAAATGAGATGGTACAACTTTCTCTTAGAAATTAAACTAACTTCACTGAGTCCCATGATTTAGTGTTGTTAATGCATTTTTCTTTCTGTTTTTCTTTTCTTTTTTTTCTTTCTTTTTTTTTTTTAGACAGAGTCTTGCTGTCACCCAGGCTGCAGTGCAGTGGCGTGATCTCTGCTCACTGCAACCTCTGCTTCCCGGGTTCAAGCAATTCTCTTGCCTCATCCTCCTGAGTAGCTGGGATTAGAGGTATGTGCCACCACGCCCGGCTAATTTTTTGTATTTTTAGTGGAGATGGGGTTTCACCATGTTTGCCAAGCTGGTCTTGAACTCCTGACCTCAGGTGATACTCCTGCCTCGGCCTCCAAGTGCTGGGATTACAGGCATGAGCCACCATGCCCAGGCGTTAAAGCATTTTTCAAAAGGAGTTCTCCTTCCCTTTCCTTAAAAGTAAACCTCTCTCTCTACCTTATACCATCACTCTATAGTTTCCAGGCATTTTCTTCAGATGTTTGTGCAGAAAAGAAATGTAAGAAAAAAGTTGCCAGACTGGAAGCAAAATCACACAATTTATATTTATTTTGCATGTGTTAGGTTACAAATCTCTGGAGATTTTAAGATCATTCTACTCTTCAAGCAAGAGTCAAAACTAAGTAACATCCTCCATTTGACTTAAGAGGAACAGAGTGAATCATGCTAGAAGGTCTTTTTTCTGAGACTGCATTTACCAAAGAAAATCCAATTCTTAAAGGACCTCCAGAGAGCCTTCCTCCTTGTTGTTCAGTGGTGTGAGGAAAGATCAGAGACTCTTTTGCTAGGCTGTTGAAGTTCGAGGTGAAATCATCTTTTCTTCACTTGTTAACTGAAGGCAAACCCTTCGAAATATCCTGGCCTTGTTGTTCATGTTGTTTTTGCATTTTTATCATCAGGGTCACTTTTGTTATAGATTTGTCATAGTGTGGATCAACCTGCATTCTTGTCAGGGTTTGCAAGCCTCCCTGCCAACGTGCTGATCCAGTGCCTGTCCTGGAGTTACCCACCTCATCCTGGTCTGTCTTTCTTAGAACAATGACTTTCTAGCTCTAGCCTAATACAATAATTTGTTTGGTGGTTTAAAGGAGTTGGCCAAGAAACACAGGCAAGAGCTAGCATTCCCAAACTTAATCCTTAATCTGTTTGTCTTACTTGTTTATGGAGAAAAACAGAAACAAAATCACCCTAAGATTGTGCTATCTGAAACCAAAACACCTCCAGGAAGATGTTCCAGGCTGAATGTCCCACCCCCCTTCCCTCCCCCTGCTACCCCTCCAATTCACATGTTGAAGTTCTAATGCCCAGTACCTCAGAATGAGACTGTGTTTGGAGACAGGGTCTTTATAGAGGTACTTAAGTTAGAATAAGGTTATTAGGATGGGCTTTATCCAATATGGTGAGTGTTCTTATAAGAGGAGGAAATTTAGATACAGACACGAGCAGAGGGAAGACCCTCTTCATGAGAAGACACAGAAAGCAGACAGCCATCTAAAGCCAAGGAGAGAGGCCTGGAATGGTCTTTCTCTCACAGTTCTCAAGAGGAACCAACCTTGCCTACACCTTGATTTTGGACTTCCAGCCTTCAGAACTGTGAGACAATAAATGTCTGCTGTTTAAGTCACACAGTCTGTGACGCTTTGTTATGGCAACCCCAGCCCTAGCTGAGGTGAGGGAATTAATTCAGTCATCCATATATTTTGATATTCCAAAATAACTTCCATTATTTAGAAGAGCCTGCAGGCAGGGAGATGTGGTGTGCTTTGGGAATTCCTTGATGGTGCATTAAACGAGGCCCTTGGAAGATTCCAGCCTGGCCCTGCCCAACTTAGCTGCTGAATCCTCCGCAAACCATAAGGTAGTACTGAAGTCTGTGGAGCGCTACTGCCATGTGTAAACCATGGCTAATCATAGAAATAACTTGTCTTCTATTTAGCTTCATGTACCTGGACACAAAAAGCACTTTCCTGGTGAGAAGCTAACACTTGAAGAACATAGGGTTTTGTGCACCTCTTTTGCAACTCCTTAACATGATTTGGAACAGAGTTAAACTCTGTGGACCTGCAAATTTAACTCCAGAGGTATTACCACACCTGTCTATGCCACCCAGACAGAAGGCTCAGGTGAGAGCTTTCTGCTTGTGCACTTGAAAATTGAGGCCTCATCAACAAATCCTCTTTATGAAACTTGCGTGATTAGTCTTTCCATCGTTGCAGCTGTTTCCATCAATGCAGTGTCCCTTTAAGAACCTGCAGGATTACTAATGGATACAGGTCATGGTGACAGACTTAAGTAAACCTTCAGCAATAAACAATCATGTTGAGTTTTCATATGATTACCATCATCTCATGCCTATCCCAATAGGGCGAAGAATGCATGAAGGAAATGAACATGATGGATCATATACATCATACTGTCATCCCCCAAGAGTGAGACAAACAGTATCTTGAGGAGGCTCACACTGTCTTCCTGATAAAAGCCAACAAGAATGTGCATTAAAATGGATCCTGTATTTTATGATAAACTATTCTCGCCCTGTGTTATATTGTGTTTTATACATATATACACCCCACCTTTATGGAATAAAAATGAATTCAGTGGACCTAAGGCATTTGCTCTGGGGATTTGGGAATTAAATACTGGAGGGCTAGACAATGTCAAAAATTGGAGTGGAATTAAGGAAATTAATAAAATGAGCTGTCTAATTCAAAATTATATATGTATGTCATCTTTGCTTGGGGTTCATATCTCAAGACCCTGCATAAATTAAGTTCATGGCCTGACCCATTTAAAAATAACTCTCTTTTGCTCTTGAAGTCTTTAAGGTCAAGTTCAAGAAGTGTCAGCACTACAATGATTTACCACTTCATGCTTCCTTACTGAGTGTTATTCTCTAGCATTGGTGTGTTTTGTCTCTCCCCCTCCCCATTTGCATCAGAGAACTGATGGGCTGTGTATTTTCAATATCCAGTGTCTGGTTAGAAGATGACAAACATCTGCATTATTTTTCATTTTTCACTTGTCATCAGGATATTTGAGGCGATATACTAAATATACTCACATGATGTCACATGATTTAAGAATATCATTTTCCTCAAGGTAATCTCATTCTAATGTTCTCACTTAGAAACATGATTTTGTTTATTGGTGAATCGACCACTCTGTGATAAGGTGCATTAAGCAATCAAGAGAATATTTTCATGGTTTAATAGAAAAGATCCCGATGTTTTTCCTATCTGAATGGTCCTTGAGATGAATGTGGTGTAAAAATATGATACATTTCCCTGCTTCAGAAGCAGCTCAGAAATCTACGTGTAATGATGGGCTAACAGCTGCAAACACAAGGTGACATCTTTAAAGATAAGGACACTGAGGTATTGATTAGACAAATCTATTTGGCAAGGCAGCAGTGATGTATAGATAGTGGAAGGGGATGTCGGGAGGAATCTGTGAATGCACATATTAGAAAATATCTTGCACCGTTCATAAATAATAACGATTATAATAAAGGCTCTCCCAGTGGTTTAAGGATCCGAGTAATATGAATTGATTGTTAACATTTCACTTTAAAGATAGATTAATTAATGCTGAATCATACGGTAATTCTTATGAAAGTACTGTACATGTGACATCGAAATTAATACCAAATGAATTCATTACAAGTGAGATAATTACAATGAATACCCAATAAATTAGCCACGACAGGACATTTAGAATTCTAGGCATTAAAGTATTGAGAGTAGTAGCAAATGCCCTGGCCACTGCTGAGGTGTCAGGTCACCTCAAACTTAATTGGGTAGGTTCCTGGGCCTTTCAATGTGAGTTTCCTTCTGGTTGGGTATGGGAAGGGCCATGTTGGCTGTGCTGGCTCAGATAAGCTGACAGTGGCTATGGTGGTCACTGGGCCCTTCTATGGGGATGGGTTGTTGCCACAGTCTCCTTAGCAAACTGTTACCAATGAAATGCTGATGATCCCAAGCAAACCACTAGGACTCGGTGAACAAAGAACTTGCAAAGATTCTCCAGCTGAGGTTCTGCTTGGAGCACAGAGAGCCAACTCCTTTGGTGGATCTTCTTATCCTTGCTGTCTGCTGCCATATTCTTACTGTCTGCTGGAGCTTCCTCTGGCCTACAAGGGCATTTTGTAAAACTCTCTCATTTTGGATAGGTTTGTGCTGGAATGCAGAGAAGTCAAGGGACTTCCCCAAGAACACACATCTGTAAATCCCCAGCCTAGGGTTCTTGTTTCTAAGCAATCTGACTAGGAGACAACAATAAACATAATAGCTAATGTTTATTAAGCAAGTAACACAAGCCAAATGTTGTGCTGAATGTCATATGTGTGTCTTCATACAACTCCCTGAGGGAGATGGTAACTCTATTTTGCAAACAGTCCACACAAGTTGAGTAACAAGTGCAAGGTTACCTAGCATGTGAGAGGAGGGTTGAGGACTCTAACCCAGGTTTATTTGTCACCATCACTTGGCTTTCCGGCAGCCGTGAGGTTCCACCTGGTGTCGGTGAGGCATGGTCTCCTGCCAAAGTCTGGTTTACTGCGAGTTCCCTGCAGCCATCCCAGAAAACTGGGTCAACTGTGGGAGAAGAACAGAGGGAGGCGGGGCAGAGATGCAGCTTCTGGGATGTGAGCAGGTGAGTGGGAGAGAGGCTGCCCCTTCTCATCGAGGGTTTGAGAATCAGGCCTTCCTTTTCTGCTTCCTTAACCCCTTTCTGCCCAGGGATGGTAGAACCTCGAGACGAATGGGACCTGCTAACAGGGAGCCCAGGCGATGGGCTGCTTTCCACCTGAGAAACAAATTTCTTTTTTTTTTTATTAATTTTTTTATTATATTTAAGTTATGGGGTACATGTGCAGAAAGTGCAGTTTGTTACATAGGTATACAAGTGTCATGGTGGTTTGCTGCACCCATCAACCCAAGGTCTACGTTAGGTATTTCTCCTAATGCTATCCCTCCCCTAGGAGAAACAAATTTCAATTGTGTTAAGTCACAGAAACATTGGGGCGTATTAGTTCCCTAAACTAAAATGGGAGGTACACAACAAGGATGCAGGTCTTGGGTGGCTTTAGTTCCTGCTTGGCTCCATCAGGGTGATTTTATAGCTCCTACACGTTGCGTCAGGATCTGTGACAGTTTTCTGGGAGGAAAGGCCGCCCTACAGCCATCCCTTATGTAGAAAAGTCGAGGTGTGTTGCATCTCAGGCATCCCTGCAAGAGTCCCAGGCGCCACTGGAGGCCTCCGTGAAGCTCTGGCCCAGCCGGCCTCTGCACCCTGTGGGCTGATGCTGCCATTTGGCAGCCAGTGGACTAGGCACACCCTGGTGGGGATGGCCATGTGTTGACCACACGAGCCTCACTGGTAAGGCTCTGGGAATCAGACCAGAACACTCAATAGAAGTAGGAAGAGGGCTTTAAAACATTTAATTCAGAAATAATTTTAGTGTTAAACAGAAGAACTGTTTCTCTCCATGGAACTTAGATCACTGCAGGAGAGAAGGGAAAGAGAAGGTGGCAGCGGGGTGGGGGGGCGCAAATCCTGAATCAGCTGAATCTATCCTAAAATGTTTGAAAAACAAATCTAGAATCGATGAAGTTATGAACTGGCAAGACTACATTTTGCAACATTAATGGAGATGGGGGCTAGAGAGATAATTGTTTGGTTATAGGGAAATAAAGGCGACTGCATCTTTGCACACATGGGCATATTCTACACACTCTGTGTTCAGACCCTGCAGTGTAGCACTGGTTAATACTGGGCAAAGCTCAGTCTCCTTCAGGCTTCTATTAATAGATGATTGTGACATTGTAACACTGGGACAGGAATCTGCCCAGCAATGCAGTTTGTGCCGAGAAGGTGGCTGTGGACAGGTGGCTGTGGTCATTTATTCATCCAACCAGTATTTATTGAGCCCATATTATGTGCCAGGCATCAGGGTTTCCAAGGTGCTGAGAAAATCCCTGCCTAAAAGGATGACTTTTTTACTACCTAAAATTCCTTATATTCCTAAATACTTTGCTGAGGTCAGCCACCACGAGGGAGACAGGCAGAACAGTAGAAAGGTGTAGGTTTGGGAGTCAGGCCACCTGGGACCAAATCACAGCTGAGTTTGTAAATTTGGATGAGTTATGAACTCTCTTAGGGCTTCGCTTTCCTCATTTGTAAAATGAAGATAATAAAAATACCTATTTCAGTGCAGTGTTGTTGTGAGGATTAAGTGAGACAATTTATTGAACCTCCAGAATATATTAGCTCTGAGTCTATGAAGCTCTGGGCAACTGAGTACATTGAAGCTATTATAGTTGATGGAAAAGAATTTTGGTGAGAGGAAGGAAAGGAAGATTCTGCAAGAAGAACAGAACTGAAGAGAATGCCAGGCCTGGTGCCTGGGCAGCCTATCTCCAGGCTGAAGACAAAAGGCTTGGGAAAGGGGGATTTGGACAGAAGAGTCTCAGGGAAGTAGAGGACACACACCTGCTCTGCCACCCTCAGCACAACACCTGGCATGGTGCCAGGTCATCAGGAAACCCACCTGCAGGGTGGTGCTTGCAGAGCCCTTCGTATGGGCTTCCTGGTGCCATCTTCCCCGGCAGCGAACCGTTCCCCACCCAAGAGCTAACCTGCCTCCGTTCCCCACCTCCAGCTCTGTCTGTCTCCACACCAAGACTCAACCAGAGCAAAATGCTAAAAGGGCAATTTCTGTGGCACTGTAAAAGTGAAAAGCACCAGAGTAATTTACAATGCCTCCATTTTCCTCTGTGCCTTTTAAGAAAAGCATCGTTTTATTCCTTTGGGGTTCACATTGTTATTCCTTCATTATTCTCTGTTTGGAGTAGTAAATGAACACAGAACTGCACGGCAGAGGAAATAAACAAATTGCAAAGTTCCTGGCCATCGAAAAACTTGAAGTGTAGTAGCGTGAGTGGCATAAATAATAATTCAATACAGAATGGGGACAAGGCGATGAGTGGCTTTTACCAACGATGTCCTCTGTGGACCATGTGGGGTTTCAGGAGCAGCAAAATATAGCGGAAGCAAGAAAACACAAATTGGCATATGTTTTAAATAAAAGGGAAAAATGGGGCGGGGTGGGGGAGAAGTTACAACATTAAGATTTTACAATAAAGAAGATAGAGAACTGAGAATTTTCTGGATTGGATAAAAGGACTCAAGGGAAAAAATAAGATAAAATATGGGGGCAATATAATGGTAGCAGTTTTGGTTTTCAGACAAAGAAACAGGATCTTCATGTAAGTTCAGAGATATTGAGTGTTAGATGGCAGTGTGGGAACAGGTTGTACAACCCAGCCAGAAATAGCTGGCCCAGCGGGTAGAGCCTGGGCCTGGGAAGTGTAGCAGCACCAACGATAACCAAACTCTACTCTTGGAAAGAGCTGCTTCTATCCTGAGAGGAGAGACTGTGCCCTGGGGACAGGCAGGGCACCAGGGGTGACAGGAGCAGGAAGGGGCCTGGGGCTTCAGAGCTGAGTCTTGTGTTAAAATATTCCTGCCCCTGTGGTCTTCATGATTGGAGCACCTCCTTCTGCTTTCTCACACCCAGTCTAAGCTACAAGGCAGAGAATGGACACGCTAACAAACTGCCACTTCGCTATGGTTTTGCTGCCTTGCCTTTGATAATCTCTGTGTGTCAGAGTCCTTTTTGGAAGCAATGCCTATCCTCCTATGTGAGTAATGCATGTAAAGCAGCCCAGCCCTAAAATGGTGCTGGCCAGGGAGCTGATGGCCATCGACAGGAGACCTCTATTACCAGTTAGGCCTTGGGGGCTTCAGGGAATATCCAGGCCTCTAAGCTATAAAGAAAAACAGGACCTTGAATGAAGCCAGAGGACTGCTTCTCTCTCTGTGAAGCGCCTCTTCCATTTAAACATCCAACACATGAGATTCAGGTATGGGAAACCACAGAGGAAGAGCAGGTAATAGGTAAAATAATATTTATTTCTTCTTCCAGTGCTTTCTGGCTTCAAAATTTCTTCTATTCATAGGTAGAGTTGCAATGAAGCTGGTAAAAATGAGCCCCCATGGGAAAATCCAATAGGAAGTATTGCCAAGCTATGCTTCAAAATACTATCTGTAAAATTTCTCAAAACTCTAGAGTTTGAGACCAGGAGTTTGAGACCAGCTTGGACAACATAGTGAGACCCTGTCAAAAGAAACAAGGAAGGAAGGAAGGAAGGAAGGAAGGAAGGAAAGAAAGAAAGAAAGAAAGAAAGAAAGAAAGAAAGAAAGAAAGAAAGAAAGAAAAAGAAAGAAAGATAGAAAGAAAGAAGGAAGGAAGGAAGGAAAGAAAGAAAGATAGAAAGAAAGAAGGAAGGAAGAAAGGAAAGAAAGAAAGAAAGAAAGAAAGAAAGAAAGAAAAAGAAAGAAAGAAAGATGTAGCCAAGTGTGGTGGTGCACATCTGTGTCTCAAAACAAAACAACAACAACAACAAAACCCCAAAAAACCAATAGCCACTGCTTAGCTCTTCTAAGTCTAAGGACCTGCACTCCAGCTGGAAATGGTTCTGGCCTGGTGTCTTTCCCCTCCTCCTGGGGTAGCAGGGCAGCCTGGCTTGTTCTTCTCCCAAGGATGACAGAAATGCAGAAAAGCAAGCAGTCACAAGTCCTTTGCTTGCATGAAGTCCGCTGTCATCCCATTATCCAGAGCAAGTCACAGGGCTGGGGAGGAACAGGGCAAAGGTCCAGAGAAACAGCCCCTCACACGGAATCTCTTACTGGGTGAGGGGGGAAACCTGTCTCCCTCAGTCAGGGGGGAGTGTGGGTGGGCCCTTTCTCACTCTCCTGCCTCCACGGACTTGTGCCACTCCCGGGGAATTGCCCTCGACTGGCCATGGTCTGGAACAGCCTGGGAGCTTTTGGGCAGAACAGCTCAGATGTAACCACCTGGCTGGGGGGGCACTTCTGCCTTTAGAGGGGTCTGTGTCCCTGGCCACTGCTCAAGCAAGGAGCTCTCTCAGGCTGCTGAAGGAGAGTCTATGTTTCCTGCTGCAAGTCAGGGCTGCACCAACCCTGACAGATGAGTCAAGTCTTAGAACATATGACATTTATATTGAGAAACAAGAGAGACTGATGTTTAAACTCTGGAATGGACAATAACACCCTGTGAATAACCATGGTCTTAGAGACTCCGGCTTGGTCATGACATTGAGAAAAGTCCTTTGCCAGCTCTTCTGGCAGCATTGGCTCTGCCAGATCTGCTTGATCATCCACAAGTTCAGCGGGAGAGGCCAGGACCAGATCCATCCACAAGTTCAAGGGGAGAGGCTAGGGGCCAGGGTCACCTCAATTTTCACCCTGGGCCCGCAGCTCCAGGCCTCAGAAGCCAGCACGTCCTTTTCTACAGCTTGAGAAACTGGATGTGACTGTCAACACTTGGACACCCATGAGCCACCAACTAACAGGTTAAGAAGTTTTACCTATTTCATTTCATTTATTTATTTATTTATTTTTAATTGACAAATTATAATTGTATATGTTAATGAAAATGTAATGTTATAATATATGTATACAGTGTAGAATGATTAAATCAAGCTAATTAACATGTCCATCACCTCAAATACTTATCATTTTTTTTTTGTGGTGCAAACTTTGAAATTTACTGTTTTAACTATTTTGAAATATACAGTATATTATTAACAATAGTTGCCATGCTGTGCAATATATCTCAAAAAACTCATTTCTTTTGTCTAGCTGAAACTTTGTACCATTTGACCAACAACTCCCCATCCCTCCCCGAGCCTCTGTAATCACCATTCCCCTCTCTGCTTGTATGCATTCGATTGCTTTACATTCCACGTGTAAATGAAATCATGCAGAAGTTTTACCAATTCTCTCAGGATCTTGCTTATGTAATTTGGTGAACTTCCACTTCAGCACTATTGCAAAAGCCAGGAACAACTTTGAGTAAAACTCTGAGTGAGATTTTATTTTACTTGCAATGGCGGTGAAAATGGTATCCAGTATTTTCCAAGGGAATGCCAATACAGTGTTTACAAGAAGGAAGCAGAGGACTTGAAAACAGAGAGAGATTACAGGGATCCAGAAAATCAGGATACATCAGATCAAACTATAATAAACAACTTTCCCGTGTTTCCAGATGTTCTGGATCATAGATACAGTCTCCTTTCTCAGATTCACAACTGGGGCCTAATCCTTTAAGTTTAATCAATACTTCATCAGAAAAGCGTCCTTGAGGGTGAAGAAAAACATTGAGTATATTACTTGAATATCTGTATTATTCAAAAATTAGCTTATCATATGTTTTTTGATATCCTGAAATTTGTGTTTAGGGTTCAAAATAGAGGTGCAAATTGTATCAAGCAAAATAAAACTTGAGATTGCTGCTCTTTCATTTTTCTTTCTTTTCTTTTCTTTTCTTTTTTCTTTTTTTTTTTTTTGAGATCTGCAGCTTCTAGTTTTCTACCCTGACCTCAATACAATTATGGGGAGGGTTTGAGGGGAGAGTCTGAAATTTCTCATTCACTAAAGCTACATCATTCCTGAGAGCTCAAAAATCATTTTCCAGTCTGATGTTCTATGTTATTTTCTTTTTGTTTTTGTTTTCACAAAGTCGACTGGTAAAATGATGAGAAGACACCAAAGAGTAACTTTAGGATTTTGCAGCCTCAAAGGCCGAGAGAGATTGCCAGCAATTTGAATCTGATCCTAAAGAGTAGATGTGCAATGGGCTGGGTTCTTGTGGCCGGCCCCGGGCGTCTGACGTGTCTCACCGTTACAGAGAGCTGGTCTGCATTGTCCGGGCATGGCCAGGATTCAGAGAGGGGAAAAAGGAAGCTCTGTTTAGTGTAATCTAAACACCAGCACAAAGCTGCAGGTGTCTGCCCAGAGAAACACAAGTACCATTTCTCTTAGGCACAGGAAGTCTTCTTCAGACTTGTTTAAAGAAGAAAGACCAGGCAGACACCTCAACAATGATGATACGTTATGTCTTAAAGGGAGTAAAGTGCTAGTGAATGTAAATCTTCCCCTCCTCAAATCCTTTCTTTTTCCTCTTCAAATTGCTGTTTCTAAACATTATCCTGACATACAAACTGGTTTAACTTGACATCCATAATAAAAACATATTTATCTGAATAAATTTCAAATCAATGACACTTTTGCGTGCACCTGATGCATTTTGCTCTGGGTAGGTTGATACTGTTCAGGCACAGCCTCCACAGACTTTCTTTCCTATAGCTTCTTTCTCCACTTCCCTCCTCATTTCCCACTCCTGCCACCACGGCCTCCACCACAATCTACACCACACTTACATTCTGGCTTTGCTCCTGTAGCATTAAAGCATTTGTATTGGCATTGTAGGTTGTCTTACCACTTTAAATGTAAAGGAGACAGTGAACTAGAGCAAAGGAGAATGGGAGAGTTGATTTCGTTCCCCTACCTACCAAGGAAAGAGAAAGAATAGCCAGAGGAAATGAGGTCTTCTGAAACTCAAAAATGGGATTCGAGAACAATGCAGCCTTCTGGAAACTGTGGAGTGTTAAGGGAAGTTATGCTCTGTCACAGGAAGGGTGAGTGAGGCACTGTGCCTTGTGAGACCTCTGGCCAGGCTCTGTGGCAGCTGCAGGTGGGGCAGCAACCTGGGAAACAAGAGGTGACTTCACTTGGTAGCACTCAGACTTGGATTGAGGAAGATCGGAGGCCCACCACTGAGTTGTTTGTATTAAAAGGTGTGCATTAAAGGGGGCCAAATCGTTGACTATGGCTTGACTTTTAAATTTTAAGAAGCTGAACTTGAAGCTTATTGTCCTCTCCTCCCCCTCCTCTTCCCTCTCCCTCCTTCCTTCCAGAGAACTGGTAGAGTTTATTGGTTAAGAACATGAGATCTGGTTTGCATGCCTGTGCTGACAAGTTCTAGCTATGTGCTTTTAAGCAAGACACGGATCCCTCTATGTCTCAATTATCTTTCCTGTAAAATGTGGGCAATGGTAGTAGCCACCTTGCTAACGTTTGCCATTAAGATTATGATATGACTTTTTAATCTTTGGGAGTGAAACTCTTCTTTCAGAAGTACAAGATACAAGAATTTAACACAGCTTATCATTCTGCCTTTCTTCTTGAGTGTTCTCCAGCCATCCATTCGAGGAGTATTTCTAAACACCCATCGTGGGTGAGATGTGGGGTGACATGATGGGCCTCTCTGACCAGAAAAGAGGAAATATGAAAGCTCCACTAAATTACAGCTAGAATACAAAACTTTCATTTAGTATGTGACTCACATTTTCAGTATTTCTACATCAGTGTTTATACAGGTACTGCCATGAAACTAAAAACATTCATTTGCGTGGTAATTAACACTTAATATTATTAGATTTTATTGTAAAAATTGTGTCAAAATAGACATGAAATTTACCATCTTAACCATTTTAAGTGTTCAGCTCAGCTCAATGGTCTAAAGTCCACTTACATTTTTGCACAATTAATGGGTACTGAATCTCTGTACCCATTAAACAACAACTCCTCACTCCCTCCTCCCCACAGCTCCTGGGGACTGCCATTCTTACTTTCTATCTTTATCAATTTGACCGCTCCAGGTACCTGGAATCAGTGGAATCATACATTATTCATCATTTGTGACTGGCTTATTTTGCTTAGCATAATGTCCTCAAGGTTCAGCCATGTTGCAGGAAGTGACTGGATTTCCTTCCATTTTAAGGCCGCATAATATCCCCTTGTATTTATGTGCCACATTTTAAAGATCCATTCATCCATTGATGGACATGCGTGTTGTTTCCACCATTCAGCTATTGTGAATAGTGCTGCCATGAATGTGGGTCTACGTAAGCACTTAGGATTTTGATAATGACAATCTCTTCAAATTTGATAGCAGAACACTTGCTTAACAGTAGGTAACAAGATTTCAATTTTATAGAGACACCCTTTACTACTTCAACAAACACTCGCTATCTCCGAGTGCCAGGTGCTGGTGTCCAGGGCAAACCCCAGAGCTGTCAGAGAACTTCAGTCACCAGGGAGGCAAATAGGAAACAGGCAAACACACCAGTTGGCATTTATCATTATTCATGGCAGCCAGTGCTGTGAAGGAAACAGCAGGACGCACTGAGAGAGCTCTGGCTGGGTGACCTTGCTCTGGCAGGGTGGTCAGGGAGGGGCTTTCTCACAAGGGGATCTTTGTGCTGAGGCCTGAGGATGAGAAGAAACCAGGGCAGTGCAGAGTGGGAGGTAAGAACTTTCTGGGTGAGAGCACAGCACAGGAGAGTTCTGGGTAACACACCTGGACTGTCCCCCACTCTGTAGATCAGTTCTGACTGTGCTCCTAGTTGCTGAGTGTGACTTGAGCTCCTGACATTCCTGCAGCTCAGTCTTGGTTTATGAATCAAGCATAAAGTTGCCTGCTATTGACACATGCTTTGTAACCTTGGAACTGAAGCATCTCAGGAGTGGATAGAAGCATGAATATCCTTCTGCTTCCGTGGCTCCCAACCCAGTCCTGTTTTAGGGTCTGGGTCCCCAGGGAGTTCATAACAAAAAATCTTTGCTGGTGTTTCCCATATGAGAGGAAGGAGGGTGCTGTTTCAATATGGAGCATCACTCAGACAGAGCCCTTCCTTGGTGAAATGTGCTCTAAAGCTTACACATTTCCTCCTGTCGTTTGTATATATATATATATATATGACATATATATATATACACGTATATATATATGTGATATCTCACTGTGTCCCAAATATGTATTTATTTGTCCCAGAATGGAATAAGTCTTAAGTCAGGCAATTTTATATTGTGGAATGGATTGCTAAGGAAAAGATTCTGGATTTCCAGGAAGCCAACACAAATAGCAAACTACAAGGATGTAAAGTGAGAACAAAAAATGACATCAGTTTTGGAAACTTCTATCTCAAGCCCATGTCAGCCTCCCCGGTCCTCATTGTGAACGTGCATGTGTCTTCTCAGGCCTGTTCATCAAAGCCATTTCCTCGGACCCACTTTATAGAGAAATGAGTGCTCAGCGCATGTGAACCGAAGGTCCTTTTGTGATATGAAGTGACTCCGGACACTCACGAACACCTGTCTGTACTAGATGTCTCTGAGATAGGATGAACCTATTTCACTGAAAACTTAAATAGGTTAAGCTCTTTGCTGTTACTGTTGCTGATGTAATGTCACCCACATTTTTTTTTATTAATATGATCCCTTAGGATATGAAAATATTTATATTAGTCTCAGATAGCCAAGGAACACACTTTTGTTTTAGTCATTCAATTTTTTCTCACATAATGCTAACTCAGTGCCGACTTTGCCTCTTGGTCTGAGGCTGGCCTATTTTGTTTATTGTTGTTAGTGTATTTTTATATGTGTTATATGCAGTCCTTTTTGAGGACTAGGACAATAAGAAATATATTTTACTTCATCTGAATTAACAAATTTTCACAAAACAACATTTATTACTTACTCCAAGAGACGCATTCTAGTATCTTCTAATCTATAATATTCTCTTTAATTATGTTCTATTTCATTTTTAAAAATGCTAGCCCAAACCTACTAAAGTGCCATGATTCACTAATGGGTTGAGCCCCGCAATTTGAAACACACTGTACAGTCAAGCTATGGGGCCTTCTGTGGCTCACTACCTGTCCAGAGCACACAGGCTCCTTCAGGTAGCATGGTGGTTTCTTTCTGAAGGCTCAGTACATGGCAAGGGTTTCCACCGGTTAATTGTTGAATCAAGTGACTTAATTTCTTTTTTTCTTTTTAATAATTTGAACTTTTTTTTTTCAGAGGCAGGGTCTTGGTCTGTCACCCAGGCTGGAGTGCAGCGGCGTGATCACAGCTCACTGCAGCCTCCACCTCCTGCTCAAGTGATCCTCCTGCCTCAGCCTCCTGAGTAGCTGGAACCACAGGCATGCACCACCACGCCTGTCTAATTTTTTATTTTTTGTGGAGACAGGGTCCCCCTATGTTGCCCAGGCTGATTTTGAATTCCTGGGCTGAAGCCATCCTCTCACCTGGGCCTCCCAAAGTACTGAGATTACAGGCATGAACCACTGAGCCCAGCCTAATTTTGACTTTTATTTTAGATTCAGGGGGTACATGTACAGGTTTGTTACATGAGCATATTGCATGATCCTGAGGTTTCGGGTACAAATGATCCCATCACTCAGGTAATGAACATAATATCGGATAGGTGGTTTTTCAGCCCTTGACCCTCTCCGCCTCACTCCTTCTAGTAGTCCTCAGTGTCAGCTGGTCCCCTTTTTGTGTCCATATGTACCCAATGTTTAGCTCCCACTTATAAGTGAGAACATGCAGTACTTGGTTTTCCATTCCTACATTGATTTGCTTAGCATCATGACCTCCAGCTACATCCATATTTCTGCAAAGGACATAATTTCATTCTTTTTAATGTCTGCATAGTATTCCATAGTGTATATGTACCACGTTTTCTTTATTCAGTTCACCATTGATGTGCACCTGGATTGATTGCATATCTTTGCAATTGTGAATAGTGCTGTGATGAACATATTCATGCATGTGTAGAACAATTTATTTTCCTTTGGGCATATACCCAGTAATGGGATTACTGGGTTGAATGGTAGTTCTGTTTTTAGTTCTTTGAGAAATCTCCAAACTGCTTTCCACAGTGGCTGAACTAATTTACATCTGCACAAACAGTGTTATAAGCATTTTCCTTTTCTTTGCAGTATTGCCAGCCTCTGTTATTTTTTATCATTTTAGTAATAGCCATTCTGACTGGTGTGAGATGGTATCTCATTGTGGCTTTGATTTGCATTTCTCTGACAATTAGTGATGATGAGCATTTTTTTCATATGTTTGTTGGCCTCTTGTATGTCTTCTTTTGAGAAGTGTTGGTTCATGTCCTTTGCTTACTTTTCAGTGGGGTTATCTTGTTGAGTTGTTTTGAGTTCCACACAGATTGTGGATATTAGACCTTTGTTGCATGCAGAGTTTGAAAATATTTTCTCCCATTCTCTGGGTTATCTGCTTACTCTGTTGATAGTTTCTTTCACCGTGCAAAAGCTGTTTAGTTTAATTAAGTCCCACTTGTCAATATTTTTTGTTGTTGCAATTGCTCTTGAGGACTTGGTCATAAATTCTTTGCCAAAGCTGACTTCCAGAATGGTATTTCCTAGTTTTTTTTTTCTATGGGTTTTGTAATTTGAGGTCTTAAATTTAAATCTTTAATCCATCTTGAGTTAATTTTTGTATATGGTGAAAGGTAGGGGTTCAGTTTCATTCTTTTGCATATGGCTAGCCAGCTATCTCAGCACTATTTATTGAATATGGAGTCCTTTTCTTATTGCATATTTTTGTCAACTTTGTTAAAGATCATTTGGTGTAGGTGTATTACTTTATTTCTGGGTTATCTGTTTTGTTCCATTGGTCTATATGTCTGTTTTTGTACCAGTACCATGCTGTTTTGGTTATTGTAGCCTTATAGTATAATTTCAAGTCAGACAATGTAATGCCTCCAGCTATGTTGCTTAGGATTGCCTTGGTTATTCAGGCTTTTTTTTTGGTTCCAAATGAATATTAGAATAGTTTCTTTTCTAATACTGTGAAAAATGGTGTTAGTATCTTGATAGGAATAATGTTGAATCTATACATTGTTTTGAGCAGTATGACCATTTTAATAATATTAATTCTTCCAATCCATGATCATGGAATGTTTTCCCATTTGTTTATGTCATCGCTGATTTCTTTCAGCAGTGTTTTGTAGTTCTTGTAGAGATCTTTTACCTCCTTGGTTAGCTGTATTCCTGGATATTTTATTTTTGTGTGTGGCTATTGTAAGTGGGATTGCATTCCTGATTTGGCTCTCTGCTTGAATGTTATCAGTGTATATAAATGCTACTCTGTGCTCGCTTCGGCAGCACATATATTAGAAATGCTGCCCATTTTTGTGCATTGATTTTGTATCCTGACACTTTACTGAAGTCATTTATCAGGTCTAGGAGCATTTTGGCAGAGTCTTTAGGGTTTTCTAGGTAGAGAATCATATCATTAGTGAAGAGAGATGATTTGACTTCTTTTTCTATTTGGATACCTTGTATTTCTTTCTCTTGCCTGGATAGGACTTCCTGTTTTTTGTTTTTTGAGAGAAGGTCTGACTCTGTCATCCATACTGGGCTGCGGAAACTTAATCTCTTGAGTTTTGAACCCCCTGTCATTGAATTATACGAGAAAAAAAATTTCTTGATGGGTACTCTGCAAATTAAGAGTTTTGTTAACTTGGACCTCCTCTGGTCAAAGCTCCAACCAGCTTGAATCCCTTTCTTGCTGTTGATTGCTTCCTAATTTTTTTGGTCATAAATAACCTTAAGGAGGCAATTCAAACTTTGGCCACTTCTCTAAGAATGAGTTTTCTCATCCACAAAATGAGGAGAACTCTCTCATAAGGTCATGAGGATTAAATAAAATAATTTGGGTAAAGCATTTAGAATACATGGTAATTCCTCAATATTAACCATTATTATTGTTGTCAATTTTGCTTTCAAATATGTTAGCCCCTGAGAATCCACAATATTCTCTATCTTCATATTCTTGTATTTCAGCCTGTGACGTTAAGAGGAAGTCATCAGGAGAAGACCTTCTTAGTCCATTCAGGCCGTGAAAACAAATTATCAGGAACTAGGTGGCTTATAAACAATGTATGTGAAATTTGTTTCTCACAATTTTGGAGCCTGGGAAGTTCAAGAACAAGGCAGATTTGGTATCTGGTGAGGGCCCACTCTTTGGTTAGTAGACAGTGTCTTTTCACTCTGTTATTGCCCACCTCCCAATACTATCACATTGGGGGATTTCATCATATGAATTCTGGGGAGATAGAAACATTCAGATCATAACAAGGTGGCAGAAAAAATTTTCAGGAGGTCAGGGACTGTATCTTTTTCATCCTTACAGCTATAGCAGCCATTATAGGTTATTACTTTATAAATATGGCATTGGAAGGGAACAAGAATGAAGAAGAGAATAGAAGGGAAGGTCCCAGTGGAAACTCATGATCTGTTGCCTAAATTCCAAACATGAACCAGTTCTCAGACGTGGAGCCCATTAGTTGAGGGTCAAGTCCCAGTAAGGAAGGATTCTGCAACACTGAGGCAAATGTATACTGTAGGAATTCCTCAGTTCTCCTTTAAAGGCACATATGGGTGTTTACTTGGGTAACCCTTGGGAATAGGTTATGTCCAGCTTGTTCAAAAGCTGTTGGTTATAGGTCTGAGTTGATGTTGATTCCTCCCAACCCAAAGCACCATCATCATGTCCCTGTTAGAGGAGGGCTTTATGGGGCAAGTAATCAATGGAGCCATGGCCCTGAGCCATCATGAGATGGTGGGTCTCCCAGGTCCGCAGACCAACAGATGGTCACTTCCCAAATTCCTGAATACATACTAGGTAAGAACATACTTACCTTGGCAGAATCCTCATATTTCTTCCTGACCTTGGAGTAAAAGCTATTGTCATAGGAAAAGCCAAATGGAGGCTCCTGAAACTGCCTTCCCATATCAGGGTAGTTAATCAAAAGCAGCATGGTATCCTGGAAAGAATGGCAGAGGCTAAGTGCTACACTAACTGACACATGACGCAGAGGTAGTGGCTTTTATCTTAATCATCAGTCTGGTTCTGACAAAACCAGATGGATCATAGCAGATGACAATGAACTATTACAAACAACCAAGTAATGGCTCCAATTACAGCTGCTTTGTCAGATGGGCTCTCTTTACTAGGGCAGATTATCACAGCCTCAAGTATGGGGGATGCAGTTATTGATCTGGCAAATGCATTCTTTCCCATAAGGTAGGAAGAACAGAAGAAATTAGCATTTAACTGGGATGGACAACAGTACACAGTAATGATCTAGTCCCAGGTATATGTTGATTCTGCTCTCTGTCACAAGATAGCCTGAAAGGACCTGGATTGACTGGGCATTCTGCAGAACATTGTTCCACTAATGATAGGTACTCTAGATGCCTTAGTAAGATAAATTCTTCAGAGAGTGGGAGGTAAACTTGCCAAAAATTCAGGGGTCTGCTACATTAGGGAAGGTTATAGGTGGTCCAGGGGTCTGGGGCATGTCAGCAGGCCCTCTAAAGTAAGTAACAAGTACCTTATTCTTAGTAAGGAAGAAAGTAAGGAATAAATGAATACTTTGCAGCCACTTCTACTCAGAAAGATGCATAATTGTTAGCTCTTTTTGGGTTTTGAAGGCAGTATATTCTGTACTTGAGAATATTTCTGATTCATTTATCAAGTGACATGGAAGGATGCTACTTTGGAGTTGGACCTGAAGCAAGAAAATTCCTTATATTACAGGTATTTCTGCTGTTTAGACTATATGATCCAGCAGATGCCATGGTCCTAGAGGTATCTGGGTAGAATGGGATGTTGAGTAACAGCTCTGGAAAGCCCCCAAAGGAGTTACAGCATAGAACCTGTGGTTCTGGGGCAGGGTCACACTATCTGCGGCAGAGTGCTGTATGCCACGTGAAAAATATTTCTTGACATGCTATTGGGCACTTGTAGAGACAGAACATCCAAACACGTAATATCAATTGACCACATGCCAATCATGAACTGGGTATAATCAGCCCCACCAAGATATGAGGTCAGGCAGGCCCAGCAACAATCTGTTGTAAAATGAAAGTGGCACATCCTGGATTGGGCTTGAGCAGGTCCAGAGGATACAAATAAGCTACATGAACAGGTGGCCCAGACCTCCACATGATCTACTACTTTGCACTGATGTCTTTCCCTCATCTCACACCTATTGCCACATAGGGGACTTCTTATGAGACCAGTTGAAGGAGGAGAAAAACCAAGCTTGGCACACAATAGCTGAGCATATTGACATGAGCTGAAAATGGACTATTGCTGCACTATAGCCCCTCTTGTGGTCTTGAAAGACATTGGGGTGCAAAATCCTTCAATCGGTAGAGTCTCACACCAGTACTGCCTCTGGCCATCAACTTTGTATAGAAAGAGAAGAGGATTAGGTAAGAATATGCATGGGTTCTGGGGAAGTGACTCAACTCATTTTTAAGGGGCATAGAAAAAGAGGAACAAAAAATTTTGGAGAAGAGTTATGTGGACAGACCTATGGGAGTGGTCCTAAAGTGTGATCTTTGGATTGCATGTAAATGCACAACAAGAGCCACTGCAGCAAAAGTACAAACAACCAAACAGATGGGATGGATTGGCCAGTGGATGCCAGCCTCTGTCCTTGGCTTCCCCAGGGCATGATCAATGGGCTCATGAGTGGAGCCATCATGAAGGCAGAAACAGAGGCTATGCATGAGCCCAGCAGCAAGAACTTCCTCTCACCAGGGCTGATTAAACTACTGCTGCTGCTAAACATCAGATTTGTAAGCTCAAAAAAGCTAAGATCCTGAAGCTGATCAGCAAGATGTATGTGGCAAATTTATTCCAGAAGCCTCTTCTCACCCTGGTTAGAATAGTGATTCACTCACTGAGACTGAGACATATTCTGGATATGGCTTTATCTTTCCTGCCCACAAGACCTTGACCATCTCATTATCCAAGGGCCCACAGAGTGTCTGCTTCACTGACAAGGGATCACCTATAACATCTCTTTGGACTGAAGACAAACTTTATGGCAAAGGAAGTGTGGCAGTGTGCAGACAACCATGGGATCTACCTATTCTACCCCATGCCACACCATTTAGAAGTTGCCAACCTGAAAGAATAGTGGAAAAGCCTCCTAAAGAAGCAGTTGAATCACCTTCTTGAGTACGGCACCCCAAGTGGATGAGGGACTACTTTAGAATGCAGTAAACTTTTAGAACTAATGCCATTGTAGCTAATATACCTAGACGTAGAAAACATGGTTCCAGGAAGTAGAAGTGGCTTTGTTCATCATTTCTGTCATCATGACTGACTGAGGAAATTCGTATATTCCACCCACACAATTTTAGGTAACCTGGTTCTTGGAGGTGGCTGCTTCCATGAAAGAACATAGTCAGGGTCCTAGGGAATGTAAAGACATGGCTGTGCCTCTGGCCACTTTGGTCTTTTTACGCTAATAGACAACCAGGCATAGAGAAATGTACTATAGATTCTGGATATTAGCCCTTTGTCAGATGAGTAGGTTGAGAAAATTTTCTCCCATTTTGTAGGTTGCCTGTACACTCTGATGGTAGTTTCTTTTGCTGTGCAGAAGCTCTTTAGTTTAATTAGATCCCATTTGTTAATTTTGGCTTTTGTTGCCATTGCTTTTGGTGTTTTAGACATGAAGTCCTTGCCCATGCCTATGTCCTGAATGGTAATGCCTAGGTTTTCTTCTAGGGTTTTTATGGTTTTAGGTCTAATGTTTAAGTCTTTAATCCATCTTGAATTGATTTTTGTATAAGGTGTAAGGAAGGGATCCAGTTTCAGCTTTCTACATATGGCTAGCCAGTTTTCCCAGCACCATTTATTAAATAGGGAATCCTTTCCCCATTGCTTGTTTTTCTCAGGTTTGTCAAAGATCTGATAGTTGTAGATATGCGGCATTATTTCTGAGGCCTCTGTTCTGTTCCATTGATCTATATCTCTGTTTTGGTACCAGTACCATGCTGTTTTGGTTACTGTAGCCTTGTAGTATAGTTTGAAGTCAGGTAGTGTGATGCCTCCAGCTTTGTTCTTTTGGCTTAGGATTGACTTAGTGATGCAGGCTCTTTTTTGGTTCCATACGAACTTTAAAGTAGTTTTTTCAAATTCTGTGAAGAAAGTCATTGGTAGCTTGATGGGGATGTCATTGAATCTATAAATTACCTTGGGCAGTATGGCCATTTTCACGATATTGATTCTTCCTACCCATGAGCATGGAATGTTCTTCCATTTGTTTGTATCCTCTTTTATTTCATTGAGCAGTGGTCTGCAGTTCTCCTTGAAGAGGTCCTTCACGTCCCTTGTAAGTTGGATTCCTAGGTATTTTATTCTCTTTGAAGCAATTGTGAATGGGAGTTCACTCATGATTTGGCTCTCTGTTTGTCTGTTATTGGTGTATAAGAATGCTTGTGATTTTTGTACATTGATTTTGTATCCTGAGACTTTGCTGAAGTTGCTTATCAGCTTAAGGAGATTTTGGGCTGAGACAATGGGGTTTTCTAGATATACAATCACGTCATCTGCAAACAGGGGCAATTTGACTTCCTCTTTTCCTAATTGAATACCCTTTATTTCCTTCTCCTGCCTAATTGCCCTGGCCAGAACTTCCAACACTATGTTGAATAGGAGTGGTGAGAGAGGGCATCCCTGTCTTGCGCCAGTTTTCAAAGGGAATGCTTCCAGTTTTTGACAAATTTACAAGAAAAAAACAAACAACCCCATCGAAAAGTGGGCGAAGGACATGAACAGACACTTCTCAAAAGAAGACATTTATGCAGCCAAAAAACACATGAAAAAATGCTCACCATCACTGGCCATCAGAGAAATGCAAATCAAAACCACAATGAGATACCATCTCACAACAGTTAGAATGGCGACCATTAAAAAGTCAGGAAACAACAGTTGCTGGAGAGGATGTGGAGAAATAGGAACAATTTTACACTGTTTGTGGAACTGTAAACTAGTTCAACCATTGTGGAAGTCAGTGTGGCGATTCCTCAGGGATCTAAAACTAGAAATACCATTTGACCCAGCCATCCCATTACTGGGTATATACCCAAAGGACTATAAAGACACATGCACATGTATGTTTATTGCGGCACTATTCACAATAGCAAAGACTTGGAACCAACCCAAATGTCCAACAATGATAGACTGGATTAAGAAAAAGGGGCACATATACACCATGGAATACTATGCAGCCATAAAAAATGATGAGTTCATGTCCTTTGTAGGGACATGGATGAAATTGGAAATCATCATTCTCAGTATACCATCACAAGGACAAAAAACCAAACACCGCATGTTCTCACTCATAGGTGGGAATTGAACAATGAGAACACATGGACACAGGAAGGGGAACATCACACTCTGGGGACTGTTGTGGGTTGCGGGGAGCGGGGAGGGATAGCATTAGGAGATATACCTAATGCTAAATGACGAGTTAATGGGTGCAGCACACCAGCATGGCACATGTATACATATGTAACTAACTTGCACATTGTGCACATATACCCTAAAACTTAAAGTATAATAATAATAAAATAAAAAAAATTCATCATCCATTAATGACACACACAAAGAAGAAAAATGTACTATATTAGAGGAACAATTGATCCTGATCATCATGAGGCAGTTGGACTGCTGCTACACACAGGAAAAGGGAGGCGCATGTTTGGGGTTTTGATGCACCTCTGTGGTGGTTCTTGGTGCTCCTAGGCTCAGTTTAAATTGCAGTTGGACAAATACAGTAAACATAGTTGGTCAAGAAAGGTAACAAGGGCTCAGATCCTGCACGAAAGTCACCTAGAACTACAGAGGTGCTGACCAAGAGTGAAGGGAATCTATAATGTGTGGCAGAGCAGGGCATGGTAACTATCAGTGATGGCCTTGGACCAACTGCAGCAAGGAGCTGAAGTTCATCTCACTGACAGTGCTCTTGTAAGCTCCTTAAGAATCATGACACAGAATCCCGCAGAAGCCATGCCTGCATGGAGTGAACTCAGTGTGAGGAGAAAGTGGAAATTAACAGGCAAAGGGTGGGTTGCAGCAGGTACCACTTGAATCCACTTTCCTGGGCTGAATGCCCCAGATGCTGTGTGTGCCAGTAGCTAACAGCTAGCAAGTCTTTCCTTCTCCCCCAAATTTCCCTCAGCTGATGGGAGCAGCTTTGCCCAGCAAATTCAAGCTGTCTCTCCAGGTTAGGAGGGTCCAGAGGCAATGACCAACTGATATAGAGGTATAGAAGGCAGGACCTTTTGCATCAAGCAGTGGTGGTAGTGGTGGAGAAGATCACTCTGCAGTTCTGTTTATGCTATGGAGCTCCCCCAACCTCCCACCATGGACCAGGACAAGGCTAGACTCTACCTGAGACAGCAGCCTTGCCCTGCTCTCTCCCCTCCCCTGCCATCCTTCCCTCTTCCCCTCCCTCACTGTTTTTTTCTGTAAGGCACTCCCTCCATCAATCCTATGCACCTGAATCTTTGACTGAGGCTCTGATATCCTTTTTCCTTTGGTCCTCTGTCCTGGAGAGTAGGCATTCTTTAAATCATCCCATAAAAAATTAAATACCCTGGTGAATGGAGCCACCAGAAGGGTCCAGAATTTTGAGGACTGAAGGGTTCCTTAGAGGACAAAATTTATTCAGGGACACCTCTTACTTTTGCATATTTTATTTAAGCATAATGCATACACTGAAAGTAAACTGTAATGTATAGCCTGCTGAATTTTCACAAGGACATTATAGGAAGGGAAGAGATGGGGTTACAGTGGCACACACTTTTCTACAACAGTCCAGAAACAATCATGGCCCTCTCACTGCCATTTCACAGGCTGGAGCTTGTCACATGGCCCGCCCACAAGAAGAGGGGAGAACTGGACATGGGCAAGATTAGGGATCTCTATAGCAATAAACACAAGTCTGACCAAATCATTTTTTTCTCCATTGAATTTTCTTGCATATATCAATTTATCTCCCTTTCTCCAGTTTTGGTGGCCAGTTCAAACTGTCTCAACCAATATACAGAGAGAATGCATTTAGGGTGTTTGTTCCAATGATAAATTATGAAGAACTTCATCAATTTGATTTGGTTAAATTTAGTATATCATTAAACGATAGGAAAGTCACCTTTACCACAATCTGAGGTCCAGTTGGAAACAAAATGGTAGTCAAAAAACTTTCTACTGGGACTATCTTCTGCAATTTTTAAATTTGCAGTGAAATTTTAGATAGAAGCCCCAAAGACACATAGATAGAGGCCGCAAAGACACATGATTACACCAAGAAAGGTGTACAATTTAAAGGATCACTGATGATACTAGGAAAAATGTAAAAATAATTATAGATCCTTTGGTTTTCATGCACATTCTCATAATGACCGCCATTACTGGCTTTGGGGCCACATTCCATAATGAGTCTTTTTTTTAGGACTTAGTGTGCATAGAAGCGGCGCTGAAACTGTGTTTCTATTAATGAATGTATAGTTCTAAGCTGCAACAATGGCAATCCTGTATTATTCTGTGAACAAAATTCTGCTGAATTCACAGACAGGTGACATTGTGTGGGCACTAATGTATACGGTGCTCTCTGTTGTAATAAGGCTGCTATTGTCTTTAACACAATACTGCTGAATGCGCACTGGACTTACAGCAGGTGCTGTTAGCTAAGACTGGACTTAACTCTTTGGAGTCTGATTTAAGCACCCTTTTACAGCCTCATCAGTGGCTTCCAATCTCAAAAATTCCCATTCATGTCTTTAATTTTTTTTACTGTGTTCATCCTTCCTTTCCCTACCTCCTTGTATGTTTTTATAATGATGCCATTTGCATCCAAATTCTTCGATATGTGGAAATGCATATTTTGCCTGCTTGTCTGAGGAGGTTGTTGACTCATCTCTTCATTCTTTCTGTCTGGGGGAGATGCACCCTTGTGCTTTGCTTGCATCTCCCACTTTGTCCCCCAATCTACGAGGACTCTATGTGGTAGTATCATTTCTCTCAAACACTGCATTCTCTAGCAGCAGTGAGTGCTCTGGGCTGGAAAAGGACATTAAACATCACCAATGATTTGACTAGGACACAGTGTGCTGGGCCAACAGAGAGTCACACAAGGCAGGAAGAAAGCCCTGGCTCTTGTCTCTGGTCCCTCGGCCACCAGCAGCCCAGGGCCCATGTGCACACACGTATCAGGCAGTCTCCATGCATAGAGAGGGCTGACCTGGGCACACAGAGGGTCCTCAGGGAGGGACATTTCACTCTTCCCTTTTATCTGCCTACAGATGATCCACTTTTGAGATTACCTGGGAGAGGGCAGCAGCCACTCATCCATCTGGCCTTAGCTTCGTCATTGGTTTCCTTCCTCGCCTTTGGCACCTGTCTGTGGCCTGCAGCCCAGCGGTGGCAGGGAGAGAATTGGGAAGGAGAGCCACCGTATCTCTGGGCAGCTATTTCTGTCAACTGAAAAGGCCATTTAAGCAAAACACTTAATTACCTTTCCTCTTCCCTGCCACCCCTGGGAAAGTATGAGCCAGTCAGATAATGAGCTTAGAGCAAGTGAGCAGCTTGGGAGGGCAGAGATTTCCATCCGACTGAGGAGTGACCTCCTCTGATCCCATCATGAAATGGGGAGCAGAGACAAGAGCAAGGGGTGAAATAAACAGGCTCCTCTGCAGCATGGCTTCATTATCTCACCTGTCACGTTGCAGATTCCTAGAACATTAGAGAGCTCTAATTCCCAGGTAAAGCACCCAGGCCTGGTCTGTGATGAGCCAACTCTGAAATGGAAGCTACTTCCACAGCATGGTGCTGTGCAAAGAGCTCTAAGCTGAGCATCTACCCTGCATGGCTGTTGCCAGCTGGGAGGTTTGGGCAACCCACTCAACCCTCTGGGCCTCAGGTTTCTGACAGATAAAAGGAGGACATTGGACTTGAGGGTTGCTAAGGCACCTCTAAATTTTATAAAGCTAGAAAAATTGCTTCGGGTGTAGGGGAGTTGGGAAAATGGGGTCCCCTCTAAGCTGGGAGCCTGGCTGTACCTGGGGGAGGCACCGGCTGCATTCTGCACCAGGTTCCCCTTGGGGATGTGTGTCAGGCCAGGGGAGGATGCCCTCCTGGGCTTGTCAGAACCAGTTGTTGGGGTCCCGCCCACAGAGGCACAGCCTGCCAAACGAAAGGCATGGAGAGCCACTGGCCTGCAGGGAAAGCCCCACATCCGCAAAGAGCTCATGCCAGCCCTGTCTGGAAGGGGCAGCAGTTTGCCTGCCTCTGTGGCTGAGCTGACTGGGTGTCTTTCTTGGTTCCCATCCATTTTGACCTCAGTGAGTCTCATGTTTTCTGTTCCCTCATTTGCCCTGCTTGGACCTGGCATCTGGCCGTGCTGGCCCAACTGAGGACAGTGGCCATGGAGTGCCCCCCAACTGCAGCTGCCAGGCCATCCCCACTGCTGGGCCCTGCCCAGCCACCCACGCTGGGCCCCATCCCACTCCCAGAATGTGATATCCCACCCACATTTTTCCTGTTGCCCAGGCCTCCTGTCCACCCTCTGGAGTCTGACCTCACCTTTGCTGGCTGGACTGTGCCATCCGGCCATGGCCTTGGCCTGGGCTGTGACCCTGTGTTGCCTCCTGGTCCCTGCCTGGGGAACCATCAGTGAGGGGGACTCAGAGGCTGGGATGGGCAAGGGGGATTGAGGTCACCGCACCCCGTGGGAGACAGATTGGAAGACTGAGAAAGCCACTCCGTTTAATTCATTCATCAGTCATTGCAAGCTATCCTTAGGTGTGGAGGTTATAGCATTGAACACATAACAACTCCACCTCCCCCTGTGGCACCCAGTGCTGGGGAAATAGAAGAGGACCAAAATAAATAAGCTAAAACATTTTGAAAACCTAACTAACTAAATAAGTAAAACGATGTTTAAAATAAAATGAATATGTGTAGTAGAAAGTACCCACTAGGATGGGAAAAAATAAAACCATGAAGGGCGACAGGAATCCCCAGATTGAGGATGGGGTTTGCAGGGTTAGACAGGGAAATCAGAGGGGGCCTCACTGAAAGGGAAATTTAAGTGACAATCTGAAAGACCCAGGGAGGGAGTCATGCCGAGATCTGGGAAAAGAGGACTAGGGAGGGAGTCATGCCGAGATCTGGGAAAAGAGGACTATAGGCAGAGGGAATGGCACATGCAAATGCCCTGAGGTATAATCGTGCTGGTGAGCAAGAGGGCTGACCAGGAAGCCCATGTGACCTGAGCTGAGGGAGGGGCAGGCTAGGAGATCACTCTGGAGAAATAATGGGGATGGGTGGCCAAGAGCAGGTGGCGTGGGGCTCTGAGGGCTGCTGTGAGAGTTTCCCTCTGAGTGAGTTGAGGGCCACTTCAGGGCTTTGACAAGAGGAAGTCATTCTCTGGCCATGCTGACAGGTTCATTCAGACCGTTGACATGAGAGAACACCAAAAGAGGACCAGGGCACTGAAGGGTGCCTGGCTGGGAGGCGGCTGTGATCACACAGATGAGACATTACACGACTTGGCCCAGGTTGGTGATGGTGGAGGTGGTAAGAAATGGCTGGACTCTAGATGTAAACGTGGATTGACGTGATTTACTGATGGCCTGGATGTGGCATGTCAGAGAAAGAGTGGAGACAAGTATGTTTTTGAGATTCTTGGCCTGAGCAACTGCAGGAAAGGAGCTATGTTTAATGGCAAGGAGTGGGGTCGACCAGGAGCTCAGGGCTGAATGTGTTCATTTCAGACACCTGTAGGTCACTAAATGGAGGGGTGGAGTCTGCAGTGCATGACAGGACAGTATAATTTGGGTGCCCACAGCAAGTAGATGGTATTTAAGGTTGCAGGATGCAATGAGATTACCACTGGAGTGCAGGTAGAGGCTAGAAGAGAGAGACGTCAAAGGCTGAGCACTGGGGCCTCCAGCATGAGGAGGTTGGAGTGAGGAAGAGGAGAGAAAGCTGGGAACGAAAGGCCCAGATAAGAGGAAAACCAATGCTGTGTGCTGCAAGGTAGATGTAGTGTTTCAAGGAGGAGGGAGTGGTTATCCATGTCAACTATGATAAGGTCTAAAACGACAGTTGGGCATAGCAAAGTGGGGGCTATTGTTAAGCCCCATTTTCTGCATGGAAAATTCATTTATTGGACTGAGGATCCTGGCCCCTAGCTTTAGCAACAGAGATGAGCATGTGGCCCAGGTCTGGCTTACAGGGAGCTCCTCCCCTGGTCACAGAGATTGGTTCAGAGACGGGACATGTGGCTCAAGCTGGGCCAATTAGAATTCTCTCTGGACACAGTGATATTGGTTTAGAGATAAGCATGTGGCCCAGGCTGGGCCAATTAGGGTTCTCTTTGAACATTCCGTCCTGGAGCTGTCAGGAAATATTGGCTCCTTTCTCTGGAGTTGCTAAGTGTTAGGATGCAAATCTTGGCCACTAGCAGACATCCTACCTGTCGGGTGGACTCACCATTCCTTGGAGAGAGAAAGATCCCTGACAATAGCATTTGAGGCTATTCTGGCTCCAGTCCTGCCCAAGGCCTGCTGCTCTCTTGGACTTCCATATTTCATTTCCTAGACAATAAATTCTCTACTTGAAGCTGGTTTGAATCAATCTCCTCTCTCTTTCATCCAAAATGTCCTAGCCAATTGAAGGAGATTTCTCTGACGCCAGCTGCTCAATAGTGGGAGGCGCTTCCTCAATAGTGGGAGTGCAGCCTCCTACATGAAACCTTACGGAGCAACCCCTGGATTCAGGACTATTTTTAGCTGCCGCAATTGCCTGGGGAAAGCTGCCGCCCTGGGCACGACCAAACAGGGTCAGCTCCCTATCTCCTCCTGCAGCAGCCTCTGACGCAGGCCTGGAATCTGGGGCAAGGTAGGGTTGCGACCAGAGAAGCTGGGTGAGGATATCAGATTCCACCCGTGACCCAAGAGGTGGCATCCTGTGGGCTGCCAGGGATCAGTACTGGGAGTTCCCCAGGACCTTATGACAGCCAAGCAGGGAACTGCTGCAGGCTTGGAGGGTGACAGGGTCAGCATCTGGGGAAAGCAGACCAAGTAATGGGAGACCAGGGTAGGGGAAGCGGTTGCTAAAACAAACTGACTAATCCTGCCAGATGATGTTTCTCTGGCCTGGAGCTGTTATTTAAAGGGCCAGCCACACACAAATGGCAGCGTCTTAAAGATACTTGGTGCACAGGCCCATTCGTGCTGGCTTTTGGCTTTAGAAATCCAGTCTGCCACCTTTGGGTGTCTTCTCGGTGTGTTAAAAAGGAAAGTACTTTGTACTATTCTTTGGGTCCACGTGCAGATAAACAGGTTATTCAGGCTTCCTCATCTCTCTCCTATACCTGGGCAAATAAATGCATGAGTCACCCATGGGAAGAGCTCTGAGCTTCTCACCCTGCACACCGATAAGGATAAAATATGCTCCAGTGATCATTTCTAGCTACCCACACTGAATAAACCAATCAAGGCCTCATAGAGCCTTGGAATATCTATGCACCAAAGGACTTGGTATAAATCCCTTTTGTCCAAAATCATTACCTCATTGCTTGCTTCTATTTCAGGGTTTCTTTTGTTGTTGGAGAAGACATATGTTTCACACCAACCCTTTCATTATCTAACTGTGGTTGAGACTTCCTTCCAATCATATAGTTTACTCTCATCATGGAATAGAAATGATACCAACTCAAAAAACTTCATTAAATGAAGTGCCACACAGTTTGAATTTGTAGCATTTGACAGAAGCTAAAACGAAATTTACTTGCTGCTCAGATAATTACAGATAGTGCATATTACTAGACTAAACATATTTGTAGGAAGGGTGAATTTAAAGTGTTTAAGAGAAAAACCGTCTTAAACACCCTCAAGCACTTTAAAATGTCACGTTGCACCCAAATAAGCCAGGTACACATCAATCTTCTATAGTCACAAAAGCAGGTCTTCCAAGATTTCTGGCAGGCCGTGGTTGTTTAGCCTATTTTTAATTTACTGCAATAAAACTACATAAAAACCGTATCATTCACCCTTTTTGCTAATTTACTTTGGTCTTCCCCATAATCAGTCTGAAAAGGAATATTCTACTTCATGAATTTACCCTTCAGTGAGGTATATTCTTGGTGCCATAATTGAATTCTCCTTTCTAAATCACATAAAGCAAATGTTTCCCAAGCCCTTTCCATATTTTCTGTAGATGGGACACAAATTGCAAGAGAGAAATATTGTGGAGACGTAGAAGCAGACAGGCCTTCCCTTCTGTTGAGAGTGGTTTTGTTCTTCTGGCTGTTGTGTTTTTAGACTCATGATCTCTATGAAGTGAGCAGAACCAAGCCTCTGGTATATTGGTCAAGGGAGTGTAAACTACTACAATAGAAAAGTCCTCACATCCTAGCAGCTTTCCATACTAAAAGCATGTATCTTGCCCGTGTAACTCTCCAAGGCCAGTCATTCTGGCTGGGCAGCTCTCCTCCATGATATGGTTCAGAGGCCTGGACTCCTTACATGCGTGGCTCCACCACGCTTAACATGTGGCTCCCAGCACAGTTCCAGGAGTCTCATTCTGGTTGGCTGGGGGGAGAAAAGCTCATGAGGACTACACAGGGCTTTATGGTGCACACTTGGGATTGGTGCAGACTTATCAGCTCTGCTTATTTCACACTGACCAGTGTAGGACTGACGTTGGACCATGGTCACACCTCCCTGTAAGGGAGGTTGGGAAGTATCATTTGGCCATGTGCCCAGGGTCTGGGTAAAGAGGCAGTAGTTTCTGCCTCCTGTGGCCATAGTCAAGAGGCTTTTGACTCCAACAGTGGCCAAGTTCTTACACCAAAGGTATTTAAAAATACTAATTGGGGTAGGTCCCAAAAAACGGAGTAAATTTGGTTAATTTCCCCTTTTTTGCTATTCAGTTTTGCTTCTCTATTTTTATCTCATTGATTTCTAGAATGGAAGTAAACATCTTAACATCTTGGTCTCCAATAATATCTCAGAAAAGCTACATGGAGTCTATAGCAAAAGAAGTCTATTTGACCCTGTTTTCTTGTAAATCATTGGAAAGTGACAGGCTTCACACCAAAATGTTCTAGTGGTCTGAGGCAAACAAGATCATGATTACTCTCTCTTTCTTTCTCCCTCTCTCTAACACCTTCATATCAGCGAGTGCCTGACTCATAATTCAGGACATTAGACTTCACATAGACCACCCTGCTCTCTCCACACCTGTGAATCACCTCCTTTCCTTGGGCTGATGTTGACACAAATCTCAAGCCCACCACATTGCAGCTGTGAAGTTCTGGCAACTTATTTAACCTTCCTCAGGTTAAATTATTCCTTAAATTATTCTTCTTGATTCCTTAATCTGTGCAAAATCAGATTAACACTTCCCATCTCTTGGGACCTTGAAGGGTTAAGTTAGATATTGAAGGAGAAATCACAGAGCACAGTGCCTGACAGCTAGACAAGCAATCCCTACCGGCTTCCTTCCTGCTTTGCTCCGCTCAAGGAAAGGTAAAGCGCCAGGGCCTTTGTCAGAATGGTGGTGCCTCTGCTAGTGGAGCTACCTCTCCTCCCCCACACCACAGACTCCACGAAGACCCAACTGCAGCAACGGTTCTTTCCATTCAGGCAGAAATCAGAGGGTCTGAGGGTGAGGGGGGAGTAGGAGCCAGACAAAGGCACAATTACCCCCACATGACTGCCTACTAAGAATTCTGGCTGCAGAAAAGGCTTTTCTGCAGTTTGTTTTTGCTAGTTCTGCTCCAAGAACCCAAGAGGTAAGGCCTTCAGTCAAGAGGACAGCCCACGTCTCATTGTTCCAGTGTAAGTCAACTTAGCTAACCTCTGGCATTTTCTATGCTTCACCTCTTCTCTCATGTATTTTCTTGATTCATAAACAGCTATCTACTCCAGTTAGCACAATTTCTATTGATTGAGCCTGGCTAAGCTTAGCACACTTCACACACACACACACACACACACACACACACACACACACACACACACCCCATCCAAGGAAAATTTGGCCTCTAAATGAAGGGTGGGTTTGTACTCTCTGTTTCTTAGGCCATGCCTGAGTACATGTTGGAGGAAGATGAAAATCACTTCCACCAGTTCTCCTGAGCTAAGTTTATGAGAATCAATTATAATCCTTAAATCTTCTCATTCTTATATAGGCTTATTTTGTACTTAGTTCTGGTATCCCACTCTGAGCCAGTCAGAAGAAAAAAAAAAACCTTTGCATTTGTGATACTGCACAACTGTGCAGCAACCAGGATGATATTCTGGGATAAATCAGCAAAAGCCTTGGCTGTTTCAGTCGTAATCCTAAAGATCAACAGAAGAAATTGCTTGAAGTGGGTGGATAAAATTCTTAGAATAATCCTGCTCAAGCCCTCTAGAGTTCTTTTATGATGCCTTTATATATTTCAGCCTTTCACCTAGAAAGATTCCAAAGCATCACCCAACCTCGTGGGCTGTGCTGTAAGGAAGGAGCATGACAGCTGCAAAAGGGCTTAGACTCGAAAATGTCTTTTGAAGGAGTGTTGGGAGAAAAGGTCCCATTGAGGCTAATGATAAATCTGGGGAGGCGCTTTAAGAAAGTTTCTATGGAAAACAGACACAATAACTTTTCTGTTGAGAATGTCAGTCAAAGTGTACAACCTAGCTAGACATATAGTATATGACCAAAGCGTCGACCTAGCTAGAAACTTGTTCAGCAGGCTGAACTGTAGTGGGGCATCCTGCTGGTGAGCTTATGACAGGTGCATTTTGGCAGGCAGGGCTGAGGCTGGTGTGCAAAGTCATTGGCAGTTGGCAGTGTAAATTATTGAGGGGGTTTGATGGGATTGTGCAGGACAGGATGTGTTTACTGCATGGATCAAGACCAGAGATGGAGACGTGGCTGGTGTTTCAGAGGCACAGGAGCCAGAAGCTGGGGCTACAGCTACAGATCATGCTCTTTCTTGACAGGAACCTTTCTTTTATGGTCTCTCTTTTTCTGGTCCAGAATTTCACAAAACTTAATAGCAAAATATCAAAAAGATACCATATGTGGAAGTTACTTCTGACTGACCACCAAAATCTGTTCTCCCCATTATCCATAAAAATGGAGGGCATGTACTTTTTAAATTGAGGTGGAATTAACATACAATACACCACAAATGTGGAAAGTGTACAGTTTTCTAATTTTGACATATGCCATACTACCATGCAATCATCACTACTGTCAAGATAGTGAATATATTCATCATTTCAAACAGTTTTCTCGTGTACTATCCTGATCCCCTTTGCTTCTGTCTCTCCTTGCCTTGTCCCTTCTTTGATCTGTTTTCTGTTATAATAGCTGCATTTTCTAGAATTTGATATAAATGGAATTATATAGTGTATATTCTTTTTTTGTCCTGGCTTCTTTCAGTTGGTGTAATTATTCTGAGATTCATCCATGTTCTTGGTGTGTTTCAAAAGTTCATTCCTTTTAATGAATGAGTCATATTTTATTATATAGATATTATACAGTTTGTTTATCTGCTCATCTTTCAATGGACATTTAGCTGTTTCTGAGCTTTTAATATTACAAATAGAGCTTCAATGAACATCCATGTCTGAGACTTTGTGTGGACATGTGCTTTCTTTTTTGTTGGGTAGATATCCAGGGGTAGAAAGCCTGGGTCAAACAGCAGCTGTACACTTAACTTTTTGAGAAACTGACCACTGTTTTCTATTTGATTGTGCCATTTTTTTATTCATACATTAGCAACATATGAGAGTTCTAGTTCCTCCATACCTTAGCCAAAAATTGATGTGACCAGTCTTTGTAATTTCAGTCCTTCTAGTAGATGTGTTGTAGTAGCTTGCATTTCCAGAATGACTAATGATGAATGATGCTGAGTATCTTTTCACATGCTTATTTGTTATCTGTCTGTCTTTCTTGGTATAAGTTCAAATCTGTCCACTATTTTTGAATGTTTGGTTTTTTTATTCCTGAGTGTTGAGTGTTCTTTATACATTCTGGATGCAAGACCTATATCATATATATATATACACACACATATACATACATACATACATATATATATATATATATATATATACACATATCTTGAAAATAGCACGAGGCTTGTCCTTAATTCCCTTAATAGTGAATGTGTCCCAGCACTTTGGGAGGCCAAGGCAAGTGGATCACCTGAGGTAAGGAGTTTGAGACCAGCCTGCCAATGTGGTGAAACCCCATGTCTACTAAAAATAGAAAAAATTAGCCGGATGTGGTGACGTGTGCCTCTGATCCCAGCTACTCGGGAGGCTGAGGCAGGAGAATCACTGGAACCTGGGAGGCGGAGGTTGCAGTGAGCCGAGATCACACCAAGGCACTCCAGCCAGGGCAACAGAGCGGAACTCCATCTCAAAAAAAAAAAATAGTGAACGTATATTTATTCTGCAGCCTCCCTTGCCAAGTGGTATGCCCATGTGACCAAGTTCTTACTCACACAATGTGAGTAGAAGGGCAGATGTGAAGTATGCTACTTCTGCCTTCAGTCCTTGAAATAGTGTGTGTGCTTCTCTAACCTCTCTTTCATGCCCTCAAGTGAATGATACAGCTTTGATCATGCTGGTGAGGACAGTGCCCTGGCGATTCCGGAATGACCTTGGCAGTAGGATCACTCACCTTTGGGCTGTAGCATGATAGAGGAATAATCCTCTATCTTTTAAAAAAGTTTTGGAGTGTCTTTTTCGTCCTTAGCAGCTTAGTCCTTACCCTAATTAATAACAACAAGAAAGACATTCCTTCTTCCTCCTTCCTTCTTACTTGGAGCACTTTCCAGCAGGACTTTAGGTGGGCCTGAGGATGAATTCATTTTTCTATAGAATAAAATAAACATTTCTTGAGCACCCAATCAGGTACTGTTCTATGTAATCAGCCTGCAAAGAGGAATAAAACCCAACCTTTGCTCTTGAGGAAATGATGGTCCAGTGAAAATCTTTGGATTTTGGCTCATATCTAGCCAGTCTGAAGTTACAGAGCTGATCATTCAGCAGTTTAGGGATTTTGTTGAGCTTAGAGGAACCTGAAAAAAATGCAGAAATTTGGCTTTAAATTGGTATTTTTCTCTTAATGTTCTGCAGAAAATCACATTAACATGAACTGCACTTTAACCCCTCAACCTGTGAAATGAGAACAGGTCTCAATGTCTAAGTGCCCACAGCGCCCCTTCCCACCCCTTATATTCAGTACTAGTCTTTCCAGGTTAAGTGGTATCATGTAGTTTCCATTTATTTGAGTTATTATCGGGGCATGGACTCTACCAGACTTCATATAATTCAACTAATTTACTTCTTTCAAGAAATAAATTGAGGTTTACAGATGAGAAAACTGATCCAGATAGGTTAACAAACGTGCCCGAGGCCACAGAGCCAGCTAGAGATGGAAGCAGGGTTTGAAACCAGGCCTGATAACAAAATCTGAGCCCCATTCCTACAAACTCTGCTGCCTTTCATGGGAGCAGCTTCAGACTTGGACTATTCAGAGTATTGCTTTAGGAGTTTTCTTTTCATGGGAGAAATAACTTCACACACTCAGGTTGTGTTTTTATAGCCTCCTCAGCTGCAGACTTGATGACCAGACTCTGTTACTCAGAGGAACCTGTGTCACTCCCTGCCTCTTTATATTCAAGCATCAACATGTTTGGCTTTTGTTTTCAATCCAGAACCTGTCCTGGATTTTATAAAACAGAACTCCAGCTTCACAGTGATCACAAAGTGACAGCTGATCACTGGCAAACAATTTAGAACCCAGTTCCCGACTTTTACACAAGCTGAAGTCACGGTTTCTTATTGGATTCTTCCAATGCCAGCTTGACACCTTGGTAAGAGGTTTCAGCCATATCAAACCAGGGGTAAAGGAAAGAGGCTCTTTCTTTTTCTTGCTGTTCCAGATCAGATAACATTGCCTGATTAGTTCCTCTGCCATGAATTCGCACCGCACGTACCCATATGCCAGTCCTTTGCTACCAGGCCATCAGCTGTATTGCTTCCTGCACAATCATTCATATTTTGCCTCATGCTTTCCCTTCTCCACCTCTGTTTCCGGCTCCTCCCCATGAAGTAGCACTAATGTTTGAAAAGAAAATGTGACAACAGGTAAAATTTATAGGAGTTTCCTGGCCCACACAGAAATAAGAACCACAGGCATCCCCAAAGGAGGGATTTCCTTACCCAGACACTGAGCCTCTTGAATATGCCCTGATTCGCTCACATGGGAGTTCTCTAGATAAACCGGTTATCTTTTTTACGGAATCAGAATGTGGAGCTCCTGTTTGGGAAGGGTGGCTTTCACAAATGCCAGGGGGATTATCTAGTTGCAGTTACAGAAAAACCCAACCCAAACTGGCTTAGTCAAAAAAGGAATTTATTGACTCACAGAAGCTGAAAAGAGGAGGGCGAGCTTGAGGTATAGCTCCATTCAGGGCTCCAGCATATCCGTAGCACCTGGGCATTTTTATCTTTATTTCTTTGTTTTGCCTTCTATTATGTTTATTTCATCCCTGAGTTTTATGGAAACTGGAAGGGTCTCTGTGAACCCATTCATTATCTTATGTTTTAGGTCATAGTTTCTTTTTCAAAAGATGCAGTGAAAAAATGTCATTGTGCCTCGTTGCTTCTGACTAGGTCACGTATGAACTATGAACATCACTGGACAGGGAAATGAGACTTGCTGATGGCTTAGACCTGGGTCAAAACTCCACCCCTGGGATGCTACTCCATGGAGTCAGCTTAATGTGACTGCATGAAAATCCTGTACAGTTACCAGGAGGATACTGGAAATGTTCACTGCAGTGAGTTTTGCCTTCTAAGAAATAATGAGTGTGTGTCTACTGCACAAGCCAGCTGCACACCTTGAAATAACCAGTGTCTACTCACATAAAATAAGAATTTACACCCAAAGCCAGGCGTAGAGACAGGGTTACTTACTGATTTAATCTCTAGGAGCAAAGGCAGTTTGCCAAAATGTTGATGTAACTACGTCAGTATAGAAAACTTACTCCAGAGTTTCTCTACAGTCAGTAGGAAGACCACCCTACGTTCCTTAAAATAGGAAGATCCTCCACTGCTTTGGTCTTGAAGCCTATTGCAATAAGCCTTTCTTACCTGTTTTCATTGAGGGCTTGCTTTTGTTTTATTTTCTGAGAGGACTATGGTATTGAGCGATAAGGAAGTCTATGGCAGGATCTGGCTGGTTCTGGATGGAGTAGAGTTTACGGCAGAAACTTGAAAGTTGTGAAGTCTCTAGAAGCATTTTGACTGCATTATGGTCCACGGGCCAAAAGAAGTGCCCTTATGTTGTTCTTTCTTCCAGTCATTCAGCTTCTCCATATGTCTTTCTAAATAAATGTCTGCGATTAGGTTATTCATTCTTCTTACAAACTCCTGACTTTAGATGTTCAACCCTCTTAACCACTGAACAATTGTTAGTTACTATGAAATTACCCAATACTATGTTATTATGTGATTGCTATGCATTTCCTTTCTTTAAATATTTTATTGTTTATTGTGTATCAGACTCTCTGCTAAAGCACTTTATATGCATTATGTCATTTATTCCTCATAACTATGACATCGAAACTATTATTATTCCCATTGTTTGAAAGATAAAACTTAGGCCTAAAAAAGGTTAAATATCTTGCTCAAGGTCACACAACTAGAGCCAGAGATCTTAAAACCATGCTACGTAAGTAAGACAAAGGCTTTGCTCTCGCTCCCCTGGTGCAGAACAGGAAGACAGACCTATAAATAAACGAGTGCATTGAATGTTATATTAGCCATGATAATGATCTACACAGGAGAAAGTGAGGAAGCGAGAGAGAGAGAGAGAGAGAGAGAGAGAGAGAGATAGAGAGAGAGAGAGAACAGTCATTTTCCTGGTGGGGGGTGAGGGGTGAAATGGCTGTTGGTAAAAGTTCTCTGGAGGAGGCTAAGCTGAGGTGCATGAGAAGGTATTTTCCAGCTGGAGGGTGGTGTTGAGAATAGCATTACAGAGACAGGGACCTGTGCACGTCAAGCGCAGAGACATCTAGAAGCGACACAGGACAGGAACATTGCAAGCTGTTTGGCCTGGCTGGGGCACAGGCTTCAAGAAGGATGGACACAGGAGAATACGGCAGGACCCAGTACAGGTAAAGCCTAGTGGAGGTGAGGGATTTGATCTGAGAAAATGGAGCCATTGAAGGGTTTGAAGGAGAAAGGCAGCATTCATTCCAACATTCATAACCAATAATTTAAAAACGTTCTCAAGCTTTATTTTTTGAGCTTTTTAATTGTATAAGATACATAACATAAAATTACCATTTTAACCATTTGAAGTCTATAACTCAGTGGCATTAGTTCTATTTACAATGCCGCACAATCATCCCCCCTATGTTTTCAGAACTTTTTCATTGTCCCTAGTAGGAACTCTGTACCCATTAACCAATAACCTCATTTCTCCATTCCCCAGCCTCTGGTATCCTCTCTTCTACTTTCTGTCTCTATGAATTTGCCTATTCTAGGTATCTCATATAAGAGGAATTATACAATATTTGTCCTTTTGTGTCTGGCTAGTTTAACTTAACATAATGTCTTCAGGTTTCACCATGTTGTAGCATGTGTCAGAATTTCATTCGTTTTTAAGGTGCATGATATTCTATTCTATGGATACACCACATTTTGTTTACCCATCCACCTCTTGGCAGACATTTGGATTTTTTCTGCCTTTTGATTACTGGGACCAATGCTGCTATGAATAATGGTGTACAAATATCTTTTTGAGTGCCTGCTTTCAATTTCTTTGGGTATATACCTAGGAGTGGAATTGCTGGATCATATAGTAATTCTACATTTAACTTTTTGAGCAACAGACTGTTTTTCACAGACGCTGCACCATTTTATGCTTCAACAATGAAGTACGAGGATTCCAATTTCTTCACAACTTTGCCTACACATTTTGATTCTAGTTGCCCTGGTGGTGTGATGTAGCATTTCATTGAGGTTTTGATTTGCGTTTTCCTAATGACTAGTGCTGTTGAGCATCTTTCCATGTGCTTCTCAGCTATCTGAGTATCTTCTTTGGAGAAATGTCTATTCAAGTTCTTTGCCCATTTTTTTTTTTTTTTTTTTTGAGACAGAGATTCAGTCTTGTTGCCCAGGCTGGAGTGCAGGGGCACGATCTCAGCTCACTGCAACCTCTGCCCTGTGGGTTCAAACGATTCTTCTGCCTCAGCCTCCTGAGTAGCTGGGATTACAGGTGCCTGCCACCACGTCCAGCTAATTTTTTTTTTTTGAGATGGAGTCTTTCTCTGTCACCCAGGCTGGAGTACAGTGGCATGATCTTGGCTCACTGCAAGCTCTGCCTCCCGGGTTCACACCATTCTCTTGCCTCAGCCTCCCGAGTAGCTGGGACTACAGGTGCCCGCCACCACGCCTGGCTAATTTTTTATATTTTTAGTAGAGACAGGGTTTCACCAAGTTGGCCAGGCTGGTCTCGAACTCCTGACCTCAGGTGATCCGCACGCCTTGGCCTCCCAAATTGCTGGGATTACAGGCATGAGCCACTGCGCCCAGCCATTACTAACATTTTTTAAAGGACTAATATGTTCCTGCCATCAGGCTGATCAGATTTGTAGTTTAGAAATACAGTTGTCCCTCAGTATCTGTGGGCAATTGGTTCCAGGACACCCGCAAGGATACTAAAATCCACAGATGCTCAAGTCCCTTATGTAAACGATGTGGTATTTGCATTTAACCTATGTACGTCCTCCCGTATACTTTAAATTACTTCCAGATTCCTTATAATACCTAACACAATGTATTAGATAATGTAAATAGTTGTTATATTGTATTTTCTAGGGAAAAATGACAAGAAAAAAGTCTGTGTATGTTCAGTACAGATACAATCATCTTTTTTTTTCCCTGAATTTTTTGATGCTTGCTTGGTTGAATCCATGTAAGTGGTACCTATGGATACAGAGGGCCGACTGTACTGCTCTGGATGTATTTGAGAGGGGCACAAATAAAGGTTTCTGCTGTAACCCACATAAAAGGTGAAGGGAGTCTGAATTGAGTCAGGAGCAGTAGGGGTTGAAACTAAGGAGCAGACACATTTTCAGTTGTGTATAGTAAGAGACATCACTGAATCACTGATCCTATTATGTTGCTCCTATTTTTTTAATCTCTTGAACAAAATGAGTTAAGAAAATTTGTTTTTTGTCTTATTTTAACTAGAGTATATTTTATTTTGCAGCTGTAAGAAGCAATAGGCAAGCTTTCTCAGAAAGCTAAGTAAGGGTATAATATATGGAGTAAATTCTTTGGTGTGGAACACATTGCAAATAAGGCAGTCTAGTTAGATTGGTATCTTTTGGTGAAAAATTTGTGGGTTGTGTAGTGCAAAGCTTTTTTGTTGGTAAAATTGGAGATGACTTAAACATTCATCAGTATAAAAATGATTAATAGATTATGAAATACCAGGCAGTAGATCAATACACATAGCATGTTGTGACATGGAATAATCCTCAAAATACATTGTTAAGTAAAAAGTGAGACCTGGAACATAACATACAGCATGATCACATTTATGATAAAAACAGTCTTTTTTATGTGGACATATTTCTAAACATATGTATGAAGATCAGGAGTGTATTTACACAGTGCAGTTGGGAAGGACGTAAGGGGGTAAAAGTGGAGGGTAACTTTGTGTTGTATCATCTATATTGTTTTCAGAGTTTACCAAGAGAATATGTTCATGTGTTCATTATATTTTTTAAAAAGTGTTAGTGGCCAGGCATGATGGCTCACACCTGTAATCCCAACACTTTGGGAGGCCAAGGCAGGTGGATTGCTTGAGCCCAGCAGTTTGAGACCAGCCCGGGCAACATGGTGAAACCCTGTGTCTACAGAAATAATTTTAAAATTAGCCAGGTGTGATGGTGTGTGCCTGTAGTCCTAGCTACTTGGAGGGCTGAGGTGGGAGGATTGCTTGAGCCTGGGGAGGTTGAGGCTGCAGTGAGCTATGATTTACCACTGCACTCCAGCTTGAGGGACTGGGCAAGACCCTGTCTCAAGAAAAAAAGAAAAAGTGCTAGTGTTCCTAGATTGATGGCTATAAAATGGCTTTTCCGTTTGCTCCTCTACCTGTGTCCTTCTCTACCCCACCTCCTCCCAATACATTTCTACTCCACAGTCCCTGGGGCATGAGCATCATTCTCCAGAATGCCCCTGTGGGTCAACGGAGGTTGCCCTGAAAAACAAGGGGAAGCAAGTGTACACATTCTCAATGTACAGTAATGTGAAGAACATCGCAATTCATGCTTTTTAAAAATGAAAAATGTCAATGACACACAACATTTCAGGGGAAAGTGTCCACGCAGTGGTATCTGTGTGTTGTTCCTGCCAAATTAGCCAGAAAGTTGGGAGTGTTCCATTATTTCCATACATGTCCATCTGTAGTTTTTCTGCAAAAGCCAGGCTGGTGCCACACACGGCTGTCATAACTAACACGGCTGATGAGCATTCCATGACTGCAGTCTAGTCATCAAACACACACTGAGCACGTGCTGTGTGCACAGTCCTGAGTCAGGAGCCATAAATGGGGGGGGAGGGCAATGATGTTCAACCTTGAAAGGAATGGGTCACGAGAAGGACATTAACACGTTGATCTGTGACATGAGGGGGGATGAAATAATTTCTCCTACACCCTGACCTGTATTGACTGCACTTTCTCATTGATTTTTATAGCACTAATTGTATTGTAATTTTACATTAGTTTGAATATCTTTTTGTATTAATTATCAGACTGTTAATTCCATAATGGCAGACACTTCATCTACTTTTGTCTCTTCAGTCTCTGACGTAGTTCTTGGCACATGGAGTGTGCTCGACAAATATATATTAAATAAATGGTTGCTAAATTATATATGTGGGTGTATATATAATGTGTGTGTACATATATAATTGTATTATATAATTATATATGTGAGTATATATACTTATAAGGATATATTATATATTATTAGTTGATATATTATTATAATGATCATTATTATAATGATATATTAATAATATATAATTATAAGTACGAGCCATAGCTATGAGAGCACAAGCAAAAAATCCACAATAGTTCAAACTATTTTTTAAAAAGCTAACACTTCAGGTCCTGGCACAGAGGCTCATGCCTTTAATCCCAGTGCTTTGGGAGGCCAAGGTGGGAGGATTGCCTGAGGCCAGGAGTTCAAGGCCAGCCTGGACAACATAGAGAGACCATATCCTAAGTGAATTAATACAGGAACAGAAAACCAAATACTACATGTTCTCCCTTATAAGTGGAAGCTAAACTTTGGGTACTTATAGACATAAAGATAGCAGCAATAAACACTGGGGACTACTAGAAGGGGGAGGGAAAGTGGGGGTCAAGGGCTGTAAAACCAACTATTGGGTACTATGTTCACTACCTGGGTGATGGGATCAACCATACCCCAAACCTCAGCATCACACATATACCCAGGGAACAAACCTGCACATGTACCCCCTAAATCTAAAACGAAACTTGATATTGAGAGAGAGAGAGAGAGAGACCTTGTCTCTATAAAAAATTTTAAAAAAAATTAGCAGGTGTGGTGGCTAGCTCCTAGGGAGGCTGATGCGGGAAGATTACTTGACCCCAGAAGATCGAGGCTGCACTGAGCCCTGATTGCACCACTGCACTCCAGCCTGGGTGACAGAGCGAGACTCTGTCTCCAATTAAAAGAATATATATGTGTATATGTATATATATATATATATATGTATGTATGTGTATATATATATATATATATGTATATATATACATACATACACATACACATATCAAAAAGCTACCACTTCAGAATCAACAGCTTCTTCAAGGCCTTAACACAGTTTCACTATGGCTAAGACTCCAGGGCGGGAGAGCTGTGTGAGTTAGGCCCACTAATCATATCTCCTCAAGAAGGAGAGACACACACAGCAGCTGGCACTGTGCTGGGTGCGTAGGAACCTCTAACTGGTGGCCCTCAAGCTTGCAGGGTGTTCAGAAGAGTCACATACCTACCCCTTAGGGCTGATGAATTAGGAGATATTTATAGCCTCCCCCGACTCCTCTCAAGACCCATTCTCAATTCCTGCTCCCCTCATTCTCAGCAGATACCCTCATCTCATGAGTCATTGGGGATGCTGAGGTCATCAGTGTGCTTTCTGGTAATTTCCCAGTCTTCTACAATTTACCTACACCCATGTCCCTGCTGCAAGCCAGGCCTCCAGCCAGGGGAGATAAGGTGGCCTCCTTGCCACACTTTCTGGCTCTCCCAGGGTTTGCATCCTCTTGTCCTGTGCCCCTTCCTTCATCTGCTCCCCACACACACACCTCCCGGGGTCTCTCGAATTGTTCCTTCTCTTCCTACCGATGCCCCCTCTGCCTAGGAAGGGTCTCCCACTAATGTTCCTTTTCTAGATTTCTACTCCAGCCTGAGACTCTGTCTTGCATTTCCATTTGTCCCTCTTCCACAGTGCAGACTGAGGAATTCTTTTTTTTTTAGATGGAGTTTCATTCTTGTTGTCCAGGCTGGAGTGCAGTGGCACGATCTCGGCTCACTGCAACTTCCGCCTTCCAAGTTCAAGTGATTCTCCTGCCTCAGCCTCCCAAGTAGTTGGAATTATAGGTGCGCACCATCATGCTTGGCTAATTTTGTAATTTTTTAGTAGAGACTGGCTTTCACCATGTTGGTCAGCCTGCTCTCGAACTCCTGACCTCAAGTGATCCACCTGCCTCAGCCTCCCAAAGTGCTGGGATTACAGGCATGAGCCACCGCGCCCAGCCAGAATTCTTTTTACAATGTAGGTCATAGGCCATTCCCAGTGCACCAGCTCCGACTTCCTCGCTTTCCAACATTTTGAGAAATCACATCAGTAAGAGCGACACTAAATCTTTCTACTTTTTCCTTTCCTTCTTTCTCTCTCTCTTCCTTCCTTCCTTCCTTCCTCTGTTTTCCCTTCCTTCCTTTTGAAAGTAAATTATTTGCATACTTGAGTATTTATCAGCAGTCACACTTTCTTTGGTGCATCTTATAGCAGATAGGACACATCAGTGCTTGAGACATCTTGACCCTGTGGCTGGGCTTGTGTCTTCCTCTGCATCTCATGCACCTTGCCTTGTGTTTCTGCTTCCTCTCACCTAGTTCACTTACTGTTCTCAGTTCTGCTCCCAACACTATACCCTCATTACCACTGTCAACATCTGCCCCATCCTTATCTGTTCCTTCTGCCAGTGTTGCTCTTGCAAGTCCTCTGACTTCCCCACCACATTCTTGAGGCTTTCCTTTTTTTCTTTCTTTTTATTTTATTTTATTTATTTATTTTTTGAGACAGAGTCTCGCTCTATCTCCCATGCTGGAGTGCAGTGGCGCGATCTTGGCTTACTATAGCCTCTGCCTCCCGGGTGATTCTCCTCAAGTGATTCTCGTGCCTCAGCCTCTCAAGTAGCTGCAGGCATGCACCACCATGCCTGGCTAATTTTTGTATTTTTAGTAGAGACAGGGTTTTGCCATGTTGGCCACGTTGGTCTCAAACTCCTGACTTCCTGTGATCCACCCGCCTCGGCCTCCAAAAGTGCTGGGATTCCAGGCGTGAGCCACAGTGCCTGGCCTCTCCAGGTTTTTCTTGAATGGCTCCTTTTATCTCCCCTTGGCTGCCTCGTGTTCTGCCTGCCCCTGAGGCCCTGTCCTCAGGGTTCTGCCTTCTGCCTATGGCTTACTTTCCTATCTCTGCAAGCTTCCTATGGGATATTTTCTGTGTTTTGTGTGCGTCTCTCATATCACATGCACTCCTCTTATTTTAGCTTTATCCTCAGGGCCTTCTAGAACATTGGCCCACCATTGAGGCTTGCTTGCTGGGCTACAGTCATGATTCCGAGGAGGATTATATTGTGATTTTATGAAAGTTATCCTTTTTGTTTTATTGCCAATACTGTTCCTAAGGGCAACCAGCATTTTGATGACATTTTTCAATAAAGCAGCACATTGCCTCAAGTCTTCAAGAATTTCCTATTGTTTTCCCATCTTCCACCCCTCTTCTTGCTGACGTGAGGAAATGCTCCTCAATTCAGAGGCCTGGCAGGGTGTGGTGGCTCATGCCTGTAATCCCAGTACTCTGGGAGGCCAAGGCAGGAGGATCACTTGAGCCCAGGAATTCAAAATTAGGCTGGGGAACATTGGGAGACCCCATCTCTACACAAAATTAAAAAATTATCCAGGCACAGTGGTGTACACCTGTAGTCCCAGTTACTCAGGAGGCTGAGGTGGGAGGGTTGCTTGAGCCCAGGAGATCAAGGCTACAGTGAGCCATGATTGCACCACTACTGCACCCCATCCTGGGTGACAGAGTGAGACCCTGTGTCTCTAACATAAAAAAGAAATAGAGACTTGAAGGAGCACCTATGAGTCTCAAACAGTGTTCTCTGGTTGGGGTCCTTCCTCTTTGATCTATGTAGACAGTTTCTGTAGGTGCACCCTCTTCTCTCTTGCCCACCTTCATTAAGCCTCTTTCAAACCTTCCTGCTCCTGTCTACAGAACCAACATCCGCTCTTGACCTGTAACTAAGTACGTTTTGGGCAGATTCTGTGAGCCCAGTTCTATGCAGTGGAAGCAGCAGTAAAAAGAGAAAGGCCTACCCTGGAGGAAAGTCCATTTATGAGGCCAACGCGTCTTTACCAGAGAAAAGTATGCAACTGCATGTTTTGCTACAAATGGAGACATTTTTCCAAAGTGTGTTCATTTCTTGTTGCTGCTGTAAGAAAGTATCTGACAGGTCTGAAGCCAGAAGTCTGAAAACATTTTTATTGGGTGCCGAAATCAAGGTGTCAGCAGGGCTGGTGCCTTCTGGAGGCTGTAGGGCAGGATCAGTTTCCCTGACTTTTGTAGCTACTGGAAGCCACCAGCATTCCTAGGCTTGTGGCCCCTTCCTGGCATCACGTTAACCTCTTGCTTCCATAATCATGTCTCCTACTTCCTCCTATGCAGTCAGATCTCCCTTGGCCTCTCTCTTATAAGGACATCATAATAACATTTAGGGTCTACCTAGATGGTTCACAATAATCTCCCCAGCTCAAGTTCCTGAATTTAATCACATCTGCAGAGTCCCTTTGGCATATAAAGTGACACACACAACTTCTGCAGATGAGCATATGGATACCTTTGGTTGTGGGGGGACATTCTTTAGCATACCATGGTATCTTACGCCAAATTTCACCTGCCCTTTTCCTACCCAGTCACATATCTTTGTAACACTTTCTTGAGTTTTATTCTGACTGTAGACTGCTAGGTAATAAGACATTTTCCTTTAAGTACATGCAAATGCACATACAAGTTGACTTTGAAAGTCAGCTTTCAAGGTGTACTGACACATCTTTAAGAAAGAAAACCAGTTTAGAGGGTGTGGTTTCTGTTGTCAGTGCTTTTGTTTAATTTCACACACACACACACAAATCACACCCTGCCACTCTTATTTCCTCATTCAGCCTGTTGAAAGAGAGCCCCTGTGAGGGCACATCAAAGTGTCAAGGGAGGCATCTGAGTCATGGAAAGATGTTGCGCTGGCTTGCTTAGATGCGGGTGAATGGCCACCTCTTTCTAGTCTCTGAAGTCCCAAAGCCCAGAGTGATGGATGCTTTTCTCCATGTGATCTGTCTGCTGCACGTCTCGGTTCATCTCCAGCTTTCCTGGCTCCTCCTTTGCTTTCCTCAGCTTCACCCGCTGCCTTCAACACCCAGCTGGAGAGATTTTCTTGAGGCCTCTGTCCTCTGTCCACTTCCCCGCTCTGTGGCATTTTTCTTTGTTAATCTTATCCCCTTATAGAGCTTCAACACTCATCCATGAAGATGCATTCCAGATCCATGTTTCTAGTGTAAAATATGAAAAGTAAATATTCCTTTGACAGTTTCCTAAGACCCCCTCTTATTTCTCTTGGTTAAAGATGTTTGAAGGATGACACTTTAATTTATAGACCTTATATATTTTAATGGCTCATCTTGGTTGAATATTTGGTATGGTAATTCTCTTATTCCAAGCATGCATCCAAAACAAACCTTACTTAAAAGAAAAGCAACGAAAGATGCATTCTAAACAGATGCATTTGTTAGTTAGCAAATTACACTAACAAAAATTTGATTTACAGCATTAAAGTTTAGAAAACCAATGTAAACACAGCTAATGGGTCCATTCATTGCTTCTCACTTATAACACCAATGGGGGTTTGATTATGGTGCTCATGTAATGAATGAAATCCCACTTCCCAGCTCACACTCTCACATAAAATAAAATAACACCATGAACCATAAGTATATGTTTGCTAGAGAACAAACCATTTTCCAAATAGAATTGCTTAGCTATTGCCTTTAGGTTAAATATCTCAAGTCTCTGGGAAAATCTAACTCAGTGAAATGGAATAATAAGTTCCAAGTGAAATGATAAGGCTTTCCTCCATTGAAATCTATAATCTTTTTTTGTATGTGGCTATCCTCTGTTCATCATATTATATTACCAGTAGTTTTAACACTTTCTCTGGGTTGAGCTGTTTTTGTCTGATTTTTACACTTATTATATTTATGATAAGGAATGGGAGCAGTATAGTGTTGGGTTTCAATTCTGAAGTAAAAATTTCTTACTACACTCCTTCTAAGTTCTAGTTCATTTGCTAATTAAATGCTTGTCAAGTTTAGGAAGAATCAGATACATATCTTCTGCTTCTAAATCTCTTCAGAAAAAAAAATTACAATCTACTTGGATACTAGAACAATTATCTATATTGCTTGTTCTTACCATAATTTCTTTGCCTTGTGGACATTACTGTATTCAGTGGTGTAAAATGTTCGTAGCTTTAGGCCTCTACAAACCATACGCTGTCAGATTTCCTTTCATTGGCTTTTTCTAATAGCTTCTAAAACCATGACTACATTTTAAACGCATGGAGATATGTTGTCATGAAGATATGTTTGTAAGGAAACCAACAAAGCCACAAATGAGACTTGTCTCTTCGAAAGTGGGCAGTGATTCTTTGTAGAATCTGTTTGTTCATTCACTTATTCTTTCCCCATTTGCATACCTGTTCATCACCCACTTACTGAGTGTTTAGTGGGCAGTACCATTTGCTTTGCTATAATAATAATATAATTTATTATAACTTAAATAATATCTATCATATCTAACGATAGATATTACTAAGCATAGAGTTTGCTTTTCATGAGCCCATAGTCTAATACAGTACTGTTATAAAAAATTATAACTAAAGGCCGGGCGCAGTGGCTCACACCTGTAATCCCAGCACTTTGGGAGGCCGAGGCAGGCGGATCACGAGGTCAGGAGATCGAGACCATCCTGGCTAACACGGTGAAACCCCGTCTCTACTAAAAATACAAAAAATTAGCCGGGCTAGGTGGCGGGCGCCTGTAGTCCCAGCTACTCGGGATGCTGAGGCAGGAGAATGGCGTGAACCAGTGGGGCGGAGCCTGCAGTGAGCCAAGATCGCGCCACTGCACTCCAGCCTGGGCAACAGTGAGACTCCGTCTCAAAAAAAAAAAAAAAAAAAAAATTATAACTAAAAATAAATATGTAAGGCCAGGCATGGTGGCTCACACCTGTAATCTGAGCACTTTGGGAGGCCAAGGCGGAAGCATGGCTTGAGCCTAGGAGTTTGAGACCAGCCTGCACAACGTAGCTAAATCTTGTCTCTGCAAAAAATGCAAAAATTAGCTGGGTGTGGTGGTGCATGCCTGTAGTCCCAGCTACTTGGGAGGCTGAGGTGAGAGGACTGATTGAGCCAGGGAGGTAGAAGCTGCAGTGAACCATGATCCCATCACTGCATTCCAGCATGGTCAACAGAGCGAGACCCTGTCTCAAATTTAAATATGTGTGTGTGTGTATATATATATATATAAGTATATGTGTATATATATATGTTATATATATATAAGTATATGTGTATATATATATGTTATATATATATAAGTATATGTGTATATATATGTTATATATATATAAGTATATGTGTATATATATATGTGTATATATATGTATATATGCAAATAAAATCTCTCTTTTCATTAGACCATGAGACCTGTGAGGCAGAAAGCTCAACCTATGTCTTTGCTTTTGTAGATGAGTAAGATCTGTGATCTGATCCTGACCTGGATTTGAACCTGGATACTTTGTGTACTAGCAGCATGGTCATTACCAAGTTACTTATTCTGTTTTACCTCAGCTTTCCCATCTTAAAATGATGATTGTGGGAGTGGGTGGATGGTGGGGGCAGTGTAGACAATAATATTACCTTGCAGGATTGTTTGTAAAAACAAAGATGAATATAAAGTGCCTGACACTTAGTAGGCATTTAACAAATGTTAAATGAATACATACCCTTGGAATTAACAGAAATGAAAGACTACTCCCAGCTTGGATGAATAGAGAGGGCTTCTAAATGTTTTATCTGATCTCAGAGAATCTGGGGGGAAGCACACTTTTGAAATAGAAAATCATCCTCCCCCCCCTTTTAAATGCTTTTTGATTTCTTTTTCCTGTTGTTCAGGCGGGCATACACAGTTTCTATGATCCTGCTCTAATCTTTACTTACACCTCTTCCGAAGGCAGCATGCCATCCGTGACCCAGGCTGAAGGGAAGGACTTTCCAGCAGCCTCAATGCTTGAGGAATGGGGGGCACTGTGGACTGCTCAAGGGGAAGGGGCCGGTGGGATGCTAGACGGTGGCAGGTGGCTATTTTCACGTAGCAGTCAGCAGCAAATGAAAGAGGTGTGTGGAGATCATTCTCCCCAGAGGCCATTCATTTCTCTACAGCTGAAAGAGCAATGGGTTGATCCAAAACAGGACCAAAAGTTCAAAAGGATTATGACAGATCAGCAAGCACCCCCAAGTTTATCTGGATAAAAAACCATAAGCACCCTCCAGTGTTGACAAAGCTCCAACATCTGCAAAGGCTGAAAGGGGAGGATCTGAGCTGTGCTAAGAGGGCTGTTACATTTCCCTAAATGCATGAAATGGATCCAAATTAAAATGAAGTACCTTTTACATTGGTGACACCTCTCTAACCTTAAACTAAGATGGAAACTACTCCAGGCATGATGCAAGTAAAAGTATTTCCTGAATTATAAGCACCTAATTATGATTGTCTGATAAATATGAATGACTGGTTGGGCACTGATTTCCCTCAGATCTCTTACACCCTTTTTCACCTTCCCCCTTTTACGTTTCCTCCTCTGTCTTGGCCCAGCAGCACCCTGATTGCCCATGCAGTGTGGCTGATACAAGGCTGGTACCACTGTGCTGCCTTTGCCTCCTCCCTTTCACTGCTCTATTAGTTCAAGCTGAGACTAACTTTTTCTCACACATCCTATCCAGCCTCCTTCCTTCTTCCCTTACATCTTCCATCTCCTGTCCAGTTAGATTAGAAAAATTAATATTAGTTTTTCTACCAAGAGTTGATGCTGTGGAATGAAATAAGGAATACAGGGTCCCTGCCTTTACTGAGTTTAAAATCTAAATTAGAAAATAATTTATCTCTCCCTGTGTCTATCTATGTATAAACTCATCATGAAATGAAACAAGGTGTGTAACCTGGCATGACTCAAAAGAAAGTTACCCATTTGTTACAATACTGTAGCAAAAGTCAGTTTTACAAATGTCTTTCTTCTTTCATTTATTTATTCTTTCTCTCTCCCTCCCTCCTTCTCTGTCTCTCTTCCTTTCCTCCTCTCTCTCCCTTTTAAAAGAACCATTTTGTAGCATTTGGTCTGTTCTATGCTTTTCCCCTATTTACAGTTTATGATTATGTTTATTTTTCAGTTACACATTGGTATGGAAAAAAACGCATGCATGCTGGGTGGGGACCTCTTTGTCTCTCCTTAGCCTTTTCCTTTTCCCTGTGAAATCAGATATTCACAAGAAAGGGCTAAGATCACAGCACGTGTTAGCAAATGTACTGAGTAGCCTGTAATCTCTCTCTCCTTCTGTGCTTCCATTTCCTGACTATCTAACATATCAGGGAGTGTTTTTCTGCAGTGCTGGCAGGATCAAAAGTCAGGCAAAGACGATTCGGGTTCCATTTCTATTATGATATAATTGTCCTATCTGCATGATAATACACACATATATTCCTGCTAAATTATCTACAGCCTAAGCATTCATTCATGCCCCAGAGAAGATGATGAATGTGCCAGATGCTTCCATTTGTGGTAAGATCACCAGGATGGGTGGAGCAGGGCAGTTTGCCAACTGTTTGGGTGGCTATTTGTCAGGAGAACGAGTCATCTCTGCAGCTCCTGCTGCACCACCCCTGATATTGGTTTTAATGTGCTGCACTGGAAGAAGGCCAGAGTCCCTACACCAAAGGCCAGAGTCCCTGCACCCATTTAATGCAATGGTATATTTCCCATATTACCCTTTTCCTCCCTGCAAGTCCCCGGCTCAGCCATTCTGTGCCTGTTGCGGATGATCTGCGTTTCCCTGAGGCGTGGTCTGAGGCTTTGTTCTGAGAATGGGACTCCCGTTTTATATTTTACATTTGGTCCTTGAAATACAGGGCTTGGGTCAGGACTTAGCTTAGAAACCGTATGATCTAATTTTCTTTATCTTTTTTTTTTGACGGAATCTTGCTTTGTCGCCCATGCTGGAGTGCAGTGGCGCGATCTCGGCTCACTGCAAGCTCCGCCTCCAGAGTTCACGCCATTCTCCTGCCTCAGCCTCCCGAGTAGCTGGGACTACAGGCGCCTGCCACCACACCCGCTAATTTTTTGTATTTTTAGTAGAGACGGGTTTCACCCTGTTAGCCAGGATGGTCTGGATCTCCTGACCCCGTGATCCACCCGCCTCGGCCTCCCAAAGTGCTGGGATTACAGGCGTGAGCCACTGCGCCCAGCCGATCTAATTTTCTTGAAAGTGATATCATTCAACTCTTCCTAAGCTCTTAAAGTCAAGGGACCCTCTAAAAGTATTATTATTATTATTATTATTATTATTATTATTATTATTATTATTATTATTGAGACGGAGTCTCACTCTGTGGCCCAGGCTGGAGCGCAGTGGCGCGATCTCGGCTCACCACAACCTCTGCTTCCTGGGTTCAAGTGATTCTCTTGCCTCAGCCTCCCAAGTAGCTGGGATTACAAGCGTGCACTACTATGCTTGGCTAATTTTTGTATTTTTATTAGAGACGAGGTTTCACTGTGTTGGTCAAATGAAATACTCGAAAAGCTTGTGCCAGCAGACCAGGATTTTTAAATAGGTGCTTGAAGGAGAAGAGAAAGAGAGGAAATGCTCTGCTCCCTCCCAGCACTGGGAGGAGCACAGGGCTGCCCATGAGTGGGCCCGAGGCCATGCCGGAGCCATCTGCGAGGATTTTGGTGGGGGCCCGCTGCTCTGCAAGCCTCGTGATGTGTGAGCTGCTGCGTTGCCATGCACTGGGCAGGAAGGGGGCTCCGGCTCCTCGGGTGGCTTTTGTGTTCTTGAGATAGACTGAGCTGGCTTGACTTGGGATCAGACCTCCCCTGCTGTCCCATTGTCTTAGCAAGTAGTACTGGGGCGGAGGAAGCCGAGGGGAGCGCTGATCTGAAGTTTTAAACAGAGCCCCAGTGCAGGCTTCCCTGGGTCAGGATCCGAGGCAGGCCTGTCTGCGTGCTAGGGCTGTGTGTCTCCGGGGCGCATGAGGCAGCTGATAAAAGAAGCTGTGTGGTATGGGCTGTGGGAAGGAGAGAGCTTTATTTGTTCTGCATTCTGCAGTGTGATTATGTTAACCTGTCTGTGTGACCTTGACACACACAGCGGAATTGCCCGCTTGTGTGATGTGACGAGGGCCAGGTGATTACTTTTATTTGCTAAATTGGGACTGATTTGGACGGGGACACCTGGCTACTTAGAGTGTGTGTTTGTTTATCTGCCAACTTCAGCAATCAATCCAGGGTGGGAGGGCAGGCATGGTGACATTTCAATGTCTTGGTCAGAAGTGTGGAAATTCTAGTTGCAGCTTACATCTATTTTCATGGCCATCTTGATTTGTATTGCTGTTGGGTTTTCTATGAGCCTGGAATGCCTGTAAAGCTAAGATTCAATGTGAAATCTCAGAAGCCTTCATCTAATTCATTCTGAAACGGATTGGATTTTTACTCTAATAATAAATCTAACAAGTTTGGGGGACACTTTTGAGTCCACTAATGTTCCTTCTCTTATTTTTGGGGTGTTAGTCAACAAAATCCACCAGTGTGGAAGCCTCAAGGCTTTCTTCTGTATCTTGAGAGACTCCTTTTGAGTTTGCCTATTAGCTCTCCATGGCTAATGATGTTTCCCTAATCATTTTCAAAGAATTGGATATCATTGCAACAATGAAGTTATATAAATTCATTTTTAAATTAAATTCCAGTGTTTAAAAACTATTACCTTATTATATAATGTTCAATGTTAAAATGGTTAGCTGAAAAGTCAAATTATCCCAGTGAGAGTATATTTATTTGTAGAATTTTCCAAGAACAACATTTGTGAATGTTGAGAAAAAAATAGGTAGAAATAATTTAAGATCAAAAACACGCCAAGACCAAAACATCAAAACGTCTTTCTCTGAAAGACGTTATTGGGGGAAAACTCAAAAACCGTCTGGTTTAGATTATAAAATATAAGAGTAAAAAGAGTAGTGGTGTTTGAGACATCAGCTTTATACTTCTGGAATTTTATAATTGCACTGTCTTTCTTTCTTTAAAAACAAAGCAAAACAAAACCTTTTGTTTTTACTCTTTATGTTTTATTCCCTCTTCAGGGGAGGGGTGGTTTGGTGAGGCTGAAGGGATATGTCACATATGATATTAAGGGAGGCCCGTGTGATTTCTTTCTTTACTTTTCATATCTCAATTCCCTGGCCATTCAATTTAGTTCCGGAGGTGCTGACAGCTGGTAATATGTTAAACTGCAATCCACTTTTTGGAAGTTATTGATATTTCCTAACTGAGGTTTAATGGTGTGAGTTGGCTTAGGTGAAAATGTGCCAAGGTCTTGGGTCTCCTGTGCCTCATTCAGGTTTGTTGGAGTTCCAGGAACATACTGCCAGGAGCTAGAAACCATGTTGCTGCCTGGTCCTCCCAAGTCAAATGAATCTCAATTACCTGTGACTTTCAGCGTGCCCTGCATAGACTAACAGAGGGACCAGACTGTGATGCTTTTTGAGGGCTGTTTATTTGTTTGAGTTACAAAAGCTGATGAAGGTCAGAGATTTAAAACATCTACCTCTTCAAAATTAATAGCTGCTTACATTTTAGAAAGTAGTCCCAATTTATTTTAGCAAAAAGCCATTAGGAAAAAAAAAACACGTCAATAGATCTGGAACTAGACAGCAGTGATGGTTTCACAGTATCGTGAATGTGCTAAATGTTACTAATGGTAAATTTTGTGTAATGTCTATTTCATCACAATAAAAAGAAGTCAGTAGAAAAAGTTTACCTTACCCTAGTGGCTAAGAATATTGATGCTGATTATTATTGAAGCTGTGTTGTTTCTAAAGAGGTGGAGGAAGAAATGAATGGATGCATGGGGGTAATACTTCAAACTCAGAATAATTTATTGTGGGCACTAAATTTTATCTATGGAAAGTAGCAAATATCGTGAATATTCTTCTTAATATAGTATTTTCTATTAACAGTAAGGACTTAACATTTGTGGTGGTCACTATTTGTAACAAAACAAAACAAAAGTGGCTTAAGGTGCATAATTTATAGTAATTAGTCATTTTGGAACGATAAAAAAACACTATATATTACAAGTCTACTTGGTCACCAGTAGCTCCCCTGGTTATGTATTGCCAACATATGTATAATAATATTCATGAGGTGATACAAACTTTGCTTCTTTGGGTAAAACAGTCATCACTTAAAAGATAAAAGTTAAAGAAAGATAGAAAATAATGTAGTTTTCATGTGGAGAGTTGGTAAACACATAGATACTGACAGAATCCCCCTTTAACAATAAAGGGCGATTTTAAAACAACTATGAAAATCTCTGAGTTCTAGCACTTGGGATTCATTTATTTCCTTTGTGAATGTCAAGGATATACTGTAATCTACTTTATTCAATACATCAAAACCATAATGAATGGGCTAAAACCCACGGATTGCCTTCTTAAAATAACTTGCTTTTGGTTAAATTAAAGATATATTTGTTGAGTAACTATTGTTTGCAAAGCATTGTGCTGATTGTTTTGGAAGAATATGGAGATTAGTAGGTACAGACTCTGTCCTTACAGAACTAGAAATATCATAGGTAGAAAAGATAGATGCCCAAAAGACAGCAATCCTTTAATAAAAGATTGATAAATGCTGGAAGTGAAAGTGGCCTGGAAGTTCACAAAGGAGAGAGGAAGTGAGCCAGCAAGAGTTAGCGCTTGGCTGTAAGGATGAGAAAAGATTCATAAAAGAGGTGGTGTTTGAAGAATAGATAAGAATTCAGCAACTGAGAAAGCATTTTGGGTGGCGGAACTGAAATGATAACACAAATGTATGGAATAAGAAATGGCTGAGTGTTCAGAAAATGTCTACAATCTTAGTTTGGTTGGGAGTAGGAGATCAATGAGAATTAAGATTAAAAATTGGTCTTAAGTGTTAGGACTAGGAATGTTGTATTTAATTTGGAAAGAATTGGGAAGACACTGAAGGTTTCTGAGGAGGCACTGAAATGATCCAAGTTGTGCTTTGCTGCTAGGACTGGACTGAGTTGCTTGGGAAGAGATCTGCAGAGAGCTGATAGAGTGCCCTCTGAAGAAGAGAGAGCAGAAGGAATGAGGGCCTGGGCTGGGCTGGTGGCAGTAAGAAAAAGAGGCAGAATGTACATGATTTGGCAATCAATTGGGTGCAACTGGATTAAGAAAGTTCTTGGGAGATGGCAACATAAGTGTGTCCAAGCTTCCCCCAAGCACATACCCCTATCCTGAGCCGAAGCTTGCTGAGGCCAACAAGCATGTTAAGAGCTACAGGGGGTAAGGATGGCCCCACCTCTGACTGATTCAGTTAGGGAGGATTGCTGCAGGATTTTTCTCCTGGGACCCTTATGAGAACCTGGAGTTAGTGAGAAGAGCCTTGGTGAGAAAAATAAAATAAATTGTATCCTGGTCTCCAGAGATGGGCATGTTGGTGATGATGTTATAAACAGAATAAAGAACTTCTGGCTTCCAGTCTGGTGTATAAGAAAATTAGAAGTCATCCCTTCCACAGTCACAGCAAGAAAAAACTTAACAAACTGAAAATCAACAACTCTTTCTAGATCCATGAGAGAGTTGGGTCATAGGACAAACCATTTTTTCCCAAATTAGAGAGACAGACAGGAAGTTACAGAAAATCACAGCTCACTGAAGCAGAAACCCAGGAGCAGAAACCTCTATGAGAACCAGTATTGGGTTCCTTTTACCCAGTACATCCCATTCAGCTTTCAATAAAAAATTACAAGTCATACTAAACGACAAAAGCACAGTTTCAAAAGACAAAGCAAGCATTAGAACCAGACTTATATATGGCAGAGATGTTGGAATTATCACAGTGGAAATTCAAGACAATTAATACGGTAAGGGCTCTAATTGAAAAAGTGAACAACATGCAAGAATGGATGGGTAAGGTAAGCATAGAGATGGAAACTCTAAGAATCAAATGGAAATACTAGCAATAAAAAAAAATTCAACAGAAATAATGTCTTTGATGAGCTTCAATACACTGGACATGGCCAAGGAAAAAAGTCAGTGCGCTTAAAGAAATGTCAATAGAAACTTGCAAAACCATGCAAAGAGAAAAAGATTTAAAAAGGCACAGTATATGTAAGAGTTGTAGGACAATTACAAAAGATGTAATACGTAATGGAAATACTAGAAAGAAAAGAAAAAGAAAAAGGAAGAGAAAAAATATTTGAGGGAATAATGACTGAGAATTTTCTAAAATTAATGATAGATGCCAAATCACAGATCCAGGCAGCTCAGAGAGCATGAATCAGGAAAAATACCAAAACAAAGAAACAAACAAACAAACAAAAACAACAACAACAACAAAAAACTGTGCCTTGGTAGATAATATTTAAACTGCAGAAAATCAAAGACAAACAGAAAAATCTTGAAAGAAGCTGGTGGTAGGAGGGTGGGGAAATACCTTACCTAGAGAAGATAAGAATCACATCATAGTTCTCTTCAGAACCCATGTATGTGAGAGTGGAGTGAAATATTTAAAGTATTGAAAGAAAGGACACACTAACCTAGAATTCTGTGTCTGGAGAGATTGTCCTTCAAAAGGAAGGGATAGGCCAGGTGCAGTTGCTCATGCCTGTAATCCCAGCACTTTGGGAGGCTGAGGTGGGAGGATTGTTTGAGCTCAGGAGTTCAAGAGCAGCCTGGGCAACATGATGAAACCCCATCTCTACAAGAAATTAGTCTGGCATGGTTGCACATGCCTGTAGTCTCAGCTACTAAGGAGGGTGAGATGAGATGCTTGAGCCTCTGGGCGACAGAGAAAGACCCTGTCTTAAACATAAAAAAAAAGAAGAAGAAATAAAGACGTTCTCAGACAAACAAACATTAAGGAGGTTTGTCACCAGTCAACCTATGTTTCAAGAAGTGTGAAAATAAATTCTTCAGAAAGAAGGAAAATGTTGTAAGTAGGAAAACAGAATCTATGTAAAGAAAGGAAGATCATTTGAGAAGGAAAAAATGAAGGGAAAATAAAAGGGAGAGTGTAACACTGGACTCGGTAACTATACGTGCCACTCTCCTCTGCCTCCCAAGGTGCCATGGTGGTCCTGAATAAAGGGGTTCCCACTTTCTCTACTTTTAGGCTGGATGAGTGTGAGAAGGCCAGAGAGCAGAGAGGCATCAACTTGGTGCCTTGCCAGGGACCTAGCAGCCAGTGGGCCGCCTGGGAAAATATGACTGCATCTTCCACCATTCAAGGAGTTCCAGGAGTTGTACCTGAGGGCCAGTGTACAAAGGAGAAGAGCAGCCCAACTGAGGGGGTTTGGGAGCCAGAGGCAGGGAGAACACAAAGACTGAGACCTGGACCCTAATGAAACTGAGCAACGGGAGAAGACAGGCATCAACGTGAACAGAATAGGAGCCTTAGGGAGATTCAAGTGCAGTACCGAAAACATTTTCTGGGATAACAAACCCAGGATGTTATTTAACATTGGAAAATTGGTAGGTAAATTAAAGGAGAAAATGGCCATTACTGAGTAGCAAATAGTGAAAAAAACAGAGTATATAGATCTATGAAACCTGATACATGGATTAAAGAAATTTCAGAAGAAGAAAAAAGATGGAGATGGAGGAAAGAATAATTGAGTACATGGTAGAAGAAAATTTTCCTGCGTTGAAGAAATTTATGAGTCTGGAGTTTGAGAGAATTAAATGAATTCCTGGTGGGATTGATTGGGTGGGGCGAAATAAAGATGTACATTTACTATATTCTGGTAAATTTCCTGACCCCTAATGATAAAAATAACATCTTACAAGTTCCCAGCTGGGAAGAACAAATTACTAAGAAAGGGTCACAATCAGACTAGACTGAATTTTTTAAAATGTATTCCCCTTTATGCTAGAAAATGGGGTAAATAATAACATCCTTAGGCTACTGAGAAGATAGGACTAAGATTGAGAATTCAATACCAGACAAGATAACACTTACCTGGCAGAATAAAAGATATTGGTGAATTTTCAAGGATTGAAGACTATATCGTCCATTAAAATTTGTTCTGGTTTTCCTATTATTTTATCTATTTTAGCACTGAAAATTCTACCTCCTGGAGAACCATTTAGTCACAGGCAAACCTGGACAACTAGACAACTTGTAATATAACCCACCTGAAGAAAACCAACATCAGGTGGAAAAAGAATAGAGACTTTAAGGTGGGGAGTTCTCAACCAGGGGTGATTTTGCCCTCCCCTCCCGTGTTGTCCTCTTTCCCCTTCAGAATTTGGCAATATTTTTGATTGTCACAATTGGAGCAATGGAGGAGAGAGTTCTACTACTAGCTAGTGAGTAGAAGCCAGAGATGCTGCTAAACATCCTGCAAGGCACAGGATAGCTCCTCACAACAAAGATTTATTTTGCCCAAAAGGTCAATCGTGCCAAGGTTGGGAAACTCTGAGATGGGGGAAGACAATGAGAAGTGGAAAGAGCTGTAAGCTACAAACCTTGCATATATATTTAGATATGTGAAATTTAAATGTAAGTGGATAATGAAAGATTGTCTTGGGATGTGTAATGTAAAAACCTGTGAAAGTTTCTTGAAATAGAAGAGACAAGCTGCAGAGAAATCCCAATACTGATCTAAAAGTTTGAAACTGTCTCCCCAAAACCTAGTCATTGGGGGTAGAGATAGAAGAGGCTGATGAAACAGGTGAGGCATTCAAGTATTTTCCAAGTTTTCAGTTTATTGGAATGGGAATGAAACTAGCCAGGTATAAGATGTCTTAGAGTAGAAAGTCATAGATATCTTGTTTTCACATAATAGTACAAAAATTGGTATGTCAATACCAGGAAAATGTTTTGCCAGGAAAGGGAATTAGTGGAATGAAAAAATACATCAGAACTGCTATATTAGCAAAACGTTGAAAGGGATTGAGCAGCAACTTGAAGAAACCTGGGAAAATATGAGAAATGATGCAGGTATTTGGAAGGGAGCAATGTCCTGCCAGTCAGTTTTGCCAACCATGATTCTAAGAGGGTTGAATAATGTCACTGTTTTATTTCTGTATACTATCCGGAGGCTGAAAATCCATAGCCTTGTAATAAATATGTGTGACTTATTTCAAAGTTCTTAATGAAATAGTACAACAACAATTATTACTTTTCCGCTGTCCCAAAACATGTAAGTAGGTCTATGGCATGGCATTATTGGTTAATACTTGTCTCCTTCGCTAGACCCCAATCTTCATGACGGTAGAAATCATGTCTCTTCTCTCTCATCATTGCATCCCCGACAACCTCTCAATGTTTATTAAACAAACAAATCAATAACAGCCTCTCAATCTATGATTAGAAGACTAGATATAAGGAGAAAAAAAGCCCCAAGCAAAAGTTCAGGCAGTTGCACATTTTACTGAGATTTGTGGAAAAGAAACAAAGGAGAATGTAACAATGAAATGCATGACCTGGCGGAGTGCGGTGGCTCATGCCTGTAATCCCAGCACTTTCGGAGGCCGAGGCAGGTGGGTCACTTGAGGTCAGGAATTCGAGACCAGCCTGGCCAAAATGGTGAAACCCCATCCCTACCAAAAAAAAAAAAAAAGGGCACAGTGGCTCACACCTGTAATCCCAGCACTCTTTGGGAGGCCGAGGCGGGCGGATCACGAGGTCAGGAGATTGAGACCATCCTGGCTAACACGGTGAAACCCCACCTCTACTAAAAATACAAAAAAATTAGCCGGGTATGGTGGCGGGCGCGTTGGCGGGCGCCTGTAGTCCCAGCTGCTCGGGAGGCTGATGCAGCAGAATGGCGTGAACCGTGGAGGCGGAGCTTGCAGTGAGCCGAGATCACGCCACTGCACTCCAGCCTGGGCGACAGAGCGAGACTCCCTCTCAAAAAAAAAAAAAAAAAAAAAAAAAAAAAAAAAAAAAAAAAATTAGCTTGTTGTGGTGGTGTGTGACTGTAATCCCAGCTACTCAGGAGGCTGAGGCAGTAGAATTGCTTGAACCCGGGAGGCAGAGGTTGCAGTGAGCCAAGATTTCGCTATTGCACTCCAGCCTGGGAGCCAGAGTGAGACTCTGTCTCAAAAATAAATAAATAAATAAATAAAATGCATGACCTTATGAGTCAGTGAAGTCTGACTTGAAAACCTAGGAGACTCAATTTGCATAACATAAAAGTTGTAAAAGAAACTTCCTCCTTAGACTAAGGTTGCCAGATTTAGCAAATAAAAATACAGGACACCCAGTGACATCTGAATTTCAGTCAAGCAACGAATAGTTTTCTGCACAAACATTTTCCAAATATTGCAAAGAACATACTTATACTAAAGCAATATTCATGGTTTATCTGAAGTTCAAATTAACTGGTTTCTTGTATTTTATGGGGTAACTCTACCCTAGACCATACGTAGTAGCAATATTTTCTGAATAGCTAAAGAAGATTATTCAGGAAATGGGTTACTTTTTTTTTTCAAGTTGGCATTTGAAAAACATTACCCAAATATAACATTTATTAATGTTTTAGTAGCAATCACCTTCTATGAATTCCTGTGACCTTTCAATTATATTTTATTTTCTCTTTAATTCTGTGTTATTTTCTAAGAGACCTTGATCCTGTCTCCTACGGTTATTTTCTGGAACATAATCTCCAAGGTAGTCAAGGAGGAACTATAATCCTAACAGTAAAGGCAAGTTGTATTCGTGTGGTGCTTTCACCCCTGTATCCAGATGATGCTTGCCTCAGTGAAGCAGGTAATATTCTCCCCATTTCATAAATGAGGTCAAAAGTTGTTGCGTACTCATGATAGTTGCTGTGCTGGTATAATGCCATTGAGGAGAAGCAGCATGAGGTACAGGGCTAAACAGGACAGACCTGTCCAATGGCCCTGGGTGCTAACTCCCAGGGTGAGGACCTTCTAGCACATGCAAGCCTGAACTCCATCCTCCAGCTCCGAAATCAAGAAGGAAAGCAGGCTGGGCCAGTGAGCTGTTCTGGACAGGACAAGAGAGAATGAAGTTGGGACAAGGAGACATGAATGTTTCCTGTGGAGCAGATGTGGATTGCACAGGCCAGAGGGCTATGGTCTATCAGTGGTCCAGCAGAATCCCTGTGCAGTGGACCACTGGGAAACTGGGAAGAGGGGGCATTGAGGCAATGGAGGGAAATGCATGGCGTACCACATGGCTGTCACTGTTGAGTTCTTGCAGAGACCCCCAAAGGGATCCTTGAGGGAGTCAGGTCTAGAATTTGCCATGTCCAGTAAGCTCAAAATCAGCTTATGATTTTCTCCATCAAGTGAGGTCATTCTGTTTCTTTCCTCTCCCCCCTCCTCATGCTCCAACTCAGAGGAGGATTTGTTAGGAGCTGCAGGGGTTGGCTGTGGAGGGAAGTGTAGAGAAGAGGAGTAGAACCTAGGTGGCATACTGTGACGTGCCTGGTGGGAGGAAGTGAGGGAAACAGATCTCAACATTGGATGAACGTTGAAGATGCCCTAATTTCTGATTTCAGTCAAATAAGATGACTGTAGGAATATCTACCATGTAGAAATGACCAGCAAAGTCATGGGCCTGCCAGCATTTTAATCCAGGGGTGGGAAGGGAAGTGTTCCCCAATAAACTAATTTTAAAAGGATGGTGGGAGAGTCTTAAAACTTTATCTTGAATGCTGGGTACACTTAAAATATGTAATATACATGTAAATTATTTAATAAACCCCATGAATCCACCATTTGACTGAAGAAATAGAAATGCCTAAAACCCTTAAAGTTCCCTGTGGGCTTCCCCAATCCTATCTTTTGTCCTGCTCCCCGTTAATCAATATCTTGATATTTGGTTTATTTTCATTGCCTTCTGTTGTTCACAATTCTATTATACATATTAGGATTCTACAACATGTTTTGTTTGCTTGACTTGAACTTTATTAAATGACATCAAACTATATGTATGCATTTTTCAATTAATTGTGTGCTTCACTGATTCATCCATATTGAAGCATGCAGATATATTTGTTTGTTATCTACTGCTGTATAGTGCCCCACTGTGTGAATAATGTAGCAATGTAATTGGCCGGGCACGATGGCTCACGCTTGTAATCCCAGTACTTTGGGAGACCGAGGTGGGCAGATCACTTGAGGTCAGGAGTTCGAGACCAGCCTGGCCAACATGGTGAAACCACATCTCTATTTAAAATACAAAAAATTAGCCAGGCATGGTGACGCTCACCTGTAATCCCAGCTACTTGTGAGGCTGAGGCAGGAGAATCACTTGAACCTGGGAGGCGGAGGTTGAAGTGAGCTGAGATCGTGCCACTGCACTCCAGCCAAGGTAACAGAGCGAGACTGTCTCAAAAAAAAAAAAAAAAAAAGGAGCAATGTAATTATCAATTTTCCGTTAATAGATACTTGGATTACTGGCATTTTTCTGTTATATGCCACAGTGCTTTAAACATTTTTAAAAGGGCATGTATGCAAGGGTTTGCTCAGGGTATATTCCTAAGAGTGGGATTGCTGGGTTTAGAGTATCACTTTTTAATTTCTACCAAATCCTTTTCCAAATTAGTTGAATCAAATTCTGCCCCTCCATCCCATTTTAGAAATGTCCATTTTTACACATCCCAGGCATCACTTGATATGGTCAAGCTTTTTTTTTTCTTTTCTTTTCTTTTTCTTTTTTTTTTTGAGATGGAGTCTCGCTCTGTCGCCCAGGCTGGAGTGCAGTGGAGAGATCTCGGCTCACTGCAAGCTCCGCCTCCTGGGTTCACGCCATTCTCCTGCCTCAGCCTCCCAAGTAGCTGGGACTACAGGCGCCTGCCACTACGCCTGGCTAATTTTTTTGTATTTTTGGTAGAGACGGGGTTTCACCATGTTAGCCAGGATGGTCTCAATCTCCTGACCTCGTGATCTGCCCGCCTCGTCCTCCCGAAGTGCTGGATTACAGGTGTGAGCCACCGGGCCCGGCCTAGACTTTTAAAATATTTGCCAATCTAGCAGGTTTAACATGCTATCTCATTGTGGTTTTAACTTGCATTTTTGTAATGGCTAATAACCCTATTTTTCATTGCTCTAAATTAATCAATTTCTATAATTTAACCAAATTGGAATTGCAGAAATCAAATGGAAAGGCAGATAGATGGAACACTCTGTCTCTAATTTATACTGCAAATAACAAATGATTTACCAAAATGTATGACAAATTATTCTAGAACAAAGTCGACTTGATTTTCCAGAAATGGTGCTGTAGGTTCTGGGACATATGTGGTCCCATGATGTGACTCTTCCTGCCAGAGCAGACCTCTGGTACCCTGCTGACCACACATGCTGGAGTCTCTACCTGGTTTATTATTTTTTTCCTATAGCTGGGTCAGTGGATGGGAAGTGAAATGATGGTTTGATTACTGCTTCTTTAGTGTTCAACTTGCCAGCAACGAGAACTCTAACTCAGGAAATAAGGTCCTTGGAGCTATCACTTTCAAAAGAAGTTATGAAGAATCTACCAGGCTGGGCATGGCGGTTCACACCTGTAATCCCAGGGCTTTGGGAGGCTGAGGCAGGAGAAATGCTTGAGGCCAGTGGTATGAGACTAGCCTGGGCAACATAGCAAGACTCTTATCTCTACAAAAAAATAAAAAAGACTAGCTGGGCATGGGGCATGTACCTGCAGTCCTAGCTACTTTGGGAGGCTGAGGCAGGAGGGTTGCTCGAGCCCAGGAATCCAAGGCTCAGGTGAGCTGATTTTGCCACTGCACTCAAGCCTGGGTGACAGAGTGAGACCATGTTTTGTTTTGTTTGTTTATTGTTAAAAAAAATCTCCCAGGAAGCAGGTTCCATGACTTCATTTACCATCTAATGCTAATTTGGTTGCCTATGAAGAAGTTCTCCCTAATACCTCCTGCTGTTATTTGAGCAGCCCCCTCCTTTCTTTGATTATTCTTTAGTAGTCTTCAGCATCCTCTGGGCACCACAGTTTTACTTTTTAGTACTCATTCAACTTTTTCCTGTAAGGAGATATATCACAGTTGAAAGATCTTTCAGATAATATCATGTCCTAGCAGGTAACTTGAGATTTAGAGACCTGACGTACCTTAAACACACATTTAAGAACTTTGAATGATTGTGTTCTGTGTCCACAGTGCTTTATAACACAGTCAAGTCCATCCTTCAGAAGTCACGTGTACTTCCCTTTATTAATTATCCTGTCCACGCTGTCTGTGTCAGGCTGAATAATGGCCCACAGGTTTTTGAGAATGTTACACCAGCAGAAGCACAGCCTGCTTGCACTGAACAGGACAAGAGAGGATAGAAGGAAAGAAGCCTGTTGGACTCCCAAAATTCGATAGGCAGAAAACAGGCTTACAAAATGACTCAGCTGCAAACATGTGCTACCCTTTAAAAAAAAAAGCGTGATTCCAAGGGTGGATCCGTGAGCCAAGAGCCACAGAGAATCATTCCCAGGCCCTGAAATGCAATGGAGTTTGCCTGGTTGCATTTGGAAGTTGGTGGGGACCAGAGACTCCTTTTTTCTTTTCATTTTCACCTGTTTTGAACAGCAATGTCTATAACAATTTTGCTATGCATATCCCACTATTGTGTTTTTGGAGCATAAAACTTGTTTCCTAATTTCACAGGTCTAGAGACAGAGAAGAATTTTCCTCTAGGATGGATTATATGCAGATTCATCTGTACCCGATTTAGATGATAAGATTTGGGACTTTTGAGCTGATGAGAAGACTGAGATTTTGGACTTGAAGCTGTAATGAGTTAAGATGTTGGGGGACCTTGAAATGGGGAATGTGCGTGAATCTTTAAGGATCAGAGGGTAGACTGTGGTAGACTGATTAATGACCCATGCCCCCCCACCAATACATTTGCACCCTAATCCCCAGAACCTGTGCCCGTTACCTCACATGGCAAAAGGGACTTTGCAGACGTGATTAAATTAAGGATCTTGCCATGGGAGATTAGCCTGGGTTATCGAGGTGGGCCTGAGGTAATCACAATGGTCCTTACAGGAGGGATGCAGGAGGAGTGAAGCACAGAGGAGAAGGCCATGCAAAGCAGAGATCTGAGCGATGTGGCCAGGAGCCAAGGCATGTCAGCAGCCTCTAGAAGGCGAAAGAGACAAAGAACAGATTTCCCCCAGGGCCTTCAGAAATAAGCAGTCCTGTGACACCTTGATTTTAGCCATAGAGGACTCATTTTGCTCTTCTGACCTCTAAGACTCTAAGACAACATGTTTTGTTGTTTTAAAACACTAAGTTTGTGGGAATTTGTCATAGCAACAGTAGGAAACGAATACACATTCTCTGTTGGGCCAGGGTCCTGACATGCTCTTTTATATTCAAAAACTTTAGCTAGAGCCATTGTGTGAAAATGAATGAGGGAGCAGATTTCTTTTTCCTAGGTGGACTATTTCATTATAACTGGTGAATCTATTTTTTTCTCAAACAAAATAATATTTTTAAACAAACTACAAAAAAGAACTTGAGTTATCGAAAGCCCTTTATAAAACAAATGTTCTCTAATTTAGCAGATACTACCTGGATTATAATACTTCAGCTTTTACTAAATATCTAAACTAACCCTACTAAATAAAAAACCTCTCTCTGGAAGACTTAAGGCCTTTTTAGGAAAAAAACTAACAATGACACATAAAATTACCTTTGCCAAAATGTCAGAAAGGTCACAGTATTAATATTCTTATAAAATCCTGATAGGAAAATAATGCCATGGTTAAAACTTGTGAGGTGTGTCTTTGATGGGGCTGGTTATTCAGGACAAGTTTGGGCAGACCTGGCAAGACACAAGAAAAATGTGTGAGATTCCAATTTTAGGGAGTTAAGAAATTTTTTGGTCTTCATCCTCATGTTTACTTTCTTCTTTTGATTGATCAGAGATGCCAATGGGTGGCATTTAACTCATTTACACTTAATGTATGGATGTGAATTATTTAATTAGAAAATAATTGTTAATGATTTCCATTTGAAAATTATGTTTAGACATGGTAATATCTATGTTGTGAAGCCAACTAACTTATAAGTTAGCTTTTTTCCCCTTTGCATTTGAACTTTTTCCATTAATTACCAGTTGGTGTTTATGTCCCTGTATCAGTAACAGTGCAGTCAGGAAACCAGGCATGTAGGTTATACATGTGATGGACAACCTGTAGGCAATCAAGGACAGTGGGGAGACTTCTACAGATTGGCAACAGCAGGACTCTGCTTCCACACTCAGTGCTTGAAGCCTCATAGGAAGAGGTGGAGCGTTCATCATCTCCCGCTGCTGTAAAGTCACCATAAACGCAGTGGCTTATAACAACACAAATTTACTGTCTTATAGCTCTGGAGATCAGAAGTCCAAAATGGGTCTCCCTGGGCTAAAATCTAGGTGTTTGCAAAGTTTCCTTCTTCTCTGGAAGCTTTAGGAGATAATCTGTTTTCTTTCCTTTTCCAGCCTTGAGAGGTTGCCTTGGCTCATGGCCCCTTCTCCATTTCCAGGGCCAGGATTCACAGGTTAAATGTGCTTCATATCACATCACTCAGAGACGGATTCTTCTGACTCCTCTTCTACATTTAAAGACCTTTGCGATTACCTGAATAATCCATGATGATGTTTCCTATTTTGACATCAGCCAATGAGTGACCCTAATTCCATCTGCAATCTTAATTCCCCTTTCCCATGTGTCATAACATATTCACAGTTTTCAGGGACTAGGACTTGAACATATTGGGAGGCCATTATTCTGCTTCCCAAGTGGTATCACTGGGATTGGAAACTGGGCCACGGCAGGGATTATGGCCATGGATAGAGCAGTGCAAGGACGAGACACATCCCAGACAACATGGGGGAGGAAAGAAAGAAGCACCTTAGCTCCTCACCGCAAAATGGGAAGGGCTCAGTAGGTAAACTCCTGGTTCTAAAACATCTGACTCCTTTCCTTTTCTTTCTTCTTGTGTATTCTCAAAAGCTTGTTATTAGGTGGTAGGGAATAAATTTTCTTCTGCTTATACCTTACTGTGTATATGACAGCTATATACATCTTTATGATGTATACCAATATAATGGAAAAAGGACTGACTCAATCAAAATAGACATACCAAGCCACACAAAACTGTGTCCCCTATATACCTTGAGTTGTTTGTGTGGGAAAAATCATATGATTAGAGCCATTCTCCTTAAGCACTTTTCATAACAATGGCTAGTGCAACAATTTGTAATGCAGCCTCTATGGCTATAGAATTCTTCCTGGACTCAGGCCAAGTGAGGTGAGTGTGGGGGTCCAAAAACTGTGTGGGTCATTCAGGTTTTTCCCAAATGCTGGAAAAAGATTGCTCATTATAATGTGCTTACAAAAAAACCCCAAAAGTCATTTTCCTGTCATTCTGCAGAAATTTACAGCAAATGGGATTCAGAGGATTACTGCATGAAGGAAATGTCAGTGTTAAATCTATAGACAGTCCCTTTAGTGCTGCATGTCATAAATTAAAAGCAAGCACTAGTGAAAAGGCTTGGTGAAGGGGAAAATAGTGAGGCACTAAGCTGATCTTCGTTGACTTTTCTTTCTGGAACACACATGCTTAGCTGCTTTTTCTTGGACCCCTCCCCCCAGCAAGAAATCACTGCATTTATGTGTGCGTCCAGCTCTCTTCAGCTACCTTAGCTATGCTTTTTCAGCAGCTCGCTGCAATGCCAGCATCAGGTGTCACAACTACTATGGTGACTGGGTTAATGGCTGTGCTGTTTTCCCTGGAGAAGCAGGGACAGACAGGCCAGTCTTTGTCTCTGCCAGCAGAGGTCTGAATTTAAAACTTCATCCCAGACAATGTGCCTGGGAGCCATGGGGTTTTCGGTCATTTGGCCTGGCTTATTCTCTGCCCCATCACCAGCTCCGTGAGCCTCGGGCTCACTGTGCACAGCCAGGCGCTTGTTTGAGGAGAGGAAAATGCATCTCTCTTTTCTTCCCTTTATTCTGAGCCCAAGTTTGATTCAAGTTTTTGAAGTCAGACCTGTGAATGGACTCTCTTCTGCTGGACTCGCCTGTGGCCCCAGCAATTCCTGCTCTGAGATACCAGTGCTTGGGAAGCGGGAGGTGGGTGTGGAAATCATGTTTTCATCTCTCTTATTTCTCTTGCCTGTCCTCCCACCACTATGGTTCTAATGCAAGGACTCGGGGCACTGACGCTGGGGGTGCTCATGTGTACTGTCCTCTGAATGCTGCCTCATTGATGATGATGAAGACCACAGCTAGGAATCCCTGAGCTCTATACAGTTCTGAATGCTTCGTGACATTGTATCAGTTTATCCTTAGAAAAACTCCAAGGCTATTAATATTATCTTCTCCTTTTTATGCATGAGGCAAATTGTGGCTCATGAGGTTGGGTAACTGTTATGTACTGAATTGTGTCTCCCTCACCAAATTCACACGTTGAAGCCCAAACCCCAGTACCTTAGAGTGTGACTGTATTTAAAGACAGTCTTTAAGGAGGTAATCAAGGTAAAAATGAAGTTGTATGAGTGAGCTCTTATCCAACTTGACTGGCGTCCTTGTAGATTAGGACACAGACACACAAACCAAGGGAAGTTCTGCTGAGGGCACAGGAAAAAAACATTCATCTCCAAGCCAAGGAGAGAGGCCTCAGATAAATGAAACCTGCTGACACCTTGATCTTGGACTTCCAGCCTCCAGAACTGTGAGGAAATAAACTCCTGTTCTTACCCACCCGATCAGTGGTGCTTGGTCTTGGCAGCCCTAGCAGACTAACACAGTAACTTTCCCAAGCTACACCCTTGGGCAACCTGACTATAGAAGCTATGTTTTCAATGTAAACCCCATGATTATTCTTTGTTATGTATATTTAGCCATTAGTTAATACTTTGTAATATTTAGCATTTAGTAATATATTTAGGCATTAGTTAATATTTGGGAAGGATGTGTTTTTAAATACTGATTAAGTCTCTATCTCCTTTCATATTCATAACATATTTACTGCCAAATTTTGAAAGAAGCCACTCTGAGAACTGAACTCGCCCTACCTAGTTATCTCTAGGTGAGCTGTGAATTTTTCAAAACAAAACTTAGTCAATTTTTCTTCAATTAAAGAAGAAAAACCAACTATGCAAAATAGCTCTTGGTTTTTTAGGGGCAGGAGGTAGGTTTCAGGAAATCAAACAAACAATAAGGTTTGGAAATCCCCCATGAGTGGGGCTTTCTGACCCCAGAGCAGGGGCAGGGCTGGCAGTCTCTCAAAGAAGTGGAGCATTTCTTATTTTTCCAAACGTTGAGACCATGGGTGAGAGGTGAGGGACTGGGGCAGGAAAGTCCACACAGGGCGCGCCTAGGAGGTGCTGGGTAGGCAGTGTCCCATGGAAACCCAGCTGAGCGGGAAGGGTGCCTGCAGCCCTTCTTGGCCAACCCCAGGTAGGCCAGCGACCTACTGGTTGATCCTGATCTACTGGTTGAGAAAGCTTGCCCGAGAGGATCTTACACAACTATGTATTTAGAGTTTTCCAGAAGACTTGCTCTCACTCTGTTTTCTGGTCTATGGTAGGGTTTCACATCAACACATCAAAACAAAGACCCCAAGCATAGGGATCAGGATGTTTGGTGTTTCAAGGCACGCTGGGATTTTTATTTTTAATGCCTTAAGACGTTTATCCTGTTAGTCAGATATCTTTTTTTATGTAGTTCATGAAAAAGCAACATCAGCCCAGTTTCCTGATTTCAGCTGCAGATACAGTTCATAGCATTAGCTACTTCTTCATCAATTTCTTCCTAAAAACTACCCGGGAATCAAAAAAGAATAGTAAACAACAGTTTTTATTGCATCCATATAGATTTCAACAGAGGAAACAGAGAAGAGTCAATGTCTGCAGGAGGTAAGGAAATGTGATCGTGCTGGCAAGTCTTGATTGGCTATGACCTTGAGTATAATCAATAGGCCACTTCCCCTTTTGTCAGGCAGAACTGAATTCCACGTATTTTTTTTTCTAGCAAAGGCACTTACCTAATGATATTAAAATTTTAATTGATTATGCTCGATGTTCTGAAAATTGAAACAGCTCAACTCAAACTCACTCAACCCGCTCGCCCTCCAGCCGCCATTGACTTGTGGATGCAACAGCTATAAATAAATGCTGCCACCTACAGGAGAGAGTGGGTTTGCGCAAGGGCGACTGCATCCTCTGGTCCTCTGCTTTCTGTCTTATTTCCTGCCTGGAACTCATATTTTACTGCTTTTCTTTCCTACCCTCTTCTCCATATGATTCTAAAAATCAGGATATGTATTTGTTTGAATTTCTTGATTTTGTTTTAGAATACAAAAAGAAAACCCCATATTCTGTAGGAAAAATGATTCTTTATAGTGAATCTCCAGATTCTCTAAGACTCATATAGTAAATATTAAAATAGGATGTAAATATTTAAAGCGAAGCCTGGAGAAAATAATTTGCGAGACTCAATGTCTGAACTAGTAATGCAAACACTTCAGACTTCTATTCAGTTTTTCCCCCCTCTTATACCAGAACATGAGTCAATAATGCTTCTCACTCTAAGTGAGTGAGCCTGGATCTGTGTTTTGGAATGGTGAAGAGAAAGCAGATTCCCTCTCTCACAGGATAGCATTTCACATTTATGAAGACGGTCATCACAGCTCCCAGGGTTTGGCCCTTTAGCATGCTTCCTTTGCCTCACCTCATAGACGTGATTCCTACCCCTCACCCCAACTAACTGGCCACTTGCTTCTCTGGATGTGACAATTCACTGTTGTCCTCTCCACTAGCATCGTATTGTTTTTCAGCATCTGTAGCAGAAATGCATGGATCCTGCAGGATTCTGTGAACGCTGCGTTCTATTATCTCCACCCTCAGACATCAACTTGAGTAGCAAAAAGAGCACTTTACACAGTTAAAGGTCTCTAAACCCACTATTAAAAACACAGCATAGGCTGGGCGTGGTGGCTCATGCATGTAATCCCAGCACTTTGAGATCCTCCTGCAGGAGGATCACTGAGGCCAGGAGTTTGAGATCAGCCTGGGCAACATAGGGAGATCCCACCTCTATTAAAAATAAATAAATAACCCAGGAGGCAGAGCTTGCAGTGAGCCGAGATCGCACCACTGCTCTCCAGCCAGGGTAACAGAGTGAGACTCCATCTCAAAAAAAAATAAAAAAATTAAATTAATTAATTAATTAAAAAATAAACAAATAATAAATAAAAACTCAGTGTATATGGTCATTTGGGAGAAGTATGGTGAGTGAGCATGATGCTATTTTATGAGTTCTCACAGTACTGTGCCTTTTTGCCCTCAGAAACTAGCAAAGACAGCACAGGTTGCTGTTTCACTCGTGAGAGTTTCTAGGACGTGTTGCTTCTGCATTTCTCTAGAGTGGTGTGAGCACAGGCTATTTTGTGGTGGAAGAAGAGAGAGTTCTCTGCTTTACAGACTATAGTACATGTGAAATTGTGAAGGAGGCTGTGTCTGGCTTTGGATTTGAGTCTCTCATCTTGGCACCAAGTCCCTCTTATTTTGGAAAACCTCATCTCCACTATTAACTTCAAGGTACCTGTGCTGGGTGGAGGGTGGGATCTGCTATTATCTATGTTGGTGTAGACTTAATTTGCAGGCTAACGACTATGCTTTACCACCCTGAGCAGTATTTGTGCTTTGACTCTTCTCTGTAATTTGAAAAGGATTTTGTTTCTATTAAGGGAACTTCTATAATCTACAATCATGTGGAAGAATGGCTTGGGGGCAGTGGATCTTGTTGATATCCCTAAAAGTTCTTCCAGAAAGGCTATTTTAAAAGAGCTCACATTGTGCCAGCCTGGGCAACATTGTGATACTCTGTCTCTACAAAAAAATTTAAAAAAAATTATCCAGGTATGATGTCGTACACCTGTAAGTCCTAGCTATTTGGGAAGTTGTGGCAGAAGGATTGCTTGATCCCAGGAGTATGAGGCTGCAGTGAGCTGTGATCGCACCACTGCACTCCAGCCTGAGTGACAGAGCGAGACTCTGTCTTTCTAAAAGAGACAGAGAAAGAGAGCGAGCAAGGGAGAGAGAGCGCAGAGAAACAGCTCATATTGTGGTAGGTGAGGATCGCCCTCATGGTTTACATAAACCCTGGGTTGGGACAATACTCATCACCTCAGAGTGTTAATGGAACTATGCATTTACTCACAGTGATTAGGAGGGCTCTGCTCAGGAAACAGGTTTATTTAGGGGAACCATGAAATCAGATTAAAATTCCCTTTTAGGGAAACTGATATATATATATATATATATATATATTTGCATACTGGTTCTCTGCTATATCTGAGTTCTGATTGTTGTGGCATTCAGGGTTAACTCAGACCAACATTTCTGCTAGAGCTTTTAATTATGCATAATAACCATCACACTTTGTTCTTAGGTATCACTTTCATCCAAAGCTCAAAGTGCTCTTCAAGCATTATTAGCTCATTAATCCTTGCAACACTCCTGGGAGGTGGATTGGAGGCAAGATGATTAACCCATTTACCAGACAGGGACATAGAGGCACAGAGGATTTCAGCAACTTCCTTAGGGTTGTATGAGTCAGAGTTGGGTAGAGAACAGAGCCTACTCATATCCACCCCCAGTCTGCCTCTCTGAACCTTCCTTCCTCCTAGGAGCAAAACCTAGTAACATTTGGGTCTTGGGAATTGTCTCTACCTGTTTTCTGCATATCATGTGCTTCAATATACTGAACAGTTTGCCAAAAATGAAGCAAAAAAAAGTTTTTTTATTGAAATGTAAAGCCTATGCTCTTTAAGGGGAAAGAGATTTGTATATTGATCACTAAAACAAAATAGGGTAATCACTTAGAGCCTTCCTAGTCCTCAGCATCTTTTAATATAGACCCTTAAACTTCTCTTACATAGAATCAGGAAATTCCATTTGGCCAAGCAGAAATGAAACTTGAACTTCATAAGGGTTAGGATTCAGTTCATAACTGAGAAGAGCTAACATCTGTCTTTTAAGTTTGACAAACAATGTTTTCTCCTTGGTTTCACTTGAATGCAGGCTAGTTTCACATGGACGTCATTGTCGTTTTAGTGGAGTCAGAGGAGGGGAGGGGCAGTGGTGTGATCTGGTGGGCATCCAAAAGGAGAGTTAATGTTTGCGGAGCCACTGAAGGCCTGGGATGGGGTCAAAGGGCTCTGGAGAGCGGCTGGAGAGGTAGAGTAGCAAATTCAATGGGAAGCCAGGACTCTTCTTGGACCTTTGTCTTTTTTTTAATGATTCATTTATTTATTTAACAAATATTTTTCGAGTATTTATTATATGACAGTCATTGGCTGGATTTAAGTAATTGTAAGGTGAATAAGATGTAATACTCATCTTGCAGGAGTATAAACAAGTGAACAAATATTATATACAGTCATGAGTGATTGTGGAGATATTTACAAAGTGTAGTCAGGGTGAATTTGCTTGAATGGCTGAGAGAAATCTTTCTAAAAGTATCTCTGAAAGACTACATAGAGGGAGGGAGGGTCCAAAGAATGAGAGAGTTTGGCGAGCAGGTCTCTGGGACTAAACTTTTGAGGGTTATCTGTTGAAAGTTTATTGTGATTGACATCATCATTTACAGCAGCAGCAAGTATTTACTGAACTTCTAATGTGGGCAAACTAATATTCAGGCTACTGGGGATATAAACACACATCAGAAATGATTCCAATCCTCAGGCAAATTGTAATCTGTTTAGAAATACAGAATATACTTAAAAATACAAGTAGCAATATAATCGGATATATAGTTACAGCTACTTCGGAACACAGACAATAAGCACAATAGAAATCCAAAGAAAAGAGGGTGATAAATTAGAATGCTAGAATTAGGGACATTTATGAAACATGGGAAACACCATCTTCCACCTCCCTTTTCACTCTCCAAAGGTGTTAATGCCATTGAATTCCACTGCATGTGTGTGGATGACTGATGATTAATCTATTTTATCCATGACCAAAGGCTCCTTTCAAGGTATTTTCTTAGGGTAACAGAATTTAACTAAAAAGATGAACTTAATATTTTTATTAGGCAGGACAACTTGCATGATTAGGACAATGGGTACCAATGACAATGATCATGACATTCAATGCATTATGAGGCATTGACCCTTTGAGCTGTTAATCACTATTTTATTAATCAGTATTTTATAGCAGACAAAAATAATACAAATAAAGCTAGTGAGTGGTCTAAATTAGTGAATAAGTCCCAGCACTAGAAATTACATTAGAACTTCGAATAATGCCCAGACATTTTTTGGATACTCTTTGAAGCTTCTTTGTCTTCCCCACAAAAGCTTTGAAGGAACATAACTTTCAAGTCACAATTTGCCTTGAACACGACTTTCAAGACTTTTAAAAATTGTTCTTCCCTTCTTTTTTCAAAAACAGCTTAATTGAGATATAATTCACATAATCAATTCACCCATTTAAGTATATAATCAATGGCTTTTAGTATATTCACAGATTTGTGTAATCATTCACCACAATCAACTTTAGAACATTTTCGTCACCCCAAGAGGAAACTTCATAGTCCTTAGCCATCGTTCCCAATCCACTAGGTGCTGTTCCCACCTAGCACCCTCTCCCACAACCCTAGGGAACCACAATTCTATTTTCTATCTCTGTGGATTTGCCTATTTTGGACATTTAATATGGATAGATGGTCCTTTTGACTGGCTTCCTTTACTTAACATAATATTTTGAAGGTTGATCCATGGTGTAGCATGTATCAGTACTTCATTTTTTTTGGTATTGTTGAATAATACTCTATTGTATGGATATAATACATTCTATTTATCCATTTATCAGTTGACAGACACATTGGTTGTTTTCATTTTTTACTATTATGAATAATCCTGATATGGACACTTGTGTTCACATATTTTTATGTACAAATGTTTCATCGTTCTTGGTATTTACCTAAGAAGTGGAATTGCTGGATCATATAGTAACATGACCATACGTTTAAATATACATTTAAACATTTGAAGAACTGCAAGACTTTTTCTAAAGTGACTGCACTATTTTATATTCTCACCAGTAGAATATGAGGATTTTAATTTATCCACATCTTCGCCAATACTTTTTGATTCTAGCCATCCTTGTGGATGTAAAGTGGTATCTCATTGTCATTTTAGTTTGCATTTCTTTGATGGTTAATGATGTTGAGCATCTTTTTATGTGCTTATTGTGTTTGTATATCTTCTCTGTATAGATGTTTGTATGTCTTACATGTGTTTGTATATCTTCTCTGGAAAAATGTCTATTCAGATTCCTTGCTCATTTAAAAAAATTTAGTTTGTCTTATTATTGTTGAGTTTTAATAGTTCTTTATATGTATTCATGATACAAATTCTTTATCAGATACCTATTTGCAAAATTTTTATCCCATTCTGTGGGTTGTCTTTTCACTTTCTGTGTGGTGCTTTTGAAATGTAAAAGTTTTTAACTTTGATGATGTCTGGTTTATTTATTTATTTATTTGCTTTTGGTGTCATTTTAAGAAACCATTGGCTAATCCAAGGCACAAATATTTACCCTTAGGTTTATCTACAAGTTTTATATGTTTTTAAGCTCTACATTTATATTTTTATTACATTTTGAGTTAACGTTTTAAATATGGTGTGAGTAGGAGTCCAAGTTTTTTTTTTTTCATGTAGATATTCAGTTGTTCCAGCACCACTTATTGAAAGACTATTCTTTTATCATTTAGTCTTGAGGTCCTTGTGAAAAATCAAGTATCATAAATGTGAGGGCTTATTTCAAGACTCTCGATATATTTCGTTGATCAATATGTACCACAGTACCACACTGTTTTGATTAATGTAGCTTTGTAATAAGTTTTGAAATTGGGAAATGTGAGTTTTCCAACTTGGTTTTTTCTTTTCAAGACAGTTTTGACTATTCTGAGTCCCTTGAATTTTCATATAAATTTTGGGATCAGCTTGTCAAATTTCTTTAAAGAAGCCAGATGGGATTTTTGAGCTGGAGATTGCGTTAAATCTGTAGATCAGCTGAAGGAGTGTTGCTATCTTAACAATAGTCTTTGTCTTCCAATTCATGAATATGGGATGTCTTTTCATTTATTTAGTTCTTTCATAATTTATGTCAACAATGTTTTATAGTTTTTCACGGTATAAGTTTTACCCATATTTTGTTAATTTTATTTCTAAGTATTTTATTATTGTTTATGCAATTGTAAAAAAAATTGTTTTCTTAATTTAATTTTGGTTGGTTCATTGCTACTGTATAGAAATACAATTGATTTTTGTATATTTATCTTGCATCCTGCAACCTTGTTGAACTAATTAGTTCTAATAGTTCTAAAAATGGCTTTCTTAGGGATTTCTATGTACCAGATCATATCATCTGTGAATAGAGATGGTTTGACTTCCTCATTTTCAATCTGGCTGCCTATTATTTTGTGTTTTTGCCTAGTTGCCCTGGCTGAAAATTATAACTTCTTGAGAGGGTACTATAGACCATAGTAAAAAGCTCCATGACCCTCACAAGTTCTTCACTCCTAACTGCTATCATGGGGCTGAGGTATCATGCTGGGATCTACTGCCAGGCCATAAGGGGCAAAACTTATGAATATAGGAAAAAGGAAAAGAGACAGGGAAAAGAAAGAGAAGTGAGAGGAAAGAGAAAGAGGAAATAGAAGAGGAAAGAGCAGTTGGAGGAGGAGGAGAAGGAAAAGGATAGAGAAAACAAAAAGGCAGCTCTCAGGCTGAAGGCAACCTCCCTGAGCTCTATGAAGGCAGTAGTGACAGGAGTGAAGCTGTTAGTTTTTATGGGTGATCTTCTTGCCACCGGGAAAGGTAGGCAATGATAGTAGATCATAGTGAAGGCTTTCATTTCATTTATGGAAGGTAGAAGAATATCAAATTTTTTTTATGTAAGGCGGACAGCTTTAAAGAAAATAGCACCAGGTTGGCAAATGATGTAACACAAGGTCCCATGTAGAAAGCAGCAATACTTTTCTTTGCTAGTGGACCTGAAATGACTTTGAGCCAGGACTGGGAGGGTGAAGCACTGTTTGAGTTGCTGCTCTTCCTTGGCCACTGGTGAAGATCTAGGTGTAAATGAGGGATAGCAGTGAAAAGGCAACCAACCATTTAAATCTAAATGGCCCTACTCCAAATGCTGCTGTTTGCCAAGGACCAAAAGTAGGCATGAAGATTATTGATTTATGATTAACTTGTTCAGTCTCTGGGTGAGGGTGCATATTTTAAACTGGATAAACTGAGAGTAGTTTGATCTAGAAAAAGATGAGCATCTGAAAGAAGGATGAATCTTCAGAGGTTTTGGGGTTATAAGTAAATATCTTTGGGGTCCATGACTTTTTGAAGAAAATTAATCAGAAAAAGTGCATATCAGAATGCAGACAGCACATAGCTATGAACTGTGACACTTCTGGAATAACAAAAGGAAAACAGGACCTTAAGGAAATGGGCTGGTTTAGAATTATGAATCATTGAGCCCATTTCTTTCAGTGATTAATGACGAATCACTGTTTTAACTTTGGATGAAATAATAGGCTGCATCTGAGGAGCTTCATTAATCATCATAAGAATTAGGCTTGTGCCAATTCATTACTGCAGGGTCGACATGTGCTGAACACTTGAGCTGAATTTCAGGAAGGGGTGAACTTTAGGCAAGGGCTTGCTTAAAAGAATGCAAACATTAGGGGTCTATTCTTGCCTGGATGGGTGGGGATTTATGAGTAAAGAATAGATTCTAATGTATCATCCCTCATCTGGAAGCTTAACAAAACACTAACTACAAAGTCTTTGGCTTTTTGGTATTCAGGGTCATGATACAATAGATAACCAACATGTATCATAAAATCTGATACTTTTATCTGTTGTTCACTTTGCATGTTTCCTGTATTCAGAAAGTGATTAACAATCTACTGGACATTTGGATTTCAGCAGGCATGAAAATAAGCAAATTTAGCTCATTGTTCTTCTTTGAAGAGCAAAATCATCCTTGCAAAATCCTAGAATAAAAAAGCTTTCCTTAAAAGCTTCTTACTATAGAGAATGAAAACCTGAGCTACAGACAGCAAAAGAAGAAACCTGGTTCATACAAACAAGAAATCAGGCTAGATTCATCATTTGGTCAACTTCAAAGACCTTGAGCTGAAATGAGGGTTAAAAAGTTGTTCCAACAGATTTAAATTGATGTGCTGCAGAGATATATAGGTAGCGTGTATGTCTCTCTTGCAGTAGCCAGAAGTGATGGGAAATCCAGGGTAATTTCTTGTAGTCCTTAACTCCAACAGATGTGATTTTGATAAAGTAGGAGAAAAATTCACCCAAGTTATGAAAGATGTATATTGTTATATCTTAATGCTTGATTAGTTTTAGTAATCTTTAAGAATCATGAACCCATTCACATCATTTGAAAAGTTGGCTTATTTTTTATAATACATTTTTTTCCCAAATCAAAAGCATATGGGTTTTTTGAAGGAAAAATCAAGGATTGGATCAAAATGTTAAAATCTTATTATTTTTAAATTGACTGTTTTAGAGACCAGGTCTTGCTCTGAGGCACAAGTTGGCCTGAAACTCCAGGGCTCCAGTGATCCTCCTGTCTCAGTCTACCAAGTAGCTGGGACTACACTGTGTACCACTGTGCTGGCTTACATTTGTTTTACTTTATTTTTTTATTTATTTAGACAGAGTCTCGCTCTGTTGCCCAGGCTGGAGTGCAATGGTATGATCTCGGCTCACTGCAACCTCCGACTCCTGGGTTCAAGCAATTCTCCTGCCTCAGCCTCCCAAGTAGCTGAGATTACAGGCACCCACCACCACACCCAGCTAATTTTTTATATTTTTAGTAGAGACAGGGTTTCACTATGTTGGCCAGGCTGGTCTTGAACTCCTGACCTCAGGTGATCCACCTGCCTCACCCTCCCAAAGTGCTGGAATTACAGGCATGAGCCACTGCCCCCAGCCACATCTGTTTTAATTTAAAAGACTAACTATATTTGAGATATTTTTAAATATAGACTTTCTTAAAGTAGTGTTCATCAGTATTTATAGGAGAAAAAGAGTGAATTGAATTTGAAAAACAAACTTGAATCACTTAGAAGTACATATAAAACTATTGGTTATAGCTTACACACATACACATACATGCACACACACACAATTTCACATAAAGCTTCTATTATTGGGATTTAATAGCTTTCTAACTGATTTCTCTGACCCCAGGTTCTTTCTTATCTAGTCCATTTTTTCAACCTATCAGAGAGAACTTCTTTAAGCATAAAACTCGTCTCACTCTGCCTACTTAAAACCCCGGTGAGGTAAGCATTAATGATTCTCAGCTCTTAGGTCTCAGGTTCCTCAGGCTGTGGGAGTGGAGAATGGGGCCAAGGGCAGTGCATGGCCAGGGACATGGGGCCTTCCACACGCCAGGTACTCTCTGTGCCCTGAATAAGGCCTCACAAATACTTGTAGAGACTGTCATTTGTAAATAAGTAAATTAATTTCAAGGCATGTATCATTGTATTCTCTTTTCATACATATTTTCTTAATTATAGGACATTAAAAGTGCAATCATGTTAGGGTAGGAGGTCTCTGAACATTTTTTTTTTTTACTTTAAAAAGGGATCCTCCTACTCCCCAAACTTAGGAATCAGCAGCTATAGGATAAAGGACAAACTTGTCATGGACTGCAACCCGTCACAGCCCAAATTGGACCCGTTGAACACAACCGCTCCAGTTTTAGTTGTTCTCCCGCTCATGCCCGCCCTGCGTCTGTCTGCCTCCAGGGATCCCTTGGAAGCCAGAAGCCGGTTGTAGTTCTGTCTTCCTTTGCTGTGCCATCAGCACTTGTGTGTTCCTGTGTACTACAGCATGTTTCCTATCATGCTATAGTTATTTGCCTGACTACCCTACTAGACTGTGAGCAGATTCCGCCACGTCTTCCTCCTCGACTTCCTCCCTTTGCTCCTTCCCTGGAAGAGGTGGAGGAGCCCTTTGTAGGCTCTCAGTTCAGGTTTGTTTAATTGAACTGTATTTTAAAGCATGAAGCCAGTGCCAGAATATCAAAGTGGTAGGAGAAGGCCATACATGGAATTCTCTAAAAAACAAACAGGAAACAAAACAACACACAAGCACACACCAACTACAGGTGGATGGCTCGCTGTTGATTTTATCAGCCAAATAAAAGATTTCCAACAACGTTGAAGAGATGGAGCACAGGAATGAAAACTCGATATTTAAAGAAACGTAGAATGAAAGCTAAGGCGCATTTTGGAAGCTGGGACGGAAAAACAATCCTGGAACAGGCTTTCATACACAAGCTGGACGGTGGGGCAGCAAACAATAAGGTGTAGGAGGATTAGAGAGAGGAAAATGAGCACGGAGTCCGGGCCTGCCCAGTACGCCACAGGAGGAGTTGCTGGCACCTCCGCGCAGGCGGTGGAGGGTGCTGTGCCTTTGAGCCTTTGGCAAGTTGACAAACAGCCCAGGTGCAGGTGGCTTGGACCAGCTACATGGAAACCCACGGAGATGCCTGGATTTTGTTCCCCTGCATTCAGAAGAATGACACAACTATGGAAATTTTACTGGGTAAACTCCCAGGTACTGTGAAGCTTCTAGATAAGAGTCAGCCCAACTTTGCCTGGAGGCTCTTACCAATATATTGAGACCAAAAGATGGGGCTTACCATCTCTGGAGGCGGGCAAGCAGAGGGCCAGGTGCTCAGTGCTGGGTGGAATGAATGAATGAACCAGGAAAGGGTGAACATACAGTTATGAGGTTCCATGTGACAACTTGCCTGCTGGGAGTGCTCAGGCCATGACAGTTCCAAATTCCATAAAAGGTGGTTTTGGAGGGCTGTGTGGAAGCAGGTGAACTGCCATTCTCCTCTCTCCCATAAATGATCCTGATGGATTTTAGACACTTCCATTCATTTTATGTCCTCATTACTCTGACTGAGAAAGCAGACTTGACACAAACCAGGACAATTTGAAACTATAAGGATTGGTTTGCGAATTAGAGAGAGTGAGACGTGTTCTATCTAAAGGCTGGACAAGAACTCATGTCTGAAATCTTCCTTCTCACTGCCAAATCGAACTGAATAATGTTCTTAGTCTAGGAGACCCTTTTAGTTGGTTTGGACTGCTGTAACAAAATACCTTACACTGGAAAATTATAAACAACAGAAATTTACTGCTCACAGTTCCAGAGGCTGGCAAGTCCAAGATCAAGGTATCAGCAAATTCATTGTCTGATGAGGTCCTGTTCCTTATAGATGGCATCTTCTAGCTGTATCTTCACATTGGTGGAAATGGAGAACAAGCTCCCTTAAGCCTCTTTTAGAAGGCACTAATGCCCTTCATGAGGGTGGAGCCCCCATGACCTAATCACTGCCCCCAAAATGCCTACTTCTTAATACCATCACCTTGGGTGTTAGGTTTCAGCATAAGAATTTTGGGAGGACAAACATTCAGACCATAGCAAGGACTAACCTGGAGATGGCAGCTGGTTCTCCGTGAAGATGAGCATCGCTGCTTCATCTGTGTCTCCCCATTGCGTTACTAAGCACAGCACCTTTGTTTGCTGAATTGAACTAAAATGTCACCTGAGCTGCTTTAAAAATATTTCCCTCATTCCTTGCAGTTTTCAGAATTCAAATTATTGGATTTTCCTTTGGATTTGGTGAAATTGTGAACCAACATATTTTTATGTTCTCTGGTTATTTATCAGCTGAAAGTTAATTCATTCAACAAATATTTATTGAGTGTTTACATCAGGCACTATTCTAGACACTTCGGATTCATCAGAGAAAACCATAAAAATAGCCAGGCACAGTGGCTCACGCCTGTAATCCCAGCACTTTGGGAGGTCGAGGTGGGCAGGTCATTTGAGGCCAGGAGTTCGAGACCAGCCTGGCCAACATGGTGAAACCCCATCTCTACTAAAAATACAAAAAAATTTAGCCAGGCGTGGTGGTGCATGCCTGTAGTCCCTGCAGTGGGCCAAGATCATGCCACTGCACTGCAGCCTGGGTGACAGAGCAAGACTCCGTCTCAAAAAAAAAAAAAAAAACCATAAAAAAAAAATCTCTGCCCTCATGGGTCCTATATTTAGTGCAACAAAAATCTGCAATATTAGTTGCAAATATATGGTAACAGCTAGGTTTCCCTTGTACAATGAAATGAGTGATGTTTAATAGGCACTTTTCTATGCCATTCATTATTGTTGACAACTAGTCGATTTTGCAATTCTGGTATCCAAAAGCTCTAAATGGCTCCATAGATCTCTGTTTTAATCTATTCCAATCTCTGTTTCACTCTTTTTCTATATGTATATACACCCTGAGATAATATGTGCATCCTTAACTACACTTGGAAGGAAGGATGAAAGAGACATATATTATTATGTAATACTTCCATGGGTAAGCCTAAGTCAGTCTGTTAGGGCTTCCAAGAGATCTCTTAAGACCCAACCACGCTAAATATGAATACTAATCCAAGGGTTGGTATTTCATCCTGACTTTATTGTTTCTTCCAGTTACAAACTTCTCACTCAAAGTTTCACTCATATTTATATCCCCCTCTATCTGTGATTACAAAGCTTAGCCCTAAGTCTGGTTTTAACATTTCAGAAGGATCTCTTTTCTTTACTGAGACAGACAGCCCCACTGAGTCAGGGGCCTGAGGGTATTCTCAGTTCAGCCCTCATGTTTAAGATTGTGCTCTGTTGGTTCTAAGTCACATTGCCTTAAGCAGGACAACAGCTTTCCCTGCAAGCAACAGAGAGCATTTTACTTGGCCAGATGCCAGATGGAGGGAAAGGGGTGAGGAGGGATTTTTCCCATCCCCGTTGGGATTCACATATATAATTTTCTACTTGGAGTTTCTCACACTTGACTAAATGCTGGCTGAGGAGCTGGTGTGATCGGGGAGAGGGATTTGAGGGGTTCCATTTGGAGGGGCTTGTAGAGGCTGCTATGCATTCTGGCTGGGGTTGGGGTCATACTCGTATCCACATTCTGCTTCTTCCAGTTACTTCTGTGTGCACTTCCTTTTTTTTTCATTTGCAATGTAAGGAAAATATTACTCTTAAACAGTTGTTCCAAAGTCTAAATGAAGTAATTTCCATCAAAGGCCCTGGCACCTGTGAACTGTTGGAGCAGATGGTGTTGAGGTCCCACTTAGGGTCACCAAATTTAGCACCTAAAAATCCAGCACACCCGGTTAAATCAGAATTTCAGATGAAGGACAAATGCTTTTTAGCTATAATACAATACATAAATATAACCAAATATATTACACAATAGAATATATAATAACATAAATATTTATAAATTTAAATACTTCAGTATAAATATTGCTTTGGGCATATTTATACTAAAAAATTATTTGTTGGTCATCTGAAGTTCAAATTCAGTTCAAATGGCAACTGTAGCTGCTATGGTTTGCATGTGCCCTCCAAAACTCAGGTAGAAACTTAATCCCCAAAGGGTCAGTGTTGAGAGGTGGGGCTCTGAAGAGGCGATTGGATCATGAGGGCTCTGCCTTCATGAATGAATGAATCTATTCATGGATTAATGGATTACGGGTTAAGGGATTAATGGTTTATCATGGGAGAGGAACTGGTGGTTTTATAAGAAGAGGAGGAGAGGCCTGAGATAGTACGTTAGCACTCTCAGCTCCCTCACTGTGAGATGCCCTGCACTGCCCCAGGACTCCACAGACAATCCCCACCAGCAAGAAGATGCGCCCCATCAACCTTGGACTTCCTAGGCTCCAGGACTGTAAGAAATAAATTTCATTTCTTATAAATTACCCAGTGCCAGGTAGTTTATGAAACAGAAAACAGACTAAGACATTAGCCTCACTTCATCCCCTCCTCTGGGCCTGTGCGCTGACTCCCAGCTGCCCTGAGCGTTGGCTGCTAATGGTGCACGGTTGCCCCCTTCTATTGAGGCCTTGGCTGAATCGGAGCTGTCTCACTTGGGAAATTAATCCCCCTCCCACCACCAGTGGGGTCGGCCTGTAACCCTGACTGCCTGGCAGGTGCAGAAAACATTGGCTGCCTTTTCTCAAGTAGGGGTAAATTCTGTGTGCTGTTAGGGAGCTGCCCTGACAACCCAGGCTGTAGCTAGACTCCAGACAAGACCACATCCTGCCAGAATTCTTCCCTTGCTCTCTCCCTTCCCTCTCTTCCTTTTTGAGACGGCTTCCTCAATTATTCCATGGAATCCTCATCTCCAGTTTTGTCTTAGATTGAAACCTAGTCTAAGGCAGCAATCCATGAATGTGGATTTTCCCCCTTTCCTATGATTAAGACATTGTGAAGATCTTTTAAAAAGTGGGATTTAAAAAAAAAAGTTTTTTAATTTAATTGTGGTAAAAACTATGCAACATAAAATGTACCATCTTAACCACTTCTGAATGTACAGATCAGTAGTAAGTATATTCACACTGTTGTGCAACCAAAGTCTAGTGTAGAACTTTTTCACCTTGCAAAACTGACACTCTGTACCCACTAAACTACAGATCTCCATTTCCTGCCTCCCCTACCCCCTGGCAACCACCACTCTACCTTCTGTCTCGAGAAATTTGACTACTTGAATTATCTCACATAACTAGAATCATACAGTATTAGTCTTTTCGTGACTGGCTTATTTCACTTACCATAATGTCCTCAATGTTCATCCATGTTGTAGTCAGAATTTCCTTCCTTTTTAAGATGGAATAATATTACCTTGCATGTGTAGACCACATTTTGTATACCTATACATCTGGTGATGGATATTTGGGTTGTTTCTACTTCTTGGCTATTGTGGATAATGTTGCTATGAATATGGTATGCAACTATCTCTTTAAGATCCACTTTCTCATTTTTTGTGTATATACCCAGAGATTGGATTGCTGGATCGTATGGTAACTAAATGTTTAATTTTTTGAGGAACCTTCATACTGTTTGCAGTAGTGGAATACAGTAGGGATTCCTGAAAAAAGTAGGAATTCCTGAAAAAATGCAATGACGCTTAAGAGAGTGTTTTCAGATATTGATATACGGCTTTCACTGTGCAAAATATTAGAAAATTCACAAACATAAAAAATCAAACTATTTTATCAGATTATGAGTCCCCTTTTAAATGACAGTTGATTGCAAAAACAAGATGGTCTTCTTCCTCCAAAAGGAGGAAGAGAAGGGTGTCATTTTCCCAAAATGATGAGTCAATATTTTCTTTGGTATCTTCTTGGTTTGTACTTTTGGTACAGGCTGACATGCTAAATTATCCTTCAGATTTGGGACAAAATAATTGGGAATGGAAAGGAAACTGAAATCAGCATCAATTTGTGATTTAATCTTTCACATTTAAACTTTAATTCAATTGAAACTTATTTTAGTTAGCAAGTAGTTCCATCTATATTTATGGATCATTTCCATATTGGTTGGGATGCTATCTCTATCACATATTTGTTTAAATGTGGGCCTCTTTCTGGTCTTCTGTTCTGTAAATCTTTCTGCCTAGCTCTCTGCTATTAGTATACTGTTTAAATTTCTGTGGCTTTAAAACATATTTTGAATATAGGAGAACAAGGCTTTCTTTATTACCCTTCTTTAAAAAAATTGGCTATTATATAGTCCTTCTATCAAAAAGTTCATCATTTTTATAGATTTTAAAATATTTCATTGAAATTTTAATTGAAGTTGTATTAAATTTATAGAGTTTTGCAGAAAATTGGCATTTAATTTTTCCAGAAGATCTCTCCAATTCACAGTCTTCTTTTAATAATCTTCTTTTAGTAAACTTCAGCAAAGTTTTTTTCAAATCGGTACTGTAGAATTCTTGTTGAATATCCCCTAAGTATTTAATTTTTGTTTGCTAAACAAAGGAATATGAATAGTTAACTAAAGTTGTGAATAAGATCTTTTATTTCAAATGACTGTTGCAGGGAAGCAAAAGAAATAAGCATGATCTGCATTCCCACCACCTATCATAATCGCTGTTATTATTTTAAAGTTCTCCGTGCTACACACACACACACACACACACACACACACACACACACACGCACAGAGACAGAGAGAGAGAGAGGTTCATATTATTTTCCTCTGACCATATGTAAAGTTATAGAATAAGGCCTACTTGATCATGGTGTATTAGTCTCACTAATGTACGCTACATTAAATTTGCTGACATTTAATGTAAAATTTCATGTATTTCTACTGTAGATGAGGCCATTTCTATTGGCCTATCATTTTCTCTCCTTTTCAGCATTTCTAAGATTTTGTATCAGAGCTCTGCTATGTTGATCAGATAATTGTGAAACTTTCCACATTTTTACAAGTTTGGAATAATTCAATAGGCAGCGAGATTACTTTTTCCTTAAAGATTTGAAATAATTAGCCAATTAAAGCCTGTAAGTGAATACTGGATATGTATTTTTATAAGAGATTAGAAGTAAGGTACTTGTTGCCTCACTATTCCAGTAGATGTAGAGCAGAGATCAGTAAGATAGATTCTAAAAGGTCTGAGAGGAGGAGCCTTGATTGAACCTCAGACTGGAGAAGCAAAAGGACCTGTAAGCTTCAGGATTGGGTTTGGGTCCTTGTGCCACCAGCAGATGACATTGCTCTTCTCTGTAGTTTCCTTTTTTTTTAGTCTGTAAAATAAAGATTTTATTCCAATCTGTAAAAGATTGGAACAATCATGCCAATCTTCAAATAAGTGATAAATGAATCAGCTATTTTTGCAGGAACCTCTGGGAAGCTCTGAACACATGTGGAAAGTTTTCGATGCTTGGTGCAGACAGTACTGCAATTTGGGAGGATATCTCCTCCCAACTATCACTTCTGCATTGACTGCTGTATTGCTATGGCATCTGGAGCATTGGAAACTGTGGGACAGGAGGCGGCCCTCACTGTGGTTATCTACAGAGGCAGCCTGAGGGTCCCTATGTGAGAAGCAGAACTGCAGAGAAACAAGGTGGGCACTCCTGGTGACTGAGCTGGTAATTTGGCCCTTGGGCACATGGGGACATCAGTGGGGACTTTCAGAAATACATGGGGCGGGGAGTTGTGGGGTGATGCAGGGTAATGGAAGTTTTTGAGAACAGCAGCGCAAAAATAGAAAATTGGGTTAATGTTGTAAAAGTGACCTGCTATAAACCCACAGGCTGCTGAGTCCTAGAGAATGTCCAGATGAAACAAGCATCATGTTTTGAGTGGTGCAGATGGGTCCAACCACATGGGGAGCAAAAGGAAGGAAGATACTAGTTACCAACCTAGTTACTTTTGAGGTGTGTGGTGGTGAGCAGAGCCATGTGGGAGAAGCCTGCTTTAGACCTGAACTTGGTAATACATCTGCAGGAAGCTGGCTTCTTGTTGCATTATCCAGGAAGTAACCCAGCTGCCCATAGTTCACTCCTTCTATGCAAAAGAGGCAAAAGACTGAAAAACAAGTTGGACCCAGGGAAGTTTTTCAAGAATGCAAGTTTCAGGGTTAGCAGCCATGCCATGCAGTGTCACCTGGAAAGGATGGCTCTGCTTACGGCACCTGCACTGACACCCGCCCATCAGTCCTATCCTACCCTGGGTCCTGGCTGGTAAGTTAGCCAGGTGTGGTGAGTGTGTGCCACCATGCCCAGCTAATTAATATTTTTTTGTAGAGACGGGGTGCCACTGTGTTGCCCAGGCTGGTCTCAAATCCCTGGCTCAGGCAACCCTCCTCTTGCCTTGGCCTCCCAAAGTCTTGGGATTGCAGGCTGAGCCACTGCACCTGGCCCTGGGTATATTCTTTACATCAGACGACAGCTGACTTTTGTGCAAAGGGCCAGGTAGTAAATACTTTAGGCCTTGTGGCCCTGTATCAACTACTCAACTCTGTCCTTGTCTTGCAAAAGCAACCACAGATGATATGTAAATGAATGATAATGGCTGTGTTCTAGTAAAACTTTATTATGGACATTGAAATTTGAATTTCAGATAGTTTTCATGTTGTGAAATATTATTCTTCTTGTGTTTCTTTCAATCATTTAAAATGCAAAAATCATCCTTAGTTTTCAGGCTTTACAACAGGTGGCAGACTATAGTTGCTTTACTCATACAAAAGATTCACTTGCTTTACTAAGTCCCTTGGTGGGTCAATCCCACCCATAGATATAAAACTAAACAGCAAAGGATCTTGATGAAAATTCAGTAAAGCATCATCTACAGCAAATTGCCCAGAAAACCCTAAAAATTTTGAGCTAGCTAGTCTTCTAGACAAATGCTCTCAGGTAGTGACTTTAACAGAAACGATGTAATGAAAGACCAGATTCCTAGATAAAACCACTCTTGCCTTTAATGGTTCAAAAGAAGAAAGTACAACTACACTATCAGTAGTTTATTATACTGACAAATTAATGTTTATCATCCAGCTAGCTGCTACACTACATTTCTTCCCCTTTGAGCAAGATGGTGAAGCTATCACCTAGTACATCATTCTGAGTTTAAAAAAACATCATTGCAAGTGAAACAGGTATTTACCAAGAGTTCTAGAATGGCCAGAAGAATTCTTGATATATTAAATATCTTATAAACATCTAATGAAAGTGAATAGAAATCTTTATTTTAGCCTTCTCAAATCTCAGGTTTCATCTTTTGTTTCTATACTTACATTCTCAAGTCACTGAGTACATACTACTCTCCTTCTATTTTTTTGAAAACCCAAACAAAACAAATATAACAACAAAAAGCTTCCAGTGTCTTCATGTTAGTATAAGATGGCACTGGAAGATCAGAAAAAGCTCTTGAAGCTCTGAGAAGTACCATACAATTTTCTGCGTTGTCATTTTCAATCACTGAAGGTGCATAGAAGCTGGACTTTTGTAAGTTCCAAAAGTGATTGTATAACTTTTTCCCCAGCAGACATTTTTTGAGCCATCTCTTTGTAGAGGGGACATTAAAGCATAGTGTTCAAGGGCAAAAATTTTAGCAAGACAGAGCCCTAGGCTCAAAATTCAGTTCTGCTACTTACCACATACAACTTTGGACAAATTGCTCTAAATCATAGTATTCTCATGAGCAAAACAAAGCTGATAATAACCATTTCTCACTGTTATTGTGAAACAAAATGAGATATTGTATGCAAGGCATTTAGTACAATGTCTAGCAAATAGTAAGGATTTAAAAAAATGGCAACTCTTATTTTTTTTATTTTATTTTTATTTTTATTTTTATTTATTTATTTATTTATTTTTATTATACTTTAAGTTTTAGGGTACATGTGCACATTGTGCAGGTTAGTTACATATGTATACAAGTGCCATGCTGGTGCACTGCACCCACTAACTCGTCATCTAGCATTAGGTATATCTCCCCATGCTATCCCTCCCCACTCCCCCGACCCCACAACAGTCCCCAGTGTGATATTCCCCTTCCTGTGTCCATGTGTTCTCATTGTTCAATTCCCACCTATGAGTGAGAATATGCGGTGTTTGGTTTTTTGTTCTTGCGATAGTGTACTGAGAATGATGTTTTCCAATTTCATCCATGTCCCTACAAAGGACATGAACTCATCATTTTTTATGGCTGCATAGTATTCCATGGTGTATATGTGCCACATTTTCTTAATCCAGTCTATCAGTGTTGGACATTTGGGTTGGTTCCAAGTCTTTGCTATGGTGAATAATGCCGCAATAAACATACGTGTGCATGTGTCTTTATAGCAGCATGATTTATAGTCCTTTGGGTATATACCCAGTAATGGGATGGCTGGGTCAAATGGTATTTCCAGTTCTAGATCCCTGAGGAATCGCCACACTGACTTCCACAATGGTTGAACTAGTTTACAGTCCCACCAACAGTGTAAAAGTGTTCCTATTTCTCCACATCCTCTCCAGCACCTGTTGTTTCCTGACTTTTTAATGATCACCATTCTAACTGGTGTGAGATGGTATCTCATTGTGGTTTTGATTTGCATTTCTCTGATGGCCAGTGATGATGAGCATTTTTTCATGTGTTTTTGGCTGCATAAATGTCTTCTTTTGAGAAGTGTCTGTTCATGTCCTTTGCCCACTTTTTGATGGGGTTGTTTGTTTTTTTCTTGTAAATTTGTTTGAGTTCATTGTAGATTCTGGATATTAGCCCTTTGTCAGATGAGTAGGTTGCGAAAATTTTCTCCCATTTGGTTGCCTGTTCACTCTGATGGTGGTTTCTTTTGCTGTGCAGAAGCTCTTTAGTTTAATTAGATCCCATTTGTCAATTTTGGCTTTTGTTGCCATTGCTTTTGGCGTTTTAGACAGGAAGTCCTTGCCCATGCCTATGTTCTGAAAGGTAATGCCTAGGTTTTCTTCTAGGGTTTTTATGGTTTTAGGTCTAACATTTAAGTCTTTAATCCATCTTGAATTGATTTTTGTATAAGGTGTAACAAAGGGATCCAGTTTTAGCTTTCTACATATGGCTAGCCAATTTTCCCAGCACCATTTATTAAATAGGGAATCCTTTCCCCATTGCTTGTTTTTCTCAGGTTTGTCAAAGATCAGATAGTTGTAGATATGCGGCGTTATTTCTGAGGGCTCTGTTCTGTTCCATTGATCTATATCTCTGTTTTGGTACCAGTACCATGCTGTTTTGGTTACTGTAGCCTTGTAGTATAGTTTGAAGTCAGGTAGTGTGATGCCTCCAGCTTTGTTCTTTTGGCTTAGGATTGACTTGGCGATGCGGGCTCTTTTTTGGTTCCATATGAACTTTAAAGTAGTTTTTTCCAATTCTGTGAAGAAAGGCATTGGTAGCTTGATGGGGATGGCATTGAATCTGTAAATCACCTTGGGCAGTATGGCCATTTTCACAATATTGATTCTTCCTACCCATGAGCATGGAATGTTCTTCCATTTGTTTGTATCCTCTTTTATTTCCTTGAGCAGTGGTTTGTAGTTCTCCTTGAAGAGGTCCTTCACATCCCTTGTAAGTTGGATTCCTAGGTATTTGATTCTCTTTGAAGCAATTGTGAATGGGAGTTCACTCATGATTTGGCTCTCTGTTTGTCTGTTGTTGGTGTATAAGAATGCTTGTGATTTTTGTACATTGATTTTGTATCCTGAGACTTTGCTGAAGTTGCTTATCAGCTTAAGGAGATTTTGGGCTGAGACAATGGGGTTTTCTAGATATACAATCATGTCATCTGCAAACAGGGACAATTTGACTTCCTCTTTTCCTAATTGAATACCCTTTATTTCCTTCTCCTGCCTAATTGCCCTGGCCAGAACTTTCAACACTATGTTGAATAGGAGTGGTGAGAGAGGGCATCCCTGTCTTGCGCCAGTTTTCAAAGGGAATGCTTCCAGTTTTTGCCCATTCAGTATGATATTGGCTGTGGGTTTGTCATAGATAGCTCTTATTATTTTGAAATACATCCCATCAATACCTAATTTATTGAGAGTTTTTAGCATGAAGGGTTGTTGAATTTTGTCAAAGGCTTTTTCTGCATCTATTGAGATAATCATGTGGTTTTTGTCTTTGGCTCTGTTTATATGCTGGATTAGATTTATTGATTTGCGTATATTGAACCAGCCTTGCATCCCAGGGATGAAGCCCACTTGATCATGGTGGATAAGCTTTTTGATGTGCTGCTGGATTCGGAGTGCCAGTATTTTATTGAGGATTTTTGCATCAATGTTCATCAAGGATATTGGTCTAAAATTCTCTTTTTTTGTTGTGTCTCTGCCTGGCTTTGGTATCAGAATGATGCTGGCTTCATAAAATGAGTTAGGGAGGATTCCCTCTTTTTCTATTGATTGGAATAGTTTCAGAAGGAATGGTACCAGTTCCTCCTTGTACCTCTGGTAGACTTCGGCTGTGAATCCATCTGGTCCTGGACTCTTTTTGGTTGGTAAGCTATGGATTATTGCCACAATTTCAGATCCTGTTATTGGTCTATTCAGAGATTCAACTTCTTCCTGGTTTAGTCTTGGGAGAGTGTATGTGTCGAGGAATTTATCCATTTCTTCTAGATTTTCTAGTTTATTTGCGTAGAGGTGTTTGTAGTATTCTCTGATGGTAGTTGGTATTTCTGTGGGATCGGTGGTGATATCCCCTTTATCATTTTTTATTGCGTCTATTAGATTCTTCTCTCTTTTTTTCTTTATTAGTCTTGCTAGCGGTCTATCAGTTTTGTTGATCCTTTCAAAACACCAGCTCCTGGGTTCATTAATTTTTTGAAGGGTTTTTTGTGTCTCTATTTCCTTCAGTTCTGCTCTGATCTTAGTTATTTCTTGCCTTCTGCTAGCTTTTGAATGTGTTTGCTCTGCTTTTCTAGTTCTTTTAATTGTGATGTTAGGGTGTCAATTTTGCATCTTTCCTGCTTTCTCTTGTGGGCATTTAGTGCTATAAATTTCCCTCTACACACTGCTTTGAATGCGTCCCAGAGATTCTGGTATGTTGTGTCTTTGTTCTCATTGGTTTCAAAGAACATCTTTATTTCTGCCTTCATTTCGTTATGTACCCAGTAGTCATTCAGGAGCAGGTTGTTCAGTTTCCATGGAGTTGAGCGGTTTTGAGTGAGATTCTTAATCCTGAGTTCTAGTTTGATTGCACTGTGGTCTGAGAGATAGTTTGTTATAATTTCTGTTCTTTTATATTTGCTGAGGAGAGCTTTACTTCCAACTATGTGGTCAGTTTTGGAAGAGGTGTGGTGTGGTGCTGAAAAAAATGTATATTCTGTTGATTTGGGGTGGAGAGTTCTGTGGATGTCTATTAGGTCCGCTTGGTGCAGAGCTGAGTTCAATTCCTGGGTATCCTTGTTGACTTTCTGTCTCGTTGATCTGTCTAATGTTGACAGTGGGGTGTTAAAGTCTCCCATTATTAATGTGTGGGAGTCTAAGTCTCTTTGCAGATCACTCAGGACTTGCTTTATGAATTTGGGTGCTCCTGTATTGGGTGCATATATATTTAGGATAGTTAGCTCTTCTTGTTGAATTGATCCCTTTACCATTATGTAATGGCCTTCTTTGTCTCTTTTGATCTTTGTTGGTTTAAAGTCTCTTTTATCAGAGACTAGGATGGCAACCCCTGCCTTTATTTGTTTTCCATTTGCTTGGTAGATCTTCCTCCATCCTTTTATTTTGAGCCTATGTGTGTCTCTGCACGTGAGATGGGTTTCCTGAATACAGCACACTGATGGGTCTTGACTCTTTATCCCATTTGCCAGTCTGTGTCTTTTAATTGGAGCATTTAGTCCATTTACATTTAAAGTTAATATTGTTATGTGTGAATTTGATCCTGTCATTATGATGTTAGCTGGTTATTTTGCTCGTTAGTTGATGCAGTTTCTTCCTAGTCTCGATGGTCTTTACATTTTGGCATGATTTTGCAGCGGCTGGTACTGGTTGTTCCTTTCCATGTTTAGCGCTTCCTTCAGGAGCTCTTTTAGGGCAGGCCTGGTGGTGACAAAATCTCTCAGCATTTGCTTGTCTGTAAAGTATTTGATTTCTCCTTCGCTTATGAAGCTTAGTTTGGCTGGATATGAAATTCTGGGTTGAAAATTCTTGTCTTTAAGAATGTTGAATATTGGCCCCCACTCTCTTCTGGCTTGTAGGGTTTCTGCTGAGAGATCCGCTGTTAGTCTGATGGGCTTCCCTTTGAGGGTAACCCGACCTTTCTCTCTGGCTGCCCTTAACATTTTTTCCTTCATTTCAACTTTGGTGAATCTGACAATTATGTGTCTTGGAGTTGCTCTTCTCGAGGAGTATCTTTGTGGCGTTCTCTGTATTTCCTGAATTTGAATGTTGGCCTGCCTTGCTAGATTGGGGAAGTTCTCCTGGATAATATCCTGCAGAGTGTTTTCCAACTTGGTTCCATTCTCCCCATCACTTTCAGGTACACCAATCAGACGTAGATTTGGTCTTTTCACATAGTTCCATATTTCTTGCAGGCTTTGCTCGTTTCTTTTTATTCTTTTTTCTCTAAACTTCCCTTCTCGCTTCATTTCATTCATTTCATCTTCCATCGCTGATACCCTTTCTTCCAGTTGATCGCATCGGCTCCTGAGGCTTCTGCATTCTTCACGTAGTTCTCGAGCCTTGGTTTTCAGCTCCATCAGCTCCTTTAAGCACTTGTCTGTATTGGTTATTCTAGTTATACATTCTTCTAAATTTTTTTCAAAGTTTTCAACTTCTTTGCCTTTGGTTTGAATGTCCTCCCGTAGCTCAGAGTAATTTGATCGTCTGAAGCCTTCTTCTCTCAGCTCGTCAAAGTCATTCTCCATCCAGCTTTGTTCCGTTGCTGGTGAGGAACTGCGTTCCTTTGGAGGAGGAGAGGCGCTCTGCATTTTAGAGTTTCCAGTTTTTCTGTTCTGTTTTTTCCCCATCTTTGTGGTTTTATCTACTTTTGGTCTTTGATGATGGTGATGTACAGATGGGTTTTTGGTGTGGATGTCCTTTGTGTTTGTTAGTTTTCCTTCTAACAGACAGGACCCTCAGCTGCAGGTCTGTTGGAATACCCTGCCGTGTGAGGTGTCAGTCTGCCCCTGCTGGGGGGTGCCTCCCAGTTAGGCTGCTCAGGGGTCAGGGGTCAGGGACCCACTTGAGGAGGCAGTCTGCCCGTTCTCAGATCTCCAGCTGCGTGCTGGGAGAACCACTGCTCTCTTCAAAGCTGTCAGAGAGGGACATTTAAGTCTGCAGAGGTTACTGCTGTCTTTTTGTTTGTCTGTGCCCTGCCCCCAGAGGTGGAGCCTACAGAGGCAGGCAGGCCTCCTTGATCTGTGGTAGGCTCCACCCATTTCCAGCTTCCTGGCTGCTTTGTTTACCTAAGCAAGCCTGGGCAATGGCGGGTGCCCCTCCCCCAGCCTCGCTGCCGCCTTGTAGTTTGATCTCAGACTGCTGTGCTAGCAATCAGCGAGACTCCGTGGGCGTAGGACCCTCCAAGCCAGGTGCGGGGTATAATCTCGTGGTGCGCCGTTTTTTAAGCCCGTGGGAAAAGCGCAGTATTCGGGTGGGAGTGACCCGATTTTCCAGGTGCCGTCAGTCACCCCTTTCTTTGACTCGGAAAGGGAACTCCCTGACCCCTTGCGCTTCCAAAGTGAGGCAATGCCTCGCCCTGCTTCGGCTCGCTCACGGTGCGCGCACCCACTGACCTGCACCCACTGTCTGGCACTCCCTAGTGAGATGAACCCGGTACCTCAGATGGAAATGCAGAAATCACCGTCTTCTGCGTCGCTCACGCTGGGAGCTGTAGACCAGAGCTGTTCCTATTCGGCCATCTTGGCTCCTTATTCACCGGCAACTCTTATTTTTTCAACTATTGGATTTACTCTGTGTGTGTGTTTGTGTGTGTGTGTATGTGAATGCGTGTATCTGTTTGCGTGTATTGGAATATATTCCAGGAAGAATCATTGAAACATGTTTGTCTTGTGACACTCACAGATGGATATAAAAATGTTCTGGGAAATAAAATTATCATACAGAATTTGTGTCTCAATCCATCAGGTTTTTGCAGAAGAATCAAATTCTGAGTGAACAGATATTGTGGCCTGTGAAATCAAAGAGAGATGCTGAACATTTCAAGTATGTTCTTTGCTGACTGTCAAAGCAAAGTATACACAAAAACAGCAGGACAGTTCATAACAGAAACACACCCACACACACACAGACATTAATGCAGTTGGATGTACATTCTATGGCTCACACTTGCTTAAGATAGCACAGAATAGAAATTCTCGAAAGAGTCCTAGAGGAATAAAAAGCTGCATGAATGTGTGAAAACTATTCATATTGGAAGTGTTTCCTTCGAGAAAAAAAGTGCCAGCAAAATAAAGACCCTGAAATACAACAGGAGGACTCAACACAGTGGGAGGTAAAGAATTAGAATCCACTGGCGCATTACAATACCTGTAGATTAAACACCACCACCACTGGATTTGGTGAACATTTCTTCTGGATTTAACTATAAAACCCCCAGAAGGATCTAAAGCCACTTTCTTCAGCAATATCTGGATCTGTTGGTAGACACAACTTACAGAAATGACCCAGGTAAAAGCAGCTGATTTAGTTACTCTCAAGCTGCCTCTGCTTATAAGTACAGAGCAAGATAAGAAGAAAGAAAGACTATAATACAGATACTGGTACATTTTTGTCATATGCTTCTGCAACCATAAACTTTTTGGATGCAGGACCCGGTAGTAACTACATAAATAATGTTATTGCTGAGCAGGATAGTAAATAATTCAAGCCTCATACTCAGGATCCTTACAATTGTTGCAAAATTCAGATTATTTCCAGGTACTCGGGCCAGGGATATAGATTGCCAGGAAATCTGTCAAACACATCTTTCTGGTGACCTACTGGCAAGTCTTTGCAATCTCAGCTTTTGGCTCACCTTACTTTATGCTGAATCCTATTTATCAATGTCCTACAACGTGTGAATGACATCAGCCTATATTAAGAAAACACACACACACACACACACACACACACACACACACACACACAAGAAAACAGCAAGCAAGAAGTGAAAGACTACACAAAAGTGTGAAGTTAATCATTTGACTTTTCAGAGCATCATGAAAGTGATAAATCATTAACACCAGAGGAGGCTGCAACTGCCCAGGGGTTAGTTCAGAAAAGAAACAGGTGTGGATAATACCAAAAGACCAAGGTGCTTTTGACCAGCTTCAATCCTTTCCCAGCTCTCTGGCTCCTTTGCTGAAAAAGGACACTCAACTCTGACGGCTTCAAGTACAGAAAATGTGATTTTCTGCGTTCACTCTTAATGTTCGTGGTTTCTTCAGTTTTCATGTTTCTGCATGCTTTTTATAAACTGGTAAAAACAAAAGAGTTATCTACTGCTTTAAAAAGTCTCATAGTGGCCAGGCACGGTGGCTCACACCTGTAATCCCAGCACTTTGGGAGGCCAAGGCAGGTGGATCACCTGAGGTCGGGAGTTCAAGACCAGCCTGACCAGCATGGAGAAAACCCATCTCTACTAAAGATACAAAATTAGCCGGGGGTGGTGGTACATGCCTGTAATCCCAGCTACTCAGGAGGCTGAGGCAGGAGAATCACTTGAACTCGGGAGGCGGAGGTTGCGCTGAGCCGAGATCGCACCATTGCACTCCAGCCTGGGAAACAAGAGTGAAACTCTGTCTCAAAATAATAATAATAATAATAATAATAAAAGTCTCATAGTTTATATCTCCCTTTCTAGAAAACAACACAACATTTATAAGTCAATTCAATCAGTAACGTTGTGGCTATTTTAAGTTACTCTTTCCTGATTTAGAGTAAAACATTTTATGACCTGGGGAAAAAGAAGTTATAAATACGTTTGTATGCTACTAAGCTAAAAATTATATGTGGTAAACATAGTTCAAATTGTTCTCCAAATTTTCCTTTTAATCAAGAATGTTTTGGAGAAAATTTTAAAATCCTAATTTTTTCCCCAAGGTTTCAAAATAACTATAAATATTTTTTTCTTCATTATTAACTTAGTAGGAAACTTTGCTCCAAAAATTTGGGGAGGGACTCACCAATGTATGCTATGCTGATTTGGGTCATTCTTTTGTGGAGTTTTGTACATTTCAGGTCAGTCGGTGTGCATGGACTAAAGCCTGTGGAGGAATGGCCTTGTGGAATGGAGGTGACCCCTGCTCACTCAGCCAGGCTGGCATTGGCTTCCACTGGGCTTCAAACCCTGTGTTTACTCTGCAGTCCAGCATTTTCTTTGCAACAGTCTGATCATCAAAGCAGACAAAAAGAGAGTTGGAGCATGGCGAGGAGGATGCTATTGCTTCTTTCCTTTCTTTTAGTACCAAACATAAATAGAAGCAAGACAGGACTTCAGTTTGATTCTTAAAGAAGGGTTTAAAATGTTTTGTTCTTGCACAACAAAGGCACAGAGACAAAAAGACTCCTACTTTCAAAGCAAAATTTATCTATCTTAAAAAAAAGAAATGGATGAAAATCAATCATTTTAAAATTTGCTGAAACTTTAGTAAGTTACCCATGGTTTTGGAAATGAGCAGATCACTGTTCCTGTGTGATTATACTTCATGTTCAAATCCTTGCAAAAGAACAACACTGCAAAATCCAGTGTGGTTGAGTTTTAAAACCACGAGTCGAATTAAAGCGAGGAATATATATAACCAAACAATGACACTTAGGAGGTCTGAAAAAAATAAGCAAACTACTTCATATGAGATTCCAGGATTTGTTACTGAACAAGATGAATAGTTTCCAAAGTGGTCAACTTGTTTGACTGGACTTGATTGCATTTTTGTGTTTTAAAGCTGGTTCATACCTGTCCAGGCAAGGCCGTCATTTCTTAGAAACAGAGCACGCTATTGTTTTATGCTGATCAATGTTTTTTTTATTTTTAGTAGCTCCTGTGTCTTGTCCCCTCTCTAGTTGATCTGATCTATTTTCTTGACTATTTACTAAACCACAATGTATTATCGTTGTTCCTTCAGACCCTTTAATGAAAGCCCCAGACTTTGGTACTTACTGGCTTGTAACCTTGCAGAAGTCACTTATGGCTGATGAGCCTCAAACTCCTCATCTGGGAGATGGCAGTGCATCCATCCACTCATTCCTTTAAAAATTGTGAATGTCTCCTAGATGTGGGGCATTGGGTGCAGAAAGACAAAGACAAATCAGACCTAGTCCTTGCTGTCATGGGTTTTGCTGTAATGGAGAGACACCCACGTAAATGCCATAAACGTCCTGAAGTGTGATCAGTGCCTCATGTGCCAGTGAGGGTGGGATGGTGTGATCAGGTCTACTTTGGGGTAAGAGGAGTGGGAAACATCAGCACAGGTGAGAGAGGAGAGTGAGACATGTTGTAAAAGCACTTGGCTCATAATGGTAGCCAACAATCATGAGCATTTCCTATGGGCTGGGTACTGGGCTGAGTGCTTGAGAGACATTTCATCCTGTCTCTCTAGTTCACCTCTTTGGTAGTTACTCTTATTATCTAAATTGATAAGGAAATTGAGGCCTTCCGAGATGACACACTTTGCTCAAGGATACACTCAAAATGACAATCTCAAGGTTCTACCCCAGGCATTAGAACCCCAGAACCCTCCTGTTTAACCACTAAACCATGCAGCCTTCCCCTTTCCTCGCTTTGGTTGCAGAAGCACCAAGTATTTGTTTGTGTCCTCCATGGCGCAGCAGTGCTCACAGCTATGGATGGTTTGGGGGTCAGGGGGAAGGCTCTGTGGGAGAGCAGGACAGGTTGTGGGGGGCTAGGTGCAGAGAGCTGAACAAAGCAGCTTTACCCATAAGGGGTTACTCAAAACTAAAACAAAAACTAAAAAAAGACATAAGTTCAGTTCCTCATTTTGGTCTTTCTCTTCCAGATAATATTTCTTTTCTCACTTAGCTCAAACTGACTGAAAAAGACATTGGTGATTCCCAACACCTTTAAAACCCAAGATCAAAGGAACAGTAGGTCCCACAATAGATGCAAATGGACTCTCATACTTGGGGGATTTAAAATAAACAGCCAGGCAACAAACTTTCAACTATTGTTTAAATTCAGTCCAAAGGGATTTTCTAATCTGAAGAACTCCACTGTTTTATTTCAGGGTCAGAGCAAGTTCCCACTTAGTACACAGAAAGGTTTTCTATGAGGGAATTTTAAAAAGACATATGCAAATATACCAGAGAGATTAATAGGACGGCATAGCTATGAGACACACAAAATGAAATACAATGACACATAATGTATTTTAGTTTGATTTTTCAATATTATATAAATGCTCTTAATTCATATTAAAACAACAATTAACGGAAAACAGCCTCGTTGGTTTGATAAACGGAATAGAGCCTTTTTTAAGGACATTTTTTTTTTTCTGATTCCAAATGTAATATAGTTGATTGTGGAAGAATGACAAATGCATGATAAATATACAAAGAAATGGAAGTCACCCCTTTGACTCTAGGCTCTCTAAGCTCTACTTACAGCCCCACTGTGAGCCTTCTGGAGGTATGCCCTGCCACTCTTGTGACTACTATAGCACATTCTCACTTCTCTCTTCTCTTTACACACATATGCACACACACACATGCATGCACACACACACTGTCTGACTCTCGGTCCAGCTACCTCATGGCCTGACCTGTCCTCCCACCCAGCTCTCACCCCATCTCCCATACCAGCCACAATTGTGGGTGCCACTGCACTGTGGAGAAAGCAGACATGTACTGAGTGCGTCTGCTACCAAATCAAAGAAAGCGGAAGGCAACTGGGTTTGGTGGTTAACCATCAGGGTCTGGGGTTCCATTGCCTGGGTTAGCATCTTGCCTGGCACGTAGTAAATGGTCAATAAATGCTTGCTATTGTTACAACTAGATTTAGTATATACATTATTGTTTCACAAAATTGGGCTTATAAATTGTATAGTTTTGTATCCAATGGAACTGATAATATTAAAGAAGCTTTAAAGTAAAATAATAAGGCAAGTTATACTAATCAGTCTTTGCATTGTAAGAGGCAGAAACCCAACTCAAACTACCTTAAGCACCAAGGATTTGTTGACTCATTGTATTTAAAGTCCGGGAAAATTTCTCTTCTTTGCACAGCTGAATCCAAGTGTTCAAACAGTGTTGTCATGTTCACTCTCCTTCCTCTCATTTCTCAGCTCAGCTTGTTTCTGTGTCTTTTGTTTGCATGTTGGACTTATTCTCTCCTGCTTTACACAACCTCTCTCTACATTGCTGACAAATCTTGGATTGACATGATCCAAAAAGAGAAAAAATGGTATTCCCTTAAGTAGCACAGAAGACTCTAACCCAGCTTGAGTCAAATATCCATCGTCAACCAATTTCTGTGTTTCTGATGTTCCTCAATTGGCCTGGGTCTTTTACCTTCCTGCAGTGTGAGATGGGGCTGCTCATGGTCTTGGAAGGGGCACAGTGACTTTCCCACAGTATAGGAATTTTCCAAAGGAACCAAAAAGCGTGAGTTAGTAACTGTGCTGGGTAAACATAAAGCTTTAGCAATCAGAGTTGTCATTCTTAGTTTTTAACAAGATATGGAATCAACTTTGAATTAAGCCTCAGAATTGCTTCTTGGCCTTTGGCTGAGATCAAGCTTTTTTTTTTTTTTTGAGATGGAGTTTCGCTCTTGTTGCCCAGGCTGGAGTGAAATGATGTGATCTCAGCTCACTGAAACCTCTTGCTTCCGGGTTGAAGCCATTCTTCTGCCTCAGCCTCCTGAGTAGAGTAGCTGGGATTACAGGTGTGCGCCACCATGCTGGGCTAATTTTGTATTTTTAGTAGAGACGAGGTTTCACCATGTTGGTCAGGCTGGTCTATGAACTCCTGACCTCAGGTAATCCATCCGCCTTGGCCTCCCAAAGTGCTGGGATTACAGACATGAGCCACTGGTGCCCAGCCTCAAGCATTTTTTTAAGCCTCAGAAAAAAAGTACCTATACAGTGGGGAAAAACAACATAATTTTATATGTACAGTACATTTTTAACTGGAATATGCCTGATTTCTTAGGAAGTATTGTACAGATATTTGGTAACACACTGAGTATTTTGAGCTGAATTGATTAACTGATAAGATATATCTTTGAATATATATATTTTTCTTTCATCACATATTCCAGTTGGATATTCATTTTCAAACAGCACCCTTGCAAAGTCTAGACAGATATTCCCTCTCCTCATTCTTTTTTCTAGGTACACAGTCTGTCTATAAACCATGTAAGACAAATACTACTAGCATTCTATTTTGCAGAATTAACTCTCATTATTGGAGAACCATTCCAATTAGTAGTTAAGATGACAGACACCTGCTCTTCAGGCGACTGCCAGCAGGGCTAAAAGGCAATGCTTGTTGGATGGATTTTAAAAACACAGAGATGATGTTGAAAGCAACCATAGTGGGTAAAAATGGTTATTTTGAAAACTCATTAACCAGCTGCCATGGAGTGTTCAGTTGATTGATTTTACTATTTTTTAAACATGACTTTTGATGTCAGCATAGCCAAATATCTGAGTTTTTGAGTTCTTTCTGTATGTGACCATGTAAATCTAATATCTCTAAAGCTATTTTCCAGTCATGATACCAAGACTTATGCATAAGTACATCCAATCTGAAAGTTACTGTGATCTCACTTGTTTCCAGGAAGTCCCTGCAGCAAGGAGGGGTAAGGCCTAAATTGCTCCAGTCATGTGGGTTATGTTTTACTTTTCATCATCATTTGGATGCTTTCAAATATATTACCTCAGACTCTTTGACAGTCAGAACTGGCCACAGATGGGTCTATTCAGTTGATCTTCATCACCTATGCTTTTTCTGGAATTTTTTTCTCCATGTGTAGGGTTCCTTTCTTTACATCTTTTTCTTTCTAACAATCGTTTTATCTTACTGCAAGCTCCTGCAATGAGAAGCCCTGATTTGATAAGTCATGTAACATGGCATGAAATCCAGGGTCCAGGGGAGAGCAGGACACAGGGGCCACCAAGTGTGACATCAGTCCCTGTGCTCTTTCATCCTACCCTGGTGCTTCTCAGCCTGGTTCAATGCTTGGGTCAGGTTTGACATTCAATACGTGAAGGTACCTCTCCATGTGAAGATGCCTTTGCATTTTTGCAGTATGTCTCTTGCTTTTCATTCTCAGCCCTGCCCCCTGAAAACTGTGTTGCTGGTTTAGACACTTCTTATATCAAGGCTCTCCATCTACCTGTTTTCTTACTGTCACAAGAGTGGATCTGATCTCAGTTTGTTTTGGGAATAGAGATAAACTTACAGTCTTAGAGTTTCTTTTCTCACTCTTTAGAGTGATTCCACTGTTCCCCCTACTGCATAGTGTTTCTCTCCTGTTATTGGAATTCTTAATGCTTTAGTGAGTGATTTCTTTTTTATTGCATTTGATACTGTTCCAGCATGGTGTTCACCGAGTCTTATTTCCACACTGAGAAGATCTCATTTCAGAAGCACATCAGGTTTCCTTAGAACATCAACCCTCAGCTGATTCACTGTTGCAAGGTACACCACAGTCGCACAAAGAGATGGAATTGTCTGTAGCTAAATGGAACTATGTGAAGAGTAACTCATGGTTGCTGTTGGCTAGATAATTTAACAGTGATTTATCACATTATCTGTTTTGGAGAAAGAAAGGCAGAGTGGAAACTTTTCCTGTGGTTGAGTGAAGTTTGTCTGCTTAGGTTGTGTAGTGATTAGAGTACACTGATTTGGGCACCTGCTGTGCAGCTATGAAGTAGAGCTCCTGGTTCTCTGTGTAGTGCTACCAGAGGGATGGTCAGGCTTCCCCATGGGCTAAACCTGCATTTACTGCTTCTTCTTTAAATCTGTCTTTTTTCAAAATGTAAACATGTAGGAGTATCTTTCTTAGTCCATTTGGGCTGCTATAACTAACTGCTATAGTCTAGATAGCTTATAAACAACAGAGATTTATTTATTTATTTTTATTTCTAGAGGCTGGGAAGTCCAAGATCAAGGAATTGACAGATTCTGTGTCCAATAAGGCCACTTTCTGGTTCATAGATGGTGTCTTCTTGCTGTGTCCTTGCATGGTGGAAGGGAAGACCAAGCTCCCTGAGGCCTCTTTTATGAGGGCACTAATCCCATCAGTGAAGGCTTTGCCCTGTGATCTGGCTACCTTTTAATGGCCCCATCTCTTAGTATCATCACCTTGGAGGTTAACTTTACCTCTCAGTGACATGGGTGTCAAAGAATTTGCAGACATATTTTAAAAGCAGCACACCTCTCTAAGACAATGTTAATATATTCTTTAGATTTGAATCTAAAGGCATGCCTTGTTTCTGTAATCCTGATTGATCAATTGATTCAAGAGTTAAGGCCAGGTGTGGTGGCTCATGCCTGTAATCCCAGCACTTTGGGAGGCTGAGGAAGGTGGATCACTTGAGGCCAGGAGTTTGAGACTAGCCTGGCTAACATGGTGAAACCCCATCTCTACTAAAAATACAAAAATTAGCCAGGTGTGATGGCACGTGCCTGTAGTCCCAGCTACTTGGGAGGCTGAGGCAGGAGAATTGCTTGAGCCTGGGAGGTGGAGGTTGCAGTGAGCTGAAATCATGCCACTGCACTCTAGCGTGGGAGACAGAGTGAGACTCTGTCTCAAAAAATAAATAAATAAATAAATAAATAAATAAATAAATATAAAAATAATTTAAAAAAAGGAGTTAAAAAGCACACATCTACTGTAAAGTTCCACCACAGGTCAATATATTCCGTGACATCTCCTGAGCAGTATGGAGCCCTTGTGCATACCACATTGACCCAATTCATGCCAAGCATTTTATGGACAGTTAATAAAGAGACAAAATGAATGAATGGATATATAACGAATTAGTTCACCTATCTGTCATCACTCAAAAGAGCTTTTAAGCCAGACAGATTAGAAGCCAACAGAATGAATTATAACTTGGTATCTTGGGTGAGAAAATATGTTTCTAAAATATAATTAGAATAACATTTGTTTTGCTTTGTTTTGTTTTGTTTTGTTTGTACATATAATTTAGTTAAAAGGCATATATTCAAATAATTGACTGATTTAGTGACAGAAGGCAAATGTTTTCTGAAGAGTATTAAGAGGCTTCCAGTCACATGTTTGAAATGTACAGATGATAGTAACCCCACACCCCTCTACTGTTGGTGGAAAAAACACTGGGTGGGCTCAGAAAGCTGGAAGATTGCTGCCAGAGGCTCCTTAGGGCTTCCCTGGACCCCTTTCTTTCACTACAAAATTGATGCCAGTGCAGAGGCCTAAGATAGTTCTAAAATTCCAGACTCATCAACTCATAAAAATATCACTAATCATTCATACAGTGAGGCAGGATTTTAGAGGAGTATTTGGTTTGAGCCCCCATTTTAGACATGGATGTCACGGGCTCTTTTCTACTTCGAGGTTATTTTTCTATGTGCTCATCTGCATATCTGGAGATAGTTCTACACGAGGATCATGTGCCTGAGCCTCAGTGGCTGGTCACCACCCTAATGTGAGCCTCTTACCAGCCAACATTGTCCCCTAGGGAGACTCTTCCCTATGCCCTGGGTAGGACATTATCACTGAAACCATGGATTCACAAAGGATTTTGAGACAAAAGATGTCTGCCCTGAGCACATATGCATTTTAGGAATGAGGAGAATGGATTCAAGACAGAGAAAAGATGACTGGAGTGGGTCAGATGTAAGGTGATGAAGGTGCGAATTATGCAGTGGTTATGCAGGTGAAAATTAATGCACATATATGAAGAGTTTGCGGAGTCAATTGGCAAATTATATGAACTGCTTGGGGCTGAGGGACAATATTGGGCTGGGAGTACATTGTGTTTGAGCGTTTCTGTCTGTGTAGTGGGAGTGTGACTCACTGAAAGGTGAGGAAGGACGGGCCTTTGGCTGGAAGGTAGGGAAGAAAAGGGAACTGGGAGAAGTTGTTCTTGGTTATTACACAGGAAAACATGACCCCCAAAACTTTGTTGCTGGCAGAGAAGAAATATTGCTTAGCAAAGGGCATTTACTTAATGCAAAGAACTTCCTTTTCTAGGGGCCAGTTTTTTTTTTTTTCTTTAACCATCGCTACTCAAGTAATAAGATTTAAGTGAGTGCTGTTTTTTAAAATCCAGACTTTTTTTTTTCTTTTTAATTCAAGGGCCTAATCAAGGGAATGGAAGATGAGGAGAATGAAGGCTCTGGGAATTTATTTTCATCGTGGACCGGACTTTTTATCAGCCAGGAAAAAGGTGAGTAAATATGACCTGGTGTTTTTGAAAACTGCATAAACTTCAGTGCTCGGGGATTTCCTGAAGCTGGCTATTAATGGAGGCTCTTCCCCTAACACTCAGGAGACCTGTGGGTATGGGAAGGGGCCATTGGATTGCCACAGCGACTGGGTGGGGTGCCTCTGGCACTTCCTGGGAGGTCATCAAGGGTGCCAAGTGAGCCACGGTACATGGACACTCACACATAAAAGTCTTAAAGGCTGGTACCTCTCACAAAATGCCAATAGCACCTGCTCAGAGAAACAACGAGGCTGGACCTGCAAAATGAGCTTGCACCAAGGGCTCTGTGATTCCTTAACTTTAAGCTCAACCCTAAACTGACCGAGTCTTGTTGCCTGAGGTCTCTTTGGGAGGGAGCCCACAGGCTGAGCCGGGATCAGCTGCTGGTGGTGAAAACCGATGCTGGGGTTGCGGCAGGGGAATCCTGGAGATGAGGGGGCACAGGAGCTGTGCATGCCAGGCCTGGCGGGAAAGGCTTTTCCAGAAAGCACCCGGGGCTGGAGAGACATAGTCCTGGGGACAACGCGGGCTGAGGCTTTGGGCAGGAGGTTCTACTGTGGCTGAATGCTGAGACTGGCTGAATGGGGCAGGCTTCAGGGTCTGTCAGATACCTGCCCCCAAGAAGCAGTTCCATAAAAGAGAAAAGAGAATCCCTGTCTTTTGTCCTTCTTTCCATCACAGATGTCAGCATCTGATGGCATTTCCCCTTCTGTGTGGCACAGTTCAGGGCTATTTGTTGGGTTTTACTAGAGAACAGCCTGTCTCCTGGGATTCTGTAGTGACGAGGCTTCCGCATGAAGCTTCAGATGTTCTAAAAAGCGGGATGCAGGGCCCAGTGAGCTGCAGAGTGATGAAGTGGGGGAAGTTCCCCAGTGTCGCTGCTGGGACACAATGCCTGACTCCCGTAAGTAAAGCAACACTACAGGGGTGGCTTAGGATGCACGCAGCCTGCCATTAGTGGAGGGGGCATTTGGTTTCCCCTAAAAGGGATGAGGTACCATCATTGCTGCTCTGTGCCAGGTGTGGGAGGAAGCTTTTGTGGGGTGGGCCTCACAGGGTCTGGCCTGGAGGCCTGAGCAGCTCTAGTCTTTTCATGGTGAAAAGCAGTGAGATTCTGAATTGGAGCAATACTATCTTCCAGCACCTGAGTCCTATAGCAACCAGCATGCTTCCACTGCAAAGTCTGGAAATGCATCTGGGAAGCATCAACCAAGGGCCAGATGCTCTGCCTGGTGGGGGACACCAGGGGACATTACCCTCAAGGAGTTAGCCTGTAGGGAAGGCAGATGGGAAAGCAAACAATGTCAATGGAGTTCAACACATGGCCACAATAGACAGCTGTAAAAGATAGGAAGGGGGCACAGACGAGGGGGTCGTCAATTCTGCACAGGAGGGTAGAGGAGGCAGGGCAGGGAAATCTCCCCAGGAGATATGATGGCTGAGTGGGGCCTTGAAGAGTGGGTATAGAGTAGCCAAGATGACAAAGGGGTATGGAAGTCCAGGAAGAAGCCGTGGCATAACAAAGGCATGGCTGTGTGGAATAACACATGGAAGTTGTAAGTAGCTCCTTAGGGCTGTTTATGGAGGTGAGCTGGGAGCAGTGGCAGCTGGCAGTCAGGTAGGGGCCAGATCAAAGGACCTTTTGTGTCACATTGAGGAGCTGAGAAGTCATCCTGTGAATGAAACGGCACCTTGAGGGGCTTGAGGTTGGACAGCAAGGCAGTCATAGCTGTGTATCTCTGCCAGAGGACGCTACACTGCCAAAACACATCGGAAGGATTGGGAAGGGGAAAGATTGGGATTTGCAAGGTCAGTTTTAGGAGGTCATTGTGCTTAAGAGTCTTGGTGATGAAGCCTGGGATGAAGGCACTGGCCCTGGGGTAGTTCAAGGGCACTTCTGTGATATACTCAAGAGGTGGACACAACAGGATCTCACGGTTCCTGGGAAATATGAGGCAGAAAAGGGAAATATAGCTCTAGAGCTCCAAATTGGGTGACAGAGTGAATTGTGGTGCTAACAACCAGGGTAAGGTATATAGGAGAAGGTTTTTTGTTTTTGATTGAGAGTGGTTGGGTATGAGAGGTTGGGAGGAAAAAGAAAGAGAGAATGAGCTCAATGGAGTTAGTTTTAGACCCAGTGCATTTGAGATGTTTATGAGATGTTCAGGTGGAGATGTCCAGCAGGCAGCTGGGTGTATAGTGGAGCCCCCTGTCATTCACATAATTCATTTACTCAAATTTAAGGACACACAGTCAGCAAACAGAGAGACACAGAGAAAGAAATAGACAGTTTAAAAAGTGTTGATCACTCCACTCTGCTCAGCACATGCTTAGTACAGAGGATGAGATGGAAGACCCCCGCCCTCCAGTGCCTCAGTGGGGCCCAATTGCCAGGTGCGCCTCGAAGCCTGAGCATCTGGCCTTGCTGAGTGTGGCTCTAGGGTGGGGTCAGCAGGCCTGTACCTAATGGCCAGATCTGACCCGTCACCTGTTTTTGTTTGGCCAGTGAGCTAAGAATAATTTTTAAAATTCTAAATGTTAAAAAACAAATCAAAAGAATATCTCATGTCATGTAATAATTTTATGAAATCCAAATGTCAGTGTTTATAAAGTTGCATTGGAACATAGGAACAGGGAGTCAGCAGGGCCTTTCTGGAGGCTCTAGGGGAGAATCCATTCTCTTGCCTTTTTGCAGTCCCAGAGGCTGCCTGAATTCCTACACTTGCAGCTCCTTCTCCATCTTTAAAGCCAGAAATGAGGATTGAGTCTTCCTCCCATCACAGTGATTCTGACACTCACTCTTCTGCCTCCTCTTCCACATTTAAGGACCCTTGTGGTTACACTGAGCCCACCCAGGTAATCCAGGAAAATCTCCCCATCTCAGGCTAGTTGATGCACAGCCTTAATTTCATTAGCTACCTTAATTCCCCTCTGCTATGTAACACAACTCGATTACAAGTTCTGGAAATTAGGACATAGACATCTTTGCTGGGGGGGTGGGTAGTTTTATCCTGCTGACCACAGATAGAGATACAGACTTGGGAATTCACAGATTTAGGGTGGTATTGAAGAGCAAGAGAATGGATGGTACAGCTCATGGAAAAGGCATGACTGAGATGAGGCATAAGGAAAAATCCATGGCACACACAAGGCTTTGAGTGGCACAAGAGGAAAATCCTAAAAAGGAGATGGAAACAGGAACAGTTCAAGGAAAGTATCTGATCTAGAAAGCCAAAAAGAGAAAAGACTTCCAAGCAGAAGAGAGGAAAATGCTATATGGCAGCCAGGAGAGATCTGGGCTGAAAGGCAGCCTTCGGACTTGGTGACTACACATGGTGGTGGTGCCTGATGGCTTGGCAAGACCTGTTGTTAGTACCCTCGTCCCCTTCCAAGCCCCTGTGACTTGTCTGGGGAACAAGAGTGGAGCACTTGATTTAGGCCTATCCACAGCATTGCTTTTTCCCGCCTGTAGGAGTTGGTTCAGGGCTGAGCGCTTGATTCTATGTGGGTCAATGAGAAGCAATGAGGAGCCATGAGATTGTGCTGGGATGATTTTAATGTAGGGTTTTTCCAGGCCTGTGGCTTCCGTGACCATCTTTACACCCAAGTGAAGAAGGTTTGATGAGGGAGTAAGGGAGAGAAGAGAGAGAGTAGGAATAAGAGCAAGAGAAAGGAGAGATTGAGAAGGAGAAATCAGGTCAGATGACATCATGTGAGCCCTGCTGAAGCCAAGACTGGACACCTCACTTCTGGAACCAATATATTTGTTTTTATTTTTCTGAAGTCAGTTGGAGCCTGGCTTTCTGTCACTTGAGCCATATGAATCCTATCTGATCTGGGGGTCTTTAGCATCTTTTGCCGTGCAGAATCGGTGAGTAGAAGCTTGAAGATGGTGTGCTAAAAATGCACCTCACAAAAGAAAAGAGCCTCTAGTAGAGATGCATTCGCCTTGGTGACTACCATATGTTAAAAGATGAAGCCTGTAGGATATTCAGAGAGGGCTCCCCGCTGGGCCTGTGCCCTCTCGGGCTCTCCGGCTGACTCTCTGTGGTGATGACTGCTCTAGAGCAGCCGCTCTGGAAGCATGGACCTGGCACAAGCCACATCAGCATCACTTGGGAATTGGTTAGAAATCCAAAGTCTCAGATTTCTCCAGACTTCCTGGATGAGAAACTCTGGTGACTGTGGAAGCCCACAGTCTGTATTTTTAATAGGCCTTCCGAATGACTGTGATGTACACTAAGGTTTGAGAACCATTGTTCCTGGACTGCAGTTTCTAACTGTTGCAGGGAAGAGTATCACTGGAGGGTCATATTGGATGCACGTGGAATTCAGTGGATCTTGAGGTCAAGGGAGGCTGGAGATGTGATTTCCCTGCTGAAACTGACACACTGAAATTCTTACCTTTAAACACTTGGTTCACAGCCTCACTGCAACAACATGATTTTGTGATAGAAGTTGAAACACAGGTTTGGGTTTTCCTGAAACATCAAAGTGCTGTGATTTTCCAGTTGCAAAGACATGGCATCAACCTAAATGCCCATCAATGATAGACCGGATAAAGAAAATGTGGTACACAGACACCACAGAATATTATGCAGCCATAAAAAAGAATAAGATCATGTCCTTTGCAGGGACATGGATGGAGCTGGAGGCCATTATCCTTAGCAAACTAATGCAGGAACAGAAAACAAAATATCACATGTTCTCACTTACATGTGGGTGCTAAATGATGAGAACACACATGGACACATAGAAGGGAACAACACACACCGGGGCCTTTTGGAGGGTGGAGTGTGGGAGGAGGGAGAGGATCAGGAAAAGTAACTAATGGACACTAGACTTAATACCTGGGTGATGGAATAATCTGTACAGCAAAACCCCATGACACAAGCTTACCTATGTAACAAACCTATGCACATGTAGCCCGGAAGTTAAAATAAATGTTAAGAAAACAAAGGGCAGTGATTTGTGAGTTCTGGTTTCTTTTCTGGAAATTGTGATGATTGATTTAGATCTCTTTAGTCACAGCTGTATAATCCCACTGGCTCCTGATGAAGTGTGGTGTCATGGAAGAGAATGTGATCAATGAGGAAGCATCCCACTTCTTCAAGTACAATGGGGTGTACGAAAGCGGGTGTCTTCTATATAAAATGGAAAATGAAGCTCTTCGATAATGGATTCTTACTCTATCTAGGGCTTCACTGGGCTAAGAGCTATGCAGCGTGCTGCATAATAGAAGACATTTAATGGGGTGCATTTCAGAGACACAGAAATCCACCAGGACTCCCAGTTAAGATGGAGGGGGAAATGACCTTAGGAAAGTCTGAATCACTTTCCTCAGAGGTAGGAGGTGAGTACCTGCTGGTGCCAGGTACTTTTGCTTTACTTCTCACAGCAGAGTAAACATTCATGGAGGGAGAAAACATGGGCTTGGAAGTCACGGAACCTGAGTTTGAATCTTGGTGCTATCACTTGGTAGCTGTGTGACCTTAGATATGGGACCAAATCCATCTGAGCACCTGTTTTTCCATTTAGAAAATGGGGATAATACTTGTCTTCTTCAGTTGTCATGAGGTGTAGAAGGGATGTAAGAAGCACTTGATACATAAAACATACTCAGTTGATTTTCCTCTCCTCTAAGCCATCTATTATACTTCCCCAGTCTCCTTTCCTCAAGTGCCGAGCGTCTTCATGTTGCCCTCCTGAGTCGCAAGTCTTACACTCTTGCCAGACTGTTTCTCTGCTATGTCCTCAAGTCTTCAGAATTACTTTCCTTTCCTCCTCCAATAATAACCTCCCCTTTCCAACATAGCCAGGCTCGATGTTGCCATTACCATCTAATTAAAGAAATTGATGATCCTGCTGAACTTGACAGGGCAAGGCCTCCCAGGTGCTCACTGCTTTGCCCTTTCCAGTCTGCAAAGGAGCTGATTAAGCCACAGGACTCTCCTGCTGGCAGGTGTATGGAGAAGGTGCACCTTGGGGCTGATAGGTGCTTCTGGGATCTCCTCTCATGGATGCGTTCTCTCCTGCCTCCATTCATTCATTCATGCAGTGAACGGGTGGAGGGTCTGACTTACAAGAGCCAGGTACTGTGCTGGTTACAGGGGAAGGAAAGATGAATGAGATAGTCTTGCAAGTCAAGAAACTCAGACCTGGAGAGTAGACAGACTCAGAAAGTTATAATGAAGAATAGAGTATTTGGGGAATGCAGAAGAGGAGGCATAAGTCAACAAGATGGGTAGAGTGTGCCCGTCAGGAAAGGAGGATGCCTTCAGGAAGGTTTGAGTCTCAAAAGACAATTAAATAGGTGAAGAGGTCATGAGATGGCCTGTTAGCTAAGGAGCCAGTATTACCAACAACAGAGATAAGACACACAGGGTGTGTTCCTGAGAACCCCAGAAAATTACATTGTTCCTCTGTACAGTTTGAGATAATGTTTGAAGATAAGGCTGAGTTAGGCTGTGGCCTGCTAATTTTATCCAATGAATGGGCAGCCCCTATAAGTGTCCATTGGGCAGGGACAGGGAGTGGCTGATCAGACTTAACTAAATGTCTAGCTAAAATGTCTTGAGTGCTTACCACGTGCCAGGCACTGTTTTAAGCGTTTCACTGTAATTGAATCATTTAATGTAGCTCCCTCTAGCACGGAGGGGAGGATGGGCTTGGGAAGGGGAGACGGGGGGCAGGGAGGTTGATCAGAAGCAGGAATGAATGAACATGGGGTAAGGGTGGGGGGATAGGGGTCCAGTGGGTCCCCAGGAGTCCAGCGCTGGCAGTGGTCTGAAGAGTGGTATCATGGACCGAGCCAGAGAAGGGGGAGAGCAGCAGGCTCCCAGGAAGGGCTGAGTTATCTCTGGGAGTGCCCCATAGAGCTGGGCGTCACATCTCATGGGGAAAGGGTAGTTTGTCCTTGGACCCTGAAGCTGGAAATCTTGCATTCACCCCAGGTCTGGCCTTTGTACTACCAGGTGTTGGCTCGCTCTTTCCCGATTGTAAATACAATATCTCTGCCTCACACACATCTTTGTTCCAAACCAGATCTCTTGCAGGAGAGGAAAGTCGTCCGCGACAATGGCTTCTCCTTGCTCTTGTTGCACTGAAGCTTTGAGAACTGCTAGAAGCACCCGCGCTGCGGGAAGACAGCTGAACATCCTTGCCTCTCCAGGATGCCCTCAAAGGAGGCGAGTTGCTGCTACGCCGCCCTTGACCTCTGCCTTTGCCCGAGCGCTCTGCCCTCCTCAAAACGCACGCGGGCAGTGAGGGGCTCATCGCCTGGCGCCGCCGGTGGCGCCGGCTGCCAGCAGAGGGCAGCATTGAGACACGAACGAGGGAGCGCCCGCGAGGCGCCGCGGGGGCAGCGGAACCGCAGGACCCCAGCTCCGTGGCGGCTCCAACCTTTCAAGCGACTCCCCCGGGAACCCTTTCTGCCGGGTGTGGGCTGCCGAAAATGAGCAGGTGATAGGAGTGAAAAATGAAACAATTCTGTTCGGCAGAATGAAAATGAGTTGTCAATTAGCATCTTATCTGCCGATGTCACCTTCTCCGCGCTTTAAGATGGCTTTGTCTGCGGGCAGGAGCCGGGGACCTCCCCAGGGCAGAAAGTGGTGGCGCTGCCAGCAGCGGGAGGGGCGTCAGGGGACCGAGCGGAGGCCGGGGGCGGGGGCTAAGGACCCAGGGCCCGTGCAGAAGGGAGGGCGCAGGCGTATTTCCAGCCTGCTGGGGCCAGGTGGAAGGCGACATCCCGGCCTCAGGGGGAGGCACGGGGAGGGCGCGAGAGAGGGCTGCCAGGATCGTGCTTCCCCTCGGTGGTCGGGGTCCGCTTCCGCGTCGGTTCTGTTTATCAGGAGGGCTGGGGGGGATGTTTGGAGTTTTCTTTGTCCTTCACGGTCTCAGTTGACCCTCTGCGGCCCCGCCATTCTCCTTCCCGGCTCCCTCTTGTGCCGTCGCAGATTCCTGGGCGCAGCACGAGGCTACACCTGGTCCTGGATCCTCTCTATTTGGCCAGAAGGGAGGGAGTCTTTTTGTCTCCATTTCCTGCCTCCACACTGTGGAGGCTGAGCCACGTTCCAGAGTCTGAACTGGCCCTCAGCGGAGCTCTTGCAGGAAGCAGCCGAGGTGCGTCTCCGCCACGGACCCCAAGCTGCCCAAGTTAAGTCCTTCTAGAAGGGCGCATTCCATGGAGACCAGAAAGAGAGCAGCAAGCGAGCTGGGAGGGCTGGGTTAGCAGGAGGCGGTCACTGTGAGATCTCCTTCCTTCAGACCCATTAAATAATGATTTTATCCTTGGGCGAAGGTTCCTTGCTGCTGCAAAAGCTGAATCTTTGCTGTTCCCCAGCGTGCTTTATTTCTTTACAGATAGTATTGATTGTTTCCTCTGGATGGTTACCCTCAAAGCCCCAATTTCACCCGCACTCATGGTCTTGGTGTAAATGAAAGCCGTCTCATTTGATGATCATGAAGACCATAAATTAACTTCCGCTAAGAGATTTGGAGTGAAGGGAAGCATTTCTTCCGTCCTATTAGAAGTGATACACTTGGCTGGTTGAGTCAAATTCCTACCTGGCACCAGCAAAGGAAATGCTTGTAACTAGTTGGAGAACCCAAAGCATATTTAGGAATATATACTTTAATTTTTTTATTATTTTATTTTATTTTTTATTTGTTTTTATTTTTTCGAGACGGAGTCTCGCTGTGTCGCCCAGGCTGGAGCGCAGTGGCGCGATCTCGGCTCACTGGAAGCTCCGCCTCCCAGGTTCATGCCATTCTCCTGCCTCAGCCTCCCGAGCAGCTGGGACTAAGGCGCCTGCCACCATGCCCGGCTAAATTTTTTTTTTGTATTTTTAGTAGAGATGGGGTTTCACCGTGTTAGCCAGGATGGTCTCGATCTCCTGACCTCGTGATCCGCCCGCCTCGATCTCCCAAAGTACTGGGATTACAGGCGTGAGCCACCGTAATTTTTTTTAAATTAAAATTTCTTGGAAAAAAATCCTGTTGTTTAAACATGTCAGTGGTGACGTATTACAGTTGTGGGACCTTAACTGAGTCAGGCACCTCTCTCCTTGTTACTAAGGGAGTGGTGAGGAAAGAGCAGAGATTTGTGATCAGACGGAACTGGGTCTGAAACACAGCTCTGCCTTTTACTAATTTTATTATTTCACTTATCTGCGCTCATCTGAACTCATCTAAATGGGTGTAATAATGGTTCACTCACCTTGAATGCAAATACATATAAAGCAAAATAATGTGTATAAAATGTCTGCAGCCCTCTAGGTCCTCCATATTAACTTCCCTTTTTTCATCCTCTTCCTGCTTCTCCTCCTCCTTTTTCTTTTCTTTCTTGTCCTTCTCCCACTTTGCATGGTCGAAAGGCCATAAAATAAACATTGAGACAAATGGAGCCTACCTTATAACCTCAGTTGTATACAAGCTCACTTAAAAAAAGTTACAGCATTTGGCAAATGGAATATATGTGTGTCTTGTGTGTGTGTATGTTATGTGCATACACACACATATTTATTTCTATATTTATCTGTAAGTTGAATACTGGCTCCATTGACCAATATATTGGCTTATGTATATATATATATATTTTACATATGGGCCTATAGGCCAACAATGAACATTAATTCTCTCTCTCTTTCTCTCCATCCCTGCTACACTTTTCCTGGAGATGAATACATAAAAATAGGTATTGTATGAGTTGAGTACCACTTACTCTCACAAGGCTCTTTTGTGAAGCCCAAGTCACAAATAATACTTCACTTATTCACTTATTTTAATTAACTTTTGTACAGAATATCAGGATTGGACAAGATTTTGCTCATCTGATTCCACATTTCACTTGATAATTTTTGATATGTCTGATATTTGCCTCCACTCCCCAGCATAGGACAGGTTGTTGGCCAGTCTCTGCTGGTGACGTAGTTCCAGAGTCAGCCCCGTCTACCATATGATGGCCTTAGAGAGTCTGTTTTTATTTTGAGCAGGGCTCTATTGGCCCTGATTCTGTTTTCTGAAATACTCCAGATTTGTAGGTGTCCATCTTCCCTTAATCTTTTCTTCTGGCTAGGCATTGCTGTTTTTCAGAAGTTTCTTATACAGCACAGTTTTTCTTGTGCACAGGCCTCACCTCTGGATTATAAACTTGTGCAGACCCTCTTTGTAACTCTCACAATAGCCAGTGATATGGTTTAGCTCTGTGTCTGCACCCAAATCTCATGTCAAATTGTAATCTCACATGTGAGGGAGCGACGTGGTGGGAGATGATTGGATCATGGGGGTGGTTTCCCCCATGCTGTTCTCGTGATAGTGAGTGAGTTCTCATGAGCTCTAATGGTTTAAAATGTGGCACATTCCCTCTCTGTCTCTTTCTTGCTGCCATGTAAGATGTGCCCTGCTTCCCCTTCGCCTTCCACCATGATTGCAAGTTTCCTGAGGCCTCCCCAGCCATGTGGAACTGTGAGTTAATTAAACCTCTTTCCTTTATAAATTACCCAGTCTCAGGTAGTTCTTTATAGCAATGTGAAAATGGACTAATACAATTGGGACGTTGGCCTTGCCATGAGTAAGTGGGCCTCACTTAAGTCTCACTGGCTGATTGAGAAGCATCACTAGGAAAAAAGGGAAAGGAAGAAACAATGCCCGCCTCTTGCCATCACAGATAAAGCATATCAAGTTGAGGCTACCAGACTGCTTGGCAAATATGTCACCTTTCTTTTTTGTAGCCTTTCTGCCTCTTACATTGAGTCCTGGCCTTCTGGGGAGCCACTGAACCTGAGCAAAACAGGCTTCTCATGCTTGTCTTGTCAACTTTAATTTATGAGAGTACAGCTCAGATTAGAGGGGAGGAGGGGGAAACAGATACACACCTTCTGTAATGCCAGGAGGGATTGCTCCTTTCTGGTTGTTCTGATCTGGTGATATTTTCATAGAGCAAGTGAACCCAGCTTTCAAACCTCTTCGACACTTGTGAATGGACATACTTGCTATTAAAATGAGAAATATAGGATTAACCACCCAAGCAAATTAAGATGGAAAGATGAAACATCCTATTGAAGGAAGCAAATTAATAGCATTCTTGTTTGAATTACCTGAACTAGATGAGTTAAATTGTTTTCTCTTCAGCTATTGATATTATCCATTCTCAACTTTGCTTTGTATGTGATCATAATCTTTAGATTCGAATTAGATTCAAATTAGATTGAAATCCTGAAACAGAAACAAAGAAGGGAAAACAACCTACCACATCCACCAGACAAATCAGAAACCATAATCTTAATTTTGGATAAAATATACTTTTAAAAATACACTTGAGGCTAGACAGGTAGAGTCAAGGAAGTAACCCTGTCCTTGTGGTGCAGCAACTGTGGTGACCGTACAGTCAACACAATAAGCCCCAGGATTCGCACTGTGGTCCAGCTCATTCAAGCAAGGCTATCTTCAGCAGGGAATTTCCCCTGCAGAAAGCATGCGCACTTTGATTTTACCTGTCCTCAAACTGCTCATTCTGGGTGGAGATTTAAGATGCTAATGAGACTTGTGACATATGAGCAAGCATGTACAGCTACTGTGTGTGTGCACTCAGAGAACCACCCAGAACATGCTTACTAGTAGCAAACACCTATTCCCACCCCCTTATGAATAATCATGTAGGACTCCCATAAAGAGAGTCTCCCTAGTGCCAGTCTTTGCTGTCTCATCCTTTTATGAGCAGCCTGCCCTGAATTCTCTCTCTCAGAGTGTACTGTCTATTCTGCACCTAATTTTAAAAATGTTATTTTTATTTTACAATAAATTACTCTATGCTGGATCTTCTTTGCTGTGCTCTTATTTAAATTCATATATATAATATGAATATATTATATATAATATGTACATATTATATATACATAATATTCTCATATTTAAATTCACATATATAATATGTATATATTATATATACATAATATATATACATATAATATTCTCATATTAAAATGAGAAATATGGGATTAACCACCCAAGCAAATTAAGATGGAGAGATGAAACATCTTATTGAAGGAAGCAAATTAATAGCATTCTTGTTTGAATTACCTAAACTAGATGAGTTAAATTGTTTTCTCTTCAGCTATTATTAATATCCATTCTCAACTTTGCTTTATTGTATATATATACATATATATATACTTTAAGTTCTGGGATACATGTGCAGAACGTGCAGGTTTGTTACATAGGTATACACATCCCATGGTGGTTTGCTGCACCCATCAACCCATCACCTACCTTAGGTATTTCTCCTAATGCTATCCTCCTCCTAGACCTCCAGCCCCCAACAGGCCCCGGTGTGTGATGTTCCCCTCCCTGTGTCCATTTGTTCTAATTGTTCGACTCCCGCTTTATGAGTGAGAACATGCGGTGTTTGGTTTTCTGTTCTTGTGTTAGTTTGCTGAGAATGATGCTTTCCAGCTTCATCCATGTCCCTGCAAAGGACATTAACTCATCCTTTTTTATGGCTGTATAGTATTCCATGGTGTATATGTGCCACATTTTCTTTATCCAGCCTATCATTGATGGGCATTTGGGTTGGTTCCAAGTCTTTGCTATTCACTTTGTGAATAGTGCTGCAATAACATATGTGTGCATGTATCTTTATAGTAGAATGATGTATAATCCTTTGGGTATATACCCAGTAATGGGATTTCTGGGTCAAATGGTATTTCTGGTTCTAGATCCTTGAGGAATCGCCACACTGTCTTCCACAATGGTTGAACTAATTTACACTCCCACCAACAGTGTAAAAGCATTCCTATATCTCCACATCCTGTTCAGCATCTGTTGTTTCCTGAATTTTAATGATCGCTATTCTAACTGGCGTGAGATGGTATCTCATTGTGCTTTTGATTTGCATTTCTCTAATGACCAATAATCCTCCGCTTCCTGGGTTCAGGTGATTCTTCTGCCCCAGCCTCCCCAGTAGCTGGGATTACAGGTGCCCGCTGCCACACCCAGCTAATTTTTGGTCTTTTTAGTAGAGACAGGGTTTCACCATGTTGGTCAGGCAGGTCTCGAACTCCTGACCTCAGGTGATCCATTCACCTTGGCCTCCCAAAGTGCTGGGATTACAGGTGTGAGCCACCGCACCCGGCCAATGAGCTTTTTTCCATATGTTTGTTGGCTGCATAAATGTCTTCTTTTGAGAACAAAAGCCAAAATTGACAAATGAGATCTAATAAACTAAAAAGCTTCTGCACAGCAAAAGAAACTATTATCAGCATGAAAAGGCAACCTACAGAATGAGAGAAAATTTTTGCAATGTATCCATCTGACAAAGGGCTAATATCCAGAATCTACAAGGAGCTTAAACAAATTTACAAGAAAAAACAAACAATCCCATGAAAAAGTGGGCGAAGGATATGAACAGACACTTCTTTAATTTTTTTACAGTAAAAAGACAAGAACCGTGATATCACAACAGCCGTTAACACATACACTGAAATAAAAACGTTGGGGTTGGAGTGTGATTGGTTTTCTGAAAGAATAAAAGGTGACTCTTCAAATATGGTAGGTACAAAGACCCGTTGTACTGTTTACATTTCAAAACTAGGTTTAAGCTGATAGCTTTGAAGATGAAACAAGAGGAGGAGGAGCCAGGCCAGGTCCTTGGGGGCATCTTGCCTGTCCTTCCCCCTCCTGCTGCATCAGTGTCTCCAGTGTCTGCTGTGCAGAAGCTTTTTAGTTTATTAGATCTGATTTGTCAATTTTGGCTTTTGTTCTCAAAAGAAGACATTTATGCAGTGTCTCCAGGCTTTTCAGTTACCAACCCCTCCCCTCGGGCAAGTCACACAGGCACCCACGGCTGCTGGAAACGATTGTGGTCAGTGGATATGGGCAGTTATGATGTCGTCTCTTTGTGGGGCACTCACAGTATCCAAGGTGGCCACTAGCATGCCTCTTCTCCATGCATTTGATCTCATCATAATTCTGTCACGTAAGTGTTACAAATTCCCAGTTCTGGGTGAGGAAACGGAGGCACAGAAAGATTAAGTAATCAGAGGAAATTTCTTCTGTGGGTTACTGGAAGGCTTCAGATTTAAGACCAGTTTCCTTCTATCCCAGCATGTTTCTCAGACCTATTGCATTGCTGTGCAGTCAGAAAATGTGTCCTCCTTTGTTTCTCATGGTGAGTGGCAGCAGTGCCCTCTTTGGTTGTTTGTATCTGGAGGCTGTCATCACCATCAACATCAGTTCCAAAATCTTACTTTTCTTGCAGCATGTGGCTTCACAGGAAAAAAAAATTAAATGCACAGGACTTCAGCTTGTTATTAGCTGAATTCACATGTGAAATACACTTTTTTAAAAGAGGGAAGTATGTCACTCTAAGTCAAGGAAATAAGTATCTTAGCATAAACCTATGAACCTAATATTCCAAGTTTAACCCCTATTTAGTAAGGATTAAATGGGGTTCTAGCTGCCATAGAAAAGGAGGAAGGGGTTCCAATTGATACTGGAAGGCAGGACACAATCCCCAAGAAAGGACTCTGAGTAATGAGGGAGGATCCCCCTGGAAATGGGGGTGCTCTCCATGAAATCTGTGCCCAGGCCCATGGAAGGCATCCTGCAATGCCCTCTCATCAGAGAGGACTCACATTCCCTACAGTGGCACCACAGATTTGTGAGTGACATTTAGGGAACCATGTAGCATGGTGAAATAAAATAATATTCATATTAGAAAAACTGTTCCTGATGGATCACATTTCAGCAGATAAGATATTAGTTCTTGGCCTAATAACATATGGCACAGAATCAGCAAAGAAGAACAGGACAAATGGCGAGGAGCATTATTGGATTGGGGGTGTCCCCAGCCATGCTGGCTGAGCTTCACCAGCTGCCTCACTTAACTTTATCTGTAGTTTGCTCTATCTGTCTGCATCCATACACATGTAAATAAATGTTCACACTGTGACTTGTATACAGCGTTTATGTCATGGCATGGTGTGATGTGAATTCATATCATCAGCATGGTGGTGGGGTCTTCATACAGTCTTTAGTTAAAGACACCCTTTAGGTATTGTTTTGGCAACATATCTGAACTAGGTATGTATGCTCAACCTGCAAGTGAGGTGACTCTCCTGGGGGCCAAATCGAGCAGATCAGGGCAATAGCAACCCTTGACAAAGAGCAGCTGAAATAGGACCTCCTTCTACTGGGGGTGTCCCCTTTATAAGATGGAGAGCTTTTCAGAGCAGGTGAACAGACTGGGCATTGAAAGTCCTTGTTGATGCTTCAGCCTGAGGGAGAAAGGGAATCACGTGTTTCCAGTGCAAACCTCAAGCTGGCTTGGGGAAAGACCTAGTCATGAGCAAGGTCTTTAAATATCCAGACCTCAGCTTGAAGCCTCACTCAATGAAACAGAACAGCCAAGAGATTTTTCACTTGTTTTGATGGCAGTTCTATTTCTTGGAAGTTAGGAGAGGTGGATATTGCAACTGTGGAACTAGTTCAGATCAACTAGGGGAATACATAGTAATTGAAAAAACCCGGGTGTAAAAGAGAATGTCATCTGAGCCACAAAGACATTTCTGGGCATAGTAGTTATACTGGGCACCTATGCATTTAGAAATTCAGTTTTCAAAATATCCTAGATAGGTGTAACTCTATTTAATTCTTGTGTGGGTTTCTTTTCTATCACTTTCTGCTTTACCCTCTGAAAATGTCTCCATATCCTCAAATAAAAGGTATGAAAAACAAAAGTAACATAGGAAAAGGCAAAAACAAATGGAACTTGCTTAATTCCTGTTTTCCATTTAAATATTTCTCAGGGATAAGAATTTTATTGGAAATGATAGCATTGACTACCATAAAAGGAACTCAGCATTAGATCAATGCTTATAAAAGTGAGTCTGTTATGGTTTATACATTTTTAAGTCTCTGGCCAAACTGGGTTGTATCATAGGAAAGTGAGAAAAAAAACTTATATATTCAATTGCAATGACGCTGTCAGGAACCCCTGAGGGGTCTTGGAGCATGATCCAGGGGCCTTATAGTAAAGACAGAATTTTCAAATGAGAAAAATCAAAACCGTGTATTCTGAACTGGTGAGCCTATGTATAGTTTAGGCAATATTTCAGAACACATATTTAGAACATAGTTTTAAACGGGAGTTTTTGAGTACTCCAAGTCAGGAGCAGTGATCTCTCAAATTCAGCATTGGTTCTTAAGGATGTCCTGTCACACTGACAACCTTTCTTTATTCTTTGGGTCCTGAATGAATGTATATGGTGTACTTGAATTTCAGCAAGATGTCTTGCATATTTCTCACTTATGTGGACTGTCTCGTAATATTGTTAGCTGGATCAGTAACTGCTTGAATACTCATATTCTTTCTCTGTCCCAGCCTGGGAGATGCTTTTATCACAACACAGATGTGGAGGTGGGTGGCATGCTTATCAAATCTGTGGTGACATATGGAAGGACAGTTAAAATCCTAAATGACAACATCCACAGTACAAAAGAACAATATTAAACAGGTGGCCAGATGGCCTCAATAGAAAAAAGTCCACACAAGGCTCCTACCCTTGCCTGCCCCTCCCCACTCTCATTGATACAGTGAGAGGCTACTCGTGATGAGGTTTTGCGGTAGCATGTGATGGATAGATGCCATTTTTAGTTGGCTGAGAGATTAATAATGGAGAGCTAACAAGATACAGGTTCCTCCAGGCTTTTGCAGCTTTGGAATTTGAGATTTAGAAGCACAGTTGATACCAGTGTGGTGTCCAGAGCAAGGGAGCTCTCTGATGGGCCCATCTTTCCTGTGACAGCCAGACCAAATCTAGACTGCTCTATCCCACTTTGAAGAGTGCATTTTCAGAGAGACATTGCTAAACAGGTGTATATGATTGAAATGACTGAGGAATATAGATGTTCAACCAAGAGAAAAGAAGACTGATGTGTGTGTGCCGACACATGTGTACGTGTGTCGTGATATCTGGGTTCAAACATAGCAAGAGTCACTTGCAGAAAGAGGACTGGAAATATGTTGTGTGATTCCAGGAACATTCCAATTGCAGCTCAAATCTCACTTTCTCAGAGGCTCAGAGGACCCATTTATGGTCCCCATAAAAAGCAGCCCCTCCCAGGCACACTCCCATTTAATTTCTGCTATAAACACTTAGCATAAGTTGAAATTTTTTTTGGTTGTTTTCTTATTAAAAAAAATCCACTAAAATATAATCTCCATGAAGCAAGGGCCTTGTCTTTCTTGTTCAATGCTGTATCCCAGGTGCCCAAGCCAATACATTGCACACAGTAGTTACTTACTAAAAAAATAGTTGAAAGAAAGAGAGGAGAGGAAGAAGAAAGGAAGGAAACAAAGAAAGAGATAGAATCAGCCAGGCGCAATGGCTCATGCCTGTAATCCCAGCACTTTGGGAGGCTGAGGTGGGTGGATCACCTGAGGTCAGGGGTTTGAGACCAGCCTGGCCAACATGGCAAAACCCCATCTCTACTAAAAATACAAAAATTAACCAGGTGTGGTGGTGCATGTCTGTAATCCCAGCTACCTGGGAGGCTGAAGCAGGGGAATCACTTGAACCCGGAAGGTGGAGGTTTCAGTGGGCCAAGATCACGCCACTGTACTCCAGCCTAGGCGACAGAACGAGACTCTGTCTCAAAAAAAAAAAAAAAAACAAAAAACAAAACAAAAAGAAAAAGAAAAAAGACAACAGAAAAAAAGAGAGTATCAGTGAATTCCAATGCAGAAAAGTAGAAGCAGTGGATAGAGTTGTGGGAGACTCATTTGAACTTAACATGAGGTGGGATGTTCTAATAATTGCATCTGGCATTTGAGCCAGCTCTTTCTGGAGACAGTCCCTCTAACTGGATATTTTCAAAGAGAGTATTGTAGCCCAAAACTAGAAGGTGAAATAGATTCAATGACCCCTACAATTTATTCTGACCTTGAGATTAAGCTAAAAATATATTTTATACTTAAAATTTGCCATCCTTTTTAGGAATTCAACATTCTATAACATCAAGCCTTATCAGCTAAGCCATGTGGATTCTGCTTATTAAGGAAGCACATAGCTGCGGGTGAGGGGAAGAGGTGAGAATGTGACTGTGCTCAGAATCTGTCACTATCACAAGGCTGAAAATCCCACTTCTGAGTAGCTTTGGGAAAGTCAATTTTAACTTTTTGTTTCAGTTTTCTCATTTGAGAAAGGTGTGTGTGTGTGTGTGTGTGTGTGTGACTCTCCTGCAAGGGGATGGACTCGACCTGGTGCAGGCCAGGAAATCCTTTGTCAGTGAGATGAGAACCCTTAAAAGACATGATTTAGTTTCCCACATTCCAGTTTTGCTCTTCTCCAAGCCCAGGAATGCCTCACTTCTGGTCCAGCAGGGGAAGGCACTGAGCTTGCCAAAGGAAAGCTACACAGAGAGCCAGGGGCATGGCGCTTAGGACTTCCCATGGTTGACCAGACGCTTGGGCAGCTTTTGGTGACTTATCTATTCCTTTCCACATTTCTCTAAGCTTAGTCTCCTGAGACCAGATGCTAGGGGAGACTGGCCTTTGTCTCATTCTCCACACCTCACCCCCACATCCAGTTTCTATGGGGGTCGGGGGCGTTTGGGAAGCCTGGCTTTGATTCCACCCCCAGCCCTCCTCCCCTCCCATGCAGACCATGTTGGGAGCTTGGCCCCCTGCCCACAATGCAGATCAGCAGTCCAGCAGAGCTTCCTCTACTGCTTCAGGGGTGAGACAGCAGTAGCTGTGTCAAGGAATCCCAGCTGGTGTGTGCATGTGTGTTCCTTGCCTAGGTAGCATCCACCCTTTGGTACATCATGGCCACTCCCTCTTTTCTGTGGTTTCACTTGAAGCTGTGGCTCGAACTGGCCCAGTGTGAGCTGGTTCCTGGAGTTGATACGTAGACATTGCGAGTGATGAGTCCACTTTTCACAGAGGTTGCTATGCTGGGAGGATGAGCATCTAGACCCCTGAAAGTCATCGTTCCTGGCCACAAGCAAAAAGCTACCTGCAGCAGGTGAGTTGGCCACAAACCAAAGCACAACCTCAAATGGAACCAGAGAGAGCCAGGGACATTCTGGGGGCCTGTATAAGCCAGATGTGGGAGCCAGTGCACCCCCAGACTATGTTTGAGCAGTTTAGATTTGTCACTTGCAAGAAAAAGAATTTCAATGAATGCATGAGCTACCAGTGGCAAGACAGGCACAAACTCTCGTATCTACTTATAGGCAACAGAAAGGCAATGAGAGGGGAAGAGAGGTGAGAGCCAAGCTTCTGAGATAACAGTTTAGCAGCTTGGTGGAATTTGAAAGGTAGGTACTGAAGTCAAGGGGGCTCTTCAGAAGATATTGCAATAAACAAAATGGAAAAGGGTCCAAATGGTTAAACTAATATTTACTGAATATTGAAATATTTATTTATAGGCCCTTGGGCTCTATTCTTAATTACGTTATCTTGTTAATATTCGCAATAACCCTATGAAGTATATATTCTCCCCATTTTAGTCATGAGAACACTAGGGCTTAGTGGGGTTGAATTACTCTTTCAAGACCCCATGCCTAGAAAGAGGCAGTTTTATGGAGGCTAGATCAGCCTTATTTCTGTTTCTAGTACCCCCAAAGACTTCTTAAAGTGAGAATAGGGCCCTAAGGAGAGCTGTGTGTTTTTGTGAATGACAGGATATCAAAGCAGGGGACAGTAGGAGGCAGTGAGGGATGGGAGCACCCGGGCCCCAGGTGTGCCTTTCACAGGGGCAGGGGAGAAGTGATGAGTCCAACTTTGGATGTGCAGAGTTCAAGAGGGACCCTGCTGGTTCACCCAGGGCCTTGCACAGTGCCTAGCATCTAACAAGTGGCTCGCAAATATTTCCTGAAAGAAGTAGTTTCTAATTCATGTCTTTTTCCCTTGCTAGGGGTGATCCAGTCAAATATAAGGCCCCTTCCTTGCTGAATTTCTGATCTGAGGTCTTTAGGGTCCTAGTTTATGAAAGTTGAAGTAATGAGTTTGAGAGCTTTAGAGGAAGGCAGACGTCAGATAAACATCCTAACCTTTGCTCTTCTCTCCACCTGCTGGGCATGCCATGGAGGAGGATATTTTGCCCCCCGCCCCCAGCTTTCTTTTCTATTTCTTCTTCTATTGGCTGGTGTGGGTTAAGATTATCTATCTATATGTCTTAGCTCAGGCTGCTACAACAAATTACCATAGGCTGAGTGGCTTAAACAACAAACATTTATTTCTCACAATTCTGGAGCCCAGGATGCCAAGATCAAGGTGCCAGCAGATTTGGGGTGCAATGAGGGCTCACTTCCTGGTTTGCAGATGGCTGCTTTCTTGTTATGTCTTCACATGGCAGAGGGAGAGCACAAGATTGCTCTTGTATCTCTTCTTGTATGGGCATGGATCCCATCATTAGGGCCCTACCCTCAGGCCTTCATCTGAACCTAACTACCTCCTGTCTCAGCCCGTTTGTACTGCTATAACAAAATACCACTGCATGGGGAATTCATAAATAATAGAAATTTATTTCTCATAGTTCTGGAGGCTGGAAAGTCCAAGATCAAGGCTCCGGTGGGTTCGTTTGTATGGAGAAAGCTGCTTTCTTCTTCCAAGATGGCGCCTTATCACCACGTCCTCACAAGGCAGAAAGGGTCAATATTGTGTCTTCACATGGTGGTAGGCAGAAGGGCAAAAGCATTTAGCTAGGTCCCGTCCCTTCAGTCCTTCCATAAGGCACTGATCCCATCCATGAGAGTGGGGCTCTCAGGGCATAGCACCTCTCAAAGGCCCCACTTCTCAGTACTGTTGCATTGGGGATTACATTTTAACTAAATTTTGGAGGGGATATAAACATTCAATCCCCAGCATCTCCTAAAGGCGCTGCCTCAAAATACTATCACGTTGGGGGTTAGGGGTTCAATATATGAATTTTGGAGAGTCACATGCATAGCACTACAGGTATCTGAAAATGGTGAGTAGTAGATTAGGAATAGGTCAAGTGCAGTGCCTCACACCTGTAATCCAAACACTTTCAGAAGGTGGGCGGATAACCTGAGGAATTCGAGACCAGCCCTGGGCAACATGGTGAAGTTGGTCTCTACAAAATACACACAAAAAATTAGCTGGGCATGGTGGCACAAACCTGTAGTCCCAGCCACTCCGGAGGCTGAGGGGGGCTGCACTCCAGCCTGGGTAACAGAGCGAGACCCTGTCTCAAAAAAATAAAAAGGAAAAAAAGAAGAAGACCAGGGATAAATAGTACTAACCATCAAATTATTTTCTCTATGCAGAGCACAAGCAAATTTTCAAAATGAGTAATAACAAATTCAGTATTTGAGACATCGTAAATAAGGACTTGAAATGGACAGATTTGCATTTTAGAATTGCCAGTTCAAATGCTCAAATATGGACTTTTGATGCCTAATCAAGAAGCTGCAATTAAAATTTGAAATCTCAATGTTCGCAGGAAAGCAGTCACGATGGTGTGCCAAATGCTTGCCTTTGGAGGCCTTGTGAAAATGTTTACAGGTTAGAAGAAAGAAATGGCTCTCCCAGATGGTGGCTGTGGGCAAGGGATTTCTCCAGGGTCAATGGTGTGAAGAAAATAAGAAGTGCTGCTTTGTTTTGTTTTTGGCATCTGGCAAGGTAAGCAGGAAAATAAAATCCTCCAATAAGAATAAAGGGAAGCGGGAGAGCAGGTTTGTGCCACGGTCGGGGAGCTGAGAGACTGGGACCCAGCACAGCCCACACTCAGGGCTCTGAGTCAGCCCAAGGGAAGGTGCCTCGTGGTCTCAGGGCTGGGAAAGGAGATGGGGGTTGCCTAGAAACTCTGTGCCCTGCTTACAGTGTTCGCTGCCATCTGTCCCTGCAAAATGATGGTTCCAGTGCTTGTCCTGGGTCTCAGGTAGTCTCAGGGATATTGGAGGAAGGGATGAACTTAGGCCACCTGGCAGGCCTGAAACTGGTGTCCTGGGGGCATTTTCAAGCAAAATTGCACCAATACAATTGGATGAGGTTTAGATGTGGAAAATAACTTGTCCTTTCCAAGTCCTTCAGAATCCATTTTTAGCTACATCCCTAGGTTTTTAAGAGTGAATATCTGGGAGCTGGACAAAAAATCCTATAAATCAGACACCACTTTCTTCTTCCCCACAAAGAAGAGAGCGGCAAAAGGAAACCCAAGGCAGCAATTACAAGAGGCTCAGCACTGTTCCTGCTTTTGTTGCTTCTTTTCTGTAGTTTGGTCTTGCTTTGGCTTTGCTATCCTCCACTGTTCACACTATTAATATGAAACCCAAGATGCTTTTTTTGTTTTTTTTTGTTTGTTTGTTTGTTTTTTGCTGGTGGAGCATGGTATTTTATGTTTTAGGCAGGCAGACGTTGATTTTTGTCTGCTCTGAATGAAGCTCTGAATGAAAGTGGCTCTATTCAGCTACAAAATCAAATGCAGTGGAGGTAACATCTTTTCTCTACAAAACATTTCAATTCAAAAATCAGAAACAATCATGACATAAATAGTAGCTACCAAGCTTATGAAGGCAGTATACCATTTTTTGATAGGGAGTGGGAAGAAAAAAATGTTCTGTTTTAATGGATGGTTCGATATAACAAAAAAGAAAACAAAATAAACAAAACCCAAAGCAACATCAGAGAGTTTGCCACGGACTTGAGAATGCATCTTAGTTAGGAGCCAACAGTGAAGTCTGACAATCCTTTGTTCAAGTTCAGGATTAATTAGCTCTGTAGCCATGGGCAAGTTATTGAATGTGGACACTGAGCCTCAGTTTCTTTATCTGCAAGATAATAATAATAAAACTTTCCTTAGAGGATGGCTGTGATAATTTGAGGAGATCTATCTCCTTGAGAACTGTAAATAACTTAACTGTGGAGTTCATTATTCATAGCATAGAGTCAACATTCAACAAATCTTAGCTATTGTTATTGATCATTTCTTTGTAAATTCAGCTGTGGAGGGAAGAAAAAGAATGTGAAAAACAGAGAAAGCATGAGCTGTCCAGGCCAGCTGATGCTAATTATTCTCACATCCATTAAAAGGGCTCAGCAGGCCCATGTGAGTAGGTGTGTGTGCGTGTGTGCATGTGTTTGTGTGTGCGTGGTTGCACAGGTGCCTAGAAGGTGAAGGAGAGTCGCAGGCTCTGGAGCTTTGGGCTGAGCAGGCCCACACAGATGTTGTCAGAAACAGGAAATATAAAATTTCGAGCAAACTGCATGTTAAGTACATGAAGGATAAGTGCGTATTGTGGGTCGTGAGTGTGTTGGGTGTCATATATTTGGAAAACCCTCCAGGATCTCTCTCCTAAAGGATACGCATAGCACCTCTACATTGTCTTGATTACTTGCAAGTATCTACAAGGACTGTTTCCCCAATGCAGGATTTTCTGCACTATTTGACAAACAACCCGCAAGAAAATGCCCCGGCTTGCCTGCATTGCCTTCCTCTATCCTGAGTCTGCCAAAAGGATGGCAACTATTAATTAGTACTACAATATCTCCTTATGAAGGTAACACCAGGAATCTGTGCTTCAATCACTGAAATCCTCTTATGCTTTGGGATAAAGCTCTGATTAGCCTTTTAATGGTGATTATTCAAATGTTCTCTAAACCTTAACTTATTTCATGCCAGTAGGAACAATTTTTTTTTTAATTTCAGAATAAGACTTTTGAGTGAAGGAAACCACGGTACTTAACCCCAAAATATACATCTTTGGCATATTTTGATAAGCCTATTTAGACGGGCTGCAAACCACAGGAATAGCTATGAAAAAATTGTCTTTTGTGGGGGAGATTTGCATCTGTAGAGAAAATCCACATGGGTAAAATAAATAGCCAGGCTTTCTCTGAGGCTCTCTTTATCCAGATCTAGGAAAGATGAACTCACAAGAAAAGGAGACTAAAAGCCTGACACCTTAAAGGTCCCACAGAGAAACTGTTACCCCAGGCACTCATCTGTTCTTTCTGAGAGCTCCTCCCTGAGGGATGTCATCTGTAAACAAGATAGCCTGTTGTGGGCCTGGCCCATAATGGCTCACGCCTGTAATCTCAGCATTTTGGGAGGCTGAGGTAGGTGGATCACCTGAGGTTCAGGAGTTTGAGACCAGCCTGGCCAAAATGGTGAAACTCTGTCTCTACTAAAAGTACAAAAATTAGCTGGGCGTGGTGGTGGGTGCTTGTAATCCCAGCTACTCAGTAGGCTGAGGCAGGAGGATCGCTTGAACCCGGAAGGTGGAGGTTGCAGTAATTCAAAATGGCGCCATTGCATTTCCAGCCTGGGCTACAGAGAGAGATTCCATCTCAAAAAAAAAAAAAAAAAAAAGCCTTTGCTGGCTTTCCTACCCTCACCCTCCCATCACCTGGGTCTCCACCTCCCCCGAGAAGCTCTATGCCCCTATTCATTCTGTAACCTCAGGATAATATAAAAACCTCAACCATCTGGTCCCTCCTGTGAGTCTCACACTTCGGATATGGCTCGTGTGTCCATGTGCATGTTAATAAATTTGTATACCTTTTTTTTCTATTAGTCTGTCTTTTGTCAGTTTATTTCAATAGACTCAGACTTAAATTTTCACAGGAAAAGTCCGAACTTTCCTATACAAGAAAATTCTCAAAAGTCAATACAATTTATAGAGGATGTGTATCTGTGTGTTTTGTTTTGTTTCTTTTTGAGTTTCTTTTCCATTACCAAGCACTCAATATATATTTAAAAGATTACTACACTATGATTTTGATAAATAACAGTAATAATTGGAAGGAAAATTTTTAAACAAACCTTCAAAAAGTTATATCTGCCATGGGTTTTAAAAAATATTATTCCCAAAATGTCAACTTACCTGTGATAAAAATCACTGTAGAGTTTATGAAGGGGAAATAGGAAAATAAAAATTGGTCAGGCCACTTACTCCTTAATTTTGATTTAGGGCAGCATAAAAAACTCTCAATGTATCTGTCCAGTGCTGTAGCACTGATGAAGTTTCCAAGCAATTTTCTAGAGATGGGAGTCAATGACTCTGCATTTATAATCAAGGGGGTCCCACATTGCAGAGATCTACGAAGCACCTTGGGCAATTCTTTTTTGATTGCAGAAGGAAAACAATGAATTTTGACTTCACACTTCATCAATGCCAAAAGCTCTTTTGAATGTATTTCCTTAGGTTTTCCTAAACCTATGAGAGCCTGAAAAAGTGGTATAGAAATCAGGCCTCAGGTATAAAGGCACTCTAGCTTGTGTCAGTTACCTCCCTAAGCTGAACTCTGGATTCTGACCCCTGCTAAGGGTAGGCTCTTTTTTTTGCATAAAACACATAAAAGTAAGGCTAAGTCCACACATAGGCAATTAAATGATTTTTAACAGATGCACTAAAACGATTTACAGGGAAAGGAAAATCTCTTCAACTAATTGTGCTGAGATAACTGAATATTCATATAGAAAAATCAAGATGTTTGACTTATCTAGCCATACACAAGAATCAACTGAAGATGAATCACAGACCTAAATAAAAAAGCTAAAACGATAAAGCTACTGGAATAAAATATAGGGTTAGCTTTATAACTTTGAAGCTAACCCTATATATCTGTACAAATTTCCTAGAGAGTACCCAAACCCATAAATTATTAAAAAGAGCGAACATTAATTGTTTAGGCTATCACAATTAAAAATCTCTGTGCATTAATAAAAAGCATCAAGAAATTGATAGTCAATTCACAGACTGGGAAAAATAATTCACAACACATATATATGACAAATGGCTTTTATCTAGTATATAAAGAACTCCTACAACTCAATAATAAAAAAGACAACAAAATAAAAAATGGGCAATGGACCTAAACACTTCTCAAAAAATGATATACAAATGGCAGTAAACACATGAAAATCAAATAATATCATTTAAGAAATGCAAATTAAAGCCATAATGAGATGCAACTACACACCCACTATAATGGCTAAAATGAGAAAGAATATGAGCCAATCAGAACTTCCATACATTGCCAGTGGGAGTGTAAAATGGTATACCATGTTTAGCAATTTAAAAAAGTTAAACATACATCCAGCCTATGACCTATGTATTTATCCAAGAAGAATGAAAACAACATGTGAAGGATGTTATAGCAGCCTTATTATACACAGTAGCCCCAAACTGGAGACATCCTGCATACCTATCAATGGAATGGATAAACTATCATCTATTCAGGTGATGAAATATTACCCAGAAATAAAAAGGAACAAACTATTGATGTAGGCAACAATATAGATGAATCTCAAAAACATTATGCTGAGTGAAAGAAGCCAGATCCCCCATCCCTAAACTACATAATGTGTGATTCTACTCATATAAGATTCGAAATGGGGCAAAACAATGTTCCACGGTGATGAAAATCAGATCAGTGGCTATTTCTGGAGGAACAGACTGGGAAGGGGTGGAGACACTCTCCAGCTCAATGGAAGTGCTCACCATTTGATGTGTACGTGTTAAGACTGATTGGACAGTACATTTAAGATCTGAGCACTCAGTGTGTACAAATTAAACCTCAATTTAAAGAAAAGAAAGGTAAAATAAAAATCACAGCCAAAAGAATGCCAAATGATCATTGGTAGTGAAATTGGTAGCTTTGATTGTCTTGTAAGTGGTCCCAGCAGAAGATAGAGCAGTGCATAATGAGGGGGCTCAGGTGGCCTGGGTTACTAGGATAAAGCAGCTCTCACAGGCTTAACCAGAAGGGACAGCAGCAAAATGAGACTAGGAGTGAGGGTAGGGTCAAGAGTAGAAAAGAAAGGAGACTAAGGAAAGATCTCACTTGAAATGGATTCCAAAACACTAAATGACAATGGTAAGAATAATAAAAAAAAAAATTTGCCACAGCATGTGGACATGATATACAGTAATAAAATAATTCTCTTTTCTTTTTAAAATGTAGATCTTTTAAATTTTTAATTTTTTTAAAGACAAGGTCTTGCTGTATTGCCAGGTTGCAGTACAGTGGCTCACTGCCACCTCAACCTCCTGGGCCCAAGTGATCCTCCCACTTCAGCCTCCAGAGTAGCTAGGACTACAGGCATGGGCCACCATGCTCTGCTAATTATAGCTGGGACTACAGGCATGAGCCACCATGCTATAATTAAAAACACTTTTTTTTTGGTAGAGATGGGGGTGTCACTTTATTGCCCAGGCTGGTCTCAAACTCCTGGGCTCAAGTGATTCTCCTGCCTCAGCCTCCCAAAGTGCTGGGATTGATTACAGCGATGAGCCATGCAATGGCTGAAAATGGATTTCTTTATGTTCCTTGGTTGTGCTTACAAGTGACATTGTTGGGCAGAACCACATGTTTAGGAGATGCTAAGTAAATACTTGTTGAATGCATGTTCTTCTGGAGGGGCCTTCTTTTCTACCTTAACCTACCTCATCTGCCTTAAACTTCTCTTCCTACTTTTGCTAGTTACTCCTGGGGCTGGCATGATTTAGGACAAGCTGCAAAGGCATGCTCAAGAAGATAATGCTGAGAAAGGATGCTGAAGTGGATTGTACCAAAGGAAAAACTTTGCAAAAACTGCTGGATATGGGGGAGATGTACTCCTTCCCTCCTGGTGAGCAGCTTTAAAATAACAGCCTTTTGTCTCCATTAATCAAATTGGATTTGAAACAGAGAAAAGCACTTTTATTTCCTCAGCCTCCTGAGCTATCTAGTCCATCCTACTGGGGTGGCTCTTTTTCAGGCACTCAAATCATTTATCATGAACGAAATAACTCACTGAGAATATGAAATGTCATGAGTCAAGTCATGGACCTAAATCAGTTAGAGAAAGTCAAACCTTCATACCTTTAATTTATTGTCAGGAGAGAGAATGGCTGCCGTGACATCTCTCTGGAGCTTTGTCATGTGTGTAACAGAAAGAAAGTGAGCTACGTCCTGAACAAAACACCAAGGGTGCAAGAGCAAGGAGACATCAAACCATTGTCTACACCCAGGAAAGGAATTCAGAGTGGTTAGAATCACCTTGATTTTCCTGTGCATTCTCCAGCAATTTGTGGGAGGCCTTCAGAAGTATTTATAGTTCTTCTCCACCCAGGCTTAGACTTTTGCAGATAGAAGTGGCTGACACTTCTTGAGGATAAACTTTTGATCTTGCTGCTCACTGTAAGTGGAGCTGAGGGGTGCTGCATTTCCATTTCTTCTCTGGCCTGAGCTTCTCTGCTGAAGAAACAGAGGACAGATTAGGTCTTCAGATGAGGATGGAAGAGCCCTGTTTGTACAACTTATAAGATTTAGCTGAATTCTAACCTTAAATTTTTACATACATATTGATAGTAGAAATTAATTGTACAATCTTTGAAATCAGTACCAATATTAAGTCAATAAGCCATTAAAAATGACTGAAATCAGTATCTGATTCATGAGGAACATTTGCTTGTTTAGCTTTTCTTTTACCCATTATGATTCCTTACTATGTGAAGGAATCTATATTTAGTAAACAAAACAAAACAAGCATCCTCCCGAAACAAAAACAATTCTACCAGGGCCTTCCTAATGCCTGCCAACTCTGGCAGCCCAGGGGAACTTGCAGTCAAGACTGCAGGAGCAGAAGGAAAATGGAAAAAGGAGAGAAGACTTGCTTACATCTCTACCCTCAGGGCCTTAGAGTATCCCCACCTACCCTTTTCCAAAGATTGTGCTTCTAAATTTCTAAATTACCTCTTCTTGTTAAGAGATTTTTTTTTTCCTGAGATTAATTAGTAGCCAGGTATAAATGACAGAAATAAATGACTTTTTTTGGTGGGCATTTACTTTTCAGCAGGGATTTGTTGAGTCCAGTTAAATATTTAGAGGATGGAATTGACAAACACCCTTTACTTGACAAAACTTTATCCAGGCTTCTCTGAGTCTTTTTCTTGACTAGGCCTCAACCTTGCCCCTGTTCTAGCCAGGTCTGCATAACCCAGTCTTAGAAAAAATCCTGCTGTCAGTTTAGCAAGAATACTCTCGTAGAAGAGGAGAAAATATTTGCAAACCATATGTCTCATGAGTTTTTAATATCCAAGATATATAAGTGACCCAAATAACCCAATAGTAAGAAAATAAATAACCATATTAAAAAATAGACCAAGGAGCGGAATAGGCATTTCTCCAAAGAAAATAAATAAATGGCAAACAGGTATATGAAAAATGCTGAACATCACTAATTATCAGGAAAATGCAAAGCAAAGCCACAATGAAGTATCAACACACACCTGTTAGAAGGGTTATCAAAAAGACAAAATATAACAAGTGTTGGTGAGGATGTAGAGAGAAGTGAACCCTTGTACACAGTTGGTATGTAAATTTGTACACTTATTATGGGAAACACTATGGAGGCACCGCAGAAAACTAGAAATTACCATATAACTCAACAATTTTACTTCTGGCTATATCCCAAAAAAATTGAAATCAGTATGTAAAGAGACATCTGCACTCCCACGTTCATTGCAGCATTATTTACGATAGTGACAACATGGGTTTGACCTAAGTGTTCATCAATGGATGAATGTATGAGGCAAATGTTGAATACTATTCAGCCTTAAAAAAGAAGAAAATTCCGTCATTTTTGAAAACATGGATGAACATCTAGGATTTTATGCTAAGTAAAATGAGCCAGACATAGAAAGACAAATACTACAGGACCTCACTCATATGTGGAGTCTAAAAAAGTGGAATTCATAGAAGCAGAGAGGAGAATGGTATTTCACAGGGCTGGGGTTAGGGAAGAAAAGATGTTGGTCAAAGGGTACACAATTTTAGTTATGCAGAATGAATAAGTTCTAGAGATCTGATGCATAGCATCATGACTGTTGTCAATAGTACCATATTTATACTTGGCAATCACTACCGGAATAGGTTTTAAATGTTCTCATCGCAAAAAAATAAATATGTGAGGTGATGGCTATGTTGATTAGCTTAATAAGCATTTTTAAACTGTCTATGTATATCAAAACACCACATTGTACACCTTAAATATATACAACTTTTACCTGACAATTATACCTCAATAAAGCTGGAGAAAAACTGCAAGGAAATATAATTCTATAGTTACAACTACTTTTTGACAAAAAAAAAAAACGTAGTGTTGATGAAGATAATATGCAAATGTTTGGATAATAGCAAGAGCTGTTTGAAAGATCACTCTCTTACCTTCTTGCCGTCTTTCCCAGAGCTTGGAGAAACTTTGTCCCAGGCCATTGCATGGTCTTTAAGCTCATTCAATCACTCAGAATTGTTCACTACCCTTCAAAATTGCCTATATTCCCCTCATTTTCTTCTCCCCTATGAAGAAGATAGTTTAGCCACAACCAAGTGGCCTTTCTTTGAATCCCATATTTGCAGGACTCCTGCAGACACTTGTGTGTTAATAAATTTGTATGCTTTTTCTCCTATTAGTCTGTTTATTGTCAGTTTGTGTAGCAGACATGAACCTTCAGGGAGTGAGGGAAAATTGTCTTGGCCTCATAGATTTGGCATAGCTGGCAGGATACCAAAACCACTCTTGCTCCTTTGGAATCTGCAGTTGAGAGAAACTAGGACTGAAAAACCAGCAAAAATGGGAAGAATTTCTTACCAGTCAGACTCCTCGTTCTCTGTCTATGAATTCCAGTTGAATGAATGGCAAAACACACTATTTTCTCTCTTTCCTATCAAAATTTAGATTAATAGGGGAAAAGCATTTGTATGGACTGGTCCTTGGGTATAGCAACTCCAGTGTATTTTTAGTATGAGCACTCATCTTATCTGATCCTTTTGCTTCCAGAAATGGCCTTTGTTTTCCTTTGTCTCTATCTTTCTGTGTTGTTTGTCACAAAGAAGAAAACTATTGGGTACAACATGGGCCTAAGGCCCTTATAAACCTGTTGTTTGAGCTAGCCTTTTGTCTTGTTTTATATCTCGAGAGCCTGGCTTTTGGGGCCAAGTGAAAACACTCTCTCTGCTTGCCTGCCAGCTGGGGGCATGGTTATTAGATCACATCAGATGGCCAGTCTGAAAGGCCTGGTAACCCATGACACGTAAAATTATTAAGTAATACTCTCTTTTCCAAAGTGCCAAACTCACAGGGGCATTTGTCTTAATAAGAAGTCTCACCCATGGGGCTTTCTGTCATTTCAGGCTTTGTTGCCTTGTTAGTCCTAGGAAAGTCCAACCCCAGAAAACCCTGCCTGGACTCATAGGTTGGTGAGTCTGTGACTGAAGGCACCCCCATCTGTCCATGTGTCCACATATTCATAAGGAGACCAGAGACACTGCACAGACACCAGCCTTAACCATCTGTGTCAACAGGATCTTTTGGCTTCTTTAGTCTATTTCCGGGAGTGAATTTTTGGGTATCATGGGAGCTGCCTCTTCCACACCTTCTTTGGGAATGCTTCTTACCTTGATGAAAAATTTTATTCTAAACTTAAAAAAATTACATCCTAGTCTTTCCTTGAAGAGGTTTATTAGATTACGTCAGTACAAAAATAAGTACACCATTGGGGACCCTAATTGTCAATGACAGATAATGGATCTTTTGACTTAGAAAGACTCTATATGTAAAAAAACGATCTCAGAAAGCTCTCCCTCCAAGCCGTTGCCTTATGTGTATTTGTTACGGGTGAGTCTTTGTTCTTAGAGCTCCCAAGATGGTGGTGGGCTGCTCCCAAGATGGCAGCAAGCCTTTTGCTCTGTAACCTGGGGTTCTTGGCCTCACAGATTCCAAGGAATGGAACCTTGGGCCATGCAGTGTGTGTTATAGCTCTGTCAGAAGCCGTGGGTTGTGGAAGAGAACCGTGGAACCCAGCAACTAGTGTTCAGCTCTATTAGGACGAACCCGGGCACTTAGCCTTGCAGGAACAATAGCAAGCCTTTAGGCCGTTGGGGAGTACCAATGGGCGCCTTGCTGGATCAGAAACGCAGCAGACACAGATCTGGAGGGGTGGAAGTCAATGGCGTGTCTGCCATGGCGGCAAACAGCTGAGCAAAAGCTCAGCTCAAGCTGGAACAAACACGGACCAGAAGAGTGTGCAGCTGCAAGATTTAACAGAGTGAAAACAAAGCTCCCATACAATGGGAGGGGACCCAAAGGGGGTTGCCCACTCCCGGCTCGAATGCGTGGGGTTTATATCCCAATCATTGTCCCTCCCCCTGTGCTCTCAGGCGATAGATGATTTGATTATTTCTTTACCTCCTGTTTTTAGCCTAATTGGTATTTTAGTGAGCCCTCTTTACTACCTGATTTGTCTGGCGTGAACTGAGTTAAAGGCCTGTGTTTAAAGATGGGTGCGGTCACCTTCCCCAACTAGGCGTAGGAATTCTTAGTCGGCCTAGGAAATCCAGCTAGTCCTGTCTCTCATTGCTATTATAGGAGTTATTAAGAAATTATTTTAGACAGATAGGGAGGAAAAGGGTCCTTGGGAAGTTATTTTTCTTTTAAAGCAGCTCCAGAAATGTTTCTTGTCTAGCAGGAAAGCCCTGGCTCTTAAAGCTGGGCTGGCAAGCTTTGGTATGCAAATACAGGCCATTAGAAACTGTGTCCACCCAAACATTGCGATTCCCGCTGTCTTCTTGCCCTTGCCCCAACATCTGTCTGACAACATGGCCGCCCCCACATATCCCCATGTGTGCAGAACATCATGGCGCCCTGAATTTGCATATTAAAAGGCTAGAGTGGGAGGGCAAGTCCCCCCCGCCCAGGCTACATGAATGACATGCCTGGTCAAACCAATCCCCTGAGCCCTATGCAAATCAGACACCACCTCCTCCAACCTTCTCATATAAGCAGCTACTTCTCCCCCCACACACGAGGTTTTCTCTTTGTTGGAATCCCCCCTCTTTCTGTGTCTGTATGGGGGAGCTGTTTTTCTTCCTTCCTTCTTTCTTGCCTACTAAACTTTTCGCACTTTAAAACCACTCCATGTGTGTCCATGTCATTTTATCCAAACCCGTGTGAGACCAAGAACCCTGATGTTCCTCCAGTCATTGGAGCCATATTATTACCAGGGGTCCTTGCTCACAGAGCTTCCAAGATGGTGGTGAGCCTCATGTTCTCTGACCTGGGGTTCTTGGTCTCACGGATTCCAAGGAATGGAATCTTGGGCCATGCAGTGAGTGTTATAGCTCTATTAGAAGCCGTGGGTCACGGAAGAGAACTGTGGAACCCAGTGACTAGTGTTCAGCTCGATTAGGACAAACCCAGGCACTTAGCCGTGCAGGAACAATGGCAAGCCTTTAGCCCCATCGGGAGTGGCAACGGGCACCTCCTTGGATAAGGAGCATAGCAGACACCCTGCTGGATCCGGAAGAATGGAAGTCAGCGGCGGGTCTGCGACAGTGGCAAAACAGCAGGGGTGGACCACAAGCGAAAGCTCAGCTCGAGCCCTAACAAACACGGACCAGAAGAGTGCAGTTGCAAGATTTAATAGAGTGAAATAGAGTGAAAACAGAGCTCCCATACAAGGGGAGGGGACCCAAAGGGGGTTGCCCTTGCCAGCTCGAATGCCTGGGTTTATATCCTGATCCTTGTCCCTCCTGCTGTGCTCTCAGGCAATAGATGATTGGCTATTTCTTTACTTCCTGTTTTTGCCTAATTAGTATTTTAGTGAGCTCTCTGATTGGTTGGGTGTGAGCTAAGTTGCAAGCTCTGTGTTTAAAGGTGGATGCGGTCACCTTCCCAACTAGGCTTAGGGATTCTTAGTCAGCCTAGGAAATCCAGCTTGTCCTGTCTCTCAATATCACTGCCTTTGTATTTCTTAAATGTATTTGATTGCTGTCTCATGCCTCCCTAAAATGCTAAAATGTATAAAACTAACCTGCACCCCGACCACCTTGGGCACATGTTCTCAGGACCTCCTGAGGGCTGTGTCACGGGCCATGGTCACTCATATTTGGCTCAGAATAAATCTCTTCAAATAACTTACAGAGTTTGACTCTTTTTGTTGACAATAGCTTTTGATTTTCTATTTTTCAAATGGACTACTTGTCTCTTCTGATTTTCCATCAATGGAAACATACATGTTATCAGCCTTTTGTGTGCATGTGGCCAACCACAGGTTGGGAGCTCCCAAAATATAGCAAGGCAAGAACGTGGGTTACATATTTTTGTGGCTAAGCATCTAAGCGTTTTTTTTTTTTTTGCCTGCCTTTGGAATGCTACAGGTTTGAAAGGGCTGCGTCTTTTCTCCCTCTTTATAGGCCTTGCTTAAAAGCCCTTATTTATTTTATTTTTTTTTTTTTGAGACAGAGTCTTGCACTGTCACCCAGGCTGGAGTGCAGTGGCACGATCTCGGCTCACTGCAACCTCTGCCTCCTGGGTTCAAGTGATTCTCCTGCCTCATCCTCCCAAGTACCTGGGATTACAGGCACCCGCCATCATGCCCAGGTAATTTTTGTATTTTTAGTACAGACGGGATTTCACCATGTTGCCCACAATTTTTTTGGTCTCAAATTTCTAACCTCAGGTGATCCTCCTGCCTCAGCCTCCCGAAGTGCTGGGATTACACGTGTGAGCCACCGTGCCCGACCTGAAAGCCGTTATTTATTTTGGTCTCATGTGCTTATTTGTTTCAGCCTTATGTCATTTGAGACATAAATTTAAAATTTTAAATTTCTGTTTATATTTGGAACGTAATAAAAGCTTTTTTTTTTGTTTCAATTGTTTGTTTGCTTTCTCCCTTCTCTGAGGTAAAAGAGAACTTTATGCTAAAAAAAATTTTTTTGATTAGTAATTACCCTAAGCCACTAACCACTTGTATTATTTCTCTGTGCCTTTTGAGGTGTAAACTCTTTCCTCAGTCTTACCTAAGAAACTACCCCCTTTAAAATGCAAATTTCAATGCAAAGAGCCGGGAAACAGGAATTTCTACTGTTTGCCCAGCTAAAACCTGGTAATAAAATAGCTTAAGAAATTTAAAAAGTTCTATGGTCAAAAGTCGCCTAATTAAAAGGTAATGCTTAGGTCATAATTTTTTTCTTTTTTTTCTTTTTTCTTTAAGAACTTTCTTCTTTGGATCCTGTTTTTTCCATAACTTTTTTCTTAGTCAACTGAAACACCATTTTTTAAATTAATAAATTTATTAATTTATTTTAATTTAATCAATAAATTTAAATACATTTGCTTCCTTTCTTGATGGCATAAATTTTGCCAAAGATAATGTAAAATTTTATTAGACTTTTGGGAAACTGAAGATCTTCTCAATCTGGTTCCCCTGAGTCTTGTTCTTTTATTTGCTTCTGCTCCTTCTATCTCCTTTTTACCTTCAATCTTCCATCCAGCTTCCTTTAATTTTTTTTTTTTTTTTTTGAGACAGAGTTTCACTGTTGTTGCCCAGGCTGGAGTGCAATGGCATGATCTCTGCTCACCGCAACCTTCGCCTCCCGAGTTCAAGCCATTCTCCTGCCTCAGCCTCCAGAGTAGGTGCCACCAGGCTCGGATAATTTTTTTTATATTTTTAGTAGAGACGGGGTTTCTCCATGTTGGTCAGGCTGGTCTCGAAATCCTAACTTCAGGTGATCCACCCGCCTCGGCCTCCCAAAGTGCTGGGATTACAGGTGTGAGCCACCGTGCCCGGTCCAGCTTCCTTTAATTTTTAATGTGTACCCTTCAAGCCTCTACCTTCTCTATTTAGTGTCAGTGGATAAAAATTACTGTGAGGAAACATCAGAGTTCTGTCAGAGGCGTTTGAACTACAGCAACTCCGTCTTGAATAGGACCTGGGTAAAATGAGGCTGAAACTTACTGGGCTGCAATCCCAGATGGTTAAGGTATTCTAAGTCACAGGATGAGATAGGAGGTCAGCAAAAAGTCGCAGGTTATAAAGACCTTGCTGATAAAACAGGTTGTAGTAAAGAAGCCGGCTAAAACCCACCAAAACCAAGATGACCATGAGAGTGACCACTGGTTGTCCTCACTGCTACACTCCCACCAGCGCCTAGACAGTTTACAAATGCCATGGCAATGTCAGAAAGTTATCCTATATAGTCTAAAAAGGGGAGACATGAATAATCCACCCCTCGTTTAGCATTTCATCAAGAAATATCCATAAAAACAGGCAACCAGCGGCCCCCAGGGCTGCTCTGTCTATGAAGCAGCCATTCTTTATTCCTTTACTTTCCTGGAAAACTTGCTTTCACCTTACTCTATGGACTCACCCTGAATTCTTTCTTGTGAGAGATCGAAGAACCCTCTTGGGGTTTGGATCGGGACCCCTTTCCTGTAACATGACTACCACATAAAGAGATCTAAAGGAGACTTCTAACAACCCTGAGATCCCCTAAGAAACACAGAAAAGGTGCCACTAGCCCTCTTTTTGGGGTCTTGTTTCTTCTTCATTGAGCCAAGTCTATATGTTTTACAGCCATAATTCAATGGTGACTCCTTGCCCTAGCTTTCTAGCCTTGACAGGCTTTTAAAAGAATAATCTAACATTCTTTATTAAAAATTCCAACAAAGCAGACTTAAAAAGAGCCTAATCAGTCACTAGTCTTGCTAGACTTATGTAAATGGTCAGGCCAAGTATAACAAAACTAATTTTACAAGTAAATTAAACTTGCTATGATTTATCTTTGGTAGCAATGTAGAGAAAATAATTATATTTTAGAAAAACCTATAGCATACCTGTTATTAGATCCTAGTTCATTGTTTTTGAGATTTTATTATTTATGTACAATCTGGACTAAATATTAAATTATTTTTGTTTCTTCCAACGTCTGGCTGCAAATCTCCAAACTAATGTTTCCAAATTTTCTCTCACTCGGCTGACTTGGAATCACAAAAAATTAAAAACTGTGTTTTGAAGCTCTGCAAGCTGAAGCTAGTCAACCTAATAAATAAACTCCAGAGAAATCATTGTGATGGCTTGTATATTGACAGCCTTTATGACATTTAGCCTGCACACCAGGATACTCTGTCAGATTGCTACTGCATACCCTGCTCCAACTAAAGATGCTTCAGACCAGATTTAAAAATATTCTCAGCTGACTGCCGTCCAGTTGCAGACTAGATTATATACTGCTCCAGACGTCAACTTTTAATTTTCTTTTGCTTCCATAGACAAGTCTCTTATTAAATACCTGTGTACTTGCACCATATTGAGACCTAGCCTTGACGAAAGTCCTACTGTCTCCTTAAATGAGCTACAACTGTTCAATTGGATTGGCCAGGGTTGGGAGATGGGTTTAGTGGTATCCTTTGCCACTTAGCTTCTAACTCAAATTCTGTCTCTCCAGCCACCAGTTCAGCTTTTAGTGTGTGTGAAACTTCTAGGGAAGTTTCAGACAGGGGTATGGCAGGGCACAGAGACTGATACCCCAAAGTATGGTGCTTTGGCATACTTTCAATTAAAGGAAATTGGAAGACCATAGAAGCTGCCTCAGAACCAAAGACTTTTTAACCTTACCTTTTTGTGCCCACCAAGCACAGGGAGAGGCTCTTTCTAAAAGTTCCTTTACCTAACTGAAGAACAATTATTTCCCCAAAAAATACAGCTGTCTTAAAAGCCCCTCCCTAGAAATCTTATCAAATAGCCAGAAAATAATCAACTGCCAGGAAAAAAAAGATCAAAAGTCATTGTCTGTGCTCAGACAGGCTGTTCATTTATTCTTCTAAGGACAACTCCAAAAAATGACCTGAGAGACTTTATCTACATAATAAGACAACCTTTGTTCATAGCAAAGTTCCATCCCACTCTTTCTTACCACTGCCCCGAAGAACTCAGAAATATTTTGTCCCAGGCCGTTGTCTGTTATTTGGGCTCAGTTAATTCCCCTAAAATTATTTACTACCTCTCAAAATTGCTTACACCCCACCTTTCCCTCTCCCCTATAAAGATGGTGTTTAAGCCTCAACCATCTGGGCTTTCTGTGAGTCTCATATTTGTGAGACTCCCATGGCTATGTACACATGAGTAAGTTTGTATGCCTTTTCTCCTGTTAATTTGTCTATTGTCAGTTTGTTTAACAGACTCAAGTCTTCAAAGGGGAAGGAAAAATTATCTTCACTTTTATGTGGGCACCTAAGTATACATTTACTCTACTTCTCATGCTTCCTAATGATACAGAAGCTACTTATTATTGTGGTACTTTTATTGAAGTATAATTAATATATAATAAGCTGCACACATTTAAAGTGTACATTTGTAAATTTTGACATATACATATATATATATACACACATATACACACACAAGTGAAATCATCCCACAATCAAGATAATGAGCATACCATTATCCCCCAATAGAAGCAATAATTATTCACACCATTTTACCGATAAGATAGTTGATTTCATTTGTTGGGCATTACACTGGCTACTATGTGGTGAGCCAGGTCCTGAAGCTGTGTCAGCTAGATTTCAGAACCATCTCTCTTCCCACAGCATCAGCTTGTGTCTATCTGTCTGTCTCTGTCCCTCTCTCTCACTTTCTCCCCCTCTCTTTCCGTTCTCCACTCTGCCTGTCTTTCTGCCTCTGTCTCTCTGCCTCTAATATTGGGCACTCACTCTGAGTTAAAGGGTATATATTTAGATTCTCAACACTGTCATTGTAAGCCAGTAACAATGATAACCAGAAATGCCAATTACAACTAACATGTATGACAAATCACTGTGAAGAATTCCTTATATGGTGCCATATTTGAGGCAACGTGGCCCTTAAAATTTTGACCTTGCAATCAGGCTGACCCAGGTTTGAACCTTAGTCCTCATATTTCCTGAATAACCCTGGGTGATCCAAGCATCCTCTCTGAGCCTTGACATCCTTACTGGAAAAACGGAGAATAATGCCTATTTTAGAACTGATGTGAGAACCTCATGGCATAATCTACTTAGCACCATATTTGATAATAGCAAGTATTCCAAAACTATGATTATTAAAAGCATCATAGCATGATTTTCCTCCTTAAAGAATAGAGTTCTTTCTACACTGGTAAATAAATATACACACAAGAGCATGTCTTGATTTACCATATTGTATAACACCAGAACAACAGAAAATACAGTGTTTTTGAAAAGGAGTAGAGAAAATTGGAAATGGTTAACATCTTCCTTACTTTCTGTCCTTTTATGTTTATTTTTGGTAAAAGATTTTTGAGTAAAACATATGACTCTTTAGATATTAGTAGGTTTTTTTTTCTTTTTCTTTTTTTCACAAGTTTCCATTTAACTGCCCAGGTGTCAGGCCAGGAATGAGTTTCGCAGCTTTCTGTTAGTCCTCATTTTGTTAGTTTTAAATTCCATGGCTCAAATTTCAGTATATATGCACAATCATCTTTGAGCAGATCAGCAAATTCGAAAACATTTTCCAGGTCCTGTGGTCAATACAAAAATCAAGTTAATAGATTGTCATTGAAATAGATAGTGAATTTGAATGTTCAAGAGATCAGCAGGTCAATACTGGAGAGAAATTAATCAGTATAAAAAGTATGTTGGAGGAGGGCCAATTTAAGTGGATTTTTTTTCTTTTAAATGAGAAATAATCACAGCAGGGGTTATTCATATCTTTGGAATATAACTGAAATCTTACCTTGTAAATCTTGGTCTTACAGACATTTCAGGAAGTGATCAGAATGTAAATAACCTACTTTGGAAACCTGGTCATTTGCCTTCTGTTCAATAAGGAGGTGGGAAGTTTCACAAAGGGTCTCTTTGTTCACTCCAACTCTCCATATGGCTTCGCTGACAGTAGCAGAGGGCAATATAAAATGAAATAAGTCAACAGGATTTGTTCTTTCCTCTTTTTAAAATAAGCATGCTAAGAAACAGGCAATGTATTAGATGCTGAGTGCACAAGGGGATAAAAGCCACATTCCTTATCTCTTAAGAGCTATACATCTTTAATTTTAGCTGGGACAGCTAAGTATATCCACATTAAAAAATAAAAAATAGTGTATGGCTAAAAACAGGCACCACATGAACGATATGGACGAGAAATACTTTTGTAAGAAAGAAATTACTTTGAGCTAAAGTCAGGTTACTGTGGTGTGGAAGTCAAGCAAGCGTGGAAATCAAGCAGGCTTGGTGCAAGACATAGATTCTGAGCTGGACTCAGGGTTGGATTTTATCAGGAAGACTGTGGAGAATGACAAAAGCGAATCCTCAGAGAATGAAAGGTCAAATTCACCTCCAAACTCTTGCTAATCACATATTCCTCTGCCTAGTCCATCTGTACTGTGACTCTTCCCAATCCCAAACTGTCTTGAAATAGGATTATTAGACTTCATCCATCACTTCAACGTATCAATATATTGTTGTTTCGTTAACCACTGCATCTTTTGTCTATGTTACGTATTCTTCCAGGTTACATAAAAGGCATTTGAGGAGGGCACTTAGAGGTTTTTGGCTCATGCTGTTGGAGGGAGGATATTGTTATTCAGCCAAGTAGGAAACATCAAAAGAAGACTTTATTTGGGGGAAAGGTCCTTAGTTTGGTGTTGAATAAATTGAGTTTGAAGTGACTTTGAGACAACTTGTGGAATTAACTATAGCTATCATTGAGTGTTTTATGACAGAAAATTGTTATTTTCTCTTTCTCACTTTTCTTTCTCTTTGCAAGGAGCAACAATTTTGCAAAATATGTAATGCACATGTATTATTTTAAAAGTAGAAAAAATAAAATAATAAATAACATGAACAATTCAAGAGTTTTAAAAAATTAATATTACTCATGAGATTTTATTTTGATCCAATTATTTTATAAAAATGTGAACAGCAAAGCACCAAATTTAGAGGCTTCATTACAGAGGGTATCTTCAACTGCTGCCATACGAATCTTTAAAATGTGCAATGTCTCAACACAATGAAAATTTATCGTATTTTCACATAAGCACAAAAACAGTGTTCCTAACTAGTGAGCAGTCTCCTCCAAAGGAAGTCAGGGACCTAGTACTTTCCATCTGTGGCTCTCCCATCTTTAGTGTGTGCCTTCTGTGGTTGCTACCCTTGTCTTCTTCAGGTGATGGAAAAATAAAAAGCATGGAGGATTTTTCCATGAGGCATTTCTTTGCTCCAGACTTGAAAGTGGCACAAATCACTTCTCATATTCCACTGGCTAGAACTAAGTTACATGGGTTTATCTTCAATGGAGGCTGGGAATTATATTCTGGCTTGTGTGTCCAGTAAGAATAGTGAACAGGTTTTGTGGCAAACTAGGAAAATTCTGCCTCATGTGTCAAGTGCGCATTCAGTACTTTCCCTCTACAATGGCATCTTATTGGCATCTTTTCAGTTCCTTCTTTAATTATTATCTGGTTAACATTTTCATATGCACACACACAAGTAGATAGGGTATTAGTGGCTTTGGTGCAATTCAGAGATATAAGTAAGCATTCCCCTGGAATATCAACCTATTAATGCTGTGTTAAAGAAAATGAAGTTAGATTGAAGTGACTTGTTCTGACTGAATGAATCACTCTTTTATTTTTTAGTGCATATCAATCATTACATTAAATATTAATTTTAGAAATTTGTGGAGATCAATGTGGTCTTGGTTTGGGTTTGGTTTGTTCTTGTTTCTCTAGTTTCTTGAGGTGTGAACTTAGATCATCTATTTGTGCTCTTTCAGACTTTTGGATGTAGGCATTTAATGCTGTGAACTTTCCTCTTAGCACCGCTTTTGCTGTATCCCAGTGGTATTGATTGGTTCTGTCACTGTTATTGTTTAGTTCAAAGAATTTTAACATTTCCATCTTGATTTTATTGTTGACCCAAAGATCATTCAGGGGAAGGAGACCCTATGATTATCACAGCATATTGCCTAGAGAGTTTACAGGCTAAGAGAAAAGGGGAGCTCAGGCTATGTCAAATGAAACTCAGGTGATTGGAGTTTGCAGGCCAGTGTACTAGAGGAAACAGAATTGTGTATAGAGGAAACTTTGGATATGTTCAGAGGGTCCCCTCAAGTATTCAGCCGAATACTGATCAGCACATGCATGTGAGGAAACTACCTGAGTCTGGGGATAGAACCAACTGAAAGGATTAGAGGTAATAGTGTCTGATATTTATGCACAACTGAAAATATGGGTTATTTTTGCCAGTTAAACTGGAAAATGACAAGATTCGTGGGGCATTGGTTAGAGTGCTGATTGGCAGTTTCTTGTATCTGTAATGGGATAATTAGCCAGAGAATGAATACTGCTCTAGTCCTGTCTGACAAATATCAAAAGCAAGATCTGAAACAATACAATAGTTTTCAAGTAACTTAATTTCACTCTAGAAAAGAGCTCAAGAATATTTAGAATGAAACAAAAAATATCACTCAACATGGTAATATTCACAATGTTTAGCACCTCCCCAAAATTTCCAGGCAAACAAAAAAGCAGGAAAATACAACCTATAAGGTCAAATCAATGAAAACTGTCTGCAAACCACACAGATGTTAGAATTAGCAGTCAAGGACACTAAAACTGTATTCTGTGTATTCAAAAAGTTAAGTCATAAGAGGAAGGAGAATCACTTGAACCTGGGAGGCAGAGGTTGCAGTGAGCTAAGATCATGTCATTGTACTCCAGCCTGGGCAACAGAGTGAGACTGTCTCAAAAAACAAACAAACAAACAAACAAACAAACAAACAAAAACCATATATTTTAAAGACCAAAATTCAACTTCTAAGGAAAAAATGATAATGTGCAAAGTTAAAAATACACTGTGTGACCAGCTAGAACTCTCTAGCTAAGTAAATTGTTCCCCAACCAGTATTTTTTGTTGGAATTCAGAATGACTTTTTGACCATTATAAATTACTGTGCCTCATGAATTTTAGGGCTTGATTGAGAATAAAGTCATGAATGTTAATTCCTCAATGATTAAGGGTTCATTTATATTTACAAGTGGAAAATTGTACCTGGCTTCAAGAACTTACAATTTAATTGGAAAGACTGAACCCTCATGAAGGTAGGAAGAGAGTAAATGCAAAATGACATGGTGAAATGTATTGAAATTTTTATCCCCCCCGTCAGCTTCCCTTATCATTACTCTATTCTATAAGGGTAGAGTTTTGAGGGTCAAAAGGTCTTCTATTTTCTGTCTATAAGAGCTGTTTGTTGTTAACCTAAGAGCGGAGACCTAGGACTCAAGAAATTCAGTTTTATTATCTTATGTTTGAATTTTTTTGGTTGCTTCTGGCTTGCAAGTCCTAGGATGTTGAGGTCTAATAGTGACTCTACTTAGTAAGTCATAGATAGGTGTTGTGAGTTGAACTGTATTTCTCCAAAAGAAACATATTGAGATTTTAATTCAAGTATTTATTTGCTATGGTCTGAATATTTGTAGCCCCCAAAATTCATATGTTAAAACCTAATCTCAATGTGATGGTGTTAGAAAGTGAGGCCTTTGGGAAGTGATGAGGTCATGAGAATAGAGCCCTCATGAATGGGATTAGTGCCCTTATAAAAGAAGCCCCAGAGAGCTGACTTGTGCTTCTATCATGTGAGGACACAGTGAGAAGGCACCATCTATGAACCAGGGAACAAGCCTTCATCAGACCCTGAATCTGTTGGCACCTTGACCTTGGACTTCCCAGCCTCCAGAACTGTAAGAAATAAATGTTTGTTGTTTATAGGCCATCCAGTTAATGGTATTTTGTTATAGAAGCCTGAATGGACTAAGATACCTTAAATGTGACCTTATTTGGAAATAAGGTTTTGCAGATATTATCAAGTTAAGATGACGTCACCCTGGATTAAAGTGGATGACTAGTGTCCTTATAAGAAGAGAGAGATTTAAAGGCACAGGGAAGAAGGCCATGGGTATACAGACGCAGAAATTGGAGCTGTGCTGCCATAAGCCAAGGAATGCCAAGGATTGCCAGCAACCACCAGAAGCTAGGAGAAGTGAGAAAGTATGATCCCCTAGACCCTAAGAGGGAACATGGCCCTGCTGACATTCTCAGACTTCTAGCCTTCAAATTGTGAGATGAAAAATCTCTGTTGTAAGCTTTCCCATTTGTGATTTGTTACAGCAGCTTTAGGAAACTGATACTGTAGGAGAGAGTGCCATCTCAGCTCAACATCTGCCTAATCAATGCCCATGCCCCAAACTTGTAAGGGGGCAAGAAGTTGTTGCCATCCCTTTCCAGAGTACTTCCTGACTTGCCAACTTTCTCCAGACCAAACACACTCTAGATGGAGAGACATATAGTTCCTTTACAGAGTTAAGGGCAATTGCAGCAATAACCTCAATTTTAATGTCTCTCTTTATTCATTCCCTTTGAAAGTGCTCTCTCATACTGGGTTTGGATCTGTGGTGCTGTTTTGTTTTTTTCTGGTCAGTGGGACAGTAGCAAATACAATTCAAGCAGAGATATAGGATGTGCTTGAACATCTGGGGTTGCCCTCTTATTGCTCTCAGACCTTATTGCTATGTGAACCCACCTGGGAGAGGCTGCTGGAGAATGAGAGACATCCCAGTCATTCCACCTGAGGCTTTCATAAGCCAGTCAGCTCCACCTGGCTCACACACTAACCCCGGACTCATAAACAAGCCCAGCCAAGATTGACAAGGCCCACCCAAGAGCAGAATTTCTGCCCAGCTGAGTCCAGTCCAAGTTACTCTTGTGAATTTTGTTAATAAGTAGGTATTAAAAGTATAGCTACTATCAAGTATGATTATGATTTTTTTTTTTAAATTTTAAAAGAAGAGGGGGCAGGACCAAGATGGCTGACTAGAAGCAGTGGTGGTCAGAGGCTCACATTGAAAAGAATCAAAAGAGTGTGCGAATCCTGCACTGGCAACCAAGTATCCAGGTTCTGTCTCAGGACTGACTAGGTGGCTGGCATGACCCATGGAGAGGAAGGAAGAGCAGTGTTGTGCGGCAGCCCACGGGAGAGCCACATGAGGCGGGGGAGCCCTCACCCCTCAGCCAAGGGAGGTGATAAGTTAGCTTGCTACCCAGCCTGGGAAACCGTGCCTTTTCCACGGATCTGTGCAACCCACAGATTGAAAGATCCCACTCATGAGCCCACACCATTGGAGCCTAGGATCCCAATCACGGAGCCACTCAGATTCAGAACAGCCACTTGACTAGAATCTGCCTAAGTCTGCTGAGTTCCCAGGGGGAGTGGTGGCCAGCACCACAGCCCAGCTGCCTGCTGTCTAAGCCATCTGAGTTCCTTGCGGGAGGTGTGGCAGCCAACACTGGGGCTGCTAGCTGCCTAACACACTAAGCTCCCGGAGTGGCGAGGGGGCGGGGCGGGGGGGCAAAGGAATGGCGGCAGCCATTTCTATGGCTCCAGGCAACACTTTTCCCCTGCTGGAGCCAAGGATAATGGACCTCTTGGTCCCAAGAGGTATTCCCCACAGCCCAACACACCGGCTGTGGCAGACTGTGGCCAGAGTGCCTCTTCAGGCCGGACACTGGCCCATTTCTCCTCACTGGGCAGGGCCTCCCTGCAGGAACTTCAACTGCAGCCAGGGGCTCAGGGTCAGAACTCTGATCTCACTGGGCCTGAGCCACTAGCAGGAGGGGTGGCCATAGTCTCCATGGACCAGCATAATTAGTCTTTCCTTCTGCTAGCTCTGAGGAATCCATCAGCCCAGACGAGTAAGATTCCCCCCAGTGCGGCACACCCTCTCCACCGAGGGACAATCAAAGTGCTTTGTTAAATGGGTCCTGCTTCCTATGCCACCCAACTGGGTGAGACCCTCCAACAGGGGTTGTCAGACACCCTATACAGGAGCTTTCCTACTGGCATCAAGTTGGCGCCCCTCAAGGTCAGAGATTCCAGAGGAAGGAGCAGGCACCCATTTTTGCTGTTCCCCAGCCTCCTCAAGTGACATCTCCAGGCATGGGAGTGAACCAGAAGAATAGGGACAGAAGGGAACCCCTAGCAAACTGCACAGCCCTACAGAAGAGGGACCTGACTATTGAAAGAAAAACAAACACAACGGAAAGAAACAACAACAGCATCAAAAAAAAAAAAAAGTCCCCACAAAAACCTCATCCAAGGGTCAGCAGCCTCAAAGATCGACTAGACAAACTCTTGAAGATGAGAAAGAATCAATGAAAAAATGCTGAAAACCCAAAAGGCCAGAGTGCCTCTTCTCCTCCAAATAATCACTACACCTCTCCAGTAAGGGTGCAGAACTGTATGGAGAATGAGATGGACGAATTGACAGAAGTAGGCTTCAGAAGGTGGGTAATAAAAAAATTCTGCCAAGGTAAAGGAACATGCTCTAACTCAACGCAAAGAAGCTAAGAACCTTGATAAAAGGTTACAGGAGCTGCTAACTAGAATAATCAGTTTAGAGAGGAACATAAATGACCTCATGGAGCTGAAAAACACAGCACAAGAACATCTTGAAGCATACGCAAGTATCAATAGCTGAGTAGATCAAGTGGAAGAAAGAATATCAGAGATTGAAGACTATCCTGCTGAAATAAAGCAGGCAGACAAAATTAGAGAAAAAGAATAAAAATGAATGAACAAAACCACCAAGAAATTTGGGGCTATGTAAAAAGACCAAACCTATGATTGATTGGAGTAACTGCAAGAGATGGGAAGAATAGAACCAAGCTGGAAAACACACTTCAGGGTATTATCCAGGAGAACTTCCCCAACCTAGTAAGACAGGCCAACATTCAAATTCAGGAAATACAGAGAACAACACTAAGATATTCCACGAGAAGATCCACGCCAAGACACATAATCATCAGATTCTCCACGGTTGAAATGAAGGAAAAAATGTTAAGGGCAGCCCGAGAGAAAGGCCAGGTCACCTACAAAGGGAAGCCCATCAGAGTAACAGCAGATCTGTCAGCAGAAACCCTACAAGCCAGAAGAGAGTGAGGGCCAATATTCAACATTCTTAAAGAAAAGAATTTTCAACACAGAATTTCATATCCGGACAAACTAAGCTTCATAAGCCAAAGAAATAAAATCCTTTCCAGACAAGCAAATGCTGAGGGATTTCATCACCACCAGGTCTGGCTTGCAAGAGCTCCTGAAAAAAATCACTAAATATGGAAAGGAAAAACCAGTATCCACCACTGCAAAAACACACCAAAATATAAAAACCAATGACACTATGAATAAACTGCATCAACTAATGTGCAAAATAACCAGCTAGCATCATGATGAAAGGATCAAATTCACACAAAAGAATACTAACCTTAAATGTAAATAGGCTAAATGCTCCAATTAAAAGAGAAAGACTGGCAAATTGGATAAAGGGTCAAGACCCATTGGTGTGCTGTGTTTTAGAAACCCATCTCACATGCAAAGACACACATAGGCTCAAAATAAAGGGATAGAGGAAAATTTGGCAAGCAAATGGAAAGAAAAAAAAGCAGGGGTTGCAATCCTAATTTATGGAAAAACAGACTTTAAACCAACAAAGATCAGAAAAGACAAAGAAGGGCATTACATAATGGTAAAGGAATCAATTCAACAAGAAGAGCTATCCTAAATATATATGCATCCAATACAGGAGCACCAAGATTCATAAAACAAGTTCTTAGAGACCTACAGAGAGACTTAGACTCCCCCACCATAATAGTGGGAGACTTTAACACCCCACTGTCAATATTAGACAGATCAACAAGACAGAAAGTTAACAAGGATATTCAGGACTTGAACTCAGCTCTGGATAAAGTCGACTTAATAGATATCTACAGAACTCTCCACCCCAAATCAAGAGAATATACATTCTTCTCAGTGCCACATGGAACTTATTCTAAAATCAACCACATAATTGGAAGCAAAATACTTCTCAGCAAATGCAAAAGAACTGAAATAATAACAAACAGTGTCTCAGACCACAGTGCAATCAAATTAGAACTCAGGATTAAGAAACTTACTCAAAACCACACAACTACATGGAAATTGAACAACCTGCTCCTGAAGGACTCCTGGGTGAATAATGAAATTAAGTTAGAAATCAAGACGTTCTTGGAAACCAATGAGAACAAAGAGGCAATATACCAGAATCTCTGAGACAGATAAAGCAGGGTTAAGAGGAAATTTATAACACTAAATGCCCACATCAGAAAGCTAGAAAGATCTCAAATCAACACCCTAACTTCATAATTAAAAGAACTAGAGAGGCAAGAGCAAACAAATCCAAAAGTTAGCAGAAGACAAGAAATAACTAAGATCAAAGCAGTCCTGAAGGAAATAGAAACATGAGAAACCCTCCAAAAAATCAATGAATCCGGGAGCTGGTTTTTTGAAAAAATTAACAAAATAGATAGACCACTAGGTAGACTAATAAAGAAGAAGAGAGAGAAGAATCAAATGGACACAATAAAAAATGATAAAGGGGATATCATAACTGACCCCAGAGAAATACAAACTGCCATCAGAGAATACTATAAACACCTCTATGCAAATAAACTAGAAAATCTAGAAGAAATGGATAAAATCCTGGACACATACACCCTCCCAAGACTAAACTAGGAAGAAGTCAAATCCCTGAACAGACTAATAACAAATTCTGAAATTGAGGCAGTAATTAATAGCCTACCCACTAAAAAAGCCCAGGACCAGGTGGATTCACAGCCAAACTCTACTGGAGATACAAAGAAGAGCTGGTACCATTCCTACTGAAACTACTGCAAAAAATTGAAAAGGAGAGATTCCTCCATCACTAATTTTATGAAGCCAGCATCATCCTGATACCATAACCTGACAAAGAGACAACAAAAAAATAAAACTTCAGGCCAATATCCTTGATGAACATCAATGCAAAAATCCTCAATAAAATACTGGCAAATCTAATCCAGAAGTACATCAAAAAGCTTATTCACCATGATCAAGATGGTTTCATCCCTGTGACGCAAGTCTGGTTCAACATATGCAAATCAATAAACGTAATCCATCACATAAACGAACCAAAGACAGAAACCATATGATTATCTCAATAGATGCAAAAAAGGCCTTTGATAAAATTCAACATCGCTTCATATTAAAAACTCTCAATAAACTACATATTGATGGAACATATCTCAAAATAATAAGAGCTGTTTATGACAAACCAACAGCCAATATCATACTGAATGGGTAAAACCTGGAAGCATTCCCTTTGAAAACCAGCACAGGACAAGGATGTCCCCTCTCACCACTCCTATTCAACATAACATTGGAAGTTCTGGCCAGGGCAATAAGGCAAGAGAAAGAAATAAATGTATTTGAATAGGAAGAGAGGAAGTCAAATTATCTCTGCAGATGACATGATTCTATATTGGGAAAACTCCATAGTCTCAGCCCAAATACTCCTTAAGTTGATAAGCAACTTCGGCAAAGTCTCAGGATACAAAATCAATGTGCAGAAATCACAAGTATTCCTATACACCAACAATAGACAAGCAGACAGCCAAATCATGAGTGATCTCCCATTTACAATTGCTGCAAAGAAAATAAAATATCTAGGAATACAGCTAACAAGGGACATAAAAGGCCTCTTCAAGAACTACAAACCACTGCTCAAGGAAATAAGAGAGAACACAAACAAATGGAAAAACATTCCATCCTCTTGGATAGAAAGAATCAATATCATGAAAATGGCCATATTGTCCAAAGTAATTTATCAATTCAATGCTATTCCAATCAGACTATCATTGATGTTCTTCACAGAATTAGAAAGAACTATTTTAAATTTCATATAAAACCAAAAAAGAACCTGTATAGCCAAGACAATTCTAAGCAAAAAGAAGAAAGTTGAAGGCATCATGCTACCTGACTTCAAACTATACTATAAGCCTACAGTAACCAAAACAGCGTGGTACTGGTACCAAAACAGACATATAGAGCAATGGACAGAACAGAGACCCCAGAAATTATACCACACATCTACAACCATCTGATCTTTTTTTTTTTTTTTTTTTTGAGATGGAGTCTCGCTCTGTCTCCCAGGCTGGAGTGCAGTGGCGTGATCTCTGCTCACTGCAAACTCCACCTCCCAGGATCCTGCCATTCTCCTGCCTCAGCCTCCCGAGTAGCTGGGACTACAGGTGCCCGCCACTGTGCCCGGCTAATTTTTTTGTATTTTTTAGTAGAGATGGGGTTTCACTGTGTTAGCCAGGATGGTCTCGATCTCCTGACCTCGTGATCCACCCGCCTCAGCCTCCCAAAGTGCTGGGATTACAGGCGTGAGCCACCGTGTCCTGCCCAACCATCTGATCTTTGACAAACCTGACAAAAACAAGCAATGGGGAAAGGATTCCCTATTTAATAAATAATGCTGGGGGAAATGATTCCCTTTTTAATAAATAGTGCTGGGAAAACTGCCTAGCCATATGCAGAAAATGAAAACTGGACCCCTTCCTTACACCTTATACAAAAATTAACTCAAGATGGATTAAAGACTTAAATGCAAAACCCAAAACCATAAAAACCCTAGAAGAAAACCCAGGCAATACCATTCAGGACATGGGCATGGGCAAAGATTTCATGATGAAAACGCCAAAAGCAACTGCAACAAAAGGTAAAATTGACAAATGGGATATAATTAAACTAAAGAGCTTCTGCACAGCAAAAGAAACTATCATCAGAGTGAAAAGGCAACCTACAGAATGAGAGAAAATTTTTGCAATCTACCCATCTGACAAAGGTCTAATATCCAGAATCTACAAGGACCTTAAACAAATTTATGAGAAAAAAACAAACAACCCCATCCAAAAGTGGGCAAAGAATATGAACAGACTCTTCTCAAAGAAGACATTTATGTGGCTAACAAACATGAAAAAAAGCTCAACATCACTGATCATTAGAGAAATGCAAATCAAAACCCCAGCGAGATACCGTCTCACGTCAGTCACAATGACGATTATTAAAAAGTCAAGAAACAACAGATGCTGACGAGGCTGTGGAATGTAAATTAGTTCAATCATTGTGGAAGATAGTGTGGCTATTCCTCAAGGATCTTGAACTAGAAATATCATTTGACCCAGCAATCCCATTACCAGGTATATACCCAAAGGATTATAAGTTATTCTACTATAAAGATACATGCACATGTATGTTTATTGCAGCACTATTTACAATAGCAATGACATGGAACCAACCCTAATGCCCATCAATGATAGACTGGATAAAAAAATGTGGTACATATACACCACGAAATACAATGCAGTCATAAAAAGGAATGAGATCATGTCCTTTGCAGGGACATGGATGAAGCTGGAAGCCATCATCCTCAGCAAACTAACACAGGAACAGAAAACCAAACATCGCATGTTCTCACTCATAAGTGGGAGTTGAACAATGAGAACACATGGGCACAGGGAGGGGAACAACACACACCAGGGCCTGTGGGCAGGGCGGAGGGGGGCAGGCACAAGTGGAGGGAGAGCATCAGGACAAATAGCTAATGCATGAGGGGCTTAAAACCTAGATGATGGGTTCATAGGTTCAGCAAACCACCATGGCACACGTTTACCTGTGTAACAAACCTGCATGTGCTGCACATGTATCCCAGAACTTAAAGTAAAATAAAAATTTAAAAAAGTAAGACTCTTCTATTAATTAAAGATTATGTAACTGTAAGTATATCCTCTGAATTTTCACTATTGGCTTTTAATGATGATCAGATGACATTGTAAATTTGTCCTGAGTTTCCTGTCATATTTGTTATCTCAACCAACTCTTTGTCAGACAGTTAATTTTTTTTATCTCTTCTCTGCATCCTGAGAGCGGAGGTGAATAAATGGTGTTGTTACACGCAGCTGAATTTTGGGGTGGTTTGTTATGCAGCAAGTCCTACCTGATAGAGAAAGGTTGGCAGATCCCACAGAGAAGCCACACTAATAGCCCCCAAGGAAGAAGCCTCAGGCAGAATCAGACCTTCAGAAATAAGGATGTTTTCTTCCTCTTAGCATTTGCAACTCCTATTTCTCACTCTATTAAGGAAGAGATTTGAATATTAGAGAAAACTTAATTGAATCTAATACTCCCCCACCCCGAATGAGTAAGTAGAAGCCACTCACAGCTATCTTTCTTGATGCATATGACAAGCTCAGGACAAAATCAGATGACCCTTAGCAGAGCAACGTTAGGGTATAATAAAAGACATGCTAATGGGAAGATGTGTTTTCCTCATATAAGAATATAACGTGTTGTTTCGGAAAAAGTAATGTCTGCTGTAGGGAAGTGTGCCAGCTTCCTAGGCAACTTCCAAGAAAATCAGCTACAGCTTCCAGGTGGGGAGATTGAACTGGAATAAGGAGCACTGACAACCCCCTGCTGACCCCTTAATAATGCCAGAACCTACTTGACCCCTTTCAACTAACCAAAGGAAAAATTTCATTAGCCTCCAGCCCAAACTTGAGAAACTTGGTAGTTTGTAGAAAACAAGAAGAAGGATCAAGGAGTGGAAGGAACCTCTTCCTCGCATGGAGAGCGGGGAGTCAGGACACCCAACCGAGGCATTGGAAGTAGGAGTCTAGGGTAAGAGGATGGACATGAAGGAGAGGAGAAAGTGAGCATTTGTGCAGATATCAACTTTCCAAAGGCTTAATCCTGTCAGGACTTTCTTCCTATGCAGTGAGGATGAGGCAATATATGTACAAGAAAAAGACCTAGCCTCACTCACAGCACTGCTTCTACCAGGCGTGGGAGGCACAGTAGATCCTCTGAAATGGCACAGAAGCAAACTTCAATTCGTTTTATGTGGGGTGCAAGGGGTTAAGGGAAGGCTGTAGCGGAGAAGCAGTGGCAGGAGCCTCAGCCCTCCCTGTGGGGCACTAGACTGTCTTCACTGGGGATCAGCTGCCTAGAGAGAAAACGGTAGGCTGGAGAGCCAGCAAAACGGAAACTGAATTTCCTCATTATCTTTCCCTGCACCCCACCATCCCACCGCCAAACAAAAGATGCCAGGAAGTTACCTGGGTGAGAGAGAAGAGGGGAGGATTTTGCACAGCTGGGGTATACAAAATATCCACAAATGCAAGTGATAGCAGACCGTTAGAATAAATAGATCCCTAGAGGAGTAAGGAAGTACTCAGAAAGAATGGTATTATCTGATAAACATTTGAAAAATCATTTTATTGTTTTTCTTTGCTGATAAAATTAATATGCATTCATAACATATAATTTTTAAAGTTCACAGAAGAATAAGAAAATACTACCTACAATATTTTCGTGAATATATGTGTGTATATTTATGTTTACATGTGTGTATATAATGGTTTTAGGTTTTTTTCTAGACACATATTTTCCAAAATTGGAATCATACTATGTATAGATTTGTAATCTATTTTAATTTTTATTTAATGGTATATAACAATTATGCTTAAATGCCATTAGAGAGTATAGTTTTTGTTTTTGTTTTTTGTGACAAGATCTTGCTCCATCAGCCAGGCTAGAGTGCAGTGGCAGCGTTACGCTGTCTGAAGCGTTGACCCCTGGGCTCAAGGGATCCTCCTACCTCAACCTCTCAAGTAGCTAGGATTACAAGCACACACCACCATGCCCGGCTAATTTTTTTTTTTTTTTTGCATTTTTTTGTACAGTTGGGGTTTTGCCATGTTGCCCAGGCTGGTCTTCAACTCCTGGCTTCAAGCTATCCTCCCGCCTCGGCCTCCAAAAGTCCTGGAATTATAGGCATGAACCACCACTCTCAGTTAAGAATTCAGTTTTAATGGCTATACTGTATCACGTCTTACAAATGCAGCCTAATATTTTTTACATTATCTTCTATTTTTAAATGTTAGCTTGTAGCTATATCACATTTCCACATTGTACTGAAAATTTCTGTAAATAAACTTTATGTATATTTCTGACTTTTTAAAATAATAAATTATTAGGAATTCTACACATTAGAACAAAGCATATGTATATATTTTAGTATTTAAATACTAAGACTTTGGGTTCTGGAGCCAGAAATCTTGGTTTTGGCAACCAGACAGTCATTTACTTGTGGTATAGTCTTAGGCTATTAGTAATATCTTTTCAGGGCTCAGTTTCTTCATTTGTAAAATGACAATCAAAATAAAAACACCTAGCTTCCAGAAGGACCATGATAATTTAATGGGCAAATACAAAAGCCTTTTGCAAGGTGTAAAGGCTATACAAATGTTAGCCGTTGGTATTACTGCCATGTTTCCAAATCTTGTTTCCTCCCTAGTTGCCACTTGAAATATGACAGCCATAACCCGGTTCTGTATACGCCATGGAGATAAGGACAGAGTAAGCAAGGCTGTTCTTCAGGGCTAACAGGGGTAGGGGAGGATGCTTCCTACCTTCCACTAGAAATCTCTGTAACAAGAATTTATGTCTCTCTGACATCTCATGCCAACACTGCATGGCCTGTGGGGAAAAGGGTCACAGAGAGTACGCAGATAGGTTAACTTATTACCATAAATGTGCTTGGAATTGAAGAAGAAAATCAAGTAAGGGCAAATGGGAAAAAGGTGCTGTCTGCAGCTGGCATTTACTTTCTGCAAGATTAAAACTTTCAGCTGAATAAACTGATGTCATATCTCTGTAGCTGGTCAGGGGCACATAATGAAATAAAAATGTAATGCAGTTGCAGCCCCCCTCAAGAGAAGGTGCAATTTTCATTCCTTCTCTGCATACCTGAAGCACTGCAAACATTGAGAAGGAAAGACAGGTGAGGCCAAGTGTCTCAGGATGCATTGGGATGTGTGAACTTGAAGGGATGAGAGAGGGAAGAAAGTGACAGATAAATGCTCTTTTGGAATCAGGGCCAATCAAACTGCCTTTCCTCCCATGACCCACCCTTGTGGTTTTGCTAGGTGGAAAGTATATACGAGAACAATGAAGAATGGGCACTATAACTATTTGAAGAAGGAAAGAAAGAGAAGACAAAAGAAGGGAGGGAGAGAGGAAGGGAGGGAGAGAGGGAGAGAGAAAAAGAGACTCTGTAATTGAAAATAGTTACAACAGATGCCTTAAAATAACCTTGAGAGTCTAGCAATTGGACTTTTAAAAATGTAAAACTCCAAACATGTTTCATCTAGCTCTGTAGTTTCAGAAAGGAGTGAACTGACATGTGAGGAAGGATTTTGGACAGAAAGGGCAGTTGGACTGAGAAAAATTGTAGCACCTTCCCTGAGAGATTTAAAAATAGCCTCATTGCTCTGGAATGCTAAAGGTGGGTAGGTCTGAGAGTGGGGAAAGTTCAAGACCAATCTTGGTTTACTCAGATCCTGCTATGTTGTACTACACAGCTAAACTTATTTCTTTTATAGCTGGCAACATGAAATGGAAGCCTAAAGTATAAAACTGAGGGAAATTATACAGCGATGAGTGTTTCCAAACATTTTCCAAGGCATTGCAATATTTTTTTTTCCACAGAAAAGACTCTCATCCATTCAATGAGCATTTTGGGTTTGAGGTGACATTTGAACTGGGTCATAAAGACAGAAATTAATTATACAGGCAGACAAAAGGAAATAAAATTACCATTCATTTAAGCATGCTAGATATCCCATATTTATTATAGCTCAAAGTAATAAAAATTTGTTTTCAGCAACCTCATTTCCTTATTGTCTTTGATTTTCACACAGCTTACCACCTCAAACCTTTCCTTTTACCCAACATTTGCTCTCACAAAACATGTGCTGACCTTCCCCCATTAAAAAGCCTTCAAATCAAGTCATTTAATGTGATAATAAAAGGAAAAAGGCAACTATTCTATGCCAGACATTGTGATGTATATGGTACATTACTCATCTCACTCAATCTTTACAACAAACTTATTTAGTAACCAAAGTACAGACAAGTTTGACAGTTTGCCCAGAAGGCCAGGATTTTGAACCCTGCTTCTCTCCTTCCTTTAGACTTTGCCAGATATGCCAGATATATTCTATTTCCAGCAATGTCAGGCTTGGTTGCTTGGACCAGCTGTCTCAGTAAAAACAGCTAAAATGAATATATTAAATATATGATAATTTATTTTTTAAACTTATAAAATAATTATATATAAGATCTATGTATAAAATCTTATACATAGATTATATATAATTGATTATATATGTATACATACATGTACACACATATATGTAATATTTATTTATTAATATTTATTCTTTAGAATATAGGATATAATAGGATATATTCACGTCTTCATAGATATATTATAGAGCTGAGAAAGTACTAAGTTAACATTGCAAGAGAACAGCAACGCAGAAAAATTGCATGAGCATCTGGAAGCTAGTCCTGAGGTAATTCACTGAGACTGACAAATTTGAACTTTTGTTTTGATGGCTTTATGAGATGTGAGGACAGAAGTAAAACCAGACTTGCATTAAGATAGGTAATGTAGCTGAAAAATTAGCTGAGAATTTGAAAAACTCTACTCTTATTATGATAGTGAATTGGATGTAGACTAAACCTCTCATGGCATTGAAGACCAAGTCAAATCATTCAGGCTTGAATAAAACTGCAAATCTTGAATTTAAATTAAGTTGTTCCTGATAATGTTAGTTCAGCAGGCATGGGGCAGAAGCAGACAAGTGCTCTTTGGAGAAAGGACATTCATTCTAGACCACAGAGTATTCATACAAATAACTTTTAAGGCATAATGACCACAAAGATAGCCAGGCATACAAAAAAATCAGAACACATTAGGGACAACCTAATAACAGACAACAGACAGATAGAGAAAAAGACCTTATTAACTAAAATGATCAAAAACAGATTATGCTTAAATAAATTAGAGAAAAACTTGAAACTAGTATTATTCTTAAACAAATTAGAGAAGAATTTGAAGGCCATCTGCAGGATATAGGTAATGTTAAAAGGGATATCAATATAAAAATTAAAATTGCTAAAATTAGAACCTTTATAACATGTTAAACAATAGGCATAGCTAAAGGGAATATTAATGAACTGGAAGACTAATCAGAAGAAAATTTCATGTATGTAGCATAGCATGGAGGAATAAAAAGAGGAAAAACATGAAAGAAGGTAAGTTATGGAGCATTCAATTCAGAAAAATAATTTATATTTAACAGAAATGCTCTGTAATTCTTTAGAATGCTTTAGAATTTCCCTTTAAGAAGAAAAGGAATGGGATATAGGTAATATTTAAAAAATAATTATTAAGACTACTCAAAGCAGATGAAAGATGATAAATTACATTTGCAGAATACCAAGAAATCCTAAGCAGGATAAATTAAAAGAATTATACATTTAGATATATTGTAGCAAAACTATAGAGAAATAGAGACAAAGAAACATACTCCTCGAGAAGAGCAACTCCAAGACACGTAACTGTCAGATTCACCAAAGTTGAAATGAAGGAAAATATATTAAGGGCAGCCAGAGAGAAAGGTTGGGTTACCCACAAAGGGAAGCCCATCAGACTAACAGTGGATCACTTGGCAGAAACTCTACAAGCCAGAAGAGAGTGGGGGCCAATATTCAACATTCTTAAAGAGAAGAATTTTCAACCCAGAATTTCATATCCAGCCAAACTAAGCTTCATAAGTGAAGGAGAAATAAAATCCTTTACAGACAAGCAAATGCTGAGAGATTTTGTCACCACCAGGCCTGCTCTACAAGAGCTCCTGAAGGAAGCACTAAACATGGAAAGGAACAACCGGTACCAGCCACTGCAAAAACAGGCCAAATTCTAAAGACCATGGATGCTAGGAAGAAGCTGCATCAACTAATGAGCAAAATAACCAGCTAACATCATAATGACAGGATCAAATTCACACATAACAATATAACCTTAAATGTAAATGGACTAAATGCTCCAATTAAAAGACACAGCCTAGCAAATTGGATAAAGAGTCAAGACCCATCAGTGTGCTGTATTCAGGAGACTCATCTCATGTGCAGAGACACACATAGGCTCAAAATAAAGGGATGGAGGAAGATCTACCAAGCCAATGGAAAACAAAAAAAGGCAGGGGTTGCAATCCTAGTCTTGGATAAAACAGACTTTAAATCAACAAAGATCAAAAGAGACAAAGAAGTCCATTACATAATGGTAAAGGGATCAATTCAACAAGAAGAGCTAACTATCCTAAATATCTATGCACCCAATACAGGAGCACCCAGTTTCATAAAGCAAGTCCTTAGAGACCTACGAAGAGACTTAGACTCCCACACAATAATAATGGGAGACTTTAACACCCCACTGTCAACATTAGACAGACCAAAGAGACAGAAAGTTAACAAGGATATCCAGGAATTGAACTCAGCTCTGCACCAAGCAGATCTAATAGACATCTACAGAAGTCTCCACCCCAAATCAACAGAATATACATTCTTCTCAGCACCACATTGCACTTATTCTAAAATTGACCACATAGTTGGAAGTAAAGCACTCCTCAGCGAATATAAAAGAAGAGAAATTATAACAAACTGTCTCTCAGACCACAGTGCGATCAAACTAGAACTCAGGATTAAGAAACTCACTCCAAACTGCTCAACTACATGGAAACTGAACAATCTGCTCCTGAATGACTACTGGATACATAACAAAATGAAGGCAGAAATAAAGATGTTCTTTGAAACCAATGAGAACAAACACACAACATACCATAATCTCTGGGACACATTTAAAGCAGTGTGTAGAGGGAAATTTATAGCACTAAATGCCCACAAGAGAAAGCACAAAAGATCTAAAATTGACACCCTAACATCACAATTGAAAGAACTAGGGAAGCAAGAGCAAACACATTCAAAAGCTAGCAGAAGACAAGAAATAACTAAGATCAGAGGAGAACTGAAGGAGTTGGGGACACAAACATCCCTTCAAAAAATCAATGAATCCAGGAGCTGGTTTTTTGAAAAGATCAACAAAATTGATAGACCTCTAGCAAGACTATTAAAGAAGAAAAGAGAGAAGAATCAAATACACACAATAAAAAATCATAAAGGAGATATCACCACTGATCCCACAGAAATACAAACTACCATCAGATAATACTATAAAGCCCTCTATGCAAATAAACTAGAAAATCTAGAAGAAATGCATAAATTCCTGGACACATACACTCTCCCAAGACTAAACAAGGAAGAAGTTGAATCCCTGCATAGACCAGTAACAGGCTCTGAAATTGAGGCAATAATTAATAGCTTACCAATCAAAAAAAGTCTAGGACCAGATGGATTCACAGCTGAATTCTACCAGAGGTACAACGAAGAGCTGGTACCATTCCCTCTGAAACTATTCCAATCAATAGAAAAAGAGGGAATCCTCCCTAACTCATTTTATGAGGCCAGCATCATCCTGATACCAAAGCCTGGCAGAGACACAACAAAAAAAAGAGAATTTTAGACCAATATCCCTGATGAACATCGATGCAAAAATCCTCAATAAAATACCGGAAAACTGAATCCAGCAATACATCAAAAAGCTTATCCACCATGATCAAGTGGGCTTCATCCCTGGGATGCAAGGCTGGTTCAACATATGCAAATCAATAAACGTAATCCAGCATGTAAACAGAACCAAAGACAAAAACCACATGATTATCTCAATAGATGCAGAAAAGGCCTTTGACAAAATTCAACAGCGCTTCATGCTAAAAACTCTCAATAAATTAGGCATTGATGGATGTATCTCAAAATAATAAGAGCTATTTATGACAAACCCACAGTCAATATCATACTGAATGGACAAAAACTGGAAGCATTCCCTTTGAAAACTGGTGCAAGACAGGGATGTGCTCTCTCACAACTCCTATTCAACACAGTGTTGAAAGTTCTGGCCAGGGCAATTAGGCAGGAGAAAGAAATAAAGGATATTCAGTTAGGAAAAGAGGAAGTCAAATTGTCCCTGTTTGCAGATGACATGATTGTATATTTAGAAAATCCCATCATCTCAGCCCAAAATCTCCTTAAGCTGATAGGCAACTTTGGCAAAGTCTCAGGATAAAAAAATCAATGTGCAAAAATCACAAGCATTCTTATACACCAATAACAGACAAACAGAGAGCCAAATCATGAGTGAACTCCCATTCACACTTGCTTCAAAGAGAATAAAATACCTAGGAATCCAACTTACAAGGGATGTGAAGGACCTCTTCAAGGAGAACTACAAACCACTGCTCCACAAAATAAAAGAGGACACAAACAAATGGAAGAACATTCCATGCTCATGGATAGGAAGAATCAATATTGTGAAAATGGCCATACTGCCCAATGTAATTTACAGATTTAATGCCATCCCCATCAAGCTACCAATAACTTTCTTCACAGAATTGGAAAAATCTACTTTAAAGTTCATATGGAACCAAAAAAGAGCCTGCATTGCCAAGACAATCCTAAGCCAAAAGAACAAAGCTGGAGGCATCACGCTACCTGACTTCAAACTATACTACAAGGCTACAGTAACCAAAACAGCATGGTACTGGTACCAAAATAGAGATATAGACCAATGGAACAGAACAGAGCCCTCAGAAATAATACCACACATCTACAACTATCTGATCTTTGACAAACTGGACAAAAACAAGAAATGGGAGAGGATTCCCTATTTAACTAATGGTGGTGGGAAAACTGGCTAGACATATGTAGAAAGCTGAAACTGGATCCCTTCCTTACACCTTATACAAAAATTAATTCAGGATGAATTAAAGACTTAAACGTTAAACCTAAAACCATAAAAACCCTAGAAGAAAACCAGGCAATACCATTCAGGCCAGAGGCATGGGCAAGGATTTCAAGACTAAAACATAAAAGCAATGGCAACAAAAGCTAATATTGTCAAATACGATCTAATTAAAGAGCTTCTGCACAGCAAAAGAAACTACCATCAGAGTGAACAGGCAACCTACAGAATGGGAGAAAATTTTTGCAATCTGCTCATCTGACAAAGGGCTAATATCCAGAATCTACAAAGAACTCAAACAAATTTACAAGAAAAAAACAAACAACCCCATCAAAAAGTGGGCAAAGGATATGAACAGACTCTTCTCAAAATAAGACATTTATGCAGCCAACAGACACATGAAAAAATGCTCATCATCACTGGCCATCAGAGAAATGCAAATCAAAACGACAATGAGATACCATGTCACACCAGTTAGAATGGCGATCATTAAAAAGTCAGGAAACAGCAGGTGCTGGAGAGGACGTGGAGAAATAGGAACACTTTTACACTGTTGGTGGAACTGTAAACTGGTTCAACCATTGTGGAAGACAGTGTGGCAATTCCTCAAGGATCTAGAACTAGAAATACCATTTGACCCAGCCATCCTATTACTGGGTATATACCCGAAGGATTATAAATCATGCTGCTATAAAGACACATTCACACGTATGTTTACTGCGGCACTATTCACAATAGCAAAGACTTGGAACCAACCCAAATGTCCATCAATGATAGACTGGATTAAGAAAATGTGGCACATATACACCATGGAATACTATGCAGCCATAAAAAAGGGTGAGCTCATGTCCTTTGTAGGGACATGGTTGAAGCTGGAAACCATCATTCTCAGCAAACTGTCACACGGACAAAAATCCAAACACCACATGTTCTCACTCATAGGTGGGAATGGAACAATGAGAACACTTGGACACAGGAAGGGGAACATCACACACCTGGGCCTGTCGTAGGGCGGGGAGAGGGGGAGGGATAGCATTAGGAGATATACCTAATGTAAATGACAAGTTAATGGGTGCAGCACACCAACATGGCACATGTATACATATGTAACAAACCTCCACGTTGTGCACATGTGCCCTAGAACTTAAAGTATAATAAAAAAAAAAGAAAAACTCTTCAAAGCAATGTCACAGAAATGACAGTAGTCTTAACAACAAAAGTCAGAAGACGAGGAAATGTTTTCAGTGTACTGTAAGAAAACAACCGCCAACTAAAATTTTCTACAAAGTTTTCTACAAAACTATCAAGAATGAAGGTAAAATAATGTCATTTTCAGACAAAAAGAGATTTTGACACCTATGGAACCCTACTAAAAGAAATTCTACAAGATACACCCAAGCAGAAGAAAAACACACTCTAATAGAAAGTCTAAAATGCAAAAAGAAAGGAAAGGCTTAGGAAGTGTTAAATATTTGGGTAAATTTAAGCAAACATTGTGCTAAACAATAGTATTAATGTCTTGAGGGATTAAAACGATAAAACACGTATCAGTAGCATATAAATTGGAACATAAGTAAATGAAAGGAATCCATTCTAAGTACTTGTAATGTCTTGGATTAAAGTTATTAATTATTTTTACAATTTGTGAAAGTTTCATATATATGTTTTAATGGATAGATAAATACTATATAAGAGAAAGAGGGTATTCATTTCAAAGTCATAGTGGGGAAGCAATGTAATGAAAATACATGTTTGATTCAAAGAAGAAAAGGAAGAAGGCATGATAAAGCAAACACCACAAATGGATAGCATAGAATAAAATGGTACATTTATCCTAATGTACCAGTAATTCTATTAAATGTAAATGACTAGATGCTCCAGTTAAAATATAAAGATTGTCAGCTTGGATAAAAGACAAAAACCATTTATATGCTGTTGAAAAAATGCACATCTAAAAATTAAGGTTAAGGAAAGACCAAAAGCCAAAGACGAAAGAAATGTATGTTAGCCAAATACTAACCAAAAAACCCTGGCATTATTTTGCATTTTCTTTTGAGTAATGGCTGATATATCAATGTCAGACAAATTAGACATTAAGTTGGTGCATTACTAGAAATGAATTGGGATAGTGCACAATGATAAAAGGTTTAATTCAACATGAGAATTTAGCAATTTTAAGATTTTATGTTTCTATGTATATAGGCCTCCTTTCCCCAAAGGGAAATAGATAAATAAATATCATGATGGGAAATTTTAACATACATCTTTCAAAAGTTGATGGGAAAGTCAGAAAAATTAGTAAAGTTATTTAAGATTTCAATAACACAACAATATATATGTATTTATGTATATAAATTCATATTTAGATATATAAAAATTCATATCCTTTTGAAGAAATGCAGAATTTATAATCTTTTGAGGCTCATATGAAACATTTTTTAAAAACAACCAAATGTCATGCTAAAACAAAAATTTATAAATTTCAAATACTGTATTAAGTATATTAAGTATTTTATTAAGTATGTTCTTTGACCACAACACCAGTAGCAAATTGAAAATTAGAAAATTCTTATATGTTTTGAAATTTTAAAATACACTTCAACTGACAATCAAAAGAGAATCAGAATACAAATGAGAAAGTATTTTGAACAGAATGATAATGAAAATATTATATATCAAAACATGCGGGATACAGCTAAAGCTAGATACAAATCATAGCTTTAAATGAATTAATTAGAAAAGAGGAAAGGCTGAAATTTGATGATGATGTTAGAAAAAGGAGAGAAAAATATACAAGTAAGTAGTGGAGCAAATAACAAGAGCAAAAATTAATAAAATATAAAACAGAGAATCAACAAAGTCAAAAGTTTTTTTAAAGACTGATAAAATTGACAAACCTCTGGTGAAATCAGGAAGGGTGGGAGACAGAGATTGGGGGAGAGAGAGAGAGAGAGATTCCAAATGATCCAAATCAGGAATTAAAAGCTGAATCACTGCAGAATTACATTTTCTCCCACTTTTAAAAGTTATTCTTACTAATAAAGTATTTTACATACTTTTTCTTACTTAATATATTGTAGTGAGTACTTATCATGTAAAACAAACAGCTGGTGCTTGCTTAGTTTGTAGTCCTGGCTTTTTTTTTCCCTATGATGTGCTTATTCAAAAGGAAAGTGTATTTTTTTCTCAATTATATTTTACTTAGAATTAAGGATTATCTTAAATCATAAATGACTGCCATATCATAAAAAAATTAGCTTTTCATTAGATTCATGCAATATGAGCTCCTGAAAGTTTGGAAGTATCAGATGAAAATATATGAGAAATTATTTATTTCAAAATTTATTGATAGAACAGAATGGTCCTTGAATTTAAAAAAGGGGGAAAAGTGAAGATGATGATTATGAGGAAGTTAATGACTGGGAAAGGTAGAAATGACACAGAAATGGTGAGACTTGTAAATGTGAATGGCCACAGTAATAAAAAGTAAAAGTAGGAAGTCAGTAATTTCAGACAAATCACTTTATTTACAAGTATGTAATTAAAACATCTGTGTACAATCATTTCTATAGACACTATCTTACAGAGTTGTTTTGTGTCTTTGGAAAAACTACATATGAGCTTTGGGTTTCAGCTTCTTTTTCTACTAGATGAGTAGACTGGATAAGATAATTCCAAATCTTCAAAATAGGATGGTTATTATGTTAGAAAGGAAACATTCTAGAAGAATTAAAAGCATAGACTTTAGAGTCATGAATTCATTTGTTCATTTAACAAATATTTATTGAACAACTATTATGTGCCAGGAGCTCTGTGTTAGACCCTGAGGATAGAGACAAGGTCTTTCTCACCATAGAATTTCTCTTCTATTAAAGAGATGGGCTCTAAACAGGTAAAATATTATGCAAAAATGTAAAATACTATGTGACATGTGCCATATGAGTAATAGGGTGTTGTGATACAGATTAAAAGAGATGTTTGAAAGCTTCTTGGTACTGTACCTAACTTACAATAAAATGCTGGTTGAGATCACAATTTTATTCTAGAAGCCTATAGAGCTGATCTTTAGTCAGGACTCATTTTGTTGCAAAAGGTGGAAACCCAACCAATATTGGCTTAATTAAAAAAAAATGGAATGTGTTTATTCATGTATTTTGGAAGCCCAGGGTTGGCTTAGGCACAGTTGAACTTGGTGTCTTGAAGGATATTGTCAGGGTTACTTGTTCTTACCTGTTTCCCCTACCCTACTGCCAGAGATAAGCTTCATAAGAGCAGACATTATCTCCAGCTTGAGTGTATGGTGGCTACAGTCAGGGACAATGGAGGAACAAACGTGTTTGTGGATTGCTGTATTTAGGTCATTTAGGAGGCATTTAGGAGGCAGACAGACATTTCCCCCTTTGCTCTTTTAGTAATAACATCTTCATAAATTTTATTTAGGCATGTGGCCATCTAACTAGAGAACATGTTTCTCAGTCTTCCTTGCAGCTAAGTGTGGCCAATTCTTCAACAATGCAATGTGATTGGAAGTGATGTGTGCAACTTCTGTACCACTTTTAAAAATCACTTGCCCTCTCCCGGGCTCTATCTCTTTTCCATGTGCTGAAATGAAGACACAGTGTTGGTTTCACCTGCTTCATCCATGTAGACAGCACTCTAGCAACCTTTCTCAATCAGGGGTTTCAGAAAAGAATTAAGCCCTAATGTCCTCAGGCATGAGGCATCCGTTGTATAATGCATTGAGTTCTCTCCTATGCATCAAGAATGGTATTAGCAGTAGTTTCATAGCTTGAGGTCTTAATTTTAAGTCTTTAATCCATTTTTATTTGATTTTTGTATATGGTGAGATATAGGAGTCTAGTTCCACTCTTCTGCATATTGATATTCAGTTTTCCCAGCACCATGTATTGAAGAGACTGTCTTCTCCCCAGTGTATGTTCTTGGCCCCTTTGTCGAAAATGAATTCACTGTAGACATATGGATTTGTTTCTGGGTTCTCTTGGGTTTGTTTCTGGGTTCTCAATTCTGTTCCATTGGTCTATGTGTCTGTTTTTATGCAAGTACCATGCTGTTTTGATTACTGTATACTGTAGCTCTATAGTATAATTTGAAGTCAGGTAATGTGATTCCTCCAGTTTGTTGTTGTTGTTGTTGTTTGTTTGTTTGTTTGTTTTTGAGACAGAGTCTCACTCTGTTGCCCAGGCTGGAGTACAGTAGTGCTATCTTGGCTCACTGCAACCTCCACCTCCTGGGTTCAAGCGATTCTCCTGCCTCAGCCTCCCAAGTAGCTTGGATTACAAGCGCCTGCCCCCACACCCCGCTAATTTTTGTATTTTTAGCAGAGATGGGATTTGGCCATGTTGGCCAGGCTGGTCTGGAACTCCTGACCTCAAGTGATCCACCTACCTCGGCCTCCCAAAGTGCTGGGATTACAGGCATAAGCCACAGTTTCATTCATACCCAGTATGGCTTTACTCTCCACTGTGAAAGGGCAGCACCGAGTTCAATGTAAAGTCCTATAGTCACTGTTCTCTCCCTCCCCAAAGTGCACAGACTCTTCCTGCTACACAGCCATTGCTGGGGATAGGGGAGGGGTGGCATCTGCAATTCAATGCAGTCTCTCTGACCCTCCTCAATGCCTCTTTCCATGATATGAAGTTAAAGCCAGGTGCTATGATTGTTCACCTGATTTTTGGTTCTTGTGATGGTGCTATTCTGTGTGCAGATAGTTGTTAAAATTTGGTGTTCCTTCCAGAGGTACAAATGATGTAGGCTTCTATTCTGCCATCTTTCTTTGCCCTGTCCTTTTGTTTCTTGAGAGGTATTATATTAATGGAAATCTAATATACAACCCACAATTATGCTCTTGAAAGTCCCTTCCTTTTGTTTTTAATATTTAAATTTCAATAGCTTTAGGGGTATAAGTGGTTTTTGATTACACGGATGAATTGTATAGAAATGAAATCTGGGTTTTTATTGTACCTGTCACCTGAATAGTATACATTGTACCCAATAGATACTTTTTCTTCTTTTTTGAGAGGGAGTCTCACTCTTTCACCCAGGCTGGATTGCAGTGGCACGATCTTGGTTCACTGCAACCTCTACATCCTGGGTTCGAGCGATTCTCCTGCGTCAGCCTTCCAAGTAGCTGGGACTATAGGTGTGCACCACCATGCCTGTCTAATTTTTGTATTTTTAGTAGAGATGGTGTTTCACCATGTTGGCCAGGCTGGTCTCAAAGTCCTGACCTCAAGTGATCCACCCGCCTCGGCCTCCCAAAGTGCTGAGATAACAGGCGTGAGCCACTTATCTCATGCCGGGCCCCAATAGATATTTTTCATCCCTCACCCGCCTTCCCTCCTCCCTTCTTCTAAGTCTCCAAAGTCCATTATACCACTCTGTATGTCTTTGCATACCCATATGTTAGTCCCCACTTATAAGTGAGAACATCCTGTATTTGGTTTTCGATTCCTGAGTTACTTCACTTAGGATAATGGCCTCCAATTCCAACCAAGTAGTTTCAAAAGACATTATTTCATTCTTTTCCAAGGGTGAGTAGTATTCTGTGATGTATATGTACTACATTTTCTTTATCCACTTATTGGTTGACGGGCACTTAGGTTAATTCTATATCTTTACAATTGTGAATTCTGCTGCAATAAACACTCATATGCAAGGGTCTTTTTGGTATAATGACCTATTTTCCTTTGGGCAGATACTCCGTAGTGGGATTGCTGGATCAAATGGTAGGCCTATTTTTAGTTCTTTGAGAAATCTTCATACTGTTTTCCACATTGAAAAACCTAAGAAAAACTCTTCCAGACATTGGCCTGGGCAAAGGATTTATGACTAAGACTCCAAAATCAAATGTAACAAAGCCAAAAATAAATAAATGAGACATAATTAAACTAAAAAGCTCTGCACAGCAGAAGAAATAATCAACAGGGTAAACAGACAACCTAAAGAATGGGAGAAGATATTTGCCAACTATATCTCCAAGCAAAGGACTAATATCCAGAATCTATAAGGAACTCAAACAAATTAGAAAAAAAATACAAATAATTCCATTAAAAATTGGGCAAACAATATGAACAGACATTTCTCAAAAGAAAATATACAAATGACCATCAAACATTGGAAAAAATGCTCAATATCACTAATTATTAGGGAAATGCAAATTAAATCCACAATAAGATACCACCTTACTCCAGCCAGAATGGCCCAAAAATCAGAAAACAATAGAGGTTTGTTTAAATGGATGTGGTAAAAAGGGAATGTTTATCACTGCTGGTGGGAATGTAAACTAGCACAACCTCTTCCTCTTTTCTTCAGGTGTTTTGTGTTGTTTTGCTTTGTTTGTATACAAAGCTGCTGAAGATATGCCACATGATCCAATGTCTTGCTCATTCCCAAAGGGGCTTTGTCTCATCCCACTTTCCACCTTTTTATGTAGAGAAACTTGCTTTCTCTGCTAAGTCTTCCCCCTCATATTTTACCTTTGTGGGTTAGTGTCCATTATTAGTTTACCATTCTCTAGTCTATGTAACCAAAGATAAGGGACCTTGTTGAGAAAGTGAAGGGTGCTCTGTTGAGGACTGAAAGGGGTGGTGAGGCATTGAGCAGGCAAGGACAACCTTCTCTTTAGTAAGTTGTAAAGGAGGAAAAATATAAACACTCGGGAGTTAATAAAACTATCACTGCAATGTTACATCATTAATATATTGTGAAAATTTTCCATGGAAAAAACAAGTGCACATTTATTTTTTATTTTTTGAGATGGAGTTTCATTCTTGTTGCCCAGGCTGGGGTGCAGTGGTGCGATCTCGGCTCACTGCAACCTCCATCTCCTGAGTTCAAGCAATTCTCCCACCTCAGCCTCCCAAGTAGCTGGGATTATAGGTGCCTGCCACCATGCCGGCTAATTTTTTTTGTAGTTTTAATAGAGATGGGGTTTCACCATGTTTGCCAGGCTGGTGTCAAACTCCTGACTTCAGGTGATCTGCCTGCTTCAGCCTCCCAGAGTGCTGGGATTACAGGCGTGGGCCACCACGGCCAGCCTACACTTACCATTAGTAATGACTACACAATGCATCGTTCCATATGCAGGTGGTATCTGTATATGTACTCTGTTTTCTATTGGTGAATACTTAATTTGTTAAAAATGTTTTATTAATATAAAACCTGCTGTGAACATCCATGGACATACATCTTTGAGTATTTTTCAACTTATTTATTTTGAGCAAGTTTTGTAAAGTGAGATTGCTGGTCCAAAGGAATGCACATTAATGAAAATTTTGCCTTATTGCCCTTCAGAAAGATTTACCAATTTGTCTTTTACTAATGATGTGAGATATCATTTGTGCCACAATTATGCCAGGACTAGTTATCATCACTTTTTTAAGCTTTGTCAATTCAATAGGCAACATAATTATTTCATTTATTTCTTCATTAGTGAATCTGAATTTTTTGGTTTTTATCTTTTTTTGTTTTACTCTTATTGATTGTTGATTTTTAAAATTATATATTTGTTTCCTACTGAGGTTGAATTGTAATTTAACATTTGGCCATGTACCATATGATTTTGGGGTTGGAAAATGTTTTCAAGATATTGTTAGCCATAACCGATCATGGTGAAATTTACTAAATTGCAATCCTTTCATGGTGAAATTTACTAAATTGCAATCCTTTCCTTGACCTTCTTTTCAATCATTTGCCCCTATAACTCACACACACACAAAGCAATTCCAGCAGAATGAAATAAATTCATCCAATAATTTTGATAAATCAAACAAAAAAGTTTTGTAATAGAACCATGTATCTCTTATCATCTAAGGGTCAGGAACTTATTGCTTTTAAGGAATAAGATAATCATGATGGGTTAGCTAACCTTACAGATGGAAGGAAGCTCAGGAGGCCCAGCCAACTTAGTGATAGCAACACAGTACATAGGCCAGTTTTGTGCAGTGGCAAGTAAGAAAAGTTAGTATGAAGAAGGGGAAATGCATTTCCCGAAGCTTCTGAGCAAGGGCAGAATCAGGACTCAAACTCAGATCTGTCTACAAATCCAGTGTCTTTTTGATAAAAAACAAAAACAAAAAGCAAAAGAAGACCAAAGGAAATCTAAAGAGAAAGAAAATGATTGTTTCTTTCGTAGGACAGCTATGGTTGATTAGAGGAGGCAGGACATGTTCAAACCTTTCTTTCTAGCATAAATAAAAGGCTGATTTGGTCATGAGAAAAGTTATGTTTATGGTCAGTAATGTGATGGGCCAAAGAGTTCATGTTTTTAAAAGTTCTGTGTTTTAATTATTACATTTATTGCCCTTTATTCTGTTTCCTGACAATTCGAATCCCAGTTGTTCTAGAAGGTTGGTGCCTCCTAAATCCCTCTTCCTCTAACAAGTGTCTGTTTGAAATGCTTGTTCCCCACTGCCGTAAAGAAATAGCACTAGAACATAAATTTAATTTACTCAGCAAGGCCATTTTTATACTTTCTGCAGAAAGGGTACACTCGCCAGCAGTTTTGCCATGAGAGTACACCAAACAAAGGAGACAGGGTCATTTATAACCTGACAGATCCACCCTACTGCTGTGTCTGGTTTCCATCGGCTGGAATGGGATCTAACATTCTGTATTTGACCCGATTGGCTAGCAACTTAGAACTTTTTAAAAGAGGCAAAGGTAGAGGAAAACAAAGGAAGGAGGAAGTAACTTGTGGAATGCTGAGAAAGGTAAAAACACCTTTAAATAAGGAAGAGGAACAGGTTATGTCCTAATGCTTGCTTGGACCATTATAAGCATGCCAGGGCAAATATTTAGGCTAAGTTGTAGGAGCTAAGAACATAAAGTACATTGATTTCTTTATCATGGCTAGCAGATATTTAAGAATGTCCCCTGGTGTGATTCCATCCTGTGTGGCTGTTCTCTGGAGCAGCATTCGTTTATCTTCGTCCGCCTTCTCTCCTACCTAAGTGCGTGCTGCCTCCCGATGGAAGATCTGATGGACGTGGACATGAGCTCCCTGAGGCCCCAGAACTATCTTTTTGGTTGTGAACTAAAGGCTGACAAAGATTGTCACTTTAAGGTGGATAATGATGAAAATGAGCGCCAGTTGTCTTTAAGAACGGTCAGTTTAGGGGCTGGTGCAAAGGATGAATTGCACATTGTTGAAGCAGAGGCAATGAATTACGAAGGCAGCCCAATTAAAGTAACACTGGCAACTTTGAAAATGTCTGTACAGCCAACGGTTTCCCTTGGGGGCTTTGAAACAACACCACCAGTAGTCTTAAGGTTGAAGTGTGGTTCAGGGCCAGTGCATATTAGTGGACAGCACTTAGTAGCTGTGGAGGAAGATGCAGAGTCAGAAGATGAAGAGGAGGAGGATGTGAAACTCTTAAGTATATCTGGAAAGCGATCTGCCCTCGGAGGTAGTAGCAAGCTTCCACAGAAAAAAGTAAAACTTGCTGCTGATGAAGATGATGATGATGATGAAGAAGATGATGATGATGAAGATGATGATGATGATTTTAATGAGGAAGCTGAAGAAAAAGTGCCAGTGAAGCAATCTATACAAGATACTCCAGCCAAAAATGCACAAAAGTCAAATCAGAATGGAAAAGACTCAAAACCATCAACACCAAGATCAAAAGGACAAGAATCTTTCAAAAAACAGGAAAAAAACTCCTAAAACACCAAAAGGACCTAGTTCTGTAAAAGACATTAAAGCAAAAATGCAAGCAAGTATAGAAAAAGGTGGTTCTCTTCCCAAAGTGGAAGCCAAGTTCATCAATTACGTGAAGAATTGCTTCCGGATGACTGACCAAGAGGCTATTCAAGATCTCTGGCAGTGGAGGAAGTCTCTTTAAGAAAATAGTTTAAACAATTTGTTAAAAATTTTCCGTCTTATTTCATTTCTGTAACAGTTGATATCTGGCTGTCCTTTTTATAATGCAGAGTGAGAACTTTCCCTACCGTGTTTGATAAATGTTGTCCAGGTTCTATTGCCAAGAATGTGTTGTCCAAAATGCCTGTTTAGTTTTTAAAGATGGAACTCCACCCTTTGCTTGGTTTTAAGTATGTATGGAATGTTATGATAGGACACAGTAGTAGCGGTGGTCAGACATGGAAATCGTGGGGAGACAAAAATATACCTGTGAAATAAAACTCAGTATTTTAATAAAGTAAAAAAAAAAAAGAATGGTAGCACAGGTCTTTAAATAAATGTTGCTTGTAGGATAAGTTACTATTTATTTCTAATCAAATGGGGAGGAAAGTCTTTGAAGAGGAACCTTTATTTTTTACATGTCCCATGCAGGTCAAGCTCACATGGAACTGTTTGACACTTGGAGCTTGTCCCACTCAACTTCCAATTGATTATCTTACAGCTTCTCTTGCTTTCTGAACATCCTTGGATGTTATTTCTACTTGCCCCTTACACAGATTGCTAGCATCTCATATGAGAAGTTTAATCCCCAGTGGAAAGCAAGGCACACAGTAGGGTTTATTGTAAATGCAATGTGAATGATCTAATGATGACTTAAACAGCTCTACAGAAAGATTCAACCAATATTTATGAAGCAACTGCTAGGTGGTAGTTACCTTCATATGAGTTATTAAACTCTTAAAATCATCCTGCCATGTAGAAGATATTGGCCCATTTTTCAGATGACAGGAATGAGGTCAAGAAGAGTCAATTAATTTCTCAAGATTCCACTCTCAGTGGGGCTGGGATTTGAATTCTGGTTTCTTGGCATCAAAACTGGTGCTCTTTTCACAGACCTGTGCTCCTGCTGGATTTGCTCAGCATAACCTGATCATAGGTGGAAGAGCTTTGCACAGAGACCTATAATGACTGAAGAACTTATTGACAGACAATGAGAAAAGAGTATCATAATTATTTTGTTGGTTCTTGCTAACCAAACTCCATGGTGCCTATGTTCTTGGGCAAAGATTGATTTTAAAAAGCAAAATAAAGTACAGAGAGACTGCTTTTGCATTGAAGTGAAAATTGATGGGGTTTCAGGAAGCAAATTATTGGATTTGTGATTGTTTTCTGCTAGATAAATATCCAAGCAGAATTTTCAGGGGCTATAAATGCAAATTGCTCACACTATTAAAAATGTACTTAATGCTAAGGACGTTTTAGCATGCCTATAGAACTTGACTGTTTCTGCCTGAAAATGTTAAATGTAGGAAAAGCATAATGAGACTTCCTAAACATTCTGTAAATGACATTAAGTACATTATTTCCTCATTAAAAATAAAAGAATTTCATAGAACAAAATAAATGTTAAGTGCTACAAATTGCTTTGTATAGCTACTTTTCTATTAAAGCAGATTACACTATAAATGGGAATCCAGCTTCATTAAGCTCTCACAGGTCAGGTTATTCCACTAATAGATCACCAACAGTACTTAGTGTAATTCCTTTGCTTTCTTCAAGAGCTTTTGCCACTAAAAAATAGGCAAAATCCATACCCATTCCCCCACCAAAAAGCAAAATTGGAATAGTTTGTGGGTGTCAAATTTGTAAACTGCCATTTGAGGATGTATGTGTTTCAAAATCTGTTGTTTAAGCCATTAGAAATGGTTGAACTTTTCATAAAGAATCATTGCTTACAAAAGAAATTTTAGAGATGGATAGAATTGTTTCATCAGTGGGAAGAATGGAAAAATCTGCCAGGTTTCAAGAATTCATACATCACAAGGGAATTCATAAACCTAATTATGAGAATGCTGTTTAAAAATTTTAAAAAAATATTTAAAAATTGTGGTTAAATATACACAACATAAAATGTACCATGTTAACCATTTTTAAGTTTACAGTTCTGTGGCATTAAGTCCGTTCCCATTTTTGTGCAATGATCACCACTGTTCATCTCCACAAGTTTTTCATCTTTCCAAATTGACATTCTGTACATTAAACAAGAACTCCCTACTCCCTATTCCCCTCTCCCCCTCACTCCTGGCAACCACCACTCTACTTTCTGTCTCACATCAATGGAATCATACAGTATTTGTCCTTTCGTGTTGCATAAAGACTTCAGTGTTCGTGAATGTTGCAGCATGTGTCAGAATTTCCTTTCTTTTAAATAAATACTCCTTTGTACATGTATGCTACATTTTGTTTATCTATTGACTCATCAGTGGATACTTGGGTTGCTTTTATCTATTGTCTATGCAGATAATGCTGCTATGAACATGATGTGCAATATCTTTTGGAGTCCATGCTTTCTATGTATGCTGCCTTTGGGTATACTTCCAGAAGTGGACTTGCTGAATCATATGGTAATTCCATGTTTAATTTTTTGAGCAACCACCATCTAGTTTTCAAAATGATTATATTATTTTACACTCCCACCAGCAATGCACAAAGGTTCTCATTCCTCCACCTCCTCATCAACACATGTAATTATTTTTTAAAAATAATATTCATCCTCTTGGGTGTGAGAGAAGAATGTTCTTAACACTAAACTTAAAATTTTTTTTATTTGCTAAAGTTCTTTAAACTCACTGATCTCTACTAAATTGTTTATATTTTTAGATGTAATTTTATACTTTTTTGATAGTTACTTGACTAGTTCTGTCTCTTTCATTAGCCTGTAAGCTCAAAAGAGTGTAGAATATGTCTAGTTAGCAAAATTTTCCAGCATATAATAAGTGCTCAATAAAGTAAGTATCTGTCAAGCGTATAAGTAGCAGAATTAATAAATTCCCAGGTCAGTACTTTTCTAGTTCATTTTCATTCTATTCAGCAAATTTGAATGATCACCTACCATTTACCAAATAGTATTTAACAGTATCCTGAGAATACTGTTAAATATCTTTGCTCAGATGTTGTCTTTCTTAAAACTGGTTATCTTTGTTAAAACCCTAACCCATACCATCAGAACTTGAGGCAATTTGGCAGAGTAATATCCCCACTAACGTCATTAATCCAATGAGTATATATTCAGGACTGTGTATAGGCAAGGAAGTGTGCAGTAGGTTTGGAGCAGGAGGTGGTGTGTATGGTAATGAATAGAATGACTAAAAGTACAGGGATATCAGTTTTTTCTGTCTGGAGAAATCTCCAGTCTCTACTAATTAATATTTTATTCAGCATTGAGGGCTTAAATAAATATCACTTCCACTGGGAAGCCTTCCTTAACTCTCTAAGCCAGATTAGACTCCCTTGTTATGTACTGCCTTACAGCATTTATCTTAATTTTCTTTTCTTTTTTTCTTTCTTTTTTTTTTTTTTTTGAGATGGAGTCTCGCTCTGTTGCCCAGGCTGGAGTGCAGTGGCACGATCTCGGCTCACTGCAAGCTCCGCCTCCAGGGTTCACGCCATTCTCCTGCCTCAGCCTCCCGAGTAGCTGGGACTACAGGCGCCTGCCACCACGCCCAGCTAATTTTTGTATTTTTAGTAGAGAAGGGGTTTCACCTTGTTAGCCAGGATGGTCTCGATCTCCTGACCTTGTGATCCACCCGCCTCGGCCTCCCAAAGTGCTGGGATTACAGGCATGAGCCAGTGCGCCCGGCATCTATCCTAATTTTCATTAATTATTGAATAATTTTCTTCCTAGTAGATTCTGAGGTCAATGATGGAACAGCTGTATATGCTTTCTTCACATCTTTCTCTGGTTCTAACACAAGGCCTGGCCCATCTCTATCAGTCAGGAGACATTTGATGAATGAATGAAAGAGCTCACGAAGCATCTTTGTACTGAGGGAGCCTGCTGTCTAATAGGGGAGATACAAAATGCCTTAGCATCGCAAATATTAATATAAACAAACCACTGTAGAAGCAAAGAGAAGGAAAAAGTAATTCTAACTGCAGAGGGAGGGAATCTGAAGACTCAACAGTGAAGTTGCTTCTGAGCCATGCTGTGCATGGGCTTAAGTGAAGTTCAGAGGTGCATGGGCTCAAGTGAAGTTCAGAGATGCACGGGCTCCAGTGATGTGCAGAGGTGCATGGGCTCCAGGAATGTGCAGAGGTGCATGGGCTCCAGGGATTTGCAGCGGTGCATGGGTTCCAGGGATGTGCAAAGGTGCATGGGCTCAAGTAAAGTGCAGAGGTGCCTGGGCTCAAGTGAAGTGCAGAGGTGACCCCAGCATCCTAATTCACAGACTCTTTTCAGACTCTTTTTATCTTTTTAAGTCCTCCTTCAGTCTCTGCTGTGTGCATGCACAATTTTTACATTCTTGTGACCAATATATATGCAGTTTCATTGTCTGCAGATAGAGCTCAACATCGTACCACAATTTTACAGAAAAGTCTATGGTTTTCTGTGGCTGAAAATATTCCAGGTGTGTGGCCACAGATATTCCACTCTAAGCCTCAGTTTCCCATTTGCATATTGGGTTTTGGTAAGGGGGAAATGATTATAATGTAGTTGGTTGGTAATTTCACGTGGTTCCTGGCTGCACAGTACATCTCGGGGAAAGGTTTAATTTTTTCAACCACGATTTTCAGCTCTAACTTTGTTCACAGGGAGGGCAGGTGAAGATTGAAAAATCACTCAGGCTTCTCAGGCAGCCCAGTTTACCTGGCTTTTCAGACACTGGAAGTCCTTGGAAAGATTTCTGACTGATATTTCAAGAAGCTGTGTTAGCCATGGGATACACCCTGATTATTGCAGGTAGATAAAAGCGAGGAGCAAATGGTGGGCTTAGCGGCCACAGCCAGCAGGAAATTCAGGAAATTTAGCTCCATTGTCATCACCTTTTCTCAACGAGTCTTGGTCTTACAATGGAAGTGAAAATGCAAAGTCAGAAAACAGAAATGCCTTCAAATATTTTATTGCACACTGATAGATGAAGTAATTTTTCTCTGTGATCCATCACCAGAACACTTGCTAAGGGAGGTTATTTATTAGTTTCACAAAATGATAGATTTTTTCCAGGCACACATGCTGATTTAGTTTCAACTGTATGGCAGAATTTCTTAAAGACCCTATCTTTCATAGACTTTGGAGCAAGGTATCCAGATGATTAATTTTGAAGAAAGGGCTCTGACAAAATAGCAGATAAATCAGAAAAATATTACATTCTTAGTCTTTCCTGGCAAGAGCTGCAATAGTTTAAGAAATCAGCTTTAAAAAATTGCAAAGCTGAGGTAGATTTCACATTTTAGATACTAAAATATTTTGCAGTGTTTGAATGTTAAATTCAACAGATTATAAAAATTATCAGAACATATCTGCTGGATAAGAAAAATAATTTACTAGATTGACTGCACCCCATTTTTTTTTCTTTTTTTTTGAGATGGAGTCTCACTCTGTCGCCAGGCTAGAGTGTAGTGGCATGATCTCAGCTCACTGTAACCTCTGCCTCCAGGTTCAAGTGATTCTACTGCCTCAGCCTCCTAAGTAGCTGGGACTACAGGCACGCGCCACCACGCCCAGCTAATTTTTGTATTTTTGGTAGAGATGGGGTTTCACCATGTTGGCCAGGATGATCTCGATCTCTTGACCTTGTGATCTGCCCACCTCGGCCTCCCAAAGCACTGGGATTACAGGTGTGAGCCAGCACACCTGGCCTTTTCTAACAGGATTGGAGTTGTTTCCTCATAAATCCTCTTGGATTCCTAAGACACAGCTGTGGGCAGGGGTATAATCCCATTAAAAATAGTGTAAAAGACACAAAGTGATTACACAAAAACTAGCCAGTTGATAGGGCAGTGTAAGTCCTCACACTGGAAAGTAAGTCCTTACTAGGAAAGCCAGTTTTCCTAAATTTAGAAGCTATTTTAATAAATCTCTCCATTGCTAAAATATCAACCTTTCTGCACAAACATTGACCATATTTTCAAAGTAGGAAAAACTAGAACTTTAAGGAAGATGCAAAATGAATAGACTGAATCATGGATGTGTAAGGCAGGCTCAGGGGCCAATCTTTGGGCACCCAGCTGTGGGGCTAAGCTTGTTTTCTTGGTTTGGAGGCTGCAGTGTTGGCTGCCCAGGCTGAATTGCCTCCAACTTAGAGAGTTTTATTTCATTCTCATAGAAAATGCTCATTGTCACATTTTTACATTTTGCACAACTACAAAAAGAGATAAACTGAACTATGATAGAACATTGGCTATAGTGTGGAGTTGGGCAGGCAAGACCATAAGCACGGTGACCTGCTTAAAGACTATGTACTATAGTTGTCCAGGGTAAAAGATGACCATTGCCTGATTGAGGCAGAGGCAATAGAGACAGAAGAAGAGACCAGTTTGACTTTGTGTTGTCTGAATGAGTGGTGAGAAGAAATGAGTCCATGATGATGGCCATGTTTTTCGACTTGAGCAACTGGGTTAAAGTTAACTGAGCCTCTGAAGAGAGGAGGAAAGAGAAGATTTAAGGAAAAGGTGATTGGCTTACTTTTGCACATGGATGTCAATGCCTGTGATGTCTCAGATAGCCAATTAAATAGATGAATTTCAAGGTCAGTGTGGTAGGCAGAATTCAAAGATGCCACCAATATCCTTGTACAATCTTTTGAGTGTGTTTTTGTGGTGGGGATTGGGGGAGTAACTCATAACTTGCTTCTAACCGATAGAGTATGGCAAAAGTGATGGGATGTAACTCCCATGATTTGATTACACTAAAGGTATAGGAATTTTGCAAATGTAACTACAGTAAATTCTCTAATAAATTGACTCTGACTTCATCAAAAGAAAGATTATCATGGGTGGGCCTGCCCTAATCAGGTAAGATCTTTAAAGCAGGATCAGGTCTTCCCTGAAAGTAAACACTCAAAGTGAGACACTCCTGTTATGTTTGAATGTATGTGTCACTCTAAAATTCCCATGTTGGAACTAAATGTCAAGGTGATAGTATTAAGAGGTGGAATCTTTTGGGAAGTAGTTAAGGGCTTGCCCTAATGACTGGGTTAGTGTTCTTATGGAGGAGGTAGAAAGGAGTACTCTCCTATTTCTCCCACTTTCCTGCCATGTGAGGACATATAAGAGGGGACTGTATTGAGGAACAGCCCTCACCGGACACTGAAACTGCCGATGTCTTGGTCTTGGACCCCCAGGCCTCAGAACTGTGAGAAATAAATTTCTGTCATTGATAAATTACCCAGTCTCAGGTGTTTTGTTATGGCAGTAGAAGCAGACTAAGATGACTTCCCTGCTGCCTTTAAATAAATTAGCTGCCATGTCATGAGAGGGCCTGTGAGAGGGCCACATGGCAGGGAACTGTGGAGCTTCCAGCTGCTAATGTGGTTGACAATTAGCAAGAAGTCATGGGCCTGAGTGCTACAGCTGAAAGGAGCTAAATTCTGCAAACAACCTTGTGAGCTTGGAAGAGAACTCTGGGCTCTGGAAGGGAATATAGCTTATGTAATATCTAGACTTGCACCCGAGGAGAAATAAGTCCTGCCTGGACTCCTGAACTATGGACACCGTAAGATAATAAATGTATGCTGCTATATTTGTTCACAGCATAGAAAACTACTACAGGTAACACTAGGACTGGATGTATAGATTGGGGATTCCACGACATAGAGAAATAAATGCTATCACCCAGGGACAGCTTGTAGAGTAGGAGAATCAGTGTGTCAAAGAAAGAGCCTGGAGGAACAGCTACATTTTAGGGAAGAGAGGGAGACTTCCTACCAAAAAAAAAAGGAATCTGGAAGATGCCATCAGGAAGGGATGAAGAGAGCAAGGGGAGAGTAAAGTAGAGGAAAGCCAAAGGGATGGAGGGCTTAAAGAAATGCCAAGTGGTCAACCATGTACAATGCAGTGAAGAGATCCAGGAAGTGAAGACCAGAACGTGGCCAATGTACGAATCGTGGGGGACCTTCTGAACAGTTTCAGTCAGGGGTGGTGGTGAGAAATGTGGGGGTCATATACAATGGGCTGAGGAGTGAAGGTGGGATGATTTTTCAAAACACTAAGTGAAAAAATAGATAGTCCCTAGAGATTCCGAGAATCCAATGAGGAGTCTTTTGTATTTTGCTCCTCCTTCTCCCTCTTCCTTCTCTTCCCCTTTCCTTCCTCTCCCTCCTTCTTCTCTTCCCCCTCCTTCTCCTTCTTTCCCTTCTCTTCCTTCCCCCTTTACCTCCTCCTCCTCCCCCTACTCTTCCTTCTCCTCCTGTTCTTCCTGCTTCTCCTCCTCTCCTTTTCCTCTGCCTCCCCCTCTCCTCCTCCTCTTCCTTCGGAATGAGATAGTTCTGAAATGTTTGTGGGATGAAGGAAAAGATCCACTGGAGGGCAAGTCTTTGAGCTTAACTTCTCATGAGTCGTTCATGATTTGCCACTCACTGTGTGCCAGGCAATGGTTGCAAGTACAAATCTGCTTCTTGCTTTGAAGGCAGCTGTGCTAGGCAGAATTATGGCCCCCCAAAGACATCTGCATCTTAAGCCGAGACTGGCTATGTTTCCTCTTACTTTGCAGATGTGATTCAATTATGGATCTTGAGCCAGGGAGGTTATCCTAGAATACATGGATGGGCCCAATATAGGGGTTCTTATTATAGGAGGGAAGCAGAAAGGTCAAAGTCAGAGAAAAGAGCTTTGAAGCAGAGGGAGGTGGCATCAGAGGGAGATGCAGAGCCTCTGCGGCTGGCTTTGAAAGGGAAGGAAGGGGCCACAAGTGAAGGAAGGCAGGTGGCCTCTGGAAGCTGGAAAAGGCAAGTGACAGATTTGGCCCTCGATCCTCTGGGGGGAGTATGGTTGTGCTGACACATTAATTTTGGCTCAGTGAAACCTGTATCAGACTTCCCACCCCCAGAACAGGAGATAATAAATTCGTGTTGTTTTAAGCCACTGAGCTTGCAGTTTGTCGCAGTAGCCATAAGAAACTCACACAGAGGCTGATAGCAGAAGCAGCCTCTCCGCCCTCCAGTTCCATGCTCTACTTGGGAACCACCAGGGCTGCAGCGTCTGGGGAGGAACTCCCAGAAAGCTTTCCCAGGGAGGTAGTGTCTGAACAGGGTTCAGAAGGAAGAGTGCGGATCAAACGGCAACAGAGGTAGGCAGTGAGGTGGCGGGGGACATTTCAGAGAGGGAGCATCAGGGACAAAACCTAGCGTCAGGAGTGTGCAGGAGAAACCCCAGATGCCTCAGCAGATGCAGCGGGGGCTGGACTCCAGAGCGTGAAGTGAGGAGCCCAGGGTACTGAGGCTGGCGCTGCCCAGTTGGTCCCAAGAGATCCTGACGACACAGAGGAGCCATTGAAAGGCTTGTGTGGGGGAATACACATGGTAAGGTGTGGATGTTGGGGAAATGATTTTGGAGGAAGAGGGAGGAAGGGATTGGAAAGATAGAAGCAGGAAGTCCAGTCACGTGGTTGTCACAGTGATAGGAGCTAAGGTGGTGGTGTCAATGGAGAGAAAAGACAGAGCTAAAATTCCTTAAGGCCACAGAGCGGGTGTGAATAAGGTGAAGTTCTAGGGAAGACAGAAGATGGGGAGCTGAATGGACACTCCTCAGCCGGGCTGCTGCCAGCAGGGAGGCGCCTTGGAGATGAAGCAGGTGGGGCAGGAAGTAAACCTCAGGGGAACAGCAGGTGTATGTAGTGGTGCCTGACTGCCTGCTTCCCTAGTGCCCTCCATCATCCTCTGGCAGTGCCAGTGTCGGGGACAGGTGAAGCTTGGAAACACCTGCTTAAGAGATTAATTAAGGATCTGACCAAGCCCACCGGTTAGGTTAGTGGCTTCTTCCAGCTCATCCTAGACCTACATTTTGGTCCCACTATCCCTCACCACTCCCAGGTAGCATTTAATATTAGGGTGTAGGTGGCACCTTCTCCCATCCCCGGGGGTATCTGGACCAGGGAAAAGGAGGCTCTTACCTGCTCTGAGCTTCTTGGTTTAGTGTCACCCCTTGGGGATATTCAAGGCTCAGTTTAGGTTCCCAGTTACTGAAATGTGTCCACTTGCTTCACTCCCAGCTTCCAGGTCTGTTCTCATGTTCTAAGCATTCCTTCCAGGGAGCCTCTGCTCTTTGACTGCTGCTAATCTCTGGAAAGGACTGGTTTGCCTGACCTCAGGTGATCCCCGCCTCAACCTCCCAAAGTGCTGGGGTTACAGGCATGAGCCACTGTGCCCAGCCTAGTGTCCTCTTAAGAAGAAGAATTAGGACAGATGTTGCGGGAAGTCAGGGACCCCAAATGGAGGGACCGGCTGAAGCCATGGTAGAAGAATGTGCATTGTGAAGATTTCATGGGCATTTATTAGTTCCCCAGATTAGTACTTTTATAATTTCTTATGCCTGTCTTTACTGCAATCTCTAAACATAAATTGTAAAGATTTCATGGACACTTATCACTTCCCCAATCAATACCCTTGTGATTTCCTACACCCGTCTTTACTTTAATCTCTTAATCCTGTCAGCTGAGGAGGATGTATGTTGCCTCAGGACCCTGTAACAATTGCATTAATTGCACAAATTGTAGAGCATGTGTGTTTGAGCAATATTAAATCTGGGCACTTTGAAAAAAGAACAGGATAACAGCAATTGTTCAGGGAATAAGAGAGATAACCTTAAACTCTGACCACCGGTGAGCCGGGTGGAACAGAGCCATATTTCTCTTCTTTCAAAAGCAAATGGGAGAAATATCGCTGAACTCTTTTTCTCAGCAAGAAACATCCCTGGGAAAGAGAATATGTGCCTGGAGATATAGGCCTATAAATGCCCCCCCACTCAAGGTGTGCCCGTCTCTTATGGTTGAGACTGCAGGGGTGAAATAGACCCCAGTCTCCCATAGCGCTCCCAGGCTTGTTAGGAAGAGGAAATTCCCACCTAATAATTTTGGTCAGACCGGTTGCTCTCAAAACCCTATCTCCTGATAAGATGTTATCAATGACAATGGTGCCTGAAACTTCATTAGCAATTTTAATTTCACCTCGGTCCTGTGGTCCTGTGATCTCGCCCTGCCTCCACTTGCCTTGTGATATTCTATTACCTTGTAAAGTACTTGATGTCTGTGACCCACACCTATTCACACACTCCCTCCCCTTTTGAAAGTCCCTAATAAAAACTTGCTGGTTTTTGCGGCTTGTGGGGCATCATGGAACCTACCAACATGTGATGTCTCCCCCAGACGCCCAGCTTTAAAATTTCTCTCTTTTGTACTCTGTCCCTTTATTTCTCAAGCTGGCTGACGCTTAAGGAAAATAGAAAAGAACCTATGTGACTATCGGGGCAGGTTCCCCAATAGACATAGATATGCACACAGGGAAGGTCATGTGAAGACACAGGGAGAAGGCAGCCATCTAAAGGCCATGAAGAGAGGCCTCAGAAGAAACAAACCTGTTGACATCTTGATCTTCGACATCTTACCTCCAGAACTGTGAGAAAATAATTTTTCTTGCTTAAGCTGCCCAGTTTGTGGTGATTTGTTATGGCAGCCTTAGCAAACTCAGGCATCCGTCCAACTTTTTGCACCTGATTTCAGATGCCTGGGGTAACTTTATGGTTATAATTTGATCCATGTCTCTGTCCTTATGGGCAAAGAATGCATTGACCATATATCATGAGAATTCTGGCCCACTTGGCAGCTCTGTTTCCCACTGTGAGTTTAACTGGCATTCTGGTTAATGCATCTGTCTTATGAGCATGTATAGGATGGCTCATTTTGAATACCTCTCATACTTGTGTGTGCTGGCAAAATTGAGCTCCTGGACCTGAATAACCATTTTCACATTGAAAATGTTTTAGCTGTAATTCCTATTGTGTAACATAAAGTAAGTATTTAGCTTTTCAAGTGCCTTTTATTATTTTTTTAAAGAAATTTGTACAGCAGATAGCCCCATTCCAACCCTAACCACTTATCTTCTGAAGTTTTATGGTCAAAGATGGGATGGAGGGATGGGATAATGTTTTGGCACAGGATGAGGATGTCAGGTATTCAAAGAACTTAGTCAGAAAAATCAGACTTAAAGTTTAGTAGTTTATTTTTAAGCTGTATTAAATATCCTAGCAGTCACTTTAAATGGGCTATATAAAAGTATAATTATACTTTTATAATGGGCTATATAAAAGTAGCATTAAATTTACTGCTCTGGCCACATGGCACATGGTCAGTGGGAATGTACATAAAAATAGCTCAAGAGGTGAGTAATTGTACTAAAGTCACTGTGTACCTGAGCTTGATAGCCTATGAATTCAAGCTGCTTATTATATTGGGTCAACCTCATGAGCTAGCTTGTTTTCCAGTGATTGAAGGTAAAGTTTAACGGATGTCTTTTTTTTACTATGATTATGGAGAAAAATCAAGTTTGCACTTTAATTTTCATCAATCTATAAACAGGATCCTACTAGCTAGAACTTTGAAGCCCCATATTTCCTCCTTTGCATTCAATGGTATTGAACTCGGAATTATGGCCCTGAAATTGAAAATGTGTGTGTGTGTGTGTGTGTGTGTGTGTGTGTGTGTGTGTGTGTGTTTTCTGTGTGCCATTTTATTCATCCATGTAAAGGTTTCAAAGTCACTGCCAAGGGAGGTGGAATTTAATTGACAATAGGAGAGCTTTGTTGTTTTCCAGACCGAGTGCTGTTGCTACTCAGGAAGCTGACCTTGGGTAAATGGATTCCCATCTCCTACCGCCCCTGGGTCATTCCACCCCTTGTTCAATCCATTTCTTGGATCCTTTCCAAGGTGTGAACACAGCAACTGAGCAGTGGAAACCCAATCCTGGTTTGTGAAAGGAGTTATCTTATATAGGGCAGATTAACCAACAGGCAGGGTGGGAGGAGAAAGGGGAGAAAATATCCGCTTGCCTTCACTTTCTCCTCTCCTAGACTGCCTTGGGGATTGAGATTTCTTTATGGTCATCGTGAATTTAGAGTTCTCTTAATAAATAGTGTTGCCATCTGAATTGTACACTGGCTTCTCTCACAGGATAATAGATGAAATATTGGCACAGGCTCCTTACTGTTGAAATCGTTAAGAGCTCACTGTCACATGGCAAAAACTGGATGCTGAGGGAATATGATTGAGAGACTAGAATCCTTAAGAATAAGTTGGAAGATCCCCAAAGTCTTGCTAGCCAAAAACATGCTCTGGAAGCCACAGAGTGCTCTTGAGATATATCTGTTGAGCTCCATCCACCCTCTAGTCTGTCTGAAGGAAGGAGTTTAGCAGACCTTGCTAGTATTTGTCTTTCAGCTTCCTCAGAAAGATGAAGATGCTGTTTCAGTGGCTAAGCTTTGCATCATAGGCACTCCAATGTGTCTGTGCGTTTGAACAGAGAAGAGGGGCTTATCTGAGAGGAGGAAGATGGAGGAACCAGATTTATTTCATTACCTTGGAAGCAGGATTATAAGATGACAGTTTAGTAATAGTATTTTATCCAGGGCAGTGAAAAAATATTGTAGCTATAACAAGGATTTGAACCCACAGTTTTCTGTTTCCATTATGATCTGGCCCCTCAACCTGTGCAAAGCAAGGAGACAGCTGAGCAGAGTTCAGCCTCTGCCTCAGAGCTAAACATTAGTTTGGATCCCGATAGCCTAGCAGATAGTTTCTGACCATGTGAAATTTGGGCAGATTTCTTATTGGTGTTCTTTTTTTATGTCAGTATATAGTCTTTGAAAACATATCATTCAATTCCTGGGCCATTATACATATATTTTCCTTCTGAAGGGTGAAACAAATGCACAGATTTAAGCATTTTTAGTCTTTCTAAGTTCTCCATTACACGTGAAAAGTTTGCTCATCACTCATCTAGGTCTAAATTTTCCATCTTCTCTTTTCTAAAATACAATTTTAATGAACCAAAATTTATTGAAATCTCAGCTCCTCTAAAATTTTTCATTATCCTTTCTGAGACTTTTTCATGATTTTCCTTCAATTTTCCAAGTGTTGTGATACATAGCATCTCATAACTATAGGTGGATTTTGTTTTGATTTATAAAAGATCTCTTATACTTACAGAATAGAAAGTTGGAGTTGCAGATATTCCTCATTCACTGAGATAGTAAACACCATGAACCACAAGAAGAGAATGGGAGGGGCCAAATGAAAGGGGCTATAGTGCAGATTGTGACTTTTTATTTAACAGACTAGCTAACTTTAAGGGGAGAAGGAGGAGGGAAAGTAGCTTGCAACAAATGTTCAAGCTCTTCTAAAATGTCAATGCTATGGATATTGTATTTTGGATCAAAGGTATGTCTCAACTTGCCATTTAGCTCCTCCTTTAGAATATTGAATATATTAACCTCATGGTTCAGTTCAACACACTTCAATTAAACGTGTATTATGTTCTAAACTGTGGGCTTGATACTAGACTTCATAAAAACTGGCCTAGGAAAAGATTTCATGATTAAGACCTCAAAAGCACAGGCAACAAAAGCAAAAGTAGTCAAAGTAGTTGATTATACCAAACTAAAATACTTCTGCACAGCAAAAGGAAACAATCAACAGAGTGAATAGACAACCCACAGAGTGGGAGAAAATATTTGTAAACTACTTATACAGCAGGGGATTAATATCCAGAATATACAAGGAACTCAAACATCTCAACAGCAAAAAACCCCAATTTAAAAAATGGACAAATGATATGAATCAATGTTTCTCAAAAGAAGACATGCAAATGGCTAACAAATATATGAAGAAAAACTTGACATAATTAATCATCAGGGAAATGCAAATCAAAACCACAGTAAAGTATCATTTCACCCCAGTTAGGATGACTATTATCAAAAAGACAAAAAATAACAAATGCTGGTGATGATATGGAGAAACGGGGACTCATACATTGTTGGTGGGAATGTAAACTAGAACAGCCACTATGGAGAACAGTATAGAGGTTTCTGAAAAAACTACCAATAGAAATACCAGATGATCCAGCAATATCACTACTGGGAATTTATCCAAAAGAAATGAAATCATAATATCAAAGAGACATCTGCACCTCCATGTTTATTGTAGCTGTATTCAAAAATAGTCACAATATGGAGTCAACCTGGGTGTCCAAAAACAGATGAATCATTAAAGAAAATGTGGTGTATGTATACCATGGAATACTACTCAGCCATAAAAAAGAATGAAATCCTGTTATTCACATCAACATGGAAGGAATGGAGGAGATTATGTTAAGTGAAATAAGCCAGGAAGAGAAAGTTAAACACCACATGTTCTCACTTATACGTGGAAGCAAAAAGAAATTGATTTCATAGAAGTAAAAAGTAGAACAGAATATACTAGAGGCTGGGAAGGATAGGAGGAAAGGAGAGGAATAGGAAGAAATTTGTTAAAGGATACAAAATTACCCTGATCTGATTACCACACATTATATGTATTGAAACATTACTATGTACTCCATGAATATGTATAATTATTATATGTCAATAAAAAAAAAACAACAAGGCCAGGCATGGTGGATGACGCCTGTAGTCTCAGCACTTTGGGAGGCTGAGGCGGGTGGACAGCTTGAGGTCAGGAGTTCGAGACCAGCCTGGCTAACATGGTGAAACTCCATCTCTAGTAAAAATACAAAAAAAAAAAAAAAAAGCTGGGAGTAGTCAGAGGAACTTCTAATCCCAGCCACTAGGGAGACTGAGGCAGGATAACCGCTTGAACCCGGGAGGTGGAGGCTGTAGTGAGCTGAGATCGTGCCATTGCACTACAGCCTGGGCAACAAGAGTGAAACTTCGTCTCAAATAAAACAAAACAAGAGGAAACAACTGAGCTCAAGGTACTCACAATTGTTGGGAGGAGATGAAGGTAGACAAAGAAGCTCACTAAAATGTGGCTAATGCTCAGACAGAGGTGTTCATAGGATCTCTGAGGTCACTGAAGGACAGAGTAGTGGGAAGCTTAGCTGATGGCTGCAGTCATTTATTTTTTATTTTTTTAGTAGGTCTTATTAATTCTTTTTCTTTTTTCTTTCTTTATTTCTTCTTTTAGAAAAAATGGGATACATGCGCAGAACATGCAGGTCTGTTACATAGGTATACATGTACCATGATAGTTTGCTGCACCTATTGACCTGTCCTCCAAGTTCCTTTCTCTCACTTCCCCCCACCAACAGGCCTTGGTATGTGTTGTTCTCGTCTCTGTGTCCGTGAGTTCTCATTGTTCAACTCCCACTTATGAGTGAGAACATGTGGTGTTTGATTTTCTGTTCCTGTGTTAGTTTGCTGAGGATGATGGCTTCCAGCTTCATCCATATCCCTGCAAAGAACATGATCTCATTCCCTTTTACAGCTGCATAGTAGTCCATGGTGTATATGTACCACATTTTTCTTATCCAGTCTATCATTGATGGGCATTTGGTTTGTTTCCATGGCTTTGCTATTTTAAATAGTGCTGCAATAAACATATGTGTGTATGTGTCTTTATAGTAGAGTGATTTATATTCCTTTGGGTATATACCCAGTAATGGGATTGCTGGGTCAAATGATATTTCTGGTTCTAGATCCTTGAGGAATTGTCATACTGTCTTCCACGATGGTTGAACTAATTTACATTACCACCAACAGTGTAAAGGTGTTCCTATTCCTCCACAGCCTTGCCAGGATCTATTGTTTCCTGACTTTTTAATAATCGTCATTCTGACTCACGTGAGATGGTATCTCATTGTGGTTTTGATTTGCATTTCTCTGATAATCAGTGATGTTGAGCTTTTTTTCATATGTTTGTTGGCCATGTAAATGTCTTCTTTTGAGAAGAGTTTGTTCATATCCTTTGCCCACTTTTTATGGGATTGTTTGTTTTTTTCTTATAAATATGTTTAAGTTCCTTGTAAATTCTGGATATTAGACCTTTGTCAGATGGGTAAATTGCAAAATCTCCCATTGCATTTCTCCCATTCTGTAGGTTGCCTGCTCACTCTGATGATAATTTCTTTTGCTGTGCAGAAGCTCTTTAGTTTAATTAGATCCCATTTGTCAATCTTGGCTTTTGTTGCAGTTACTTTTGGCATTTTTGTCATGAAGTCTTTGTCCATGCCTACATCCTAAAAGGTATTGCCTAAGTTTTCTTCCAGGATTTTTATGGCTTTGAGTTTTACATTTAAGTTTTTAATCCATCTTGAGTTAATTTTTGTATAAGGTGTAAGGAAGGGGTCCGGTTTCAGTTTTCTTCATATAGCTAGCCAATTTTCCCAGCACCATTTACTGAATAGGAGATTCTTTTCCAATGGCTTGTTTTTGTTAGGATTGTTGAAGATCAGATAGTTGTAGATGAGTGGTGTTATTTCTGAGGTCTCTGTTCTGCTCCATTTGTTTATATGTCTGTTTTGGTACCAGTACCATGCTGTTTTGATTACTGTAGCCTTGTAATATAGTTTGAAGTCAGGTAGCGTGATGCCTTCAGCTTGGTTCTTTTTGCTTAGGATTGTCTTGGCTATACAGGTTTTTTTTTTTATTTTATATGAAATTTAAGATAGTTTTTTCTAATTCTGTGAAGAATGTCAGTGGTAGTTTGATGGGAATAGAATTGGATCTGTAAATTGCTTTGGGCAGTATGGCCATTTTCATGATATTGATTCTTCCTATCCATGAGCATGGAATGTTTTTCCATTTGTTTCTGTCCTCTCTTATTTCCTTGAGCATTGATTTGTAGTTCTCCTTGAAGAAGTTATTCACGTCCCTTGTTAGCCGTATTCCTAGGTATTTTATTCTCTTTGTAGTGCTTATTTTATTCTCTAGTGTAGTGCTTGTGAATGGGAATTCGTTCATGATTTAGCTCTCTGCTTGCCTATTATTGGTGTAAAGGAATGCTTGAGATTTTGCACATTTATTTTGTATCCTGAGACTTCGCTGAAGTTGCTTATCAGTTCAAGAAGTTTTTGGGCTGAGATGATGGGGTTTTCTAAATATAAAATCATGTCATCTGGAAACAGAGACAACTTGACTTCCTCTCTTCCTATTTGAGTATGCTTTATTTCTCTTTCTTGCCTGGTTGCCCTGGCCAGCACTTCCAATTCTATGTTGAACAGGAGTGGTGAAAGAGGGCATCCTTTTCTTGTGCCGGTTTGCAAAGGGAATGCTTCCAGCTTTTGCCCATTCAGTATGATATTGGCTGTGGGTTTGTCATAAATAGATCCTATTATTTTGAGATATATTCCATCAATACCTAGTCCATTGAGAGTTTTTAACCTGAAGGGATGTTGAATTTTATCAGAGGCCTTCTTCTGCATCTATTGAGATAATCATGTGGTTTTTGTCTTTGGTTCTGTTTATGTGATGGATTACATTTATTGATTTGTGTATGTTGAATAAGCCTTGATCCCAGGGATGAAGCTGACTCAATCACAGTGGGTAAGATTTTCAATGTGCTGCTGGATTCAGTTTGCCAATATTTTATTGAGGATTTTTGCATCGACATTCATCAAGGATATTGGCCTGAAGTGTCCTCTTTTTGTTGTGTCTCTTCCCAGTTTTGGTATCAGGATGATGCTGGCTTCATAAAATGAGTGATGGAGGAGTCCCTGCTTTTCAATTGTTTGGAATAGTTTCAGAACCAATGGTACCAGCTTGTCTTTGTACCTCTGGTAGAATTCAGCTGTGAATCCATCTAATCCTGGGATTTTTTTGGTTGGTAGGTTGTCAATTATTGCCTCAATTTCAGAGCTTGTTATTGGTCTATTCAGAGATTTGACTTCCTCCCAATTTAGTCTTGGTAGTATGTTTGTATTGAGGAATTTATCCATTTCTTCTAGGTTTTCTAGTTTATTTGCGTAGAGGTGTTTATAGTACTCTCTGATGGTAGTTTGTATTTCTTTGTCAGTGGTGATATCTGCTTTATCATTTTTTATTGTGTCTATTTGATTTTTCTCTCTTTTCTTCTTTATTAACCTAGCTAATGATCTATCTATTTTGTTATTTTTCTTTAAAAACCAGCTCCTGGTTCGTTGATATTTTGGAGGGTTTTTTTCTGTCTCTATGTCCTTCAACTCTTCTCTGATCTTAGTTATTTCTTGTCTTTTGCTACCTTTTGGATTTGTTTGCTCTTGCCTCTCTAGTTTTTTTAATTGTGATGTTAGGGTGTCAATTTGAGATTTTTCTGGCTTTCTGATATGGGCATTTAGTGTTATAAATTTCTCTCTTAATACTGCCTTAGCTGTGTCCCAGAGATTCTGGTATGTTGTCTCTTTTTTCTCATGAATTTCAAAGAATTTCTTGATTTCTGCCTTAATTATTTACCCAGGAATCATTTTATTCAGGAGCAGGTTGTTCAATTTCCATGAGTTTCTATGAGTGAGTTTCTTAATCCTGAGTTCTAATTTGATTGCACTGTGGTCTGAGAGACTGCTTGTTATGATTTCAGTTCTTTTGCATGTGCTGAGGCGTCTTTTACTTCCAATTATGTGGTCGATTTTAGAGTAAGGGCCATGTGGCATGGAGAAGAATGTATATTCTGTTGATTTGGGGTAGAGAGTTCGGTAGACATCTACTAGGTCCACTTGATGCAGAGTTGAGTTCAAGTCCTGAATATCCTTGTTAGTTTTCTGTCTTGTTGATCTGTCTAATACTGACAGTGGGGTGTTAACAGTCTCCCACTATTATGGTGGGGGAGTGTAAATCTCTTTGTAGGTCTCTAAGAACTTGGTGCTCTTGTATTGAGTGCATATATATTTAGGATAGTTAGCTCTTTTTGTTGAATTGATTCCTTTACCATTATGTAATGCCCTTTTTTGTCTTTTTTTTTTTTTTATCTTTGTTGGTTTAAAGTCTGTTTTGTCAGAGACTAGGATTGCAAAAAAAAAGACCTGCTTTTTTTTTCTTTCCATTTCTTTGGTAAGTTTTCCTCAATTCCTTTAATTTGAGCCTGTGTGTGTCTTTGCACATAAGATGGGCCTCCTGAATACAGCACACTGATAGGTCTTGACTCCTTATCCAATTTGCCAGTCTGTGTCTTTTAATTGGAGAATTTAGCCCATTTACATTTAAGGTTTGTACTGTTATGTATGAATTTGATCCTGTCATCAAGATGCTATTTGGTTATTTTGCACACTAGTTGGTGCTGTTTCTTCATAGTGTCATTGGTCTTTATATTTTGGTGTGTTTTTGCAGTGTCTGGTACCGGTTTTTCTTTTCTACATTTAGTGCTTCTTTCAGGAGTTCTTGCAGGGCAGGCCTGGTGGTGATGAAATCTCTCAGCATTTGCTTGTCTGGAAAGGATTTTATTTCCCCTTCACTTATGAAGCCTAGTTTCACTGGATATGAACTTCTAGGTTGAAAATTATTTTCTTTAAGAATGTCGAATATTGGCCCTCACTCTCTTCTGGCTTGTAGGGTTTCTGTTGAGAGATCCACTGTTACTCTGATGGGCTTTCCTTTGTAGGTGACCTGGCCTTTTTCTCTGGCTGCTCTTAACATTTTTTCCTCCATTTCAAACTTGGAGAATCTGATGATTATGTGTCTTGAGGTTGATCTTCTCATGGAGTATCTTAATGGTGTTCTCTGTATTTCCTGAATTTGCATGTTGGCCTGTCTTGCTAAGTTGGGGAAGTTCTCCTGGATAATATCGTGAAGTGTGTTTTCCATCTTGTTTCCATTCTCTCCAACTCTTTCAATCAATTGTTGGTTTGCTCTGTTTACATAGTCCCATATTTCTTGGAGGCTTTGCTCATTCCTTTAGATTCTTTTTTCTCTATTCTTGTCTGCATGTCTTATTTCAGTGAGGTGGTCTTCAAACTCTGATATCCTTTGTTCTGCTTGGTTGATTTGGTTAATACTTATGTATGCTTCACGAAGTTCTCGTGCTATGTTTTTCAGCTCCATTAGGTCATTTATGTTCCTCTTTAAACTGGTTATTCTGGTTAGCAATTCCCCTAACCTTTTATCAAGGTTCTTACTTCTTTGCCTTGTGTTAGACCATGTGCCTTTAGCTCAGCATAGATTTTTATTAACCATCTTCTAAAGCCTACCTCTGTCAATTCATCTATCTCCTCCTCCGTCCAGTTCTGCCCCCTTAATGGAGAGATGTTGTGATCATCTGGAGGAAAGAGGCACTCTGGCCTTTTGGGTTTTCAGCATTTTTTCATTGATTCTTTCTCAACTTCGTGAGTTTGTCTAGTTTTGGTCTTTGAGACTGCTGACTCTTGGATGGGGCTTTTGTGAGGGCCTTTTGTTGTTGTTGATGCTGTTGTCATTTTCTGCTTGTTTGCTTTTCTTTCAATAGTCAGGCCTCTCTTCTGTAGGGCTGCTGCAGTTTGCTGGGGGTTCACTTCAGGCCCTATTCATCTGATTCACTTCCGTGTCTGGAGATGTCACTCAAGAAGGCTAGAGAACAGCAAAGATGAGTGACTGCTCCTTCTTCTGGGACCCGACTTCGAGGGGCACCAAGCTGATGCCAGTAGGATCGTTCCTGTATAAGGTGTCTGACAACCCCTGTTGGGGGGTCTCACCCCGTTGGGTGGCATAGGGAGCAGGACCCATTTAACAAAGCACTTTGATTGCAATCCTAGTCTCTGACAAAAGAGACTTTAAACCAACAAAGATCAAAAAAGACAAACAAGGGCATTACATAATGGTAAAGGAATCGATTCAACAGAAAGAGCTAACTATCCTAAATATATATGCACCCAATACAGGAGCACCAAGATTCATAAGACAAGTTCTTAGAGACCTACAAAGAGGCTCAGACTCTCTCACAATAATAATGGGAGAATTTCTAACCCTCTAAGTGCACCACGAATTCTCTTTTGTAGCTTTTAGAGAAATAGAAATGAATGATATATTTGTGTTTTACCAAAGTAATTTCATAGTTTGGAAAATGGAAATTTAAAAATATAAATGTGGCCAGGCATGGTGGCTCATGCCTGTAATCCCAGCACTTTGGGAGGCTGAGGCGGGTGGATCGCTTGAGTTCAGGAGTTTGAGACCAGCCCGACCAACATGGTGAAGCCCCATTTCTACTAAAAATACAAAAATTAGCCTGGGTATGATGTCATATGCCTGTAGTCCCAGCTACTTGGGAGGCTGAGGCAGGAGAATCACTTGAACCCTAGAGGTGGAGGTTGCAGTGAGCTGAGATAGTACCATTATACTACAGCCTGGGCAACTGACTGAGACTCTGTCTCAAAAAATAAAATAAAATAATAAGAAAAAAAAGAATGTAAAAGTTTCTTTATGCATAGTAGATGGTTATTATTAATTATGGTCAACCACCTTTTATACTTATGAAATCCTGAAAAACAAGCTTTAAAAATCATACTTTGTTATTTTTAAGTGTGATTATTTGCAGCCTTATTTCAATGCTCTGAACTTGTTAAGATTTGAAAATGAGATTTTTCCACTGGATTCTCAAATCTGAACAGTTTCAGCTCCAAAGGGATTTTTCTAAATTCATATCATAGTTACCTTTACTGGTTTTACAGGATATGAACCATTAGTATGATACTTGAATAAGAAGAAAAAAAATCCTACTTTATTTTTTCCTGTGCAGAAGGCACAATTCAAATGGTGGAAAGAAAATGCATTCTATAAGCCAGCATGTGTATTTCAGGCAATTTGCACAATGTACAATGGTCTGAGCCACTTACCTGGACAGTACCACCCAGGGAAAATGATTAGTTGGAATTAATAGAATTTGGGCTTCAACTCAGTTTATTGGCAACTCCTGTGCTGTCATTAATCCCCAGGTTGCATCTGCCTTTCATGGTAGTGCTTCCTCCTGGGTAGCAACTGCTAAATGTAGTGCACTGAACAAAGTATGTCCACTACTTCCAATTATACCAGGAAAGATGGTGTAACTGTTGAGTTTCTAATGTTACCATGGCAAAGTCATCTTTGCTTATTTGTCAAGACATTTTATGTAAGCTTTTTAAGAAGAAAAAACAAATTCTGAATTTCCAGTTTGAGATGCATGGACGATACCACCTAACTTTGACTACAGTGAACATAATCATTGTGCTTGTTTCAGTATTAGAAGTGTTGCAAATGGAGCAGAGATGCATACTGAAGTAAAATTAATGTGCTCCAGAAACAAAAAAGCACAAGCTGGTCATATCATTAGTTTTATAAAACCTACTGGCTCTTTTCAAGATCACTGAATTAATTAGTGAATAATAAATGTCACTTTTTAAAGGAAAGTCAGCCCACAATTTATTGTTCAAAGGTATTATTAAAAATTGTTTCAGAAAATTGACTGCGTTCTTGCTTGCAAGACACTAATGAAATTTTTTTAAAAAATTAAAACAAACTTTTCAGACACTAAAAGTTTTCCAACTTCAGCCTTGGCCCTTAAAACTATAAGGTATTTTTCTCACATGAGCACTTTAATTTTGTGCATAGCTGACTTTGTGGAACCTGAGTAGTGAAGAAGTATTAAATCCTCCACTTTGTATCTTGATGTTTTCTTGGAGCAGCATTTGTGACTGAACTATTTGCCCTTGAAATCAATAAAATTTCGAGTGAATGAAGAATAATCTTGGAATCTTCCTTATAATGATTTAAGATCAAAATCATCTTCTGTTCACTGGCCTCAGCTTCTTAACACTGAGGCTGGGGAGGGAAGAGGGTCAAACTGGGGGGAAAGATAACTGGTTGCTATTTGGTGTCAGCAGTGATAACTCACACCCATCCAGCGAGGACATCGGAAGGCAATGGGATCTAAAGAGGATGGTGCAGCTGCAGTAATGACAGTCTCCCTTTAGAAAGTAATTTGAATGAATAAGAGTTCCTTTCTGATGATCCAGGGTTTCAGAATTATATGAAGAACACCTGCTATATTACGAAAACATGTTTTTTTTTTTTTTTTTGTTCAGCTTCAGTGTTAAGTTTAGCTTTTCAGAAATAGTTCAACATTATATCGAGGGCTGATTCTAACTGATAATAAGATCCGAGTAGTTGGAAGGCACACTACAAGACAAAGCTGTATTGTCAATAGGTGGACAATGTTTGCATGTGTCCTTAGCAGTGTAGATGTGTCCTAATAAATGAGCAAAGTAGACTGATTCTACCATAGACCAGCAGTGCTATTTTGAATTAATTCTCATTAAGAATGAAGTCCTTTTGGATGTGAGGAATTAGCTCTTCAAGGATTAGGCGAGAAATGCTTTTTTTTTTTTTTAATATGTTGAGGTCTTATAATATTTCTGATCAGGTACATAGCTGTAAAATCTGATTCTGGGAAGCTATATAATCACATTTCCAGCAGTCCTTTGATGTACCCTGAGCTGAAACCACACCATTACATTTTCATGAGAACTTGCTGCTATTTGCCTCATTATAAGCATTTTGTCACATTCTCTCCTGTTTAAATAATCCAACTTAAAAAGAAATACTTTGAAGGGACATGAGTCACTGTTTTCATATAATTCTTGTTTTAAATCTGCCAATAAATTTGTAGTTATTTCCCATAAATGTGACATAGTTATTCTCATGTTTACCTTTTTGCTGTTGTGATCATGTTTAAATGGAGACAGTGAGAGAGAAGGCTCATCTCGCTCTCTGTCAAAGGTCAGTTGCAAAAGAAGGAGTGTCATTTGGAGATACTTTATATTGGAATAATTGATACCCAAAAGTTAAGTTTTTACAGTCACAGATGTCTGGGTGCCCAGTAGGGTGATGTGAGGGGTTTTCCTGGGCACAGGACTTTCAATGCTAAAGCTGTGAAGGCCCAGACAAAAAAATACTGTTAGTCAACCAAGTAATTCATTGAATAATGGAGCAGCAAGGAGAAAGAGAGTGAAGCCTGGTGTGAAGAGGAAGTGTTTCCTGTTTGAAAATAAAGTACGTAGAATACAATACCGGAAGTGATGTGAAGACAAAAAACGAGTGCCCTTAGAAAGTGGAGTCTGTGGGATTCTGTGCTAAGTTCCAAAGAGAAGTGACTTTTTCTGAGAAAGCCTGTTTTTAGGTTTCCTGAATTTTTGGTATGTCTTTTTGTTTCATTTTTCTAGTAATTTCTTATGATCCATTTTAAAATTTGATTTTATTTAAAAAATTTTTAATTGACAAGTAAAAAATATATATTTATAGTAGACAATATGCTTTGAAATATGGATACATTATGGAATAGCTAAATCAAGCTATTTAACACATGCCTCACCTAAAGTACTTATCATTTTTGTGTGTGTTGAGAACACTTAAAATCTGCTCTCTTAGCAATTTTCAAGCATACCATATACAGATGCTCTTCAACTTATGATGGGGTTAGATTCAGATAAACCCCTCATAAGCTGAATATGTAAGTTGAAAATGGATTTAATATACCTAACCTACCAAACATCATAGCTTAGCCTAGCTTACCTTAAACATGCTGAGAACACTTATAAAGCAGCCTATAGCTGGGTTAAATCATCTATCACAGAGCCTATTTTATCATAAAGTGTAGAATATTTCATGTAATCTTTGTTTTTATGAGTTCTACTTTTTTACACTCCACATGTAAATGAGATCACACTGTATTTGTCTTTCTCTGCCTGGCTTATTTCACTTAATATAATGTCCTCCAGGTTCATCTGTGTTTTTGCAAGTAACAGACTTTCCTTTTTTAAGGCTGAATAGTATTCCACTGTGTACATGTACCACATTTTTAATGCATTTATTCATTGGTAGACACTCAGTTTGAGTCCTTCTCTTGGCTATTGTGAATAATGCCACAACAATAGCATAAGTGTGCAGACATTTCTTCAACATACTGTTTTCATTTCTTTCGGATATATATATATCCAGCAGTGGGATTGCTGAGTCATGTGGTAGTTCTATTTTTAAAGGAACCACCATGCTGTTTTCCATAATAGCTATAGTAATTTACATTTCCACCAACAGTGTGCAAAGACACCCTTTTCTCCACATCCCACATCATCCCAACACTTACCTTACATCTTTTTTGATGATTGATGATGTTGCGCACTTTTCATTTACCTCTTGGTCATTTGACTGTCTTGAGAAATGTCTATTTAGGTCAAGTTTCCCTGAATTTCAATGAGTAAGTTAAAGCTCAACAGCTAAGTGGTTTGTCTCATCTACTCACTCATTAATTCCTTCAGAAATCTTTATTGAGTACCTCTTCTATGCCAGGCACTGCCAGTAGAAATAGAGAACAAAACAGTGTTCCTCCTCTTGTGAGATTTACATTCAAAGCAATGTCCCTGGCCCTTACTGACCACTTGCTCATGCCAAATGCTTTACCTCTGTTCCCATTCATTCCTCACAACTAATTCCTGAATCCTATTGTTAGCCCCACTCTCTAGACAGCAAATTGGAGGCTCGGAATGACAAAGTAGCTTGCTGAAGGCAGAAGGTGGGATTTAAGCCACTGTGAGTCTGAAACAAAAGCCCCCATGCATGACACTGCACCACATTGGCAGAGGGAGAGTTCTCTCATCCTTGAAGAAAAGCCCTGGATTCAAGAAACGCCTGAGTCATGGAGCATTTACCTTGTGCCAGGCATGTTTATTTCTTCTGAGATAGAGTCTCGCTCTGTCGCCCAGGCTGGGTGCAGTGGCGCAATCTTGGCTCACTGCAACCTCTGCCTCCTGGGTTGAAGCGATTTTCCTGCCTCGGTCTTCCAAGTAGCTGGGATTACAGGTGTCTGCCACCATGCCTGGTTAATTTTTGTATTTTGGTAGAGAGAAGGTTTCGCCATGGTGACCAGGCTCTCAAACTCCTGACCTCAAGTGATCTGCCCACCTTGGCCTCCCAAAGAGTGGGATTACAGGCCTGAGCCACCGCACCCAGCTGAGCCAGGCACATTTCTAACAGCCTTCACCTAGAGTACTCTTATTTGACGTTCACATCAGCTAGGAGAAAAATGCTGAGCTATCTGAAAGGGACCTTTCTCTCTAAGATCTGAGAAGCTCTCTGTTACCAATGATCCTTACACTATGGTGAGGGGCCTCAGGGTCGGGGAAGGAGTGTTAGACTAAAAGGGAAGATAAGTGAGAGGGAGGAATAAACTAAGGTTGAGGGGAGTGGTCACAGATGAAGTTCTTCAAGGCTGTTTTGCTGAACCCTGATGCAGACTACCGTGTAGCCTGTTTCTACTTTTCTTTGTGAGGGCCAATAAGTTAAATATCTTAAATGTTAATACGAACAGAGGGACAGGATGTAGCACAGTGGTTGATCTCACAGACCTTGGACTGCCCAGTTCTAGATCCTAGCTCTCCCATTCTTGGCTGTGAGATACTGGGCCCGTGACTAACCTCTCTGAGCTTCAGTGGTCTCATCTATAAAATGATAATGATAAAAGTAGCATATTTTTGAAGCTTATTAAGAGGAATTAATTAGGTAATAGACATAAGCACTAAAAATGGCAATAAGTATTGTGGCTGGAGCACAAGAAGTATCTTTTTAGCTATAATTATTCAAGTCTAAAGTGTATTGATCTTATGTGTAAGGCAAATATTGCTTTTATTTAAATTAACCTTAATTGTGTACTTTATAATTTGCTGTTTTTTCTTTACTTCCCCCTTTCCTGCTCATCACTCAAGCTTCCTACTTGAGCTGAGCAGGATTAGCCCCTTGGCTTAGCATGTGTCTTGTTCTATTTGGGCTGCTATAACAAAAATACCATAAACTAGGTGGCTTACAAACAACAGAAATTTATTTCTCACAGTTTCAAATGCTGGGAAGTCCAAGATCAAGACACTGGCAGACTTGGTGTCTGGTGAGGGCCTGCTTACTGGTTCATAAATGTCACCTTTTTGATGTGTGCTCACATAGTGGAGAGGGCAAGGGGGCTCTCTGGGGTGTACTTTAAGAGAGTACTAATCCTATTCATGAGGGTTCTGCCCTTATGACCTAATCACCTCCCAGAGCCCCACCTCCTAATACCATCACCTTGGGGATTAGGTTTCAACATGTGTATCTTAGAGGCATACAAATCTTTAGTTTATAGTAGTATGCAAAACTGGACAATGTTGTCTATTTGGGGATGCACGACTCAGGGAGGCTGACTATCCTAAAAGCTGTTTGAATCCATGAGCCAGCCAGGCCAATACCCATGAGAGAGTCTGCTGCCATTATAAAAGCAGCAAAAGTTCAGGTTAAACACCCTCCAGTCTCTTCCTGCAAAACCCATGCATATAGGCACCTGTGCTTGCACACACACACACACACACACTCTAATATTAGGAAACATCTCTTATTTTACAGAGCAGTGATTTTCAGCTCTGGATACCCATTAGAATCATGTGGGGAGTTGTAATAGAATTTCAGTTGAATGAATCTATGAAACTAGAATTTTCTGAGTGTCAGGGTAGGTCTCTGTATTTTTTAAAAGCTCTCTAGGTGATTCTGATGTGCAGTCAAGGTTGAGACCCACTGCTCTAAAGCAAATCCACTCCCCTTGTCCCTTCCTCCCACCCACCTCCCTGGCACAAGGAGAGTTTCACCTCCTAAGTATAAAGAACATTTTTGGAATTCACCTATTGTATTATTTAAGATATTATGGATGGCAAATAACAGAAATCCCAGTAGAAACAGGATCACCTGGAAACTTGCCGGAAATACGAATCCTCAGGCCCTGTCCCAGACAACAGAATCTGAAACTGGGAATGGGGGAGGACAGGGAATTGCCTGAATAAATTATCTGGGTAACGCCAGCATGGGCTGAAGTTTGGTGTAGACCAGTAGGGACCCATCCCTAGCAAGGAAGTTGGGATCACTTTCAGTCGAACCTTACCCATGCTACACAATGCAGGAGTGGGGGGCAAGGGTGGATGTTGGGGAGGTGGGCACAGTGCCCTCTATGCATGTATTTTGCTGAAGTAACATTGGATGCTTAGATCCTAGTGCTCAAAGGAGCAGCCAGAGAAGGAGCCCTGAGGAAAGTTGTGGTTTTTTTTTTTTTTTTTTTTTTTTTTTGTGAGATGGAGTCTCGCTCTGTTGCCCAGGCTGGAATGTAGTGGCATGATCTTGGCTCACTGCAAGCTCCACCTCCCGGGTTCAGGCCATTCTCCTACCTCAGCCTCCCACGTAGCTGGGACTACAGGCACCTGCAACCATGCCCGGCTAATTTTTTGTATACTTTTAGTAGAGACGGGGTTTCACCATGTTAGCCAGGACGGTCTCGATCTCCTGACCTCGTGATCCGCCCGCCTCAGCCTCCCAAAGTGCTGGTATTACAGGCGTGAGCCACCGCGCCTGGCCGAGGAAAGTTTTAGGATAGTGTTAAGGTACAGTTTGCACAGGAGACCTCCAGTTAGCTACATGCAAGAGGTCTGTTTCTTATTTGGGAGGCCACGTTTGGGACTTTTGTGAATATGGAAAGTTTGTGGATCTTTTTGAGTAAGAAACCAGGCTCAAAATAAAATCTTATGTAACTCCCCAAATCTCCAAACTAGTTTCCTTCCTTTGAGGGATTCATCTCCATAAAATATTTTACTAAATAGAAACTGATCAGATCTGCATGTGGTGATGTGAGAAAGAGGTTGCCATAAAATGCTCCATAGTCTTCTTAATATATGGATATTCATAAATCTAGAAACTTACTGAACAACTCCCACACCCCCAATTTCCATATTTGAATATCCTCTGCCTTGGACTTTTTGACCCAGCATCATGCAGTTACCTTGGCAACTGTCTGACAATATCATTCTATCTGCTCTAGGAAAGGTGGGACTAGTTGGACAAACGGCAACAGTATTACTCATGCTTTATCTCAACATTTTGCATTAAAATTAACCACATTTGAACATCTCTTTAACTCCTCATTGATGTTTGGAATTTTCTTCACTTTTCATCTGTTTCCTAGAATCTTTGGAAAATAATACATAAAAACCATATAACCATATAAAATTTAGTAGAGGGTAAAATATGTTTTTTAAGCATATCTGAAGAAGATAGTAATTGTGTTAACACTTTTCAAAAACTCATTATTTATTAATCAAATGACAAACACCTTAACAGGCATATGAACATTTGACAGTTTGAACCTTCAAAAGGACATCACTTAAGAGGAAATTGTACCCATCCTTCTCCCTCAGTAATAATTGAGAAGTATTAGGAAATAAATGTTTATCTACCAGACAAGTTAAGCAAGAGTGTGTAATTTTGTGTTCCAATAGGTAAATGAGAATTTTCAGGGCATCGACACATTCTGAACACCCTTGCCTTGTGAGGACCTCGGAATTGGAGGATAATTGTTATTTCAATGTATGATATTCAGTGAGGTACAAACAGGGAATGGATTTATGTTTCTCTTCACCATTGTTGTCAGCCATTCTCTATCAACTCTTTCTCCTTTCTCTTGCCATAGTGAAGTCTCAGAAAGAACCCGTAGCTTTTTGTAACATTTGGTTACTTAAAAGACAGACTCTGTATCAAAAAAAAAAAAAAAGAAAGAAAAAGAAAAAGAAAAAAAAAAGTCCACGTCAGTCAGATCTAGTTTAAGATTTCAAACTGCTTCTGGCTTAATTCCCTACTCCTAGAACCAGACTCCTTCCCATTCTGCCTCCAGAGCCATGTCTCTGGGCTGGTGCCCCCTGGCCTCTCACTGCCAGGTCTCCTCTCCTGCAGCCTGCCCTCCTGGCTGGGAAAAGGGCCTGTGACAGGCACAGTGTCCGTGGAGCCCAAGGAGACAAGCGTACATCCTTGATGCATGGGCTTTGGGTTGCCACACACTCCATTCTCTGCCTGGTGGGTGAATCAGCACGTGGGCTGCATGAGGCTGCCCCAGGCTGACCTCATCCCGGGGAATGGGAACCCAGCCTCTTGTCTCCGCACATCCAGTGTTTGGCTTGGTTTTCTTGGAGACTCGCTCTCTCTCTCTTTCTTTTGGTGAGGAGTCCCTCAAAGAGAGAGGAAATGATTGGATGGTGAGTCTTTGCCCTGGAGGAAGTGATACTCTTTTCTTCTTTCCCTGCCCTACTTGGGAAGGGATGATGGGAGGGGCTGAGGTGGCAGTGGCAAGGGTAGGAGGGTAGGGGGGCCAGCTTCCTGGTAAATCCTGGAGGCCCACCACAGACCACCGGCGTTAGGGGGTACCAGCCCAGGGGCAGAAGTCTGCTGTGGCCAGGGGGTAGAGAATGAGGGTGGACTGGATCTTGTCCTTGGCTTGGCTGGACTGTGTGCGTGCGTATTCATGTGAGAGAAACAGCCTGGTTCGACCAGTGCCTGACGTCACTTGTTCTGCTGTGTCAGCATGGCACAGGAGGCTGTATCCCCTTGATACATTTCTCATGAATCACAATAGCTTACATTTCCGGAGTGCTTTTTATATGCCAGATTCTGTGACAGAAGTTCAGGGTACACAACACAGAAAGACACGTCCTTTTTCTCATGTTGAGGACAACTAGAAGTGCATATATCCGGTCACAATGAGCCAGGGAGATCCAATCAAGATGAGGCACATATTGAGACTTTCTGGGCTTTCTACACGCTATCCCGTTGCACCCTCAGGTCCACCCTAGGAGATGAGGGAATTGGATTATCCAATTTTCATATGAGAAACCTGAAGCTTAGGTGTGTGCATAACTTGCCCAAGATCACGCAGGCGGACAATGGCAGACCCCAGGTTCAGTCCCCAGCCACTGGTGTTGAAGTTAACCACTATCCTTTGTGTGGCACTAAGTCTTTCCCAGCCTAGCAGATATGGATCTCCGCAGAAAAATGGGGATGCTCAGAGCTCACAGGCCTCAGCATAACTGGTGTAATTATGCTGGTTTTCACAGTTAGGTCTTTAAAAAAAATAGAATGGACAGAATGGCTGCTATGGTTAGCTTCTACCCTGCATCTCTACGGAGCAGGCTGTCTTCTTTGTATGGGACATACAGTTCTAGGCAACTTTGGAATGATCATTGTCATCCCAAACAAAGTGAGATGAGTGATGCTTTTTCTGACTGGTCTAACTGCAGCTCACAGACGAACCTAGTAGCCACTTAAATAGGCAGTCTAGGGAACTGGGCATAGCTGAAGGCACTAAGAATTTGTGGAGAGAGCATCTCAATGACTCTGCTTTCCTTTAAGCAATTGCTGGTTAGATTGTGGAGTAAAGACTTCAAAGGTCAAAACACAAGCATGTGAGCAGAACACAAAACTGTCCTAGCTGCCTGAGGAGCTGTGATTGTCCCAAAAGTGACCAGAGAAAGTACCCATGCCTGAGGGTGATTCCACTGCAATGCTCTGGCAAATTGCAGAGGACTCCAGTGAGCTACATGGAAATGCTTTAAAAAAAGTGGTTTCAGGAGGCAAGAATTTCAAATCACAGATGCACTTACCTAGTACTGTGCTATTATCAATAACTACAAATAACTACAATTAAAGCTCAAGAAAATGGAACTTGAGAGGTCACATTTTGTAGAATAGTTTTTTGTTTTATTCAAATTTAGCCCAACTTGCCACTTCATTTTCTTAAAGCTTCTGAACATGTCTTTCAACTAAAACAATTAAACATTTTGAAGGCAAGATTGTCTAGAAAGTAGAGACTAGTAGGGGAAAGGAGAGTTTTCTGTTTGTCTGTACACAATCCTTTTCCTTGCCTGATATATCAAGGAAGGAAGTCTGCATTTGTAAGGAGGGTGGAACTCACAAACATCAGGTGATTTGAGTGGAAGGTTAATATATGAATGCCTTGTTCCCCAGCACACCCTCTGTTCTGAGGTTAAGACAGAATGTACAAGCCACTTCTTGTTGCTAGAGATAGAGATCATTAGGGCCAAGATCATTTGAGACTTTACTTCTGTGTTATTAGTCCTCATCTCCAAGCTGGGAGCCCTGTGGACAAGAGCAGTGTAACATCTGGCACATGGTTAGATGACCTGACACTACTGGGCTGTCAGGTTTCAGACCCATGAAATTGGAGGCTGGGGTCCAATCTGTTGAGAGTTGCTATTGCTGTGAGGGTCCTTTGTGATCCTCCTGGACTGCTTTCCACCCTTGGTGAGAAAGCAAAGTCTGCCAGTAATGAGTTGGCTGTGCCATAGATTCTGAGGCGAGCTTCCTTCCATTCATCTTGGCTGTGCTGATTTGATGCTAAAATGAGGCAAGACACTGCCAGGGCCAAGGGTAGAGAAAGAACAGTGCATTGGCTAAGGGCATGAGATATGGGCACAACACCTGAAGCCAGAGGAGTGAATGAGAGCCACAAAGGGTATGAGACCGATATTTACACAGTGGCTCAGAGAGGCAGTAGATGTGATGACAGTGCCAATTAAAGATGAACGTGTTCAGCTCGTACATCATGGGGTCCGGAGTGAAACCTACCTGCTAGATGTTAATTTCCAGTAGCAGCAGGCCCTGAAAAGGACTCCTTCCAAGATGAAGCCTGCAGTGGGGCATGCTGACATTTCTGAGACAGTCTGTTGCTCGCTTGCTCAGACGTCCCCCTGGGACCCAGAAGTCTAACCAACAACAGAGCTCTGGAGTTGAGAGTAAAATTTTACAAATGCAGCAGCAGCAGCACTGTTCCTGGGTGGGCAGCCTTTTTCTTTTTGTGAAAGCCCATCTCTCCTCCCCATGCTCAACACCTGCTAGGCTCTTTAATAGCTCCCCAGGGCCTAGATTCAGCTGGGCTTCATTTACACAAACAAGAAGGATTACATGTTTCTAAATGGAAAAGACTGTAGAGATCATGGAGTTCACCGACCTCATTTTACAAATGAGGAAATTATGGTCAAGAGAGCTGAGTCGCTTCCCCAGGTCACAGAGCTGGCGCAGGGAATTAGCTCCAATGGAAGAGCTGCACTTGGGATGCGAGAGGTCAGGGAGCCAACATCTGCACCTCTGACTGCCTACAATGCTGGTGGATGGCAGAATAGAGTGCAATTCATTAAGGAACAAAGTTGTGTTATTAATATGGCTTCATAAACAATTTGGCTCAGAAACACTTAAATCCTGTCTTCAAGATAAATCGATTGATTCTTTATGTGACGTCCCAAAGAGAAATATAACCAGGGGAGGATGATCAGTAAGACAAAGGGGGATTTTTAAAATTAGCTGGACCTTTATTATTAAACCCAAGAGAAGTCCAGTGAACTAAAGTCAAACCACAGGATGACTCCTATTTTCAGCATAGCTGGCCAAGGTAGCAAGCTACTGGTCACTGTGATAGAGTCCATTTCAAGAAGGTTGTTGGTAGTGCCTGTAAGGGCAAAATAGGAAAAGAAAAAAAAAGGAGGCCAGGCATGGTGGTACGTACCTGTAGTCCCAGCTACCCAGGAGGCTGAGGCAGGAGGATCCCATGAGCCCAGGAGTTTGAGGTGGCAGTGAGCTATGATTGCACCATTGCACCCCAGCCAAGGTGATAGAGCAAGACTGGAAAAAGAGGAAAAATAAGAGGAGGAAGTTCATGAAGAAAAGTTCTTCTCTACTTTGAGAATCTTGAAGCCATTGAGCTGAAAGGGACCTCAGAGGTTGTTTCTCCAAACTTCCTCAATTACTAACCTAAGAGCTGAGCATATTGCGGTCTAGAGAGGTAAAGTGAATTATCCTCCAAGTTTGACAAAAATTCTAGGACCTTGGGATAGGTCATGGCACAGCACACTCTCCAGAAGGCAGGGGTTTGATGGGATGCTACAGAGGCTGGAGAGGTGTGAGGAGGGCCCACAGATAAGCAAAGGCCTGTGTACTACCTATGAATCTGCAACATGTGGAGATGGTCAGACCAAGAAAGGTTGGGGCCTTTTGTTTTCTCCAAATCCACGGGGGTTCAGAGACACAGGGAGCCCAGAGGATGTGTGGTGGGCTTTCTGCTGCCTTAGGGTCATGTAAGCCACAATGTTGTATCCATCCAGGTGCTCCCATAAGAGGAGACTGGGAGAGGGCAGAACTGTGAATACTGAGGCATCCAAGCCGAGGCTGAATTAGCTAAAGAGACAGTTTAATTACTGGTTTGGTCTGAGAGTCTGATTTGGTCTAAGAAGGCCTAATTTGTAGAGTTCCTCCTACCCTGCCCCACACCTCTTCCTGACACAGCAGGGGGTCCTATAGAAGATCTACTTTCTTATTTAAGAAATAAAGAAGCTATGAGATCATTTGAGACTATGCTGTAAATATTTTAAAAAGAGAAACAAAAATTACCTATAATTCTAACACTCAGGACCTTCGGCTGCAGTTTTTGTTCCTTCCTTCCTTTCCTCCCTCTAGCCTTCCTTCTGTCCATTTTTCCTCTTCCTTCCCTTTTCCTTGCCTCCCCTTCCCTCTCTTTCCCTCCCCTGCTTACTACCCTCCACTGTTCTCCTTTCTTTCTTCTGACTGTCCCTCTCCTCCCCTCCTGCCTTCCTTCCCTCCTTTTCTTTTTCCCCCACAAAGAGATAAGTTATTAGAAGGCTGTGGTGCGACTCCTGAAGCAAAGAGGATGGCTGTTCTGGGCCTGAGCTGCTGGTAAACCAGGGAATCTCTGCTTCCCTTGGCGAATGGCTTCATTCTGTTCTCCAGATGGATAGATTTTCTCTGCTTCTCAATTCAAGTGACAGGTAGAGGGCCCACCCACACTTGCAAGCTCTTTCTGCTTCCAACAATTACACTCTGCCAATTGGCATCATACCACTCTTGGTTTGAACAAAATTTTTTTATACTTTACTTAATATTTTACTGTGTGCAATTTTTCGTGCTATTAAATATTCTTTAAGAAGATTCCATCAAATGAAGATAATTTATTTAATCAATCTGCTATTGGAGCTATTGAGGTAGTTTCTAATTTTTCACTCTAATGGATATCTTTAAACATCAATCTTGGTCCATACCCAGGACTATTTCTGTAAAGTAAACTCCTACATGCTGAGAAGGAAAATTCTCTTGTTTAAAGATACATATGTGTTAGTGGTCTTGATACATTCTGCCAAGTTTCTTTCAGGAAGAAGCAAACCAATTCACACTCCAGCACTTCCAGCAGATATAACAGTGTCCATCTCTGCCACTTCAGCATTTTACCTTTGCCACTTGGACAGTTGAAAAATGGTATCTAATTTTTGTTTCAAAACAAAAAACTATACCTTTTTAAATAACTCCTTAAATAGCATGCTATTAACTGCTTTGTTTAATTTTTTTGTTTAATTTGTTTAATCCCCTCTGTAATTTTATTTGTTACCATTTTACACAAATGTACTATTGCCCCCTAGGGTTGTACATTGTAGAATCTATACAACTGGACATATCAACCCTGCAGAGACATTGCTTAACGTTGGTGGAATCACATGTAGAATTTCTGCATATTTCTTTTGTGATTTCTTTTATTGTTGTTGTGCTTAGAAAGCCACGCCTTATCTGGAGATCAATTATGTTCTAATATAGGTATTTTTTTTAGTCTTTTAATATATTATTTTTTTAACCAGGTGTGGTGGCTCACGCCTGTAATCCTAGCACTTTGGGAGGCCGAGCTGGGAGGATTTCTTGAGCCCAAGAATTCGAGACCCCACCTGGGCAACGTGGTAAGACCCCTGTATCTACAAAACAATTTAAAAATTAGCTGGGCATGGTGGCTTGTGCCTGGAGTCCCAGCTACTTGGGAGGCTGGGGTGGGAGGATTGCCTGAGGCTGAGAGGTCGAGGCTGCAAGTGAGCCAAGATTACACCACTGCACTCCAGCCTGGGCAACAGAGGGAGACCCTGTCTCAAAAAGTAATTATTTTTTCAATACAAAAACTCATTTTTGAAAGTGCTTCCTCTGAGCCAGTTTTTATGATAAGCTTTCACGCAATATGTATTTTTTAACATGTATACCAGTCCTGTGAGATTGAGACCCTTGTTATCTCCTTGTTTGGAAAATAAAGGCCGTGAGACTCAGAGGGGTGGGTACCATGCCCTGGGTACAAACCCAGGAGGCTGCAGAGCCATAGACTTAGTTCACACCCCTTCCGTCAAGCACAGTGCTTTTCCCCAGTAAGCCACTAGACGAACTCACTTCTTATACAACTGGGATTTGTTTTTAATGTAGCCAAGTCTTTCCACCATACAGGGAAAATCCATTTTCAGTAGAAGAAAACAAGATCAATAAACAATGAGAGGTAGAGATGAGATTACATTGGAGAGGTTATAGCGCTGCTTTTTTTCTGCTTAAACTCTCCACAACTTCCCACCACCATTAGAATAAAAGCAAACTCCCTGCATGCATCACTAGACCTGGTCTTTTCTTCTCTCACCTCCGTTCTCCCCCGTGCTCTCTGTGCTCAACTCTCATTGACCATTTTCCTGTTTCTTCAACAGGCGGAGTTCATTCCTGACTTAGGGCCTCATCTAGTGTCAGTGCCTGGACTTCCCTTCACACATAACTTCCCAGGGCTTCCTCCTTCCTGTGACTCCACAATAGCCCTCTGCCCAGCAATTGGTCACCCTCTGTACATCACTTTGAGTCCATTTTGTCAAACAATTTCTATGTGAAACACGCTGATTTATTTGTACATGTCTATTTGTTTAGCCACAAAAATTTATGCTGCAGTAAAGGCAAGATCTTTGTCTATTTTATTCACAATTGTGCTCCCAGTGCCTACATTCACCTTAATTGGCTACTTTGCTAGTTTCACATATTGATTCCAATGGTAAATGTGTTGTTGGTTTGTTTTTGATTTGTGTGCACTGTAGTATGTTATCTGCAAATACTAACACTTTTATTATTATTTTTTTCACCTGTATGCTCCCACCCCCATCTTACTGCACTGGCTAAAATCTACAGTGCAACATTAAATAGAAGTGGCAATAGTGGGCTTTTTTGCCTTTGCCTTGATCTCACGGGTAAAACTCTCAGAATTCTAAAATGAATGATGTTTGCTGTAGGTTTTTTTTTTTTTTTTTAAAATAGAGAACTATCTTCATCCATACAAGCTGCTATAACAAACTACCATAGACTGGGTGGCTCATAAACAGAAATTTATTTCTCACAGTTCTGGAGGCTGGGAAGTCTAAGATCAAGACACTGGCAGATTTGGTGTCTTGTGAGGGCTGCTTCCTTGTTCACAGACAGTCATCCTTACATGGCAGTCACCTAGCAAAAGCCCCACTTTCTGTCACCATCACATTGGGTGTCAGGATTTACCATATGCATTTTGGAGGTATACAAACATTTAGTCTATAGCAATATCCTTTATCAGATTTAAAGACATCTTCAATTCATAGTTTATTATGAATTCTTATGAATGAATTTGAATTGTAGCCAATGCTTTTTCTGCATCAATTAAGGTGATTATTTGATGTTTTTAATTCACGAGATGAATTAGATAGATTTTCAAATTTTCAACCATCCTTGCATTTCTGAGATAAGTCAAGTTTGTCATAATATATTATCTTTACTAAATGCTGTTGAATTCAGTTTGCTAACTTTTTTTAATGATTGCTTTGGGGAGAATATATATTCCAATATATAATCTTAACTTTTCACAGTTCACTTAGGGTTAAAGATTGTACCACTTCATGTAAAAAGTATAAAAATTAAAAAAATGCAAAATACAAAGATAAAAGTAGGCTTACAGGTTTATTTACCTTCTCTCCACCATTTTTTATGGTATAATTTTCATTTGTACTACATCCACATACATTGGGAACCTTGCAAGACTGTGTTGAAATTTTTGCTTTAAAATGAGCGTATATCATACGAAAGAGGAAAACCAACATTTATGATTATGCAAATATTTACCATTTCCGAGTCCTTTTATTTCTAAGATCTGAGTTTCCTTTGGGAATTATTTCAGTTCTTCCAGAAGAAATTTCTTTCACATTTCTTGTAGTGCATCTGCTGGTGATGACTCCTTTTAGTCTGATTTAGTTGGCCTTCATTCCTGAAGGATATTTTCACTGGGTATAGATTTCTGGCTTCACAGTTGTTGTTTCATTTCTCCAGTGCTTTAAACGTATTTTTACAGTCTCTGTGGTCTCTATTTTTTCTAAACGTGCAGTCATTGTTGAATTGTTATTTCCCTGTATGTAATACTTTTTTTTTTGTTCTGGCTTCTTTAAAGATTTTCTACCCATCTTGAGTTTTTAGCAGTTTAGCTATGATATGATCAGGCATGGTTTTCTTCAAATATAATCTTGTCTAAGGCTTGCTGAGCTTCTTGAATCTGTAAATTTGTATGTTTCATTAAATTTTAGATATTTTCAGTTATTATTTCTTCAAATTTCTTCTGGCCCCATTCTTTCTCTCTGCTCATTTTGAGACTTCAGTTATTCATGGTAGATTTTAAAAATTACTCCACATATTTCTGAGTCTCTGTGTATTTTTCCAATCTTTTTTCTCCTTCATTTTCAGATTGAATTGTTTCTGTACATTTACCTTCACGTTCTCTGATTCTTGTTTCATCTCTTTCCTGCTCTTTGAATATCTCATGGATTTTAAATTTTCAGGTATTCTCCTTTTTACTTTTAGAATTTCCATGTTTAAAATATATTTTCTAAGGCCAGGCATGGTGGCTGATGCTTGTAATCCTAGCACTCTGGAAGGCCGAGGCGGGAGGATCACTTGATCCCAGAAGTTCAAGACCAGCCAGGGCAACATGGCAAAACCTCATCTCTACAAAAAATAAAAAATTAACCAGACATGGTGACACATGCCTGTAGTCCCAGATACTCATTCTGGCTGAGGCAGGAGGATTGCTTGAGCCTGGGGCATTGAGTGAGCTGCAGTGAGCTGTGATTATGTCTTTGAACTCCAGCCTGGGCAGCAGAGCAGGACCCTGCCTCAAAAAAAAAAATAGATAAAAATAAAACAAAATAAAATGTATTTTCTATTTCTTTGCTGACCTTTCCTTTCTTTCATTGTGAACATATTAAAATTGACCTCTTTGAGCATAGTAATAATGGGTGCATTAAAATCCTTAGACTGATAACACTAGTCTAGTTCATCTCAGAGTTATCATTTGTTGTCTTTTCCTTTAACAATAGGCTTCATTTTCCTTGCTTTTCTCATGTGGAGAAATTTTGAATTGTATCTGGATCTTGTGAATGTTGTTTTTCATTTTGTCTTACTGTTCTGGGTTCTGTCATATTGCTCAGAAGAGTATTCATTTAATTTATTCAGGAAATTAATTTGGATAGACTTATATGGCAAATTTTCTCATGCCAGCAATGGGTGGTTCAGATCTAAGATGAGACTGCTCTTCTTTTTTTAAAAAAGTATTGTACATATTTAACATGATGTTATAAGATACATATATACAGTAAGATCGTTACTATAGTGGAATGTATTAACATATATCAGGTTTCTTTTAGGCTGATTCACACATGCATGATTCAAGGGCCAGGCAGAGGCTTGGGCAGAATTTATATACAGACTGGTATTCATCTAGAGTGTCCTTTACAGGAGTCCCTCCTCATTCTTTGATCATCCTGGTTGCCCCAGGCTCCCCATCTGGTTTCTCCAGCCTGAAATATGCAGGTTTTTCTATTGGGGCTTTAGTTGTCTATCACTGTCACCGTGACTGTGACTGCCCTCACAAAAAGCCAGAAACATGAGTAACTTCTGGTTAGTTTTTCTGATTTATCTATTTCATCCAAGGTGATAAATTTGTTGGCATAAATGTATTCATATTGTATTCTGGTGATTTTTTAATGTCTGTAGGATCTGTAGTGATGTTTCTTTTTTTGTTCTTGATATTATTTAAGGCTTCTCCCTGTCAAGCAGTATCACTAAGGGGTTATCAATTATTTTAGCCTTTTAAGAAACCAATTATTAGCTATTTATGTCTACTGTATGGTTTATCTGTTTCATTAATATCTGCTCTTTCACTGTTAGCTTCCTTGTGTTTTCTTTGGGTTTAATTTGCTGTTTCTTCTTCAGCTTTTTGAGACGGATACTTTACTCATACATTTTTAAGATCTTCTTTTCTAATATAGCTGATCCTCATTATTTGTGGTTTCCATATTTTCGAATTCACCAAAATTTATTTGTATCCCCAAATCAATACTTGTTATGCTTTTGTGGTCATTCATAGAACGCACAGAGTGGTGAAAAATTTGTCACCCAGGGCAAACATCCCAGCTGAGGTCGAACCAAATGACTGCTTGTTTTAGCTTTCATGCAGAGATGACCAGAGGATGGAGACAGTAGGGGGCAGTGCAGTATAGGGCATTGCATTTTTTTTTTAATCCTTTAGTTCAAAATACTTTTAAATTTTCTTTTTTATTTCTTCTGTGATCCATAAGTTATTTAAATATATTTATTAATTCCCAAATATATGGGATTAATAAAAAGGTTTTGTTACTGATTTATTTCTTAATTGCACTTTGGACAGAAAGCATACTCTCCATAAAAAAATTATTAGAAAGTTGTCTTGTTTTATGGCCAAATGTGTGATTAATTTTTGTAAATGTTACCTGTACATTCAAAACAATATGTTTCTGAAGTTGTTGGATGTAGTGCTCTACATATGACAGTTAAGTCAAGTTTTAATGTTGTTCAGTTCTTCTGTAGCTGTACTAATATTTTGCATGCCTTGTTTTATTAGTTGCTGAGAGAGATTTGTTAAAATGTCCATAATGAAAACTTATACAACACCAAAAAGGAACCCCAATATAAACTATGCACTTTAATTAGTGATAATGCCATATTGGCTCATTAATTGTAAAAAATGAGCCACATGAATGCAAGACATTAATAATAGTGGTTATTTTGTGTGTGGCATGTGTGTATGGGGGTATAGGGGAACTCTGTATTTTCTGCTCAATTTTTCTGTAAACCTAAAACTGCTCTTAAAAATTTATTGATTTTAATCTTTTAAAATTTTTATTTATTCATTAAAAATTTTTTTTACTACATTGTAACAAAACTGCAAAAAGTCTATTGATTTTTAAAAGTTTCCATATGATTGTGTATTTATTCACTTTTTTCTACAATCCTGTCAAGAATTTCTTTACATATATTTTAGGTTATGTAATTACATGCATAAATAATCAGAATTTTTATATCTTTCTGGTATATCCAGCCTTTTCTCATATGAAATGCCACTTTTTACTTTTAACAATATTTATCCTGATGACTACTTTGGCATATATTAGTACAGTTATACTGGCTTCCTTTTGATTAGCATTTTTGTGGTGTATTGTTTTTCATCCTTCCACTTTCAACTTTGAAGTCTCCTTACATATTAGAGCTGTCTTTTTTTTTTCTTTGACAGAGTCTTGCTCTGTTGGTAGGTGATCTCAGCTCACTGCAACCTCTGCCTCCTGAGTTCAAACAATTCCCCTGCCTCAGCCTCCCGAGTAGCTGGGAACATAGGCATGCGCCACCATGCCTGGGTAATTTTTTTTTTGTATTTTAGTAGAGATGGGGTTTCACCATGTTGGCCAGGATGGCCTCAATCTCCTGAACTTGTGATCTGCCTGCCTGGGCCTCCTAAAGTGCTGGGATTACAGGTGTGAGCCACTGCACCCGGCCAGATCTGTCTTTCATAAGAAGCATATAGTTGTATTATTTTAACATTAAATCTGACATCTTTTATATTTTATAGTCGTCTTTTGTCCATTTATATTGTATATAATTACAGATATACTGGGGCAAACATCTTATATCATCAGCATCTTATATCTTACTATTTACCCTCTATCCTGTTTCATTATATATATGAATGGATATATATATACATATATATAAATTATACCTTTTGGCTTTTTTTAAGTTTATTACTTTAAAAATTTTATTTCTTTCCTCATTATTAGCTTGGTAGCTATACACCATTTTATTATTATCTTAGGGATGGCTGGAGGGCAGGAGGGCAGTGTTGTGATCATCGGTCATTGACACCTTGACCTGCTGGGCTCAAGGGATCCTCCCTTTTCAGTCTCCAAGTAGCTGGGACTACAGATATGTACCATTACACCCAGTTAATTAAAAAAAAATTTTTTTGGAGAGACTGAGTCTCACTATGTTGCCCAGACTGGTCTCGAACTCCTGACGTCATATGATCCTCCTGTCTTTGCCTCCCAAAGTTTTGGGATTATAGGTGTGAGCTACTGCACCCAGCACTGTCTTATATGTTTTAAGATAAATGAGTAATTTATCTCTTCCAAGACGAGGCAGGACATTAACATCTTTAAACCCTTTTTCTCTTCCTTCCCAACTTTTTTTTTTTTTTTTTTTTTTTTTTTTTGAGACGGAGTCTCACTCTGTCACCAGGCTGGAGTGTGATCTCGGCTCACTGGAACCTCTGCCTCCCAGGTTCAAGCGATTCTCCTGCCTCAGCCTCCCAAGTAGCTGGGATTATAGGCGTCCACCACCATGCCTGCCTAATTTTTGCATTTTTAGTAGAGATGGGGTTGCACCATGTTGGTCAGGCTGGTCTCGAACTCCTGACCTCAAGTGATACACCTGCCTCGGCCTCCCAAAGTGCTGGGATTACAGGTGTGAGCCACTGCACCAGGCCTTCCTTCCCAACTTTTACATTATTGTTATATATTTTAGTTCTACGTGTAAAATCTCAAAAGGCATTATTATTGCATGGCATACTCAATAATTACTTAGACTTATCCATATATTTACCCTTTCAATTGTCCTTAGCTTTTTCTTGAAATTCTTCTATCTGCAGTCCTTTTCTTTATAGTAGAACAATGGCTCTTAGTGTCTTAAAAAAATTCTTAATAAAAATAATTTGGGTTGAAAACTCTTCCAGTTTTTGTTTGTCAGAAAATGTTTTCATTTTTCTCCCATTTTTGACTGCATACATGTTCTCTCTAGCTTGGTAGTTATTTTCTTTCTTTTTTTAAAAAAATTTATTTTAGGTTTGGGCGTACCTGTGAAAGTTTGTTACATAGATAACTACATGTCATGGGGGTTTGTTGTACATATTATTATATCACCCAGGTATTAATCTCAGTATCCAGTAGTTCTCTTTTCTGCTCCTCTCCCTCTTCCCACCCTCCCCACTCAAGCAGACCCCAGTGTCTGTTGTTTCCTTCTTTGTGTTCATAAGTTCTCATCATTTAGCTCCCACTTATAAGTGAGAACATGCAGTATTTGATTTTGTGTTCCTGCCTTAGTGTGCTAAGAATGATAGCCTCTAGCTCCATCAAAACACATGATCTAATTATTTTTTATGGATACATAATATTCCATGGTGTGTATACACCACATTTTCTTTATCCAGTCTGTCATTGATGAGCATTTAGGTTGATTCCATGTCTTTGATATCATGAAGAGTGCTGCAGTGAACACTTGTGTGCATGTGTCTTTATGGCAGAATGATTTATATTCTTCTGGGTATATATCCAGTAATGGGATTGCTGTGTCAAATGGTAGTTCTGCTTTTAGCTCTTTGAGGGCTAAGAGACATACTGATTCCACAATAGTTGATTTAATTTACACTCCCACCAACAGTGTATAAGGGTTCCATTTTCTCTGTAACCTCATCAGCGTCTACTATTTTTTGACTTTTTAATAATAGCCGTTCTGACTGGTGTGAGATGGTATTTCACTGTGGTTTTTATTTGCATTTCTCTAATGATCAGTGCTATTGAGCTTTTTAAATATTCTTCTTGGCCACATGTATGTCTTCTTTTGAGAAGTGTCTGTTCATGTCCTTTGCCCACTTTTTAATAGGGTTGTTTTCTCTTATACATTTGTTTAAGTTCCTTATAGGTGCTGGATATTAGACCTTTGTCAGATGCATAGTTTGCAAAAATTTTCTCCCATTCTGTAGACTGTCTGTTGATAGTTTCTTTTGCTGTGCAGAAGTTCTTAAGTTTAATTAGATCCCATTTGTCAAATTTGCTTTTGTTGCCATTGTTTCTGGTGTTTTTGTCATGAAATTTTGCTTATTCCTAGGTCCAGGATGGGAGTGCCTAGGTTGCCTTCCAGGGTTTTTAACATTTTGGGTTTTACACTGAAGTCTTTAATCCATCTTGAATTGATTTTTGTATATGGTGTAAGGAAGGGGGTCCAGTTTCAATCTTCTGCATAAGGCTAGCCAGTTATCCCAGTCCCATTTATTTAATAGGTAGTCATTTCTTCATTGCTTGTTTTTGTCAGCTTTGTCAAAGATTGGATGGCTGTAGATGTGTAGCCTTATTTCTGGACTTTCTATTCTGTTAAATTGGTTTATGTGCCTGTTTTGGTATTAGTACCATGCTGTTTTGGTCACTGTAGCCTTGTAGTATAGTTTGAAGTTGGGTAACATGATTCTTCCAGCTTTGTTCTTTTTGCATAGGATTGCCTTGGTTATTTGGCTTTTCTTTTTTGGTTCCATATAAATTTTAAAATAATATTTTCTAGTTCTGTGAAGAATGTCACTGGTACTTTGATAGGAATAACATTGAATCTGTAAATTGCCTTTGGACAATATAGCTATTTTAATGATATTGATTCTTCCTATCCATGAGCCTGGGATGCTTTTCCATTTGTTTGTTTGTTCTCTGATTTCTTTGAGCAATGTTTTATAATTCTCATTGTAGAGATCTTTCACTTCCCTTGTTAGCTGTATTCCTAGTTTTTTTTGTGTGTGTGTGGCAATTGTGAATGGGATTGCCTTTCTGATTGGGCTGTCGGTTTGGTTAAAAATACTTTTTTGAGATTTTGAATACATTTTTTTAATCACCAAGTCATTTATATATATATATATATGACAGTATGTACAATGTAAGTTATATTTTATTCAGTCTGTAGACAATGCTTAGAGTGCAAATAGATAAAATGATCTCCAATCACACCTTCATATTGTGCCTCTAAGACACCCAGAAGTCCTCTCTTATTTATTAAAACCCACAACCTGCTGTAGGATAATCTGATTGTGTGATTTTATTAGGGCATGTAATACATTTATGCTAATCATACATATGAGGTTAATGAGGGATCGTCAACTATGAGCTATATGAAATGCACTTCTTTTTTTTATACTTTAAGTTGTGAGGTACATGTGCAGAATGTGCAGTTTTGTTACATAGAGATACACGTGCCATGGTGGTTTGCTGCACCCATCAACCTGTCACCTACGTTAGATATTTCTCCTAATGCTATTCTTCCCCAAGTCCCCCACCCCCTGACAGGCCCCAGTGTGTGATGTTCTCCTTCCTGTGTCCATGTGTTCTCATTGTTCAAATCTCACTTATGAGTGAGAACATGTGATGCAAACACTGGGTTTTCTGTCCCAGTGTTAATTTGCTGAGAATTATGGTTTCCAGCTTCCTCCATGTCCCTGCAAAGGACATGAACCCATCCTTTATTATGGCCGTATAGTATTCCTTGGTGTATATGTGCCACATTTTCTTTATCCGGTCTATCACTGATGGACATTTGGGTTGGTTCCAAGTCTTTGCTATTGTGAATAGTGCTGCAATAAACATACACATGCATGTGTCTTTATAGTAGAATGATTTATAATCCTTTGGATATATACCCAGTAATGGGATTGCTGGGTCAGATGGTATTTCTAGTTCTGGATCCTTGAGGAATCACCACACTGTCTTCCACAATGGTTGAACTAATTTACACTCCCACCAACAGTGTAAAAGCATTCCTATTTCTCCACATCCTCTCCAGCATCTATTATTTCCTGACTTTTTAATGATTGCCATTCTAACTGGTGTGAGATGGTATCTCATTGTGATTTTGATTTGCATTTCTCTAATGACCAGTGATGGTGAGCATTTTTTCATGTTTGTTGGCTGCATAAATGTCTTCTTTTGAGATGAGTCTGTTCATATCCTTTGCCCAGTTTTTGATGGGGTTGTTTTTTTCCTGTAAATTTGTTTAAGTTCTTTGTAGATTCTGGATATTAACCCTTTGTCAGATGTATACATTGCAAAAATTTTCTCCCATTCTGTAGGTTGCCTGTTCACTCTGATGATAGTTTCTTTTGCTATGGAGAAGCTCTTTAGTTTAATTCGATCCCATTTGTCAATTTTGGCTCCTGTTGCCATTGTTTTTGGTATTTTAGACATGAAGTATTTGCCCATGCCTATGTCCTGTAGGGTATTGCCCAGGTTTTCTTCTAGGATTTTTATGGTTTTAAGTCTTACATTTAAGTCTTTAATCTATCTTGGGTTGATTTTTTTGTATAAGGTGTAAGGAAAGGGTCCAGTTTCCGTTTTCTGCATAGGGCTAGCCATTTTTCCCAACACCATCTATTCAATAGGGAATCTTTTCCCCATTGTTTGTTTATGTCAGGTTTGTCAAAGATCAGATGGTTGTAGATGTGTGGTGTTATTTCTGAGGCTTCTGTTCTGTTCCATTGGTCTATATCTCTATTTTGGTATCAGTACCATGCTGTTTTGGTTACTGTTGCCTTGTAGTATAGTTTGAAGTCAGGTAGCATGATGCCTTCAGCTTTGTTCTTTTGGCTTAGGATTATCTTGGCAATGTGGGCTCTTTTTTGGTTCCATATGAAGTTTAAAGTAGTTTTTTCCAATTCTGTGAAGAAAGTCAGTGGTAGCTTGATGGGGATAGCATTGAATCATAAATTACTCTGGGCAGTATGGCCATTTTCATGATATTGGTTCTTCTCATCCATGAGCATGGAATGTTTTTCCATTTGTTTGTGTCCTTTCTTATTTCCTTGAGCAGTGTTTTGTAGTTCTACTTGAAGAGGTCCTTCACATCCCTTGTAAGTTGTATTCCTAGGTATTTTATTCTCTTAATAGCAATTGTGAATGGGAATTCACTCATGATTTGGCTCTCTGTTTGTCTGTTATTGGTGTAAAGGAATGCATGTGATTTTTGCACATTGATTTTGTATCCTGAGACTGCTGAAGTTGCTTATCAGCTTAAGGAGATTTAGGGCTGAGAGGATGGGGTTTTCTAAATATACAATCATGTCATCTGCAAACAGAGACAATTTGTCTTCCTCTCTTCCTGTTTGAATACTTTTATTTCTTTCTCTTACCTGATTGCCCTGGCCAGAACTTCCAATACTGTGTTGAATAGGAGTGGTGAGAGAGGGCATCCTTGTCTTGTGCCAGTTTTCAAAGGGAATGCTTCCAGTTTTTGCCCATTCAGTATGATATTGGCTGTGGGTTTGTCATAAATAACTCTTATTATTTTCAGATACGTTCCATTGATACCTAGTTTATTGAGAGTTTTTAGTATGAAGGGCTGTTAAATTTTGTCTAAGGCCTTTTCTGCATCTATTGAGATAATCATGTGGTTTTTGTCATTGGTTCTGTTTATGTGATGGGTTATGTTTATTGATTTGTGTATGTTGAACCAGCCTTGCATCCCAGGTATGAAGCCAACTTCATCATGTGGATAAGTTTTTGATGTACCGCTGGATTTGCTTTGCCAGTATTTTATTGAGGATTTTCGCATCTATGTTCATCAGGGATATTGGCGTGAAATTTTGTTTTTTTGTGGTGTCTCTGCCAGGCTTTGGTATTAGGATGATACTGGCCTCACAAAATGAGTTAGGGAGGATTCCCTGTTTTTCTATTGTTTGGAATAGTTTCAGAAGGAATGGTACCAGCTCCTCTTTGTACCTCTGGTAGAATTGGGCTATAAATCTGTCTGGTCCTGGGCTTTTTTTGGTTGGTAGGCTATTAATTACTGCCTCAATTTCAGAACTTGTTATAGGTCTATTCAGGAATTTGACTTCTTCCTGGTTTCAACTTGGGAGAGTGTATGTGTTTAGGAATTTATCCATTTCTTCTATGTTTTCTAGTTTATTTGCATAGAGGTGTTTATAGTATTCTCTGATGGTAGTTTGTATTTCTCTGGGATCAGTGGTGATATCCCCTATATAATTTTTTATTGTATCTATTTGATCCTTCTCTCTTTTCTTCTTTATTATTCTTGCTAGCAGTCTATCTATTTTGTTGATCTTTTCAAAAAACCAGCTTCTGAATTCATTGATTTTTTGAAGGGTTTTTTTGTGTGTCTCTATCTCCTTCAGTTCTGCTCTGATCTTAGTTATTTTTTGTCTTCTGCTAATTTTTGAATTTGTTTGCTGTTGCTTCTCTAGTTCTTTTAATTGTGATGTTAGGGTGTCAGTTTTAGATCTTGCCTGCTTTCTCTTGTGGTCATTTAGTGCTATAAATTTCCCTCTACACACTGCTTTAAATGTGTCCCAGAGATTCTGGTACATTGTGTCTTCATTCTCATCAGTTTCAAGGAATGTCTTTATTTCTGCCTTCATTTTGTTATTTACCCAGTAGTCATTCAGGAGCAGGTTGTTCAGTTTCCATGTAGTTTTGTGGTTTTGAGTGAGTTTCTTAGTACTGAGTTCTAATTTGATTGCACTGTGGTCTGAGAGACTGTTTGTTATGATTTCCATTCTTTTGTATTTGCTGAGGAGTGTTTTACTTCCAATTATCCAGTCAATTTTAGAATAAGCATGATGAGGTGCTGAGAAGAATGTATATTCTGTTGATTTGGGGTGGAGAGTTCTTCAGATGTCTATTAGGTCTGCTTGGTCCAGACCTGAGTTCAAGTCCTGAATATCCTTGTTAATTTTCTGTCTCATTGATCTCTCTAATATTGACAGTGGGGTGTTAAAATCTCCCACTATTATTGTGTGGGAGTCTAAGTCTCTTTGTAGGTCTCTAAGAACTTGCTTTATGAATCTGGGTGCTCCTGTATTGGGTGCATATATATTTAGGATAATTAGCTCTTCCTGCTGAATTGGTCCCTTTACCATTATGTAATGCCCTTCTTTGTCTCCTTTGATCTTTGTTGATTTAAAGCCTGTTTTATCAGAGATTACAATCGCAACTCCTGCTTTTTCTTTTGCTTTCCATTTGCTTGGTAAATATTTCTCCATCCCTTTATTTTGAGCCTATGTGTGTCTTTAAACGTGAGATGGGTCTCCTGAATACAGCACACTGATGGGTCTTGGCTCTTTATCCAATTTGCCAGTCTGTATCTTTTAACTGGGGCATTTTATCACATTTACATTTAAGGTTAATATTGTTGTGTGTGAATTTGATCCTGTCATTTTGATGTTAGCTGGTTATTTTGCTTGTTAGTTGATGCAGTTTCTTCCTAGCCTCAATGGTCTTTACAATTTGGCATGTTTTTATAGTGGCTGGTACTGGTTTTTCCTTTCCATGTTTAGTGCTTCCTTCAGGAGCTCTTTTAGGGCAGGCCTGGTGGTGACAAAATCTCTCAGCATTTGCTTGTCTGAAAAGTATTTTATTTCTCCTTCACTTATGAAGCTTAGTTTGGCTGGATATGAAATTTTGGGTTGAAAATTCTTTTCTTTAAGAATGTTGAGAATTGGCCCCCACTCTCTTCTGGCTTGTAGAGTTTTTGCCAAGAGATCAGCTGTTAGTCTGATGGACTTCCCTTTATGGGTAACCTGACCTTTCTCTCTGGCTGCCTTTAACATTTTTTCCTTCATTTCAACTTTGGTGAATCTGACAATTATACGTCTTGGAGTTGCTCTTCTCGAGGAGTAACTTTGTGGCATTCTCTGTATTTCCTGAATTTGAATGTTGGCCTGCCTTTCTAGATTGGGGAAGTTCTCCTGGATAATATCCTGCAGAGTGTTTTCCAACTTGGTTCCATTCTCCCTGTCACTTTCAGGTACACCAATCAGACGTAGATTTGGTCTTTTCACATAGTACCATATTTCTTGGAGGCTTTGTTCATTTCTTTTTATTATTTTTTCTCTAAACTTCTCTTCTTGCTTCATTTAATTCATTTGATCTTCCATCACTGATACCCTTTCTTCCAGTTGATCAAATCAGCTACTGAGGCTTATGCATTCGTCACGTAGTTCTTGTGCCATGGTTTTCAGCTCCATCAGGTCCTTTAAGCACTTCTCTGCATTGGTTATTCTAGTTAGCCATTTGTCTTATCTTTTTTCAAGGTTTTAACCTCTTTGCCATGGGTTCGAACTTCCTTCTTTAGCTCGGAGTAGTTTGATTGTCTGAAGCCTTCTTCTCTCAACTCGTCAAAGTCATTCTCCATCCAGCTTTGTTCCGTTGCTGGTGAGGAGCTGCATTCCTTTGGAGGCGGAGAGGCGCTCTGATTTTTAGAATTTTCAGTTTTTCTGCTTTGTTTTTTCCCCATCTTTGTGGTTTTATCTACCTTTGGTCTTTGATGATGGTGACGTACAGATGGGATTTTGGTGTGGATGTCCTTTCTGTTTGTTTGTTTTCCTTCTAACAGTCAGGACCCTCAGCTGCACATCTGTTGGAGTTTGCTGGAGGTCCACTCCAGACCCTGTTTGCCTGGGTATCAGCAGCGGTGGCTGCAGAACAGCGGATATTGGTGAACAGCAAATGTTGCTGCCTGATCTTTCCTCTGGAAGTTTTGTCTCAGAGGAGTACCCGGCTGTGTGAGGTGTCAGTCTGCCCCTACTGGGGGGTGCCTCCCAGTTAGGCTACTCAGGGGTCAGGGACCCACTTGAGGAGGCAGTCTGTCCGTTCTCATATCTCAAGCTGCGTGCTGGGAGATCCACTACTCTCTTCAAAGCTGTCAGACAGGGACATTTAAGTCTGCAGAGGTTTCTGCTGCCTTTTGTTTGGCTATGCCCTGCCCCCAGAAGTGGAGTCTACAGAGGCAGGCAGGCCTTCTTGAGCTGTGGTGGGCTGTACCCAGTTTGAGCTTCCCAGCCACTTTGTTTACCTACTCAAGCCTCAGCAATGGCGGGCACCCCTCCCCCAGCCTCACTGCCACCTTGCAGTTTGATCTCAGACTGCTGTGCTAGTAATGAGTGAGGTTCCGTGGGCATAGGACCCTCTGAGCCAGGCACGGGATATAATCTCCTGGTGTGCTGCTTGCTAAGACCACTGGAAAAGTGCAGTATTAGGGTGGGACTGACCCGATTTTCCAGGTGCCCTCTGTCACCCCTTTCCTTGGCTAGAAAAGGGAATTCCCCAACCCCTTGAACTTCCCGGGTGAGGTGATGCCTCAGCCTCCTTTGGCTCAGACTTGGTGCACTGCACCCACTCTCCGACAATCCCCAGTGAGATGCACCCAGTACCTCAGTTGGAAATGCAGAAATCATTCGTCTTCTGCATCACTGACACTGGGAGCTGTAGACTGGAGCTGTTCCTATTCGGCCATCTTGGCTTCACCCCCCTATTTGTGGTTTTTTGTATATTTTTTTAGGTAGGGTTGTAACATTCTGGGGATTCAATGAGATGACACTACCTTGTAAAACTATAATTATAAAGTTTTATGGAAGACAGGATGAGATCACAGAATATTTCAGTGGGAAGAAACTTGGAATTCCTTTTAAAAGAAGAATATTGATTTCCAGAGTGTTGGGGTGAGTGCTTGAGGTGGCCTGACTGAATTAACAGTAATGCTAAAGCAGACACTAAACATCTGATCTTTTGAGAGAATTCTGGTACCTTCACATTACCAGACTTCTCTTTAAGCTTCTTCCGTTATTCATTCAATCAGCAAATGTTTACTAATCATCTAAGAAACTTGCTAAGTGCTGAGGTTATAGCAGGAAACACTACAGACAAAACCTCAGTGCCAGCAGAAGTCGAATTCTTGTCTGTATGTGTGTGTGGAGAGGTGAAGGAGCGAAAATAAACCAGTAAGCAAAGGTATAACATAATTTCAGCCATCAATAAGTGTTATTCTATCTCCTTTATGAGCTTCTCATTATCATCATTCCTATCCTGCAAGTAGATTTCTAAGCACAAAAAGGTCTCATGTTTGGTTCCAAGGCACATCTTTTCAAGCAACACAATAGAGGAGGAAGAGAGGTCAAATAAATCTCTAGGGCAGCACGTTTTGTACTATCTGTCAAAACAACCAAAAGATTTGCCATAATTTAAAAAAACTCTGAAACTTGAACCTACTATAAGAAGTAGGCCTTACTGAATGAGGAGAAGATGTATACTTTTGAAATCAAAGTATCATCTTTGGCTTAAGGAATGCGTAATTCAACTTTCCTTCACATGAATTACATATTAGTGCTTTGAATAACAAAAATATTATTTGAGTTTTATTTTTTATATGATAAAATATATATATAACATAAGATTTACCATTGTAACCATTTTAAGTGTATATTTCAGTGGCATTCAGAACATTTACATTGTTGCACAATCATCACTACCATCTGTCTCCAGAGCTTTTCATTATCACAAACTGAAACCCTATTCCCATAAAACAATAACTCCCAATTCCCCCATCCTCCTAGCCCCTAGTAACCACCATTTTACTCTCTTTCTGTATGAATTTGACTACTAAAGGTACCTCAGGTATGTGGAACATACAATGTTTTAAAATATTATTTTAGCCAGGCGCGGTGGCTCACGCCTGTAATCCCAGCACCTTGGGAGGCCGAAGCGGGCAGATCACGATGTCAGGAGATCAAGACCATCCTGGCTAACAGGGTGAAACCCTGTCTGTACTAAAAATACAAAAATTAGCCGGGCGTGGTGGCAGACACCTGTAGTCCCAGCTACTTGAAAGGCTGAGGCAGGAGAATGGCGTGAACCCAGGAGGCGGAGCTTGCAGTGAGCCGAGATCGTGCCACTGCACTCCAGCCTGGATGACAGAGCGAGACTCCGTCTCAAAAACAAAAAACAAAACAAAACAAAACAAAAGAAAACAAAATATTATTTTAAAAACTAACCTACTCTTTATCTCAAAAACAAAAACAAAAAAATATTATTTTAAAAACTAACCTACTCTTTATCTCAAAAACAAAAAAAAAAAATATTATTTTAAAAACTAACCTACTCTTTATAGGAATCAAATGGCAAATTACTAGCACAGGTAACTTTGTTCTGACCATTGTTATTAATTGTGGTTTTTATGCATTTTGCTTATGAGAATTGTGAGGTGACAAGTGAAGGAAGCAATTTTAGAAAATTTCAAACCAAATAAATCACTAGAGCCTTGCCATGTCATGCAGAGCTTCTGTTGGCTTAAAGAAGGCAAGTTTTAGAATCCAGAGCTTCTTAATTACTTTTACATTATTGTTATTGATTTCCTTACTGGAGGTATAAGTTTATAAGACCTGTAAGGTATTATACTGTATAGTTTTGGGGTGATGTTTCCCATGCAAATGAAACATTTTCCTAATGTTCAACATTATTTTTCCCCTGAAACAACACCAAAAAGATGGCTTTGATCGATCATAACACATACATTTTATAATGGGGTAAAATCAATTATAGCTGCACCATTTGATTTAAACAAAACCCAGATTGTGGGGATAATGCTAACAAATGCGTTAGCAGCATCACTTTCATTTTCTGTCCCAGTGCTAATTGAGTAGACAAGACTTTTCTTTTGCAGCAACCAAATACTGATAAAATCCCTTTTGCTGTTCTGTCACCCATTAAACTGATGACGTTCAGGCCTTGACTTCCTACAAATTTGATCTATATTCAGCAAAGCTACACATTTAAAAATCTTGACTTTTAAGATTTTATTAAGTTTTAAATATGTTTTAACTCAAGACCAGAAACACTTAAATTATATATGATTCAAGCATACTTGAAAAGGCTAGGTGAATGATTTTCAATGCCTTCAATTCTCTGTCCTCTAAAATTAACTTTGGAAATGCTCCTGTCTGCTTTTAAAGACGGAGTGGTAAGATTTTCTATGTACCATTGCAGAGCAAAGGCTGAAAAACCAGTAAGATCTGTAACCACGTTACAGTGGGCTTACTGAGTATTTTTCCAAAGTTAAAGGGATGAGGGTTGGGAGACTTAGCTAGAAAAAGCTGAATAATTAAGAGGAAGAAACTGGCAAAAGGAACCCAGGACCTAATTTAAAAAAATAAGTAGGCTGGGCTTCATTGATATGTTTATAAAGAGATATATTAACTTAAATTTGGAGTTGAGAAAATAAATATGCCTCTGTGCCACTCATTGGCTCATGCTGCCCTGAATGACCATATATATTTTATTTATGTGTCTTGTTTCTCTAGAATAGGAGACTTGCTATGCATTGCTAGTTTACAAAATATGTATTGGTGGCTATTAATGTCAATGGTGGTGGTGATGATGATGGTGGTGGTGGTAGTGACTACTACCACTGAGAGAGCCAGGAGCAGGGGGAAAGGCAAGACAAAAGGAAGAAAGAAATGCATGAAGGAAAGCCATCAGTGAAACCTCCTAATAGGGCAGACCCAGCCAATCTTCTCTTCTCTGCTCCCATGGGCCATATCTCTGTTGCACAAACGCTCTTGCCTTTTTTAATTTAGATGGAGGCAAATCTCATTTTAATAGCAAAAGCCTTTACTGACAGTGATTTTGATAATGAACAAGAAATGTATCTGCAGATTTTTGAGCTACTGCATGTGTAAAAATTCCTTGGCATCCAAGTAGTCAAGATAATAGCATTCAGCAAGAAAGCAACCTGTCTCAGTTTTCCAAAAGATTGACTATTTTATATTTTAAAAGATTATTTTTTATTCTATGTCCCAGAGAGTGCAAAGCAGTGCCATACATCTTGTGAGGGGAGGAGAAGAAAATTTTATTTCATATCATTGAGCAAATGCATATCAGGAGGACCTTTCTGAATCAGGCTTGAGTCAAGTACTAATAAAGGCAGCCCAGTGGAGGGAGGGGACCAGGAGACAGAAGCATCTAACAAAGTGCAAGTTAGTTGCACCAGCAGAATCAGTTCTCACCTCTGTGACCCAGGCATCTTATCCGAGACTCCAGAACAGGTTATTTATTGCTCTCTTTACCCAGGGCTGCTGAATGGCTTTCACCTAAACCACGGAGAACATCCTTTGTGAGTGAATTCAAAATCGCCACTAAGTTTATGTCATAAAAGGGAGTTGTAAGTGAATTTCTGTATACTTAGATTAGAACTTCCATCTACTCGTCTAGTACAATGATTACATAATTAACATAATTAACATTCTTGTTCCTATAAGTGCATATTCTGCACAACAGAATGTTTTAGGGAAAAACAGTGCCTAGCTTTGGTTTTATTTTATACATTCCAAAGGTATAGAGTAAACAGAGAGGAGGAGGGTGATACATGTTCCCTAACTGTATCCTAATAGATACAAAACATTAAAAAGTTCCAATGTCTAAAAAATTGCATTATTACAGATTCCTAAGTAAAGCTTAGGAAAGAATTCTATGGTCAAACTACCACAGTATTGTAGCAGGAACATGTGTTAAAAATCACCTACAAAGTGATTTAATATATCATCTCTGTTTAGAAACTGAGGCATATCATTAGCAAGTAACTCCAGCGAGCACATCTAAAAAATGAAATACAATAGCTAGTGCTTAGATACTTGGAAAGTCAAGCTGTTTTTCCTGGGTGGGGTTTCCATTTGGCTGAGGGCTGACATGAAAGGTGATAGGGGTTTCCTCCTAGCTCCATTCACAGAGCTCCCATTTTATGACAATTATTGCACCATGGTACATTCACTCGTATATAAGCTGAGATGTCAGAGGGGTTCCTGACCTTGACATATCAGTAGAAATTCCCAAAACACAGCAGGTCAGGTAGTCCTTAAATGTCCAGTCAATGCTATTTAGGCAGGAATCACTAACATGATATTTTCCTTGCTGGGAAATTATTGCAAGGCATCTATCATATGCAGTCCTGTGTAGAGTTTGATTAACTATGGCAGTAACTGCAGCCAAGGCTTTTAGGACAAAATCGAAGATCTGGTAATAAAAGAACGAGATGATGTAGGCAGCATGTTGCTCATATGCATCATAAGGAGAGAGATTTCAATAGCACGGCACATGCAGCAGCATCTATGCATTCAAAGCCACCTTCTAGTTCAGAATTTGAAAACTGGTGCTGGTTGGGCTCTCTGAAGCACTGAACATTGTGAAGAATTTCATGGGTATTTATGGTTAAGAGCAGACGCGGAGCAGGATATTGGCGGTGTGGCAGGCTGCCTCAGCTGCAGCTGTGGGTATATCCCTGCATGCAGAGGGTACTCAGGCCCCAGCTCCCCCTGCTGCCGCACCAGGCTTGCAGGAGAGTCTGCAGCACCACCTTACATTTCCTCCTTTATCCAGTCACGTGGCATAGCCCTGCAGTAACTCCAGAGCCCGCTGATTGCTCCCTTCACACGTGTTGCCTCTGCCTAGAATGCATAACCCCCATATCTGATTTCTCCCCCTTTGCTTTCAGTTTAAATGTCACCTCCTTCCCTGCCATCTCCCTCCGTCATGTAACGTAGGATGGCAGTTACCTTTCTTTATTACTCTATTCTGGTTCCTTCTTGGTTCTCTTCAGAGCACTTACATGCTATACTTTGCTTATTTGCATGCCATTCAGTCCATTCTCTTCCTTTTTTAAACAGGGATATTAATGGCCAGAGAGTTAGAGAAAGTGCTCAAGCTTGCTTATTTAAATTAATAGTGGTGCCCTTAACTACGTCTATAACATCTGAAAGTGCAGGGACATCTGAAAGACCATTTGTTTGCAAATAAAACGGATGAGTAGTGATAAAGCAAACAGCAAACACATAGTCCAAAGGAAGGAACAAAACATTTTTCCTTAGGCTGCTAGCAGACATCTGTTCTCCCTCTTCTTCATACACAGCCACTGAATAGGAAGAAGTACATTTACCCCTCTCTCCATCTCCTCTCCACCTCTCCATACCAGGGCTCCATCATTTCTTTCTCTAACACTCTGGATAAAATATTGGTTAATAGGATCTGGAGTGGGCATCTGGGAGGGGCATCTGATCTTCAGGGACTTCAGGTCTTGCTTATAAAAGGAGGAGATAAAGAAAAGTGGTCCTGCCTGGTCCAGCCCGAACATATTGACAGGCTCCTAGGGCCCAAGTCCTGTGCTGAGTCTTTTGTCCGGTTTCCATTTTCTGTTACCCTAACTTGATAAGGGTCAGCTCCCCAGAGGAAACAAGGAAGCAGCCTGATCCAGAAAGTGAGTCAAGGGGGAGTAGATAACCATGCTGAGGAAGTTGTAATGGTGTTCAGAATGCAGACACAGAAACACAAAGCTTTGCAAACTTGGTGTGCTTGAGAATGATACAAGGAGCTTGTTTCAATTCAAATTCCCGGGTTTCCCTAACCCCTTGAAATTTGGATTCAGTAGGTTTGGGTGGGAGTGTTAGACCTCAGAATCTATATTTTAAAGAGACACCTGATAATATTGTAAAAGTTAGTTTTATATCTTTACCTGTCATCAAAGAATCAAGCATCTGTGGCTTGAGCTCTGTGATCTAGGTCAGAGCTTCTAACTGATGTGTGTTCCAATACTGCTTCCCATAAGTGGCTAGGGAGCCCTGGTCCAGAGGGATGACCCTTGACCAGCCCCATCCCTTTACCTTGCTGTGCCTTGTAAATGCTGTCATTTGTTCTGAGTGTCTTCATGTGAAAGCAGTTGTGAAACACTGGTTAAGCAACATTATTTTATAATCTCAAATGGGTTTACTATCCTTTGACTAACAAAGTTAATTTCAGAACTAACAGGAGTGAAGAAAAGATATAGTTCAGGGTTAGTGTTGAGTGCAAGAGGGTCCCCTGTTAGACATTGCCATTTGCCACCCACTCTACAAATCCAGAAAGACACAAAGTCCTGGAGACTGAGTGTGAGTGCCAGAGATGGAATGTTTTTGTCGCCCCACCCCACCCCACATTTATAGGTTGAAGTCCTAACTCTCAATGTGATAGTATTAGGAGGTGGAGCTTTGGGGAGGTGATTATATCAGGAGGGTAGAGCCCTCAGGAATGTGATTAGTGATCTTATAAAAGAGACCCCAAATAGCTCCCTGGTCCCTTCTCATGTTAGAAACCAGTTAGAAGGAGCCATCTGTGAACCAGGAAGGGGCCCTCATAAGAACCTGAATCTGCTGATGTCTTGATCTTGGACTTTGTAGCCTTGAAAACTGTGAGAAATAAATCTGTATTGTTGATAAGCCACTGAGTCTATGGTATTCTGCTACAGAAGCCTGAAAGCATTAAGACAGTGAGGACTCCATGCTGCATGTTCTTCAGGCAAGGTACCCACTCTTCTTGCATTGAATCACTGCTTCTTTTCTTTCTTCTACCATTTGGCAGCAATTCTCATTGCTGCGTGTGTGTGTGTGTGTGTGTGTGTGTGTGTGTGTGTGTGTGTGTGTGTGTATTTTTTGGAGACAGGGTCTTCTTCTGTTGCTCAGGTTGGAATGCAATGTTGCAATCATAGCTCACTGCAGCCTTAAATGATCTGAAGTGATCTCTTCTCATTTCAGTCTCTCATGTAGTGGACAGTACAGGCACATGGCCACCGTGCCTGGCTAATTAAAAAACAATTTTTTTCAGATGGGGTCTCACTGTGTTGCCCAGGCTGCTCTTGAACTTCTGAGCTCCAGTGATCCTCCTGCCTCAACCTCTGGACTAGTGGGGATTACAGATGTGAGTGATTGTGCTTGGCTGTCTTGTATTTTTAAAACATGTCATACGATGCTGCTTGTCTCTCCAATAGAACAGAGTCCACTCATCAAACGTATAGTCCTTCCAGGCACAGTGTCTATAATCTCAGATACTCAGCAGGCAGAAGTAGGAGGATTGCTTGAGCTGAGAAGTTCAAGACTAGCCTGGGCAACATAGTGAGACACTATCTCAAAAAAAAGTAGAGTCTCCAGGCCCATCTGATAAGAATTGAGAAGGTTTTTTATTACTTATTCTGAAAAGAGGAATTGTACCACTTCAAGGAAAGCACATGTGCTAAACTTGTCTTTGACTTCAGCACCTGGAAAGATAGAGATTAGGCATCCTCCCTCTGCTGACCAACACCCAGCTCATATTTGGATGAGTTTTCCCTTGACACATCACTTCTTGCCTCCCAGGTTGCAGGCAGAGTGCACAGTGACAGGGTGGCAGGCGTTCAGGATGCTCCCACCCTCCCTGTTCTTTACAGTTGACTTGCCCTTTCTTGCCTGAGGTCTACCAGGAGATTCAGAGCTACAGCAGCAAACAGCACTCGTTGCTCTAGGAGCCTGAGGCACTACGCATCTGCTCCTGATGTAGACACTAGAACTGAGGGTTGTTGGGGGAAGCTGCCCGTGATTTAAGATGATCTTATGGGCAATTTAGTTAAACCTGCTGTGCCACATTGTCTCAGGGCAGGAAGATGAATGTAATTTTTAGTGATTGAATCAGCTGGCATTCGAAAGAGCAGGAGCCAGAAAGAGTCACCTCCCTGGGAAACTTGATAGATGAAAAATGACCCAAAGATGTCCCCGGCTAAGTATTCAGCTTGATTGGCACAAGGTACTGAAAACCTCTCCATGTTTACAATAATTTACTTAAGATTTCTGCTAAAACTCCCTGCCATTTCCCCAGCAGAGGATGGGGTCTGGGTTTTATATGTTGCTATTTTTTACCCCCATGCTTTTCTTTGAATATAAATTATCAATTATTTGTAATAACACAAATATACAATTGTGGTTTAAAAATGCACAGTTGATTTTCAGTTGACTTTTGAATATAGTTTTGTATTTACATATGAAAATGTGTTTCATGCTTTGAGAATTCATGTTTAGCAAAATAATGAAGCCCCACTGGGTAGCTCTCCTTCAGCAAGTGTTGGAAGGCTGCTCAGTTCCTGTCTAACTCCTTTCGTCGGCTCTTATTTATAATCCATGATGTACTGAGATTCAACAGTATCAACCTTTAGACATTTTGGCTAGTAGGAGAAAGTTAAATATTTGCATTTCTACTTTTTCTTTTTTTGATGAAGTGAATGGAATTTGCAAACACTATAATGCAGCATACTAGGTGTCCTGAGCAGGCATGGCATTGCAGAAAGATCATAGGAATTGGTATCACAAGATATGGGTTTGAGTCCTGCTGCTTAATAATAGAGCCTTAGGCAAGCTATTTAGTCTCTCTAAGCATTAGACCTTCCTCATTAAGGGTTATCATTGCCAGTACCATGCTTATGCCATGGGATGGTTATGAAGATCAAATGAGATGGTAGATATGAAAGCATTTAGTAAACTGCAACGTGTTCCTTTCAAGCAGTCTAGGGTTCTGGCACTAAACAAGCATCTTGGGTTGAGGAAGTGGTAATTGTCGCAGAGATTGAGTGTGAGAGTTTCTGTTTACAAAGAGAGAGACTACCTGAAATAATTGCAAATGAACTTTCAGTGGACTTTCAAAAATTTCTCTTCAAGCTGAAACAGTGTGAAAAGGAGGTATCAGAACAGATACCCTCATGCCAAAATGAAGAGAACCTATAATAGAGGCTCAAGCTGGCACTTGAGCCTCTGACATTAGCTGGTTGCAGATCTTGTCTTTTTCTTCCCTCTGTATCTCTCTGGGTGATCTCATTCAATCCCACGATGTTAAATGCCGTCTATATGCTTGAAGACGCTGAATGTTCTAGCTCCAAATTGGAACTTTCTCTGAGTTTAACGATATGAAATGGGGTCTGCTCACCTGGTGCAGTAATACCAGATATGCACACCGAAGATTGCAGTGGGAAAAATGGAAGGCATTTATTTTCAGGGTGCCAAGCAAGGAGGATCAAGCAGCTAATGCTTGAGTCCTGACCTCCCCAGTAGCTTACAGGTAAGTGTCTTTTAACAGCAGGAGTAAATTTCAGGAAAGCAGAAGTTACAGGCAAAATCGTAAATCAATACATCAAGGTTACACATTGGTTTCGCCCTAAAAGGGCAGGATATCTTGAAGTGGAGGCTTACAGACCGTAGTCAGATTCAAAGATTTTTTGAATTGCAATTGGTTAAGGAAGAGAAGCTTTATTTTAAAATTTGGGGTCAGCAGAAAAGAATGTTAGCTCTGGCTTGTGAGTGTAACTTCCTCCAGGCCCCTCAGGAAGACATTTAGAACACAGAATGATATGGTCAGAGTTCAGTTTCCAGTTCCCCCTTCTCTGATGTCCACATACCAGCAGAGCTGAAGTTGGTAGGAATGGAGATCTGAAGTTGGTGGGAATTGGGGTTTCTGAAAAACAACTCAGAGACATACGTTGTGGGGTTATCTTTAGTTTCTATAGGAAACCAGCTAGCCCGTGATTCTAGCTTCATTGGCTATTGTTTTAAGCTACTATTTCTTGCTTATCAAGTTGTTTATTTACTTCTCAGAGCTAGCTAGGTGCCTGGAGTTTCCCTTGAAGGAACTCAAGATTTTCCTTTATTTCCATGCTTGGGGTCCCACAGGTCCATAAGGGGAGGTCCTGACTCCTCATGACCTCCAAACATACATCCAATTAAATTTTCAACATTATCACATGGATGTATGATAGGCATTAGAAAATTAACATGGCCTATACTGAGCTACTCTCTGCTCCTCAAATCTACTTCCCATCAAGGCTTATTTATCTTAACAGATGGCATTACCATTCACCCGCTGGTTCAGGCCCAAATTATGAGAAACATTCATGCTGGACTCTGCATGGAAGTCTGCCAAGTGTTCAAATCCCAGGTCTGCTGCTTATTAGCTTGGTGACTTTGGATCAGTTACTTAATCTTTCTTTACTTCAGTTTCCTTAACTATAAATGGGCATAATCTATATCTCCATTTTTAATCTGTAAAGTGAGGATAATAATACTACCTATTTCTTTGAAATTTTGTGAAGTTTAAATGTAAAGCACTCAATTTAGTGCCTAACACATCGTCAATTCTATGAGAGGCTTGTTGCTATTGTTATGATTTTCCCACAACACCTAGGTTTCACTAGCAAATGTTGTCAGCTCTGCTTCCAAAATATACTCTAAATTTGACCACTTCTCACTATTCCATTATCGCAGCCCCTGTCCAGACTGTAATTCCTTCTCTGTTGAAGTCCTGGATACTTCCTAACTTGTTGCCTGCTCCACTTACCCTCTGTTACTACAGAGCAGCCAGCATCTGGGCCCCTCACCAGGCCTGCTGGGCCACAGCCACTCAGGTCCTGCCTTCTTTCCCATCTTATGGCTTCTCTCTACCACATTCAGAATGAGCTAGCATGCCATGATTGCTCCTGTGCACCAATTATTTCTCAACTCAGTTGTCACCCCTTCCAAGAGATCTTCCTGTGTCTCCACAGAGAAGCCCCCTCACCAGCCATTGCCTGCCATTGTTATTCCATCTGGGTTTATTCCTGGCTCTTAGCAGGATCTGAGTTCTAGCAATGGACAGGTCTAAGGCTTCCTGTTCGTCTCCCCATGAAATGTCAGATGAGAGCCTGTCTGTTTTGTTGCTATGTCCTGACAATGTTAAAATTTACCTGATTTCTATGATCCTGAAGGACAGCAGAAGTTGAGAAATCCCTTTACCCTTTGTGTCCTGGGAAACAGCTTACTTTAAAAGAACCATCCTTCCCCATCCTTATCTTTGATAAGATTAACAGATGACCTCCCTTGTTTACTTGTGACAATGCCAGACACAAACCCTCCAAATTTTCTTTCTTTTTTTTTTTTTTTTCTGCCTCATAAATGCATAGCTGAACTGCTTTTCCCCACTGGCCAATCCCCACTGATCAATTGGAACAAAATGCTTGTTAACCAGATTTGGTTAATATCCTTTTCTTCCCCCAGGCCAAAGAACTTTGGCTCACATTCTGCTTGAGCCAGCAGACAGCCCCAGAGACTAGGTTGGCCTCTGGGTAAAACATTCTTGGACCTATCATCCAATCATGCCACCCTTTCATCCTATTTCTCCACATCTATTTGGATCCTGTTGAAATCCTCTTTCATCCTATTTCTCTACACATGTTTTTCCTAGCCTCTTTGCTCCTTCCTGTAAAAGAAAAGCCCTTTTTGCATAACCCTTGAGATGATTACAGATCAGTGTTGTCCCTGTGGCAATAGCTTCACTCTCCCTATGCAATGGTTCTTTTCCCCTCTTCCAATAATCTTTTCAAATAAAGTCTCTCTTAATAAATCCAGATTTGTTTTTTTATTTGACAGTCCCCAGTGTCTAAAAGGTGCCTGGCTCATGATAGATAGCTAATGGATATTTGTTATGGACTAAAAATAGATTGCTATTTGGGATTCTAGCCAAAATATTGTAGCTCTTTTTTGTCAACCCGTATGCCTGGTGAATCCCAATGCTTGTTGTTGAAATCCCAACACTGTGGAGCCACACAGAGGCAGTTTCACTTTGAACTGGCTGCAGGATGCAGAGACAGAATCTCAGGAGAGACAAGGCATTCAAGCCCAGAATGGGTGCCTGATGGTAGAAATAAAATTGCCATTAACCTATTATCTCATTTCATTTTATTCACTTGCAGAAAGAAATGCATGTTCTGATCATCTGCAGATTTCAGTTTCCCTGTTACCCACTCAGTCCTTCACAGCATACCACCAGCAAGAAAGATAAGCGTAGTGTGGGGGCATGTCTTTGTATTTATGGAGACTAACTATCCATGTAATCAAAGGGTATTATTATTATTATTTTTTAAGTTTTTCATTTTTCAATTATGTATTTATAATTTTATAAATCTTGTATCTAAATTTGTGTTGTGTTCCTGGCTGTATTTAAAAATTAAGATGCACAGAAACAAAATAGAATAAAATAAGCCATAAATCCATTCTCCATCTCCAATACATACACACATCTATATCCGTCAACTATTTTTAAAGTTTTCTTTGTTTTATATCAGTCACATTTAGCCTCTGTTTTTTGAGCATGGAGTATTTAGCCAACTATAATTTTATAGGGAAAATTATCTTCAGCCTTGAAAGATAGACCCATTCGTATTTCCCAAATCCTGCTTAAACAGCTGTGATTTAAAAAGCAAACAACTTTCCATACCAGTTCAGATTTTCCTCTTCTTGTGACTAATCTAAGCATCCTTCTCAACTGCAAATATATTAAATGATAATCATGACTGAGGTACATAGCTAATTTGGGTTTATTGCCTGTTTATATATATAACAAATGTAAGCTTCCGCAGTTAGCATGATTATGTTTCAAAACTCATAAAATAGGCTTTAATTTATTGTAACTATATTGTCATTTTGAGTTAATTTATTTAAGAAAATTCAGCTCACTGCTATTAAGAAATCTTTTTCAAAGTCGAGCATGAAAAAGGCTATTAATTAACTCTTTATTGATGGATCGATCAGAGGAGGAGACTTTGCCATTCATGGGCCCTGCTGGATACTCAACACAATATAAAAGTCTTTTTTTTTTATTTTTATTATACTTTAAATTTTAGGGTACATGTGCACATTGTGCAGGTTAGTTACATATGTATACATGTGCCATGCTGGTGCACTGCACCCACTAACTCATCATCTAGCATTAGGTATATCTCCCAGTGCTATCCCACCCCCCTCCCCCCACCCCACAACAGTCCCCGGAGTGTGATATTCCCCTTCCTGTGTCCATGTGATCTCATTGTTCAATTCCCACCTATGAGTGAGAATATGCGGTGTTTGGTTTTTTGTTCTTGTGATAGTGTACTGAGAATGATGTTTTCCAATTTCATCCATGTCCCTACAAAGGACATGAACTCATCATTTTTTATGGCTGCATAGTATTCCATGGTGTATATGTGCCACATTTTCTTAATCCAGTCTATCATTGTTGGACATTTGGGTTGGTTCCAAGTCTTTGCTATGGTGAATAATGCCGCAATAAACATACGTGTGCATGTGTATTTATAGCAGCATGATTTATAGTCCTTTGGGTATATACCCAGTAATGGGATGGCTGGGTCAAATGGTATTTCCAGTTCTAGATCCCTGAGGAATCGCCACACTGACTTCCACAATGGTTGAACTAGTTTACAGTCCCACCAACAGTGTAAAAGTGTTCCTATTTCTCCACATCCTCTCCAGCACCTGTTGTTTCCTGACTTTTTAGTGATTGCCATTCTAACTGGTGTGAGATGGTATCTCATTGTGGTTTTGATTTGCATTTCTCTGATGGCCAGTGATGATGAGCATTTTTTCATGTGTTTTTTGGCTGCATAAATGTCTTCTTTTGAGAAGTGTCTGTTCATGTCCTTCACCCACTTTTTGATGGGGTTGTTTGTTTTTTTCTTGTAAATTTGTTTGAGTTCATTGTAGATTCTGGATATTAGCCCTTTGTCAGATGAGTAGGTTGTGAAAATTTTCTCCCATTTTGTAGGTTGCCTGTTCACTCTGATGGTAGTTTCTTTTGCTGTGCAGAAGCTCTTTAGTTTAATTAGATCCCATTTGTCAATTTTGTCTTTTGTTGCCATTGCTTTTGGTGTTATAGACATGAAGTCCTTGCCCATGCCTATGTCCTGAATGGTAATGCCTAGGTTTTCTTCTAGGGTTTTTATGGTTTTAGGTCTAACGTTTAAGTCTTTAATCCATCTTGAATTGATTTTTGTATAAGGTGTAAGGAAGGGATCCAGTTTCAGCTTTCCACATATGGCTAGCCAGTTTTCCCACCACCATTAGTTAAATAGGGAATCCTCTCCCATTTCTTGTTTTTGTCTGGTTTGTCAAAGATCAGATAGTTGTAGATGTGTGGTATTATTTCTGAGGGCTCTGTTCTGTTCCATTCGTCTATATCTCTATTTTGGTACCAGTACCATGCTGTTTTGGTTACTGTAGCCTTGTAGTATAGTTTGAAGTCAGGTAGTGTGATGCCTCCAGCTTTGTTCTTTTGGCTTAGGATTGACTTGGCGATGCGGACTCTTTTTTGGTTCCATATGAACTTTAAAGTAGTTTTTTCCAATTCTGTGAAGAAAGGCATTGGTAGCTTGATGGGGATGGCATTGAATCTGTAAATTACCTTGGGCAGTATGGCCATTTTCACGATATTGATTCTTCCTACCCATGAGCGTGGAATGTTCTTCCATTTGTTTGTATCCTCTTTTATTTCCTTGAGCAGTGGTTTGTAGTTCTCCTTGAAGAGGTCCTTCACATCCCTTGTAAGTTGGATTCCTAGGTATTTTATTCTCTTTGAAGCAATTGTGAATGGGAGTTCACTCATGATTTGGCTCTCTGTCTGTTGCTGGTGTATAAGAATGCTTGTGATTTTTGTACATTGATTTTGTATCCTGAGACTTTGCTGAAGTTGCTTATCAGCTTAAGGAGATTTTGGGCTGAGACAATGGGGTTTTCTAGATATACAATCATGTCGTCTGCAAACAGGGACAATTTGACTTCCTCTTTTCCTAATTGAATACCCTTTATTTCCTTCTCCTGCCTAATTGCCCTGGCCAGAACTTCCAACACTATGTTGAATAGGAGTGGTGAGAGAGGGCATCCCTCTCTTGTGCCAGTTTTCAAAGGCAATGCTTCCAGTTTTTGCCCATTCAGTATGATATTGGCTGTGGGTTTGTCGTAGATAGCTCTTATTATTTTGAAATACGTCCCATCAGTACCTAATTTATTGAGAGTTTTTAGCATGAAGGGTTGTTGAATTTTGTCAAAGGCTTTTTCTGCATCTATTGAGATAATCATGTGGTTTTTGTCTTTGGCTCTGTTTATATGCTGGATTAGATTTATTGATTTGCGTATATTGAACCAGCCTTGCATCCAAGGGATGAAGCCCACTGGATTATTGTGGATAAGCTTTTTGATGTGCTGCTGGATTCATTTTGCCAGTATTTTATTGAGGATTTTTGCATCAATGTTCATCAAGGATATTGGTCTAAAATTCCCTTTTTTTGTTGTGTCTCTGCCTGGCTTTGGTATCAGAATGCTGCTGGCCTCATAAAATGAGTTAGGGAGGATTCCCTCTTTTTCTATTTATTGGAATAGTTTCAGAAGGAATGGTACCAGTTTCTCCTTGTACCTCTGGTAGAATTCAGCTGTGAATCCATCTGTTCCTGGACTCTTTTTGGTTGGTAAGCTATGGATTATTGCCATAATTTCAGATCCTGTTATTGGTCTATTCAGAGATTCAACTTCTTCCTGGTTTACTCTTGGGAGAGTGTATGTGTCGAGGAATTTATCCATTTCTTCTAGATTTTCTAGTTTATTTGCGTAGAGATGTTTGTAGTATTCTCTGATGGTAGTTTGTATTTCTGTGGGATCGGTGGTGATATCCCCTTTATCATTTTTTATTGCATCTATTAGATTCTTCTCTCTTTTTTTCTTTATTAGTCTTGCTAGCGGTCTATCAATTTTGTTGATCCTGTCAAAAAACCAGCTCCTGGATTCATTAATTTTTTGAAGGGTTTTTTGTGTCTCTATTTCCTTCAGTTCTGCTCTGATTTTAGTTATTTCTTGCCTTCTGCTAGCTTTTGAATGTGTTTGCTCTTGCTTTTCTAGTTCTTTTAATTGTGATGTTAGGGTGTCAATTTTGGATCTTTCCTGCTTTCTCTTGTGGGCATTTAGTGCTATAAATTTCCCTCTACACACTGCTTTGAATGCGTCCCAGAGATTCTGGTATGTTGTGTCTTTGTTCTTGTTGGTTTCAAAGAACATCTTTATTTCTGCCTTCATTTCGTTATGTACCCAGTAGTCATTCAGGAGCAGGTTGTTCAGTTTCCATGGAGTTGAGCGGTTTTGAGTGAGATTCTTAATCCTGAGTTCTAGTTTGATTGCACTGTGGTCTGAGAGATAGTTTGTTATAATTTCTGTTCTTTTATATTTGCTGAGGAGAGCTTTACTTCCAAGTATGTGGTCAATTTTGGAATAGGTGTGGTGTGGTGCTGAAAAAAATGTATATTCTGTTGATTTGGGGTGGAGAGTTCTGTAGATGTCTATTAGGTCTGCTTGGTGCATAGCTGAGTTCAATTCCTGGGTATCCTTGTTGACTTTCTGTCTCGTTGATGTGTCTAATGTTGACAGTGGGGTGTTGAAGTCTCCCATTATTATTGTGTGGGAGTCTAAGTCTCTTTGTAGGTCTCTAAGGACTTGCTTTATGAATCTGGGTGCTCCTGTATTGGGTGCATATATATTTAGGATAGTTAGCTCTTCTTGTTGAATTGATCCCTTTACCATTATGTAATGGCCTTCTTTGTCTCTTTTAATCTTTGTTGGTTTAAAGTCTGTTTTATCAGAGACTAGGATTGCAACCCCTGCCTTTTTTTGTTTTCCATTTGCTTGGTAGATCTTCCTCCATCCTTTTATTTTGAGCCTGTGTGTGTCTCTGCACGTGAGATGGGTTTCCTGAATACAGCACACTGATGGGTCTGTCTGTGTCTTTTAATTGGAGCATTTAGTCCATTTACATTTAAAGTTAATATTGTTATGTGTGAATTTGATCCTGTCATTATGATGTTAGCTGGTTATTTTGCTCGTTAGTTGATGCAGTTTCTTCCTAGTCTCGATGGTCTTTACATTTTGGCATGATTTTGCAGCGGCTGGTACTGGTTGTTCCTTTCCATGTTTAGCGCTTCCTTCAGGAGCTCTTTTAGGGCAGGCCTGGTGGTGACAAAATCTCTCAGCATTTGCTTGTCTGTAAAGGATTTTATTTCTCCTTCACTTATGAAGCTTAGTTTGGCTGCATATGAAATTCTGGGTTGAAAATTCTTGTCTTTAAGAATGTTGAATATTGGCCCCCGCTCTCTTCTGGCTTGTAGGTTTTCTGCTGAGAGATCCGCTGTTAGTCTGATGGGCTTCCCTTTGAGGGTAACCCGACCTTTCTCTCTGGCTGCCCTTAACATTTTTTCCTTCATTTCAACTTTGGTGAATCTGACAATTATGTGTCTTGGAGTTGCTCTTCTTGAGGAGTATCTTTGTGGTGTTCTCTGTATTTCCTGAATCTGAACGTTGGCCTGCCTTGCTAGATTGGGGAAGTTCTCCTGGATAATATCCTGCAGAGTGCTTTCCAACTTGGTTCCATTCTCCCCATCACTTTCAGGTACACCAATCAGACGTAGATTTGGTCTTTTCACGTAGTCCCATATTTCTTGGAGGCTTTGCTCATTTCTTTTTATTCTTTTTTCTCTAAACTTCCCTTCTCACTTCATTTCATTCATTTCATCTTCCATCACTGATACCCTTTCTTCCAGTTGATCACATCGGCTCCTGAGGCTTCTGCATTCTTCACGTAGTTCTCGAGCCTTGGTTTTCAGCTCCGTCAGCTCCTTTAAGCACTTGTCTGTATTGGTTATTCTAGTTATACATTCTTCTAAATTTTTTTCAAAGTTTTCAACTTCTTTGCCTTTGGTTTGAATGTCCTCCCGTAGCTCAGAGTAATTTGATCGTCTGAAGCCTTCTTCTCTCAGCTCGTCAAAGTCATTCTCCATCCAGCTTTGTTCCGTTGCTGGTGAGGAACTGCGTTCCTTTGGAGCAGAGGCGCTCTGCTTTTTAGAGTTTCCAGTTTTTCTGTTCTGTTTTTTCCCCATCTTTGTGGTTTTATCTACTTTTGGTCTTTGATGATGGTGATGTACAGATGGGTTTTTGGTGTGGATGTCCTTTCTGTTTGTTAGTTTTCCTTCTAACAGACAGGACCCTCAGCTGCAGGTCTGTTGGAATACCCTGCCGTGTGAGGTGTCAGTCTGCCCCTGCTGGGGGGTGCCTCCCAGTTAGGTTGCTCGGGGGTCAGGGTTCAGGGACCCACTTGAGGAGGCAGTCTGCCCGTTCTCAGATCTCCAGCTGCGTGCTGGGAGAACCACTGCTCTCTTCAAAGCTGTCAGAGAGGGACATTTAAGTCTGCAGAGGTTACTGCTGTCTTTTTGTTTGTCTGTGCCCTGCCCCCAGAGGTGGAGCCTACAGAGGCAGGCAGGCCTCCTTGAGCTGTGGTGGGCTCCGCCCAGTTGGAGCTTCCCAGCTGCTTTGTTTACCTAATCAAGCCCGGGCAATGGCGGGCGCCCCTCCCCCAGCCTTGCTGCCACCTTGCAGTTTGATCTCAGACTGCTGTGCTAGCAATCAGCGAGACTCCGTGGGCGTAGGACCCTCCGAGCCAGGTGTGGGATATAATCTCGTGGTGCGCCGTGTTTTAAGCCCATCAGAAAAGCGCAGTATTCGGGTGGGAGTGACCCGATTTTCCAGGTGCTGCCCATCACCCCTTTCTTTGACTCGGAAAGGGAACTCCCTGACTCCTTGCGCTTCCCGAGTGAGGCAATGCCTCGCCCTGCTTCGGGTCGCGCACGGTGCGCGCACCCACTGACCTGCACCCACTGTCTGGCACTCTCTAGTGAGATGAACCCGGTACCTCAGATGGAAATGCAGAAATCACCCTCTTCTGCGTCGCTCACGCTGGGAGCTGTAGACCGGAGCTGTTCCTATTCGGCCATCTTGGCTCCTCCAATATAAAAGTCTTGATGCCAGCTGTAGGGAGATAAGAGAGTCATTCTGAATATGTAAGTATCAGAAATGGCTAATTATTCTGGCTAAAATTTCTTAAAAATAACATTCAGAATATTTTAAACATTTCACATGGTATTAGGCAATCAACAGTAATTTATTGAACACCTTCACTGTGCCCAGCATTGTGCTGTGAGCCATTGGGTGATTAAAAGATGCTGTAATATTCATTCTTTCAGTGCTATTTTAGGGAATCTATTTCATTCTGTTGCCATCTGCTTGGACTAGATTAAATATTTCTTTGACTTTTTATATTCCCTGCATTGATGCTGAATATACTCACTTATTCTAGTGGAAATTAGCTCTATTTCCCTGAGCTTAAATCTTCTTGATAGTTATTGATAAGGCCATTTCTCTACCCTGGTGAATCACTTAACCAAGGATGTACTTAATTCTTTTGAATTTTTATCTTGTTGCTTTCTTCTCCCCCTGCATCTTAACCAAATTCTGATTAGTGAGTTCATTACCATTTGTACCTTATGTCTCTAAACATGTAGCGAATCTGAGATGTTTTCATCAAATCAGGAAAATTGCTACTTCTCTCTTTCATCACACCAAGATTGATGTTCAGGTCCCCAAAATTCATCTTCATTTTGAAGATACATCATGGCAAAGGAGCACACAATCGCTGGCTATTTTTAAATTTGAGTAGCTTAAAACTGATTTAAAACACATCCTTTTTGTTTAGATGGAGTTACTTGAAATTTGGTGCTACTTTCTTAAATTGATTAACACTTGTAGTTTCTTATGTCTTCATAATTCATGTTACAACTCTGTCCATTTCTCCAAGTACAAATAGGGTTGTCAGACAGCTTTAAAGACTGCAATCATTGAGTAATACATAAAGAGTCCAACTAAATAAATAATTTATGGGAAGGCTCTCTGGTGATGCAAAGAATTAATGAAGTTTTTAAAGGTGCCCAATTTGCAATCAGGAATATAAATTGCTCAGATGCTGGGAAATTTTGACTTCAAGCCAAAAATTAAAAAAAGAAAGACAAAAGGCTATAAATTATTATAATTGGAGTGGAAGAAAAATATTATCGAACCCAGAGATTGCAAACAGGAGACCTCTGGGCTTGGCCTGGCCTACAGATTGCTTTTATTTTTATTTTTTTAGTTTTTATTTTGAATTTCTTTAAGAAATACAAACTGATCTTCAGTCTACCACATGCCCCACCATTACTGCTGCCTTATTCCTGACCCCATTTATGAATTTATGCTACCTGCCTGGCACCTAGATGCATTTAAATCTGTGGCCCAGTTTTTATCAATAAGGAAATGAGAAAACTGTGAGTTAAGTAATTTATTCAAGGTAACTGGTTAGCAATATGTTTCACACACAGTTTACCTCCCAAATATCCTAATTACCCATCTTGCATCATTTCCACTGCATACATGGTTGTATTTATTGGAGAGATTAAAGTCAGAACAAACTAAAAATTTAGGTCGTTAATATAACACTTCATATATTTGTGAAACAACAAAAGTATGTTGGAAGGAATAGTAAAAAGGAAGCTTAGTTCGAAAGGTTGAAGAATTTGACAGAGCTAAGGGAGAAAGCTGAGTTGTGATCTTGAGTTCAATCCCCCCACAGGCTAAATTTATTGCTCATTTCGCGCAATGAAGAAAACAACCAATAAAAACCAATTTGATTATAGCATTTCTTTCTATAAGCTTAAAGTTAGTCTCTCAAAGGTCTTACCTTTACAATGCCATTCATCCCTCAAAAGAACAAACCACTGAATTCAAATAAATAAGACCCTATGACAGGTTTAGAAATTATTCTCTCTTAGCCGTCATGTTGCTCGTGCAATATTTCTTTATGTCAACAGGACTTCATTTTAAGAAGATCATATGGTTTTGCATAAGAGGCAGTGGTATTTCTTAATTTAAGTTGCCATTAATGTGGTTAATTGAGAGTCACTGCTACATCATCTAAGCATTAAAGGGGAAAAAAAGGTTTCGTTTGTGAAATTCTGGATTTCTTGCACTTTCTGACTCAGAACTGAACATCCATTAAGAAACCTATGCTTGGGATTTTCTAAGATACTTGGATTAAGCCATTAGCAATCAGCAGGGAAGGTGCCCACAAAATGAAGGACAAAATCCAGATTGGTAATTAGAAAACACTCTCCTGTCATTCTTGGTCCAACCAGTTGCCATCAATATCCACCCACATTAGTTTACACTCTATTTTCAATTTCTTCCCTTCCCTTCTTATTTCTTATTCCCTGTGTGGTCAATGAACTTGGAATATATTTTTCTTTTCCCCTTTGCTTGTTCTGGTTTTTCTCTTCTAGGGATAATCCCAAACAGTCCCAGCGGAAGGTGTATATGAGTTAGAAAGATTGCTCAAGAAACCCTTGCATTCATGCACCAGTAAAGTTGTACTTCTGGCAACATTCTCTTGTTTGTTTTTAGATCTTAATTAAACTAGACTCAGTTTTTAAACCTCCTCAGTGCTCCACGGCATTTTTCCATAGGCAGCACTTATCAGATTGCACTATAATTATTTGCTCACATATTCAGCTCCTTCTTTTGGCTCTATGCACCTCAATGACAAATGATTATGTCTTAATCAGGTTTGCATTCCTAGCACTTAACACAGTAAGTATTCTATTACTGAAAGAAAAAAATGAATAAAATGATACAAGATAATAGGTGTTTATGAAAAATCTTACTTTTTTGTTTTTAAAGATTCAAATGTTAGTTATTATGTAAAAACAGAAAAGTGACCTAATGGTTGAACTGGGAGGGTCAGGGAGGACAAGTTATGTATGGGATGGTGCCCTTAAAGGAAGAGAAGCTGGCTTCAGTCCAATGTCCCAAATAGATCCGAGCACAGTGGCTGCTATTGTTCTCTCTGTCAAATTTTTCCTTTGATGCCTTGTTCCTTACCCTTTTAACACCTCTTGATGTTTAGGAGAGCTGTTGCTCCTACTGGTAAATTCTTTATCAATATCTTTTTATTTTATAGCTTTTGACCTACTCAGTCTGATTGGAGTCAAGTCTTGCTGACTCCAGAGCCACATTCTCTCTTTCTCTCCACTGATATAGCACTTAGTATACCAGGCATGTTCTAAGCACCAAGCACTACCTTTAGGCTAAAGAATGAAGCTTTTGCCCTCACCCTGTGCATAGCATTTTCCTAGGATGAGGAGCTCAAGGTGCACAGCTGATGGATATCTGGAGTCTATACCACACTCCCATGTTCCAAGGACCAGGATGCAAGGATCTTCTGCACAAATTGTCCCCAAACCTGCATTCAGGGCTTGTGTGGACTTCTGCATAAGGTCCTGCTTCCTGAGGGTGCCTGAGCTACTGGTTCGGGGTCAGGTCAGATGAGCTTTGTTGTGTATGACGTCCGCACACAGATCTGAAGCCCCCAGTAATGCAGGACAAAGACACAGGTGAAGACAGAAGGGATGGTCTATGGGTGAGTATAGGGGAGGCTCTGTCTTTACTCTATTACTACTTTCAGCTCCCATAAATGTTAAAGCTAGGCCTGCTAGGTGCTTTATATATATGGCCTCATTTGTTCTTCCCAACAAATGCTTGGGGGGGTAGGGAAGAAATAAAGTTCTTATGGGGAAAACAAGATTACAGGGAATTACTGAAGTCTCAAGTAAACTCATCCTTTCAACAAATATTTGTTGATAATAACGTCCGTAGATTCTCAATTGGAATTAACCCCTGACACGAAAGACAGATTAATGAGAGAGAAACAGAAGTTTATTAGCATGTATTTGAATTCCAGCTTATATATCATCTTCGACAAAGAACAGTACTTTAGAGAAGTGACAAGACAAAAAAAAAGGACTTTGAGTCTCTGTGTGCAGCAACTAGTGGGAAGGCAAATAACTAGCAGGTAAAAGTTAGTTAGTAAAGCTTGTTAATGTAGAGTCCTCTGGTATCATGTCCAGTCCTAGAAGGGTCTAAAGCTGCCCTCAGTGGTTAACTTTTGTTCTTTCTAATGGTGGTTTGGCAGGTGAGTGGGGAGTAGATACCTATTGTCACTGTAAATCTATGCCCTAATTTTAGGCAAATTGTGGGGGCCGAGAGCATTCCTGCATCTGCTTCTTTTTAATTGTCTTCAGCTCAACAGTCCTTCATATTTCAGGAAGGTATATTCTGATCTCCCACAATAAACATAGTGGTGAGCAAAAACAGAAGGCCTTTTCTCTCTTGAAACTTTTTACATCTACTAAATAAAGATATAAAAATACTCCAGTAAGCTAAGGAAGCACTATGCCATTGAACATCTCTTTAAATAGCATAAGTTTACTGTAACACTAATTTCTGTTTACCAGTCTTGGATTGCTAGAAAATGTTTAGGCCCATCTTCCTCTACAATTTTAAAAGGATCCTCGTATAGATGTGTTTCCTTTTTTTGAGGATTTTCCTCCCATGTCTTGTTTTCAAAGCAGATATTCAAAATTTTTCTGATGTTATAACTTGGAGGTGTTGGACATAACTTTCCAAGATCTCTGCTAGTGTTAATAACACAAACTTATTTGGTTATATGTGTTAGTGAATGTCATCAGGGATTAATGTGTGTGTGTATAGATGTAGATATAGATATAGATAAAATATATTTTTCTTAGTGAAACAGGAGCCTTGAAATAATTGAAGGTAACTTCTTTCCTCCAATGCACACCCTCCAGTTTAGGGCTGTGCCCTTTAGAATGACTCAGTGGGTCTCCCTCAGAAGAGGTGTTTATCTTGGAATCACTGAGGGTGGCTTTGCCTTGGGACATGAGGATAGTTGTTGCCTTCCTACTCCCATGCTCCTGGGGCCTCTGGGCCGAGCTGGTGGTGAGCACTGGTGCATTGACAGCACAAGCTTGGGACAGAGGCCACAGCAATGGATCAGGCATCCTCACTGACAGGCTGGCACCACCTGCATAGAACCGTTACCAGAGATGGCATGTGGCTGAGAGAGTCATTAGCCATAGTGGGCCAATCAAACTGCAGCTCTAGATTTTAGGGTGTGGGAGCCGGGGCCTCGCCTTTGGACTGACTTAGCTTTTGAGGTATGAATGGAAAAATCTGAGGTATAAAAAGACCTGAAGTGTATATCCCTGCCCCAGCTTTCCTCCTCCTTACAACACAGCTGTGCTTGGTGATGTCATGACAAGCACCTACTCAGAGCTGGCTCTTATTTTGCATCCCAGCTCCAGCTTCCCATCAGGCAGTGAGGCGAAGGCCATTCTTGGCCAGAGGTGTCTTAGTTTTCTCATCTCTCCCAAGTCTTCATGAAAGAACTCTGCCCCTCTCTGCCTCTTGCTTTATATTTTCTTTCCTATTCCCAAAGACCAATTCCCTCTTTTTCTAATGATCTCTCAGAGTACTGACTTGCAAGTTACAAATGTTAAAACCAAACTCTTGTAGTAGCTAAAAAGACCTGCAGTAATAATTCCACAAAATTTGAATAACTGCATTCAAATTTTGCAGAAAGAGGAACTCATAGCAGCTGGAATGCATTCAGACATGATTTGTAGCATTCATTTGCCAAACCATAACTCCCCTCTGATGCCCTATTAAGATATCCACTGAAGCTTTGGGAGGCCAGAAGGATGTAAACTTGAACTACATCACAAGAATGTAATTTGAGATATCAGTGTTATAGGATATACATGTAAGTTGGATGTTTGATTGGCTTAATAATTATTTATGAATACAACTATATAATATGTTAAAATGATTTTAAAACCTAGTAAATATTTTATCCAGTTTCAGAGTCTGAATAAAATTTTTGGTAAGGTTAATGTGAATTCAGAAATAATACTAACTTTGAAATTGATTAATTGTCATTAGGAGAAATGAGACTTCATCTAATATGATAGTATTTGTCATGGAGGTATAAAATTACATGAATAAAAGAGTGTGAACTTTAAATATCTTATTTTAAATAAGATAAAAAATCAGCATAACAAATATTTTCTGTACACATTGTTATTCATATTATTCAAAGCATAGGGGTAAAAGAGTACATTTTTAAATTAGATGGATAGTAAGTAACAAACCTAATTAAATACTCACTTGCTACTGTTTATCTTCTACATTAGATAAATTTGTTCTTTTGGAATTCAAAATGATGTCGAATTTCTGCTGAATCCATTAAAAATCAGGCTACTGATATTTGGTATTGATGAGTTATTTTATCATAAGTTTTATAAATGTTATTAGAAGTTTATGGTAAGTTTTATGAGAAGAAGAGAAAAAGAAGCAACTGGTATTAGCAGGGGAAATGGTGGGAGATGCCATGATAGAACCTGATTACAACAGCACAGGAGCTGACATTGAAATATGACAACTTTTAGTGCTCCAAAAGGCCTGATAGCTCAGTCCTTCTGGGATTCTCATTGTATAATAGAATAGTGGTTCAGAGAATTGACCTTGGAAACAGGCAGATGTGGGTTACAATCCCAGCTGCTCAAATAATTTAGGCATGTTACTTAAACTCTTTATGAATTTACATTGAAATTGAAAAGGAAAATAATTAAAATAGTAAGACCATTAAATATCTGCATTAACATATGTCAATAAAGTATTTTTGTAAAGAAACTAGATATACATTTCCGTGGGCCTTTGCCTTATTCATGGCAACAAAGTCCCTTATTTGTGAATGTAATAGCTCAAGAAAAGAGGAAGTCTTGGGATATTATCATATTCTTCAAAACAACTTTAGCCCTCATAAGTGATCATTAATTATTTTTTTTGTGTATTTTTTGTAGAGATGAGGTCTCACTATGTTGCATCACATGGTCTTGAACTCCTGAGCTCAAGCAATCCACCCACCTAGGCCTCCCAAAGTGCTCAGACTGCAGACCTGAGCCACCACGCTTGGAGATCATTAACTTATTAATGTGCACATACACATCTTCATAGTCTTTTTCCCCAAATGGCATTACATCTCATTTGAGAAATGCATGTACTTTTCAGTGTTGGAGACAATCCTCCTCAAATCTATACTCAGAAACTTGAATTTGCTACATTTATTCTACATAGTTATCCTTTGAGCAGAATCAACAGCATCATTGCAAAAATCTCCAGAAAACTTCAAAGAAATGTAATTTTTCCTTCATTCCTGAAATGAGATATATTGAAAGTCTTCATCAGTTGTTAAGCTGTGTGAGAAGGATGAGTGCAGGGCTGTTCATCACCTAAAGGGTAGGGAAACACATTTGGGGGTATTATGGACTTAATTATGTCCCCCAAATTCATATGCTGAAGCTCTAAACCTCAATGTGATGATACTTGGAAATGGGGCCTCTAAGGAAGTAATTAAGGTTAAATGAGGTCATAAGGGTGGGGCCCTAATGTAATAGGACTGATATCCTCATAAGAAGAGAAAGAGACATTAGGAATGTGCATAAACAGAGAAGACCATGTGAGGACACAGTAAGAAGGTAGCCATCTGCAAAACAAGGAGAGAGCCCTCATTAGAAACCAATCCTGCTGGCACCCTGATCTGAGGCTTCTAACCTCCAGAATTGTTAGAAAATAAATTTATGTTGTTTAAGTCAACAAAGGTAGGGTATTTTGTCGTGGCAACCCTAACACACTAGTACAGAGAGTGCCCTTCCATTTACTGGTTCATCTCTTTCTGTATTTCTGCCGCATTTGCATTTCCTACCTCATCCCACTAAATATCCAAGGCCCTCTTGCTATACTCTGCATCTTCAAGGTATCCACTTATCTCCTGTATCCCAACCTGCCCTTCTGACTCGAGATCATTTTGGACACTCCAGCCACATAAATATACTACTCCTATATCTCAAATCCTAGGAACATGTCCAAGTGACTGGCTTGCCAATTTCAGTCTTAAAAACTGCAAAGATCTTCATATAGCAACAAATAACTAACACGCCATGAAGTTCTGTACACCTTTTGCAATGCCTTTTGAGAAAAGTGCCCATGGGTGTTTCATTATAATCATGTCACCTCCACCATCACCCTAGCCACAACTAATTAGAACAAAGGTTGGTGCTGAGCAAAAGGCTACTAGCAATGGGAGGCCTATTATGCTGCCTATGAAAGCATCTTAACTGAGCGGACTACTCTTCACCTGATAATGACTAAATAAACCAAACAGATTGTGGTTCTAAGAAAGTTTGAATGCAACATACAAAAAGAATCTCAGTAAGTAGAAGACAGAATGGGGAAAGTTGCAGAGCGAAGTGGCAGTAGGCAGAAGGCTTGAGTAGCAGAGGCCATAATTAAGGAGGGATCATGAGGTAGAGGGAAGAAGAGAAGAAGAAGCAGCTGGTAGAAGCAGGGGAAATGGTTGGAGATGCCACAGTAGAACCTGGTTACAAGATCACAGGAGCTGGCATTGAGTTATGACAACTTTTAGTTCTCCAAGAGGCCTGATAGCCTAATCCTTCTGGGATGCAGATAATATAGCAGAACAGTGGGTTGGAGCATTGACCTTGAGAACAAGCGGACATGGATTACAATCCCAGCTGCCCAAATAATTCAGGCATGTTACTTAATTTCTTTATGAGTCAGTTTTCCTGGAAAAATGGGAACAATACAAGTACTCCCTCATGTTAATTGCTGTGAGGATTCAATGCCATATTGCTTGAAAAGTTCTTGCAGTAATGCTTATACATGGGGAAAGATTAATAAGTTTTAGCTATTATTATTACTATAAATTGTGTATCCTTATAATAAGTTCCCATCTGATAAAGTAAATGAAGTATGGATCTATTTCCTGCAACCTGAAAGGGACTAACACATAGTGTGGCTCAGATAATTGAATGAAAAGTTGCAGGAACAAAAAACTTGGGATAGGAAATGGAAACTATAGTACTCTGTTTTCATAGATCTCCAAACACTCCCTGGCTTCATTCCCTCCTACCCAGTGATGCTGTGCAGCAATGAGTGATCAAAATGTCAAGTGCCTTCCATGATATAGTCTGGACAGGAATATTGGATAACGGGGGAAGGAGAGTTCCTCCAGAGGAGTACTGGTCAGATAGAAAACATGTCTTTACTGTAGCAATTCATCTGAGATCCCGCAGCTAAATAAGATTTGAATGAAAATATTCTCTCTCCAACTTCCATGCTCCTTCCTCAGCCTTTCTAATATCAGTTAATGAGCTCTTTTAAGTTATAGAACTGATCATTTTGATAACAGTGGTTATGCCACCCTATTTGGTTCACTGTAGACATTCATTACAGGTTGAATTACTTTACTCTTCCTTTTTGTCAAGAATTTCCAACCTTGAACACTTCCTGCTGTTTGATGCTATGCAATTGTCCTCTGGGATGAGTATCAGTATACAATGATGCAGCATTAGATCTTTGCTTTTAGTCTCTCAATTCTTGCAGAAATATGCTTGAGTTTGTACTTCCTCTTGAAAGTCTACTACACATCAAATACTGCCACCTTTTCCAGCTCCATGCAGTCAAGTAGGACCAAATTTCTTATACTGGTCAATGGGTTATGAGTAGAATGATGTACACCACTTCTAGGAGTGAGTGAGAGTTCTCATGTATACATTTCCCCCACCATGATAGCTTTCAAAATGATAGAACTTTCCTGAGTCTGAATTTGTGGAGTAGAGATCTTCTGTTGCCCTATACCTCATCTCCCTGCCAACAAAGCATTGAACCACTAGCCTGAGAAATTAAACTTCATTGTATCAAGCCTCTGAGATCTTTGGGTTTATTTATTATTGAAGCACAGCCTATCATGTCCTGGAAGTGAAGTGCTGAATTAAAAAATAAATTGTGTAGTGTTGACCTGGTGGTTGGCAACACATGGTTAGGAAGCTGATATCAAAGGTGGGAAACAGCAATTTGTGTTGTGCAGTCATAAAACATTTGGCAAAATGGTCACCTGCAATAACTTAGAAGTAAGTTATTCCAATATATTCCAATATATGGAATCGGCCTAAGTGTAAGTGTTTTTAAAAGTAGTATATATACACAATGGAATACTATTTACCTGTAACAAAGAATGAAATCCTGACATTTGTGGCAACATAGATAAACCTGAAGGACATTATGTTAAGTGACATAAGTCAGATAGAGAAAGAAAAATATCTCATGGTCTCAGTCATCTGTGGAATCTAAAGTGTTGTTGTCATAGAAGTAGAAAGTAGAATAGTGGTTACCACAGGATGGAGAGGGCAGGACAGAGGGAGGGTAATGAGATACTGGCCACAGATACAAAATTACTGTTAGAGAGGATGAATAAGTTCTGGTGTTCCACTGCTATAGCAGAATGACTAGGGTTAACAGTAATGTACTGTATATTTCAAAATAGCTAGAAAAGAGGTTATTGAATGTTCTCATCACAAAGGAAAAAGTAAATGTTTAAGGTGATAAATGTACTAATTACCCTAATTTTGTCATTACACAATGAATATACGTATCAAAACATCATATTGTACCCCATAAATGTATACAACTATTATGTGTCAATCATACAAAAAGATTGTGTACTTAATTCACATTTTTAGTGAGAAGTGGGTAAAGACCAAAGTGTCGGTAGTGTGTCTTGGTTATTACTTGCTGCTTTTGCAAGATAATAAACAAAGAAAAGCCTGGTTATTAAAGTGCAAATAAAGAAGAACAAATATTTCCATAATTCCAAGGTCTTGCCATGTTGGAAAAGCCAATACATTTTGCTCCCAAAAGAAAGAGGTAAAATTAAGTAAGCATTTGAGGCAAAGTCTGTTAAAACTAAATATTTATGCCAAGAATAAGATTAAGGGTGTGACCTTCATGTCTACTTAAAATCTCTCAGTGGTTTAGAATGTCTCAAAGAAGAGATCAGGTAAATGATCTGGCCTTACTACTTACTACTCCAGAGAGACTCACATACATTATGAAAGATATAGAAGTGAAAAAGCAAATAAATATAGCAGATCTAAGCTCTGTGCCTCTAAAGACCTATGGTGTGGCTACTGGAATAGGGAATTGATTAAGTCAGATGGAAGTTGCGCCTCTAAGGTCTTCAGACAGTTATACTTCCAAGGAAACTATGAGATTGGACTAAAAAAAAAGTCTGTGGAGCCTTACAGAATTAAAATAAGCCTTGGACTTCCAATCATCTATGGGAAGAAAGTAGGCCCAAAACTAGCACATCCCCCAGGAATGTGTTTCAAAATATTGTAAAGAATGCCTTATCCTGTTTGTAAATACTTATTTGCAACTGCCTTACTTGGGAAATTGGCTAGATGTGAACTTAATTTGATTTTACACTTTTTAATGTCATTGCAAAGGAAACTGGGCTACTTTGATAAGCATATAGGTCCTTTGCACAGAACAGATTAGAATATAATCATTCAGGAAGTTCCTTTCCTTCACTTACCCTGATTGACATTGTGCTGATGTTTTGCACACTCTGCTTGACCTCCATTTCAGCTCCGCACATGGAAGCTGCCTACATATTTGTTTACCAGGATTCCTCAATGAACCCCTTTGTGCATAAACAGTCAATGACAAGGGTGAAGGCCCGGCCTGCTTATAAGCATCTTTTATGCTGCCTGACCTCGCTCCTGGCACGCCCAACTCAGTACTCACTTCTGTACTCCTTTAAAGGGCACTGTTAATGTTGGGTTTGCTGTGATGTAGGTTTGAGTACAGGGGGAGTGCCTTGTGTGTGTTGACCAGTGACAGGTAAAGACTCTATCCACGTGAGGGTGCACTGAAGTTGAGAGTCCAGGAATAATGGGCTTAATACCCAGAGAAATACCTATATTTATGAAGGAGATGTCAGGATGATTTTACAAGGGTGAAACAGCACATTGTTGAACATGTGACTAGCATGGATGTTTAAGAGCCAAGAAAATGTGTGAGGAATAAGGTCAAATTGTAGAAGGAAGAATATTCTAGTTAACTGGATCATATTTTGTTTTCCCTGTAGTTTTTTTTTTTTTTTTTAGCACATAAGACGCTGTCATTAATATTTCTATGATCTAATGTGCAGGCCATTTTTTTTTTAAGTTTGAGTTTGAATTAGTCAGGATAGGCTAGGTAATGCTAGAAGAACAAATTAACTCTGCAGCCCCAGTGACTTCCCATAACTGTGGCTTCTTCTTTGTTCACAGTGGGAATGGAAATTTGAAATGAAGAGGGGGCTAAGTGAGACTGTGTTCTACTTAGTCACCTGGGGACTAAGTAAGGAATTGTCATAGCCCATGGCCAGAGTAAGCTCATGGCCCTGCCCATATGTAATAGGGCTGGAAAGTGTGGGCAAGCCTCAGGATATTAGATGATCAGCCAATATTTCTGCAATAATCTGCTCCAGTGGTTATCAAAAATATCTTAGCCCCTATGGAGCCATAGAGCATAGAACTTACCACCCATATATCACACCCAACCCATCTCCAAAAATTCCTTCGCTTGCTGCAACCATTTCTCAATTTTGAATCTCTAAGTTTTAGATGGTTGTCTTATTGCTACATCATTTCCAGATGTGGATTCTCTCGTTCTGGGAATGTATAAGCTATGTTGTTCCAGGCATACTTGTAAGTGCTTGGGAAGCAGTAGTGAACAAACACACAAATTATCTGCCACATGGTACTTACATTCCATCAGAGAGAATGACTAAACAAATAAGTAAATATATAATACTATGTTAGAGTTGGAAGAATTCTGATGACTTTAAAGTCTTTGAAATACATGATAGAAAGATTACTTTAAAATATTTAATAAGTTTTCTAACCTTTTAGTAAATGTGAAAACTTTAAGCAAATACAAGTAAGAAAATCAAGTTATCTTGGCAAAAAGAAAATTTACCCATAGTGATCTAACTAATGGGAATGCTGTATTTGATATCTTGCTTTCCTTCACTTAACACTTTGCAAGTATTTCTTTTTTGGCCTTAAACAGTTTTCAAAAATATGTTTTAATAGCTATAAACATTACAGGCTATATAAAAATTAATGCTTTTTTATTTTTTGACAATTTCTATGATCGTAAATGAAATTTATACACATAAATCTTTGCATATCTGAATATATCCCTAGCATAAGGTACGAGAAGTGAAATTACTGGATCTAAATGCCATGTATATTTATGACACTGGATATACATTGTGAAATAGATTTTTAAAAATGTTATGCTTTCTCACTATTATTCCAACAATATAAGACATGCATATTTAAAACTTCAGCCCAAACTGCCATATTAAACTGCATATTTTCATTTACTGGCGAGGTTGATATTAAAAAAATGTGTTTATTATGCATCCCCATTTCTTCTATAAATTCTTTGTCATTTAACATTCCTCCTTTTTTTCTAAAAGGCTGTTAGTGTTTCTCTTATATGTGATACTTTGTGTATGAAACATCTACTTGCTGCAATTTTTTAAAGTGGTAATTTGTATTTACTTTTTTTATATTCTGACATTCAGGAGTGTTTTTATGCACTCAAACTTACCGATCTTTTTCTTTTTTATGTCTTCTATTCCTCTTGTGCTTAGAAAACCTTTCCTATCCTGAGATCGGTAAAATATTTCTGTTCTTCTAGTTATATTTTTAAATTTTATGTTTTTGATAAAAACATCTATGTGTAATTTATTTTGGTGAAAAGACTTTGATTTGAGTCTTTTCAAATAGTTCATTTTCTTAATACCATTTGTTAGTAAAATAATTCCCATAGGTTTGTGATACTTTCTTACCTGTCAAATTTACACACACACACACAGACACACACATCTGCTTTTGCGCTTTCATTAATCCGTTTGAAATATTCTATTTTTAATGTTGTGTGGGGAGTGATGACGCTGGTACTTTTTGTCCCAGATGTTAACAAAATTACAAATAATTATTGGTACGTCTCAACGGAACCAGGGAGGGTTGTGGTACGGAGGCATTTAGGACCCAGGGGAAAGCTAGGCTCCGTATAGAAGGACAGAGAATCGGGCGCACACGCCTCCTACCAAAATCACAGCCCCTTGTGGAGCCCGAGCTCTCATTCACAGCTTTCTAGAGAAATCTGAGCCCGAACCTGCCAGAATAGGGGATCTCACCCACCCAGTTCAGCAGCGAGGACACCTGCAGAAATACATTCCCAAAGCAAGGCTGGGCGGCCGTGTGAAGGTATTTGTTACCTTTTTTCTCCCCTCTGTATTTGCCGAGCCTCCCCGCCTTTCCCCCGCTCTTTCGATGCCATGGCTGCGGCGTTTCAGCACTTCGGTATGTGGACAGCTCCCATCTGCAATCCCTCTGCACTCCATCCCTCCCGCACCGCACCCCGCTCCCCGCCGCCTCCGCGGTCCATCCTCCTCCCGGCGCCCGCTCAGCCTGCGCCCCCTTACACATCAGCACCCCCATCTCCACCATCACCGTCATCATAGCCACCATCACCAGCGCGGTAACTATAGTCACACAACTGTGTCTTGCCACTTAGACAAAGCCCGAGGTCCGCAGGGCAGAGGGAAAGAGCTCAAGTTGACAGGCATAGGAAGGAAAGTTCAGGTGAACAAACCCCTGAAAACAAAGAGAGACGCCTGTTTGCGAGAAAGGGAAAGTGAAGGCAGGAGGGAGAGACCCCAGGCACGGGGACAGATGGGGCACTTGCCAGACACCAGCAGTTAGCCAGCTGCCTTTCAGCAGATTAGGGTCTGTTTAGTTGAGGAAATTAACATGGCCTAGGGCATAATGTGATTCCAGAAAAACAGAAATGTAAGCTCAACCTGTGTTTCTGGTTTTCCAATGGAGAATCACCAGGAAGCAGGGTGGGGGTGACCGATGACTCATATTCACCCACACGTCCGTTTCCTTTCCTAAGTGTTTAATGCAGAAACTCCAGAATTAAGTTTTTTCTTCTTTTTTCACTAAAATGTTTTGTAAAATAGGGACCCTAAAGGTTAACTCTGGCAAGAATAAAAATAAAAATGATGGTAATGATTGTAACTTAAGAAAGGGGGCTCTCATTCGAATGAACTATTTGTTCCAATGTTTCTTCCTGTCTACTTATTTCATTTCTATTTTCCAATCTTAAACCTCTCTTTGAAGCAAAGAAGATAGATCCCTTGCCCAAATGGCAAAAGTAGTAATGATATTCAGACCAGATGGCCTTGCTTTGTTTGTCACCAGTCAAGGACTGGCTCAGATTTGGAAGGCGAGATTTTTGTGTGCTTTCTCAGTAATCAGGTGATAACACCATTTTCCTATAATAGTAAAGGGTAATAGAATGCAAAAATTGAAAAGGCATTTTATGTAACTCCATTCTGCCAGGCTCTGCTTTTAGAGTGCTATCATTTTCTATCTCAGCTGAAGGGAAGTTGGAACACCTTTCAAATGTCTGATTAATTTGAACCTGAAAGTCTAAGCCCAAGTCATAGTCCCTATTTGATTTAGCCAGGATTATCTGTTTTATAAGAGCTAACAAGCACCAGAAAATAAGTGCCTGAGCCTGTCATCAATAAAAATGTCTTGCTGGGTGTTCATTTAATTGATTTTTACTGAACAGTAAAGCATTGGGATTTTTTGACAAGTTATTTTCTTATGAAATTAACATCTTAATTAAAAACGAGATTATTTAAATGGGAATAATAGGTCACACATGATAAGAAAGTTTAAACCAGAGCACAGAAAAGCTTGATTTTAAAATTGTCGTTGTGTATTTATTCTGCCTCTTAAAGACATTGCAGCACGTTTCATCTAAACCAGCTTGCTCACCATTAGAGGCATTGTCGAAAATAAAGACAGTCACAAATATGTATCTTGCGGAAGAAGTTCTGAGGAAAATTCATACTTAAGTCTCTTTGAGAATGAGAAATAGTCGCATTGTGTCAAAAGTTAATTACTGCCACTAATTATATAGACATAATTCCACCTGCCTCTAAAATTCATTCACTTTTGGATCCCAAGCAAGAAAACTAGTAAAATATGTGGTGAAATGGATTTTATAGAAGAAAATTTGGTCATCCACATAATGTCCTTGGCTTGGTAATATCCACAGTAACCAAGACCTCTTAAAAGTCCCTGAGAAAGGAGATTCTTAAAACTCCCTTTTCTGTCTGTAAAGAATGGTTCAGCTCAGAAAATTTTTAAGAGTGTACATATTGCCAATTCTAGCTGCTTCACACCAGAAACGCAGTCCAGGAATCCAGTGCCTCTAGAGCTTCTGTCTTCCTCTGCTTAATACAATCTCCTGGGGCTGGGGAAATTTTAAAACATGCTGCTTCAGTGAGATTTACAGGCATCTGTCTGTAAGCAATGACTTTTCTTGACTGAAATGTTATGCTGAGCTTATTAATTTTTATAGAATGATGTATCCTGGCTTCCTTACTTAAATCTTTTCTATTGAGAGCTATTTTGCCTTTAAAAAATATTTTCAGTAACAGAAATTACTCATTTTTATAATGGATTTAAAGGTGAAGAGAAAATGTTTTCCAGCCGAGTGTCATCATATATTTTTGTAGACATGCTCATAGAAGAGTGCATCATTTTAGAATCATGGAGTAGACAGCTGGAAGGTCTTTCATTTCCCAAAAGGCAAAATCTTGAACTTTTCAGAATTGGTAGTGTCTGCTCACTTCTGAAGGTTTTACAAAGAGAGGCACTTTATTATCCCTAAGAAGTCTATTCACAACTTGACGTACTCCCTGATAGCAGAGACTTCCATCCTTAGTAAATGGATCCAGGCTGACTTTGATCTTCTCTACTCTTCCTGTTACACAGTGACTTAGACAGAGGAGGCAGCACAGCAGAATGAGTATACAAAATATGAAGCTTGACTATATGCAATCAGTCCAGAAATATGTCCTCAACATTGCCAAGAGAGACCTTCTTTTCAACCTTCTCCCAAATATTGCTTGTTTTGATTATTGTTAATTTTATCCAGATATCACTGGAATAAAGTTGTTTCAAAAGAAGGTCCACAGTGTGAATTTTGACAAGTCTGCAACCTCTAACTGATGTATGTCTCTTTATTGAAACTTATGCTTAATTGCCAATCTAAGTTTTTCTTAGTTTAAGGGAAGTTTATATTCTTTTGCTTGATTCTTTATGGATTGAAAATGAACTGGCCAAACATCCCCTGCCCCATAAAAAGCTTCCATTTATTGAGATAATAAGTTCATTTTTCTTCCCTAAGTCTGATGCCTCCCATAGCCCTTTATTATACCTTCTCAGGTCAGGTTGCCCTAGGCTCTGTCCCTTTATGCACCTGTTCTGTGACAGGGAGTATCAGAGAAAGTTCCCTGTGTGGTAGGCTAATTTCCTGTGAGCTTTTGTGCTTGATAATTTCTGAGCCAGCAGAAATTTCTCCACATGTGTTTGAGATGATCTGTTCTTGTTTCTAGGATGCTTGTAGCCAAATCTGTTCCTAAATGTTGTGCAGACCACTGATGACTCCTTTTCTATCTATGCTCCTTAAAATAGTATCAAAGGTCTTAGACAAAGTTCCATATATTTGTGTGTCATTTACATAGCTTATTCAATTGTTCATTATTTTATAGTTTTGGAGGAAGTAGGAGAGAAGTTATGGGCCTGGGAATAGCATGTTGTAGGGGGGCGTGTTAAATTACAGGATCTGTACATAAAAACTTCTTAATATGTGGTCAAATTAAAACAAAATAAACAAAACCCATGAGATCTTTCACTCTTTCCTTTTTTCTCTTCTTCCCTCCTCCTTTCCCTCCCTCTCTCTAAATTTCCCTGCCTTCCTCTCTTCCTTCTTTTGTGGTTGATATATAGAGCATGCAAACATAGTGAGAGTAATTAACAGGGTGATCTGATAAACTATTATGAGTGCCATTGCTCCATAGGTAAAGAACACATTGTGGGTACTTTTATGTTCCTCCTGGACAGTGCATTAGGGCTGTCCACAGACAGCATGAGTTCTAGCCTCAGAGGCAATTAACCTACCTCTCAACCCCTCTGGGTCGTTATAAATCCTCTGGACCAGCTTTTCTCAAACATTAATTTGCATACAAATTGCCTGGGGATTCTGTTACCTGTTCAGTAGGTCTAAGTGAGTCCTGACATGCTGTGTCACTAACAAGGTCCTGGGTTCTGCTGCCACTGCTGATGCATGGACCACCCTTTGAGAAGCCAGGGCAAAGAAAAGTTTTTTTTTTTTTAATATTCTCACTTTTACGTCTGACTATTAAATAATAAGACCCATTCTAAAATGAAACAAAAACCACTCCATGTTCTGAAGAAATAAGAGCTCAGAAATTCTATTTCTAATTGAGGAGAAAGTTATAAAAATAGCCTCTTTCCTCCCACCTCACCCTTAAGCTTGCTGATGTGTTTTACTTTTCCCAGGCAGTTTTCTTAGCTGTGATTCCCACTGCTGCCATTGTCTGTGCAATCACATCCAGAAGAAGGGTCACGGTTACATGGATCTGCTGGGAAAACAATTAGTGGAAAAGGGGGCAAATAGAGTTAATGGCCGTTTTTGGGTGAGTCCTACCTTTCTTATCTCCTTTAGGTCCTCTTCCTTAAAAAAGAGAATCTATTCTTAGAGAAATACTCTTTCCCTTTGAAGACAGAAGGGTCAAGGTTTTTGTTTGTTTGTTTGTTTTCCTTTCTCTTCCCATTGATACCCCTAGGAAGCACAACTAATCTGTTTTAAAAATTGGGGTATCAACTGCCAATGACTTCTTATGGGGATAGTTGAATAGCCTACGAAACATTCCAGTCTAATATTCTATGACTCAACAATTATTTCCCTATATATTAACTTTGTTTAAGATACATTGAGGTGTAAGGTAAATGCTACTTCAATTAAAGACTTTTTCTACCAAACACAGTGAGGAGGAACAAAAATCTCATACTTTATAAGTTGGCATTCCCCTCAACTCCTTGCATTATTTGCCCCAAAGAAAACTGCAAAATGGTTCTAGAATCCTCTGTCACATAGGTCCTTCTTCCCTGAGTTGCAGTCTGTTCTAATTCTGACCTGGCATCTATTTTGGTTACAAAAGTTTTCAGTGTCTCTACTCTGATGGAGCTCATTCCAATCTACTTTTAACATTTCTTGAGAGCAGGACCAAATGGGAGCAAATGATTGTGTGCTTCTTTGCTGTTTTAAAGGGAGCCAAGGGAGTCTACACAATGAGTATTTATGTGGCAAGAGTTAGTCCTAGGCTAGGACTAAGCTAAAGGTGGTGAAAGGTGAACTGTGTAGCATGGGCTAAATTCTGGTCACGTTATGCTTTCAGATAATTCAGAGTCTCCTCTCTATCCTTGTAGACTACTCTCCCTGCCCCTAGTACAGATAGTTTATATCTGTAAGTTGGCTAACATTTAAAGAAAGTCAATGAATTCAGGGTCACTTTTTACCCACAGGTCTGATGTTCCTTAGCCAGTACTCATGCAGAAGTCCTACAAACCATAATGGCCAATCTGAAAATTCATCCATCAGAAAAAAGACTCCTTCTGGTCAGCACCATGGAACATGTAACCAACCAGCCTCTGAGATTTAAATATAGGCTAAATAGGCTGTAAGGGAGTGTATTATCTTTCAAGAAAGATTTCAAATAGAGTTACACTTAAAAAGAAATATTTTTGGTCACTATGATTTTCAGTTTTGGCTTAGATATATCAGCAGCATCTATTTTTATTTCATTCAGTATAAAAATTTCTTTTGGTATTCCTAGGTAAAAATTCATATTCAATTTAAAAATTTGAAGTAAGTTTTTAGCAAGGTAAAGAGCTATAAGGGTTAACCCAATTCAATATATATTAAAAATTTGGAAACAAAAATTCACACATACCAATGGATGAGTTAGTTGGTTAGACTTTCTGTACAAAGTGTTGTCACCGGTATTAATTTTTCATCCTTTTCTTATGAAAGAAACCCACAAAACAAATATGGCTATTGTTTCTTATTTTATATTTGTATTAATTTAAATTTATGTGTACTTAAAAACTGTTCTTTGTATTACTAAGAACACCCAGAAGCCATGCAAATTTGAAGTGTTGTTCAGCAGTTATTGATGTTCTTATATTTCAAATAATATTTAGGCTTTACAGATTTTATCTTTCTGATCATGACAACAATATTCTATTTCCTCCCCAAATTTGGGCAGTTTTACAACACCCCTTAAATGATGTCCTTTAGGACTGACAGGGTGTGGATGTGTGTCTATTATGTGAGTGTAGTTGAGTGTGAGGGCACCGGTACTCAGAGTGATGTTAAACAAGGCACCTACTTGGAGAGCAGAGTCTTGGACAAAACGTGGGTAAAGTAGGTTTGAGTGCAAATCTTTGTTCTTTCAGCCATATCTAAATCTCAGATTCATCTTTTCATCTAATAGTAATAACCTACCTTTAAGGATTGCTGTGGAAATTAGACTATATAATATCAAAGACCTTGGCATCTAATAAGTACTCCATGAATATTTGTTGGTTTTCCAACTTTAAAACAAGCTCATTATCTGACTTAGCTGTTATGTACCCCGAATATTTACCTGGATACAGCATAATTATAATATCAACAAGAATTTACAGTTAAAGTAAAGTAGATCTTTTCCTTTCACAAGCAGTTTTACCAACATTATTTCACAGAATTTTACCTCAGCACTTCCCAGGGAATTATCTTTCTTCTGTCTATTGCAGGATCCCTGTAACAAAGAAAAAAGATAATTGATATAAAATGCTTTGAAATACTACGTACACACATACATATACATATTTTTAGATGAGACATTGCTGATATAATTCTGACCTTTTCCTGATATATTGTATGTGTTTCTGAAGATTATAATAAAATAAATAAATGAGAATAATAGATCATAAAATTACCAAATTGATTTCATTTGAATTATCATAGTTTTCTGAAAATATTTTTATGCTTAAACTCTTTGATTCGTAAGGAATACAGTGTATGTTTGTAGATGTACTTTCCTAATACTAAATTCTGTATGAGGAAATACAAAAGGATTTTTTTCTAATGTAAACTTGAGATGAAATATACAACTAGAATCTACAGATAACATTATTTTAAATATCATAGTATGGATACTCTTCTTTTCTCCCTCTCATACAAAAATACCATTACCTAATTTTCTGGCTCACTGGAAAAGGTGTGGATTGGAGTGAAAGGAGGTATCCTCCACCTTGGCCTTGCCGGAGAATGTTTGTGAATTACTCTCCATGCATTTGAAATGGTGTCAAATACAGAATCATTTGGGACTAAACCACATTGCAGGGAGATGGCCTCTGAGGCTTACATGAATCTGCCTAAACTGGCCTGTTTGATCATCAAGCACATTTCAGTGCTGACACCATGCTTGGCATTCTGCTAGGCATGGCAATCAATCCTTCAAAGAGAATGACAAGATCTGTTATCTTTGATCTGTCATTTCTGCCAAAGGAAAATACCTAAAGGAAGAGCAAAAATTAGTGAATGCTGGAAAAGGCAGAGACAGCTAGATTTTGAACAGCACCAGTCATCTTCCAATGAAGGAAGGAGGAAAAGATGGCAACTGGACATCTGTAAGGCAGAGTATTAGGCCACCCAAGAATATCTGTTCATCCACTGGTATATTTAGGCTCATAGAATGGTAAGTTTGAAAGGAATTTTAGGGAACCAGAGTGAGGTTCTGAAACTTGCAGATGGTCACATAGGTCTTAAATCATAAATAATAAAATCTCTCTGCTACACATAAGAGACAGGGCAGCATAACAGTAAAGAGCATGGGTTCAGAGAAAGATTAGTTTTGGCTGAATCCAGTTTCTGCCTCTTAGTGTCTGTGTAATTTGGGGCAATCATTTAACCTCTCTGTGCCTTAGTTTCCTCATTTGAAAAATGAGGACAATAATATACTCATTTCATACAGTTGTTCTGAGGATTAAATACTGTAGTCTATAAAAAGAGAATCTGCAAATGCCTAGAACATAATAAATACCTATAATAAATAATAAGCACTATTATTATTAATATTGCCAGCACAGAAAACCATTTCCACTTCTTCATGTTGTACAAGTTCAATGTATCCATTTATAATTTGGAAAAGTTGAATGAGAACCAAGTCCTTTATGTGAACAAAAGATTATAGTCAAATGAAAATGCTATATCCTGGTGAACATTCTTCATACAGCCTTTCTAGTGCCTTAAATATTATCAATTGAAGTTGTTATTTAAGTAGCAGTCTATTCAGACTTCTGGTATGAAGAATTTGCCTTTAATGGAAAATATCTATGTTATCCTAAGTTATGAAACCCAGTGACCCTGGCTTAAGCATTCTCCCCAGAAGCTTCTACTGTGTGCTGAGCACAGAATAAAGATATAGATTGAAGCAAATTTATTTCACATATTATAGATTGGAGGCATAGCTATATGTGGAAGCAGGCCATGAAAAATGCAACCTCAACTTTCCTTTTGAACCCATAGTAAATTATCTCAGAAACATTGTTGAGTTCCCTGAACTGTAAGGTAAGTAACTTGCCCCATGCTTTAAATCTTCTGTAGGGAATAAGTCATGCCTGTGCCTTGTGCTTTAAGCACTGTGCTCCATGGCTTGGAACTGTGAACATTACCTGGCATGCTTGCTTTAGGGAGGTGAGAATCTGAAGCACAATGTGCTTAGGCTAAATTCTCCAGGAAAAAAAATACTTTGTAGATGAGGAAGGACATTAATCAATCAGCCACAACATCTCATTTAAGGATAAACTGTCCTGGAGGTACTGAAACACTTATTCACTCATTCAAACATTTTGACTACTTTCTTTATTCATGTATTCTAGGTCTATTTACTGAGCATCTACTTCATCGCAGGCACTGTATGAGGCACTGAGGATGTGGTGGTGAATGCAATGAAGTCGCTCTGCCCATGGAGCTGACTCTTTTGGCCACACCCTGTATCAGGGATACACAGATGAATTAAATCCAGGCCTTCTCTGTAAGGTGTTCTGGATAAAGAGAGAGAAAGGAAAATGGCAGTAGAATATTGTGTGGGACTGCTTTGACTTCTGAAGGCCAGGAAGGGTTTCCTGCGGAAATGAGTTTCAAGTTTACTTCTGAAGGGCAAAGAGGAGTCAATCAGTGGTTATTCTAGACAGAGAGAGTGCAGCTTTTACCAAGGCACACAAAGGTGAGAAGAAGCTGCCGATGGCTGCATGGCCAGACAATAAATCTGGAGAGTAAAGAGACCAGAAGATGAAAGGCCTTGAAATCATGTTACATAGTTTTATACTTTATCCTGGGACAACTAGATGCTAATGATGGATATTAATCAAGGAGTGACATGAGCATATTTCAACTGTAATATAGAGAATAGGTTGAAATGCAGAGAACGGACTGGCAGCAAGCGTATCAATAGGGAGAATGTCACAGGACTAAACAGATGAGTAGTGATGCAGTCTAAACAAAGACGGTGATCATGGGGATGGAAATAACTGGGAAAGTTTGAAAAATATTATGGAAGTGATTGCCTGATAGTGGGCGATAAGAGGGAGAGTGGAATAATAGTTGACTCCCAGGTTTCTAGCGTGGGAAACTGCATGGAAGATGATGTCATTCACTAAAAGACAAAGACGGAGGAGCAAATTCAGGATAAGGAACTATGATTAGTTTAGTTTTGAACAGATCGAGTTTGTGTTGTCTGTGAGTCAAGTAAGTGGAGATGTTCAGTAGGCTGTAGAATGTGCAGTCTGAAGATCTGAAAGGAGCTACGGACTGATGTTGTAGATGGCAGATCATGGGGGCAGGATCTTAGAGAACACTAGCATTGAAGGTGTGAGCACAGAAGGAGAAGATGGAGTAGAGAGGGACAAAGGGCTAGGTGACAAATCAAGGGTAAATGGAGTTACAGAAAAGAATGGTAAAATGGGAGAAGGAGGTCTAAGAAGGATGATGTAATCAACATCAAATATTGAGAAAGCTCACCTACAGTAGCTGCTCACAGCACAGTAGATGCTAAAGTTTGTTTATTGGATGTAGTAACAAAAATGATATCTATTAGTAGAGTGACCATCTGTCTGAGTTTGCTTGGAACCTGTTGTTCTAGTATCGTTATTATTAACACCTTGTAGTGCATAAGTTTGGATAATAAGTTAAATCATCATCCGTGTCATTGATCAGTGTGAATAGTTTCAGCAGCATGTCACAGATAGATTGCAATGAGTGTAGGGAAGAACTGGAGAAGGAAGACATTGGGTAAGGCTGCTTTCTGAAAGGGCTTTTGGAGAAGGAATTTTAACATCAGGTGGGCATTGAGCTAGATAGATTTTGAAACTTCTTACAATTCTGGGAAGAGTTTGTAATACTATTTTCCTTTACTGTTATGAGTCCTCAAAATTAGTGAGAAGTAAGACTCTTCTGTTTCTTAGAGAACATCACAGAGATAAATGCTATTTTCTTACAAGTTATTTTGCAAAGCCGATATTTTATAAATAAAATTATTTTTATTATTCTGTTGTCTTGAAAATGAATACCAGTTACTTTTTTTTATCTCCTCCGTATCCAAAGACATATAAAGTAGAAATATGTGAGATGATTGTCTCTCTTAAGAAATTACTGTTAGTCCTAAATTAAGCAGAGCAATCATCATTTAAGTAATTTTGTATGAGAAAGCATTACCAATAATGATTAGATTGGGAGTAAATATTCTGCCTCTTACTGCAGATAAGATTGACTTAAGAAAGCTAGGAAAAATAAATGCCTCTAAGTTTATTTATATTTAGTGTGTCTTCTGATTTTGGAAACTTCCAGGTTAGACCAAACAGATGTCTGCAAGAGTTTAAGCATTTACATTTAAAATAAGATGGAAACAGTATGGGTGTTCCTCTGTATACCATTTTGGTGGAGAAATCATAAAGGATGTATCTGAGGGGATTAAAATATCATTATCATAAGTAAAACAGCATCTTAGGAAAACAGGCAGGTTATATACAATGGAAGGATTTTTAAGCCCATATGGACATTGGGTTGGGTAGGGAGCCAACCAAGAGTCTCAAGTCCCTCTGCTTTCCTAGTAAAAGAATGGCAAATGCAAATAATAAAGCCATTTGCAAATGTCCCTGTGAGCCTCCTTGCCCATTGTTGAATTTGATTATTGGAGGTCAAGTTTTCAGCCATAGGCCTGTCCCCACCCCCACTCTTCACACATACTGGTGGAGGACTCCTGTGAGTCATGAACACTGGCGGGGTTAAAATAGGGGAAGTATTTTATAGTTAAGATGCAAATGGCTGGCTTTAAGAAAGTGGGGGAAGGGTTATTTCTGTGAAAGATACTTCTGTTTGAGAAAAGAGGCCAATGGGAAGCAAAATTTTACCATAGCTATAATTTCTCTGCCATATCCAGGCCTGTGAGTGGTCCCATAAAGCATGCTGTCACAGAGAAGTATCATTCTCTCCTCTCACTGTTTCTTAAGGTAATTAATAAAAGTGCATGCTATTGCTAATCTGATCAAGCACTATTACGTTAACTAGTCAATGGAACTGAAACGTTCCCAAACATATTTCAAATATTTGCATGTTAGATTTTCAAGTTGTCTATAATCAACTTTTGCTCAATACTCCATTTTAAGGATAATTTATCATTTGTTCTTTGGACACCTAATCTAATCAGACCCACAGCCTAATATACTGTTTTTCTATCTAAGCTCCAATTAATTTGCCCAGACTTTCTTTGTATCATCTCTCTTCTGTTTCTTTTGTGTGTATTTGTTTTTCAGTAAGCAATGGCCTCAGTTTTGCTTCTGTTTTGGATGAACACCACCACATAGGGCCTGAATGTGAAAGAAGACCCTCTATTTGTCTGTTCCGGGGCAGCCTGGTAGTAAAACACTGTTGAATGGGCCACAGTTTCAGCAGACCATCAGGTGAATGGGACCAGTCTCTCTTCTTCCAAAATATCAGAAGTTAAACACTTGGAACGGAGATTTGGCCAAGATGACCCATTTACAGGCTGGACTCAGTCCAGAGACTATAGAGAAAGCTCGCCTGGAACTGAATGAAAACCCCGATGTTTTACATCAGGATATTCAGCAAGTCAGGGACATGATCATCACCAGGCCTGACATTGGATTTTTACGTACAGATGATGCCTTCATCCTGAGATTTCTCCGAGCCAGGAAGTTTCACCAAGCGGATGCCTTTAGACTCCTGGCTCAGTATTTCCAGTACCGCCAGCTAAACCTGGACATGTTCAAAAACTTCAAGGCAGATGATCCCGGCATTAAGAGGGCTCTGATCGATGGGTTCCCCGGGGTGCTGGAAAACCGAGACCATTACGGCAGGAAGATTCTTTTGCTGTTTGCAGCCAATTGGGATCAGAGTAGGTAAATGTAGATAGTGTCTTTACTTGGTTTTTCTTTGCTATAAGCATTATCACTGCATGTTTGGGGTTGTATGGCTTTATATGTAATGGGCTTTCATTAAAAAATATTTCACATGTTCACCAAGGAAGTTTTAGGCCACAGGTGTGCTGTCTTCAAAAGGCAATTCCAGATGGAACAATAGAATTGTAACATTAGAGTTGTAAGAGACCTTAGAAGTCATTATTCTTTTCATCAAAGTGGGTCATTCACTTTAGTAAAATTGAAAGTGGATCTTCTAGAAGAACCATATATTCTGTCTTTGGTGTTCTCATCTTTAATAAGAAAACAAAAATGGAGTTAGTAGATGGCTTAATATCAAGTATTTTCAATGCATAAAATAATTTCTTGGATCCTCTCCATGACTTGAATTACCTCTATTTCTCCTGAGTGCCAGACATTTCTATCCAAATCCCTGCTAGACATTTCTCCCTGAAAGACCTATAAGGGACCCAAAACTTGACCTATCCCAAACTGAAAGCATCATCTTTCTCATTCTACCTGCTCTTTCATCCACCTAGTCTCTCAAGCCAGAAATCCAGGAGCCATCCTTGACTGCCCCTTGCTTTGGTCTTTACATCCAATTAACTTTCAAGTCCTACCACTTTCTTCTTATAAACTTGTGAAATCTCTTCCCTTCTCTTTGCTTCTATTAGTATTGCCTTAGTTTAGGTTCTCATCATTTCTTCTTTCATTGTTGCAACAGCTTCTTAGCTAGTATCTCTGCCTCTAGTCTTATCTCTTCTGAGTCATTCTAGGTTACACCGTAGCCAGGGTGACCCTTCCAAAATTCTGTTACATCACTTCCCTGATTAAAGTTCTTCAATGACCTGCAAAGCTATCGAAATAAAGTAAGGTTCTTATGATCCGCCTTCTGCATTTCCTGCTCTGCTTCATCTTCTGACCTTCTTCACATCCTCTGGTCCAGCTGGTTGGGACTATAAGCCTTGCCTTGAACAGTTAAGCTTTTTAAATACCTCCAACCCTTTGGACTTGACCTGTCAGACACCCAAAGGAGAGACAGCCATCCCCTATCCCAACTCCAATCATCCAACTCCAACAACAAAATTTGCCTACTGATGCATCTTTATGGTCCTGGAGGAAGGTAGTCTTCTTCTACTTCCCTCCCAACCCTGTTTTCTCAGGCGCCCCACCTCTGTTTATGTTTCTACTAATGCAGTTACAATGGAAGTGTAACAGCTACCGTTATCATAGCTAACATTTTGAATATTAATGACAAGCTCTGCTAAGCATAAATATATATTACCTCATTTAACCCACCTGAGAACTTTGCATGGTAGATATTAGTACTATGACCCCTCTTTTACCTTTGATGACATAAGGCTTTTAGAAGTTAAGGAGCTCACTCATGTTACACAACTAGTGAATACGGAGTGGGAGTTGGGCAATGGTAGTCTGATGTGAGAGCCAGTTGTCTTAACCCGACTTCATTGTAATTGTGTGTATACTTTGTGTATTCTTACTCCTCCTCCCACGACTGCAGGTTCCTTGAGGGCAGGAGATCATGCCTTTTTCATGTTTATGTCTTTGGTGCATGGCGCAATATCCAATGAATGTTGAATGAGAAAGAATAATGAATCAATTTCCAAAACATTACCTATGAATTGAGCTTTCACAGAGATATAATCATTAACATTCTTATGTTTCACGGGGAGACATGGGTTTAACCTAAAAATATATCAACCCCCATAACCATTAAAAGGAATTTCTAAAGTGCCTCTTCACTTCCTCATGTCACTACTCTTCCTCTTCAAGATGATAACAGTGTAGGGCAACTTGGTAATCACTGGCTGTTTTGTGGTTGATAATTTGGGGTGGGGCTGTCTAATCTTGGAAAGGTATTTGCATATTTCAACACTATCAGTCTAGAATTTGGTCAGGACTCCACCTGGGCCTGGGCTACCTTTCCGTGTTTCTACTCTGTTATTCTGTAATGATATGGAATAACATATCATATATCATATCATAATTAACATAATTAATGATGAGTCTCTCACTACATTGCTTCACTGATGAGACAGATTTTTAGGTCTTATGATTCATTCATCTTTATCATTCACTCAACATTCAGTGAGTATAGACTTTGTGCCAGAGCTTGTCTTAGGGCACTGAGGACAGCGATGAGAACATACAATCCCTGCCGGTTAGGACCCCATTGTTCAGCTGGATGCTTAGCAATGGTGCAAACATATAGATGGCTCACTCCAACTGCAATAGAATAATTCTTTCTGAGATACACAATTCATTGGTGCAGGACATCAGTGTAAACTAGAGGCAACAGCTGTCCTCCCAAAAATGGCACATTAACATTTTGGATTTTGAAATAGGAAAGTATTGATAATTCTGGAGAATAATTGTATTAGTCCATTCTTGCATTGCTATAAGGAACTACCTGAGACTGGGTAATTTATGAAGGAAAGAGGTTTAATTGACTCACAGTTCTGCAGGCTGTATAGAAAGCATTGCGAGGGAGGCCTCAGGAAACTTATAATCATGGCAGAAGGTGAAGGGGAGGCAGGCACATCTTCACATAGTGGAGCAGGAGAGAGAGAGTGAGGGAAAGGTGCCACACACTTTTAAACGATCAGATCTCCTGAGAATTCTGTCACCAGACAGCACTAGGGTGATGGTGCTTAACCTTTAGAAACCACCCCCTTGATCCAATCACCTCCCACCAGGCCCCACCTCCAAGACTGAGGATTGCAACTCAACATGAGATTTGGTTGGGGACATGGAGCCAAACCATATCAATAATTGTGCTGACTTCATTTATGCTTAGTTGTTTTCAGTGTTCTAGAACTTCCATCTGCTAAGACAGATGAGGTAGAGAACATCAGTAAATGGGGACACACACATAAAGAAATCAGCCATGGTAAAATATTTTATTTTGTGTTAGGATTTGGTCCATGTATATCCCAAAGTATGTTGTTAAGAAGAGGAAACAAATCTCTTAGTAAATAATCCAAATGTTTATGATTATGATAACCTCAAACAAATTACTTCACCTCTCTATTTCTCAATTCTCTCTTGTGTAAAATAAGAAGTTTGAACTATGTAATTCCTGAGATACCTGCCAGCTCTAATGGCTCATGAATGTGAAGCTTATTCAGCCTGATCCTATGGATGGGAAGGGACTTAAAAATTCACTTTATGGTCTCCTAATTCACTAGACTTTTCAAAGTAATCTCTTTTTGCACTCTCCCACTCCACATTTTTCAAACTGTGCAATATTATTTGTCCCAGACCATTATGGTTTTAATAAAAAGGTTGTAATGACAAGGCTATTCCATTGGCAGCCAAATATTCGATGCAAACAAGCCTCCGTTTGAATTTAGATATTGTCATGTTGTTTACTGGTTATATAACTTTCGACAAGCAACCTCCCTGAAACTCAGTTTTCTCATCTGTAAGTTGGGAATGAGAGTGATGTCTATCTAACAGTATGGTTGGGAGGATTGAATGACATAACGCACTGAAAAAACACAGCTTGTTGTTTGATACACGGTAAGCACTCTAGATATTAGCTTCTAGTATTATCACTAATACTATGAAAGATTCTATGTAAAAAGTAATAGAGGACAGATGGTAAAATGAATTGCAACCAGGGGCTGGAGTACAATATTTGAAAATTGGAATGGGGCAATGAATGTGAACTACGGCATGCCCATCCTAAGCACCTGTTTGCTTTCTCCCCATATGTGTTTCCTTTCACACAGACCCAGCCCTGTGGGGCCCAAAAGGCCTGGAAAGGCTGACACAGCTTTGCAAGGAAATGACTTCATTCTCACCAGGGGCCTGAGATGACTGGGAAGTCATTTGAATATCTCATGTGAAGGGTTTACTAAGATTAAAATGGTTATGAATATTTATTAAGACAGTGTAAATCTCATTCATCTGGACCCAGACACATGGACAAAAGCTCAGAACAGTGAGCAATGGGAAACACTATCCCGTGAGGGCTCATGCCAGTCTCTGCCTGCTTGGGTTCAACATGGCAACCGAGGCATAGGCAGTGCCTGGGCTACCTGAGCATAAACTGGCCTTGCCTGGGCATTGGACCTCAGCAGAGAGCTAACTGACTTCTTCATTTTTTGAGGCTGCCAGGCCGAACCAAAACCAGATGGATTCAATCAGCTCGCATGTATTTATACAAAAAATGAACTTGGCCCTCCCAGAGTGAGCAGAGTTTTTATCCCAGCTCCCCAGCTTGGTATGTAACGGAGACCTAGGGGACACTGCTGGTCGATGAGCCCTCTGATTTTTCCCACCTAAACTCGTATCAGCATTGGCAATAATTCACCATTTGCCCCTTTAAGATCTGATGAAAAACAAATTCATTTCTTGCTTCTTTCTAAGCTGCAGGCTTGCACTTGGTCATAAGCCCAGTTTGCCATGAATGCCCCAGTGCTGGAGAAGAAAAACTGAGCATAAAGGGACACATCGGTTTTTTTTCTGGATTTCACTCAGTTAAAAGGAAAAAAAGGTTAAAATTGGTCAAGTAATTTTACTTTTTAGGGTCTCAATTGTATCAAGTGGAAACAGATATCTGGCATATGGGGCTGTTGCAAGAATTAATCACAATTGCCCTTTTTGGTGGTGTCCAAAGGCCAAATAGAAAAGTGATGAAGTGCACAAACTCTGAACCCCGATGGCCAGCTTCCAATCCTGGCTCCTCCTAACCTGCCATGGGGTCTTGAGCAAGTTGCTTAAATCCTTATTACCCTCAGTTTCTCACCTGTACAGTAGGGGTGATGAGGGTCATAGGTGAGTACCAGTTGGTGCTCAGTAAATGGGAATTGTTTCTTAAGAAAAAAAATCAAATCAGGCAAATACCTAGGATACTGGGTCAAAAGATGTACTGTCTTTTGTAATAATTTGTTATTGAGGTAAAATATATATATATATAATTTAATATCTTTTCCATTTTTTAGCGTACAGTTCAGTGGCAGTACCTACGTTTATATTCTTTGTTCCCCCTTCATCCTCCCTTCCCACTCCCCTTCCCCTCTCTGATTAACCACCAATCTACTCTCTATCTTCATGAGATTCACATTTTTACCTCCTGCATGTGAGTGAGAACATGAAATATTTGTCTTTCTGTGCCTGAATTATTTCACGTAACATAATGGCCTTCAGTTCCATCCATGTTGCTGCAAAGGACAGAATTCATTCTTTTTATGGCTGAATAATATTTTGTTGTATGTATATAAACTCTATTTTCTCTTTTTTAACTTTTAAGTTCAGGTACATGTGCAGGTTTGTTACGTAGGTAAACTTGTGTCATGGGGTTTTTTTTGTACAGATTATTTCATCACCCAGGTATTAAGCCTAGTATTCATTAGTTAGTTTTCTTGGCCCTCCCTCCTCCCACTCTCTACCCTCTGAAAGGCCCCAGTGTTTATTGTTCCCCTTTATGTGTCCATGTGTTCTCAACATTTAGCTCTCACTTATGAGTGAGGAAATGTGGTATTTGGTTTTTTGTTCTTGTATTAGTTTGCTAAGGATAATGGCTTCCAGCTCCATCCATGTCCCTGCAAAGGACATTATCTCACTCTTTTTTGTGGCTGCATAGTATTTCATGGTGTATATCCAGTCTATCAGTGATGGGCATCTAGGTTGATTCCATGTCTTTGCTACTGTGAATAGTGCTGCAATGAACATACACGTGCATGTGTCTTTAACAGAATGATTTATATTCCTTCGGGTATATATCCAGTAATAGGATTACTGGGTCAAGTGGTATTTCTGTCTTCAGGTCTTTGAGGAACTGTGACACTGTTTTCCACAATCTTTGAACTAATTTACAGTTTCACCAACAGTGTATAAGCATTCTTTTCTTTCCACAACTTCACCATCATCTGTTATTTTTTGACTTTAATAATAGCCATTCTGACTGGTATGAGATGGTACCTCACTGTGGTTTTGATTTGCATTTCTCTAATGATCAGTGATGTTGAGCCTTTTTTCATACAATTGTTGGCCACATAAATGTCTTCTTTTTAGAGGTGTCTGTTCATGTTCTTGCCCACTTTTCTGTGGGGTTGTTTGTTTTTTCCTTGTAAATTTGTTTAAGTTCCTTACAGATGATGGATATTAGACCGTTGTGGGATGCATTACATGCAAGAATTTTCTCTCATTCTGTAGGTTGTCTGTTTACTCTGTTGATAGTTTCTTTTGCTGTATACCACATTGTCTTTACCCATTCATCTGATGATGAGCACTCAGGTTAATTCCATATGCTGGCTATTGTTAATAGCATTGCCATAAACATGGGAGTGTAGATTTCTCTTTAATATATTGATCAATTTCTTTTGGCTATATACCCAGTAGTGAAATTACTGGATCATGTGAACATTCTAGTTTGTGTTTGTTGAGGAACCTCCATACTGTTCTCCATAGTAGCTGTTCTAATTTACATCCCCTCCAACAATGTATGAGGGTTCCCCTTTCTCCATATCTTTGTCAGCATCTACAAGATGTACCCTCTAAAGGCTGCAGCATTTGAGGCCATTACCAGGTTTCCTCCAACTAGAAAAGTATACAAAAATACAGCTGAGAACCCTTAGCGGTATGCACTATGGGTACATAAGTGCAGACGGTCCTCTGCAAAGACCTCTGAGATAGTTCAGTTGTGGTTGAGAAGCTCTGAGAAGTCACCTTGTTTTAGTGATCCTACCTATTATGTTTATTATATTCTCAAGATATAAGAAATGAATGGGGGGTTGTTGGTGAATCCAGATAATAAAAGCCCCAGAATACACTATAATAGTATCCATTAGTGTTGTGTAGACCAGCTATGGTCCCCAAGAACCTTGATGGGGAAAAAACAGTGGAAATGCATTGCAAGTCATAATATATAAAATTACACTGAAGATTCTTTTGTCAGTGTATTGTTTGTTTCTCATAATTAAAAGCTCAGAAATCAGCAACCAGGTTGAAAACTAGATGAAAAATTGGTTCCTTAAGGAAGAAGAGGCACTTTAAGGATGAGTTAAGTTAGGGTAATTTACTAGAGAGGAAAGAAAGTTGGTAAACAATTTGATTAGAGTCATTGTAAGAAGGCCAAGGATCCAGGAGGTTCTTTCTCCCCAGAATACAGAGCAAGGGCCGAAAGGTTGGATTGAAGATGAAGAAGTATGAGGAAGGACCTCAGACTCAGGGTTGTAAAGGTGAGGGATAGGGCAAAATTTAAGGGGGCACCAAGAAACTCAGTAATTAAATAAATAATATTGTAATAAAATATTTTAAAAACCCACAATGCAAAAAAATTCTTTATGAACAAAATATCCAAATTTTATTTATTTACTTTGTAAAGAAAGCATGCTTACATTTGCCTTTTATTGCTAGATTTTTTTTATTTTGATAGATTTAGGGGGTACAAGTGCAGTTTTGTTACATGGTTATATTGTTTAGTAGCAAATTCTGGGCTTTCAGTGTAACCACCCCTTGAATGGTGTACATTGCACCCAATAGGTAATTTCTTGCTTCCCCTCCCCCTCCCACACTCCCACCTTATGGAGTCTCCAATGTCTATTATTCCACATTCCATATCCATGTGTACATATTATTTAGCTCCCATTTATAAGAGAGAACATGTAATATTTGACTTTCTGTTCCTAAAATATCAAATTTTTAAAGAAGGCAGGATCAGTATTATTGATTTTCCTTTGGCTTCAGGCTCCAACTTGGCTCAGAGCAGCACTGCTCAGACCAATCAGATTTCTCAGAGGAAGAACCTTAAGTTGGCTGCTGGTCAGTTATAGTACAGTACATAATACTGCACATATATAGACTCTTCAGCTGCATAGTCTTTATGGTCCTCAAGCATTTCCATGTACGTTTTCTTATTTAATGCTCATAACCATTTGGCAGTTTCAGTATCACTAAGTTACTAATGACATAAAAATAGTTTCAGGAGGAGAAGACACTTTCTAGTCAAGAAGCAATATGACTCATCAATGGGAAAACTTGGCTCAGACTCAGAGCTTCCAATTACAAGCTCATCCCAAAGGCATCTGAAGCCAGTCACTCAGCCCCTGAGTGGTTAGATGTTTCAAAATATCCATGGAGCTTCTGAAAGACTGCAAGTGGGTTTCTTGGCGGAGAATGAGCATGTGCATGCGCGCCATGAGTCACGGTGGAGGGGATCGGCAGTCTGGGCTTAGTGCTTCTTAGAAAGAGCACAGTCAGCAGGGGGAGCTGCTCAATGTTATCCGGTAGAACCGTATTAAGCACCATGAAATGCTTAGCATCCCCTCTTCCGGGCACTGTGATAACCCAGAAGACCTCCATATTTCCAGCACCCTTAGGGGAGCTGGGGCCCACCTGGAGAGCCCTCGATGGAGACTGTCTAGAAACATCTTAATATCAGCATCAATAACTACCAGTTGTTAGGTGCTTTTGTGCCAAGTGTTTTGTATACACTATTTCTAAGGCCTGCCGTAGTCCCACAAGGATCTATGTTTGTACATGGGTACTATGTAACAGTGATGGAATTATTCCCTAGTCTGTCTGCACATAAGGACTATGCTTTCCCACTAAGTCCTACTTATGATCTCATTCCGACCCTGCACTCAGTTTCCAAAGTCTTTTTCAATCAAAAGCTGAATCACCGGTATGCTGTTAAGTGGCAAAGTAGCCCAAGGGTCTAAATTCAAGTTTGTTTCTACATTCTTTCTTCAAGTCCCTCTCCCAGCCAAGAGGTAGAGGGTGGCTCAATGTAAACAACGCAGCCATTCCGTGTGTATTCGAATGGGACTCAGGCAGTGATGCGTGTGCATTAGAAGTTGGGTCCACCAGAAGTCGAGATGATTCTGAAGTCTCAACATCCAGGGCCTATTCAGTCCTCGATGTGAGTGGGAAGAAAGAAAGTGGAGAGGGACTTGTTGGTTCAGTTTGAAAGTGAAAGGGGTGCTGACCAATTGACGAGGCTTGTTACGCTTTAATGGAATGAATCCGAGTCTCCATTCCTTCATGCACTCTGTAATACACATACTAAATGGTTACAGTCATCTGTCCTTGTGTGTTTCCTGAAGGTTCCAAGGTTGCATTCCTGTTCTGAACTCATGATCTCAGAATGACATCTCACAGCAGTTCTCTCACCTCCAAACCCCTCAGGCATTAAATGATGAAAAAATGAATGTTACTAGGATATTTGACCTTCTTTCCTTCACGATTGTGAACATGAAGACACTGTCATATTTACTTTCTCATGTAGAAAAACACCCCAAATCTGTTTGTTCTTAGAGGACAGGTGCTTTTCCACTTGCCCTTGTTTCTGGGAAGGTGTTCAGCTGTTTCTTGTCCCCTCACGCCTTGCAGTAATTTATTTGATGGATACGCTGAAGACAGCAGCTTCTTCAAATGTTACCAGTCACTGCTGACCTGTGGCAGTCTCTAAAGGGCTAACATTGCAAAAGCCCCCACAGCTCTGTGGTGTGATTTGGCAGTGGGAGATGAGCATTAAGCAGGTTCCTTCTTCTGATTAAAACCCCGAGGCCGTAGGTGGGATATAACTCTTCAAACTATAAATAAGCCCACTGATTGAGGTTTGCCTTTGGCTTTTGCAAGAGTGTTAAAGAGCTTTTTACAAGTAGCGGGAGGTCTGTGCCTCATTCGGTTTGATTGTCCTCAGTTATAAGAACTTGTAGCATGAAAGGGGAAGATTTCTAATGTATCCATGGTGAATATTGGTGAGGAAAGAAGGGAGGAGGCAAGCCAGGGAGATGTTAGGCTTCTCACCAGGGTCATGAGGTAACCCTGCCCCCAAAGCCTATTAAGAGAAACCCAAGAAAAGGTTTAACTGTCTGCCCTTCCCACCAAAACATTTCCTGAATCTTTCTGGTGATGATCAATTTTTCTTTTGAGTTTGAGAATGAGTAAACATAAACTGAAGAGAAGGACAGTTATTACAACCATAAAAGCAAACAATATTGAGTGCTTACTGAGGCAGTAATGCTCTTACGTAAGCACTACTAATAGCCATATTTTGCAGATGATGAAATTGAGGCTCAGAGAGGTTAGGTGATCTGTCCAAGGTCATACAGCTGGCAAGTGGCTAAACCTGGCAAGATCTCAGACCTAATTTCTCAGTTAAAACACTGTGCTGCACAGCTTATCACTTATCACTGGAACTCATTCACCAAATCTGGGGGCTGCAAAATCAGACATTAACGACAGGTCTCCATGAGCTATCAGTAAGCAAGACTTCACTTGTCACTTGAGGTCTCAAAATACTTTGAAAGGACCTCATAGCCCAAAAGACAAATCCTGTTGCCACATACTTCAATCTCACAGAAACCTAGCGAACCAAATGTTCAAAATCCTTACCCAATGTCTGCCCTAATTATCTGACAATAGGAACAGTGATGACAAAAACAACTTTGATTTTTCTTTTAATTCCAGCCCAGCAAAGGACACTGGATATTGCTTGAAATGTTTTACAAAATTTGGTCCTAATCTAAGCCTGATTTAAGATAGCGATTGAAGGCATCATTTCTGCCTTGCATTGAAATGAGTGTTCATATAGAGACTTTCTGTTGGCAAACAGAATCTCAGCTCAGCTGCTACCAGTGTTGTGACCTTGGCAAGATTTGTACTCCTTTTACCCTTGTTTTTCTCCTTTGTTTGGTAATAATATGTATTCTGTAGAACTGTGAGGACGAAATGAGGTACTAGAGAAGAAGAGGTCAGACAGGCAGATAGTCATTTCCTTTCTTCCATAAGTGAGGTGGTTTTCCTATTTTGACCTAATCCAGAGCCTAAAATGCTCAAGATATGATTTCTCATTCAGTGTAAAGAGCTGATAAAATACAATATGTCTCTGCTGTGTGCTTCTGAAAAGCTGTTGATTGATGAGGGATGAAGTTAGGAGAGTTTATAATGTGCCTTGATTCCGGCTTCCTCGACCCACTGCATGTGTGTATGGTGTGCCATGTGTGTCAACCAAATAGTTCTTTGAATATTTCTTTTATTCTCCCTTCTCCCTCTAACAATCTCCTTGTCAGATATACTCTACCACTCACTCTCTAATTCCACTTCATCCAGGGCTCAGCTGCTTTCTGCCCACCATCAACGTGCCCTTACGATTGCACTCAGGACCTTACAAACTTGTCTGTTAGAAGCCATCTTTCCCACAGATTGGATGGGAGAGCAGTTGGGTCTCGGCTCAGAGATAACACAACAGTGTACATCCCTGCGTGCCCGGGTGGCTGCCCACCAGGAAGATGTCAGCCATTACAGGGCTCCGAAAATGTCGTTACAAAGGCAGTGTGGGCTTGCAGTGAGGGGGCTGTACTGACCTGGAGAACAAGGTTTTATTGACAGCATATCTTTCCAGGCCAGCTGCTCCTCTGAAATTCTCACTTATAAACTCAGAAGTTAAAAAGACATAACATTCATTAGCTCATAGATAAAAAAGTCTCCTCTGATGGCTAGAAGTCCAAGGGCCTAAGAATAACTTCTTCCTTCTCAAAGCAAGTCCCAGTGAAGGCAGCCAATGCTAAGCTCACTCAATTAGTTGATTTGAAATTGTGCTGCAATCCAGGAGCATGACCTATGTTTGCTCTTCCAAAGGTCAGTGTCAGTAAAAGAGGGCATGTAGAAAGGGCGTTTTAAAAACACAATGTTGCCTGTATGCTACATTCACTGTTGGATTTTGTAATAAGCATAGCTGGCTTCCTGAATGAATGCATTGCAAGTTATGAGGCCTTTTCTTGCACTGAAGCTCTTCTGGGCTATTCATTGCTTTCCCCAGTTCTCAACAAGCCAGGAAAGCAAGTTTTGTCCCCATAAGGAAGATACTGTAGAGCCGAGAAGGAAAGCCCCTGGCACAAGCCCAAACTCCAACCCCCAATTCCTGTGCCCAGAGCCTCACCTCTATAACCACCTGCCAGCTCCCCCGCCCTTTCGATATGGTTCCCAGATAATCACTCAGAACAGTGATATACAGAACCTTAAACAGCCACTGGGAAAGATTAAGTGCCCATGCTTCGCTCCAGTTGTAAATCAAGCTCCAAAGCCATTTATTGTGAGTGTTCTATAAAGCAGTAGAAGTTATTGCCACTATCCTGCAAAATATAACGTCAGATAAGAAAGTAAAGACAGGGTAAATTTTGTTGTGAAGGTTTTAAAGTGATGTGTTGTTTTTTCTTTGCACATTCTTTCTGTTTCTCACCATTTTTCTCTTCTCTTTGCTACTATTTCTTCCCTATCTCCAATAGTCCCTGATAAGTATCTCCAGATCTAATTTCAAATATGGCTTTCCCATAAATAACAGCAGTGCCTTTCTGGATTACAGATTGTTAATGTTAATAATGCTCCCAGGCATTGAGCACCTCCCTGAGCATGTGGTTTCATTTAATCCTCAGGACAATTTATGAAGGAGATGTTGTTATTCTCATTTTAAATACAGGGTATTTAATCTCGACAAAATCGCAAAGCTCGTTAGTGCTTTGATCTCTCTCTCCTTCTTCATGCTGCCTAATTATGTTTGGGGCCTGCTGTCAGGGATTGTGCCACTTAATCTCTGATGACTCACAATTTGTTGCAAAGTTCTTACTAAAGAATCTTCATGGCTTCCTAATAAAATTGGTTCAGTCTCTTTGCCATACATTTTGGCACATAAAACCTTAATCATTCAGCATTACTTTCCTTATCCAAAGGTCATCTTCCACTTGAGTCAAACAATTCTCCCCACTCTCCCCTTCTGCTCCTCCTGCATCACAGCTCTTCCCACCTTCGCGTATACAGTTCCTCCCATTCAGTCTTCATTCTTATAATGTGGGGAAAATGGCCCTACATGAGAAGAGGCCTCAAACCCAGCGGGGAAGCTGGGACCTCAGAGGAATCATCCTGCAGGTCTTGTCTAGCTTTAAGGAGAAGTAAGAGTGAGCAGGTGAAGGGAAGGGAGTGTGAGGGAGACTGCTTGAGACAAAAGGGCACACCATGTAAGGGTCTAGAAGAAAGAGCTTGCCAAGCTGGGGAAACCTCAGTTGATTCCAGTGAGCACAGAAAATAAGGACCCACATAGTGACAGTTGAGGCTGAGGAGGTGGGCTGAGGCTGGGAATGGAGGAATTTGGGCTTTATCCTAAGGACAAATCAAGTTCTGCTCATCTTTCCAAGCTCATATTCACACAAAGGATTGGAATAGATATGAGCATGCCAGTCATTTAGGAAAGAACACAGGAGGGATCAATGCTGCCTCAGCCATGGCAAGGGATGCTCCTCTTTACCTTACACTTTCTCGTGCTTCCTGGAAGCTCCTGGAGACAGGGAACTGTGTCTTTTCTCCTTGGTATCCATGAGTACAGTGCAGGGGGCAGTGGTGTCCTGTTGGCTGCCTGACTTGTGGGGAGAAATCTGAAACAATGAAAAGCCCAAACCAGGGAGACTCTTTCTAGACTCTTCCCAACAACAGCATTCCTGTTGAGTTGACTGGAGTTGTGTGCAATTGAACTTGAGAATGAGGGAGGAAGAGACTAGGATGCTCCTGCCTAGCCCTTGCCTACTGATCCACAGCATGGCCTAATGGAGAGAGAGAGCACATCGTCGAGGCAGCAGTGGGAGCAAGGGCACCACCTGGGAGTCATGGGCTCGGCAGGGGCTGTGTCCGCTATGTGACTTGAGCTCCGGGTGCCAACTTCCTCTTCTGATAGTAAGGATGTGCAAGCAGATGACTCATCGCTTTCTCTCAACTCACAAATTTTATATTCTTTGTGTGTCATTGTGCACAAGACAGAGTTAAGAAAGGCTTCGACGTTACAGAAATCTCCACTGTTCAGGATGCTGCTTTTCCATGGAGAGCTTGGGGAAGGGAAGCTTTGTGAATGGCTTTTTTGTACTCAGTGTCCCCTTTCCCTGACAGGGTCGTGTAGATTCTGGTGAATCTCATGATTTTCCGAGGAGTTAGTCCGTCCTATAATTTTATAGTATGCATCTTGATTAGTATATCACACCACCATGGGTAGGGTATTTCACTTTGATATTTGATCTCTAAAGTTTTCTGAAATAATACTGTAATGCCTCATTTACTTTAAATCTTTGTAAGAGAAGAGTGCATTCCAGAAAAATTAAATTTCCAAGTCGTTGAGGTCTACATTTTAAAGGCCAGTTTTAAAATTTTATTTTATTTAGGGCTGGTTCAAAACACACAAGCATACAAAAGAACTTAAGAACTTGAAAAAGCAAAAATAAAATAAAATAAAAATGAGGAAGCTAACCTTGGAATGTATTCCGTACTCTCTTCCCTTGTTGAATTAATACTTTCTTCATGACGCATGGTGACTAGAGTGAATTTAAATGATTATACCCTGGGCTGTGAACCAACCATCCTGATGAAGATTCTTAGAGAATTATGAAGAGCTCTGTTCCCAGCTACATGACCCATACTGCCATGTTTTATAAGTCTTTCTAATATCTTTTTTGTTGTTGTTGTTACTTCTTTCTCCTTTTAGCTGTTAATTCAACTTGCTGTTAATGAGCCTGCTTTGAAAACTCCTCTCTTTCTAATTTCCTGTAGATTAGGAAGCCAGAAAACTGAGCTTGTTGAATTATGTGTTATAGGTGAGAAACCATGGGGAATCCCAATAAATAAAGTAAATGATCTGTAGCCGTGCATGAATTTTATAACATCTCATCGGTATGCTTGGAAATGTAGTTGTGCCCAATGGACCAGCAGGCAAGCATGAAGTATCTTCCACTGCAGCATCTGTTTGGGGCTGTACAAAACGGAAAACCTAGGCAGTTTTTCTTCCAAGGTTTCTCCAACCTTGGATTCATGTACTATGTCCGTCTCTGATATTTGTACTTTTCTTCTCTCTAATACTCTCCCCAAACTAACAGAAAGAGACTTGTATCTTCATTTGAACTTGAACTAAAACCCATTTTTACCAAAGTGGTGTCAGTCCTTTGTATTTTCATTTTTAGACTTTTTGAGCTATTAAAGATAAGGCTTTGTCTTTGAGCAAGGATGTATTGGGGAGGGGGAGAGATAAAGTAACCTATCTTTCTGTTTACCTTTTAGTACCTTCCTTGTCTTCCTTCCATACTTACTCTAAGGTAGTGAAAATCCAAATAGTGTTGCCACTGGGCCCATTCCCTTTGGTGCCCTCATCTGAGCTACCTCCTGCTTATTTTCAGGGTGGTCATCGTGATATACATGACTGTGATCCTGCCACCATGGCCACAATTTTCATATTTATACTGCTTTGGTCCCTCCAGTACCCAGATACTCACAGATAGGGACAAGGGCAGGGACATTGACAAGGGTCACCAGCTCTACAACATCATAGTGGGGGAGGGAAACATGGGTCGTACTTTCTTCCCTCAACTCTGCAGTGGTCTACATGGTTGAAGCTGTTGAATAAGTGGCACCCCTTAACCTGGTTTATTCTTTTTTTATATATATACTTTAAGTTCTGGGATACATGTGCAGAAAGTGCAGGTTTGTTACATAGGTATATATGTGTCATGGTGGTTTGCTGCACCCATCAACCCATCATCTACATTAGGTATTTCTCCTAATGCTATCCCTCCCCTAGCCCCCAACTCCCCAATAGGCCCGGGTGTGTGATGGTCCCCTCCCTGTGTCCATGTGTTCTCATTGTTCAACTCCCACTTATGGATGAGAACATGTGTGTTTGGTTTTCTGTTCCTATGTTAGTTTGCTAAGAATGATGGTTTCCAGCTTCATTCATGTCCCTCCAAAGGGCATGAACTCATCCTTTTTTATGGCTGCATAGTATTCTATGGTGTATATGTGTCACGTTTTCTTTATCCAGTCTATCCGTTTGACCCAGCAATCCCATTATTGGGTATATACCCAAAGGATTATAAATCATTCTACTACAAAGCCATATGCACACGTATGTTTATTGCAGCACTATTCACATTAGCAAAAACTTGGAACCAACCCAAACACCTGGTTTATTCTTAACCCGAGGATACTGACCTTTGCTCTACAATTGGCTACTGCGAATACATGAATCTGTTGAAATGTAGACACGTGCATTTGGTGGAAGAGGAGATACCCAGCTTCTATCAGATTCTTAAGAGCTTCACAACCCGAAGAAGTTTAAGAATCACCATATTATATTCTCTTTCTACTTGTTAACTCAAGAGTATAATTCTGTGGCATACTGGGGAGGCAAATATCCTATTGGGATAGTATTACAGAATGACCTTCAAATGAATTGATTGCTGTATCCTAACTATGAAGTGTTGCATGATTGTAAGACTAAGCATTCTCATAGAAGAAAATAATGAAAATAAAGGAAGTGTAAGGACATTAAAAATTATCTCATCACTTAGATGGAACCACAGTTTACACTGAGAATTAAGATATATTTTGCTCTCTCACACATACACATACAATTGAGCATCCACTGTGTATAGCTTTCTGAATCTAGATGGGACAGCACTGTGATGAGAGCTCAGGTGCCTGTGGCTAGATTATCTGGGTGTGAGTCAGGGCTCCATCACTTTCCCATTGCTTGAGCCTAGACAAGTTAATTTAAACACTCTGTGCCTCAATTTTCTCACCTATAAAATAAAGATAATAGTATCTACCTCTAAGGGTTGTATTGAGAATTAAAGGAGCTAATACAAGTAAAAGTCCATAAAAATGTTTGGCCCCTTATTAGCACTCAATAAAGGTCAACTATTTTTATTATTCTGATTTTTTTTCACTTAAAATTATATTGTGGTCACTTCATTAGGTTACTAAATGTTGTCTTAGTTCACTTGTGTGCTACTATAACAAAATACCTGGGGCTTGGTAATTTATAAACAACAGAAACTTATTTCTCAGAGTTCTGGAGCCTGGGAAGCCTAAGATCAAGGGGCTGACAAGTTACGTTGTCTGGTGAGGGTTATTCTCTGCTTCCAAGATGGTGTCCTGTTGCTGCTGCTTCCAGAGGGCAGGAATGTTGTGTCCTCACATGGCAGAAAGCAGATAGGCAAGTGAGTCAAATGCTGGGGGAAGCCACTTTTACAATGACCTTACTCCCTTTCCTGAGGGGAGGAGTCCTCATGATAGTTTAAAATTCAATCCTGGGCATTAGGCTATTTCCAATTTTTCACCAATATAAATGTCTTTATATATGGATATTCTCCCACATCTTCAATTTTTATCCCCTAGGATTAATTCCAAGAAGTGGAATTAATGAGCAATAAAAATGTTCAGGGCTCTTGGTCCATGCAGTTTTCCAGAAATGTTGTTCCATCTCTATTTCCACCAGCAGTCTATGAGAGCACCCATTTCTCCTTAGCACCGCTGTTGGTCTGAACAAGTATTACTTTTTTCTTCACTTCTCCACTTTCTCTTCTGGTTTAGAAGTTATCTATTTCTATATTTTACATGTTATTTCCAAAATGTTAATATAGATGCTTAGCAGTATATTTTGCTTAAAATGTCCAAAATCAATTTCTCTGTTCTCATCCCGAATAAAAATGCTTCAGCTTGACTCTGAACTCTCCTATCTTTAAAAATCACTGCCTGCTGTCTATTGTTACCATTGTATCATTATTCAACACCATGGTTACTATTATTGTTTGTTATTACTTGCAATGAAAGCCTGTGCAAATTTATCAAGGTGTTTTACCTGTGTCTTTGCCCACTATGAAGCCTTGCACCCGACTCCCCTTTGTGGGTTCATTTCCCTTCCTACTGAAGTAAGGGACTGTAGCTAGTAAACTCTCTTAACAACCTGTGTATGCTTGAAAATGTCATTTCTCCTTTTTGCTTAAATTATGTCAGCGTGTATTTAGTTATAAATTAAAATTATTTTCCTTGAACTCTCTGAAGATGTTAATTAATTGCATTCTGTTTGCTTTAGAAAGCGTGTTGTCAGTCTAATTGCTGTTTCTTCATAGTAATCTGGTTTTTCTCTCTAGTGGCTTTAACTTTTTCACTTGTTTGTGGTGTTCTGTAGTTGTGTTAAGATGTTTTTGATATCATTGTTTTTTAATCCTGCCTGACACTTGATATGCTGTTTCACTCATTTTATGTATTCTTTCAACAAATACTTATTGAACATATACTGCATGCCAGATGTTTCCTAGATACCAGGAATACAGAGCTGAACAAGGGAGAAGTTCTGTTTTCAAGGACCTGAAGTACTCTTGGAAGAGTTTATAGTCATATGCTCAGATTTTCAATCTCAGGACTCATGCATTTCTGTAGTTCTAGAAAATTATCTTTTATCTCTTTATTGCCTCCCTTTTATTATTTCTATCTTCATATGAAATTCCCATTTGTCTGTTGCCAGAACTTCTCATTCTATTTTCAAGACTTTTAATTTTTCTTTCATATTTTCTAAGTTTTTGTCTTCCAGTACAGCATTTGGGAAAACCTCTTCATCTCCTCTTCATTCTCTCCCAGTTCTGTACTCCAGTTCCCTAATTTTCTTTTAAGCCATATCTGGTCCTTTTTGTTTGTTTGTTTGTTTTAAGAGATGATGGGGGTCTTGTTATGTTGCTGAGGCTGGTCTTGAAGCCCTGGGCTCTGAAGAGCCTTCTGCTTTGGCCTCCTAAAGAGCTGGAATTACAGGCATGAGTACCTGTACCTGACCTAAGTCTCATCTGTTTTTAATTCAGTGTCTATAGTTTTTATTCTTATAATTTCTATTTGAATATTTTAATACTATTTTTCATAATGCTTTATTTTTATCTAAAATATTCTATTTTTTATCTTTGAATATTTTAAACATACATATTTTAAATTTTCTTCCAGATTATTCAATTAGCTATAGTCCTGGATGTAATTTCTCTACCTCTTTTGGTTGTTGACTCTACCATGGCATTTAATTTTGTCATGTTGTTTGTGGTTTTTGTCATAAGCTCATTGTGGTGGGAATGATCTTCTACAGAGTCTCTAAGTGAGTCCTCTGCTGTTAGAGCAGCCCTATTACCTTTCTGTGGCCTCACTAATTCTGTACCCATTTTTATATTGCTTCCTTATGCAAGGATTTCTATACCAGATATTGGGTATTGCACCAATTAGGGAAGGTTAAGGATTAATTTTTGGTTTTGGCTCATTATTTCCCCCCATGGACCTAGATGAAAGCCCCATTCTGTGTCATGCCCAAAGACAGGAAGGCAATGTTCTCTTCACTCCTGTTACAACTAGGATTCCTCACTTCCAGCTCCTCATTTTATGTGGGGAGACCAGTTTTAGTTTCAGTCCCAAGGCCTTGACTTCCATCTCATCACTATGGAAGTGTTAAAGCCCTAACTCCTGAGAGGTAGATCTGGTTAATTTGCTCCATAAGGCTTCAAGACCCTCATTCCTCTGATGAGTCCTGCTTATTTGTGACTCCTGGAGATTTCTTAGTTTTGACTCCAATTAACACTTTTAAATGTATATTTATTCCACATTTCTGTTTGATTGGGGAAAGGTTAATGCTTTATGGCATTAGCTTATGCTGCCACCTTAAGCAGGATTTCTAATATAGAAAAATAAATGTATTTTTGCATATTTACCTTATATTTATTCACCTTTTTTCTTTCATTTTCTTGAGTCTCAAACATACAATCATATCATCTGAAAGGTTGATAAATTTGTTCTCTATCTTAATAAAAAAGTTATGCCTTTAATTATTTTTGCATATGGTCTGTCATAAGCTGATAACAGTGTGTCAAATTCTTCTAATGTAACTGCATTTTTATCAATTTCTCGGTAGGTTTGCTTCCTTAAGTACTATACTCTTCTTTATGTATCCAGCATTTATTATAGTTTCTATCCATATAAAATTATGCCATTTATCCTTCTAATGATTCTGACTTATCAGATATTAACATTCTGTCTCTACATACAGCTCTTTTTTGTAGAGTTATCTGCTCTGCCTTTGATCACCTTGTTTCAAGCTTTTCTGTATTTTGTTTTATACACATTTTTATAAGTTATAATTGTTGTGGATGATGTTACTGTTTAAAGATTTTTTCTTTTTGCTATTTATGTGCTTTTTGTTTGTTCATTTTTGCTGTATACATTTTATTTTTATTTGCTATTTTTCTGGCAATATTCTAAAAGATAAGTTTGTTAAAAAAAAAAGATAAGCTTTGTGCTTTCAATGACAATACTGGTTAACTTAGATTTTTCAAAGACAATCCTAGATCTGTACTAAATTAACTCTTACAGTAAATACAAAATTAGTAGTTTTAAAACCATTTGAATTAGTTCATTTGGGTTTCTATTACAAAATACCATAAACTAGCATCTAAACAACAGAAATGTATTTCTCACAGTTCTGGAGGCTGGGAAGTCCAAGATCAAGGTACTAACAGATTCAGTGTCTGGCGAGGGCCTGTCTCCTGGTTCATAGATGGTACCTTCTAACTGTGTCCTCACATGGTAGTAGGAGAAAACAAGTTCTCTAGGGCCTCTTTTATAAGGGCACTGATTGCTCTAGAGCCCTCATGAGCTAATCTTTTTCCAAAGGCTCCACCTTCTAATTCCATCACCTTGGGGGTTAGAATTTGAACTTTTGAATTTGGGGGTTGGGGAACACAAACCTCAGACCATCTCTTGTGGAAGATAAGAAGTATGATACTGTTTCCCTTTATACTAGTTTTTCCTTTACTTACTCTGTGTTATGGATGCCATCATTTGTTTTCTATTAACTTAAAAATAAAAGTGATCTTTTCATTCACTTAAAAAAAACTATTGTAATCAATTTTATAACCATTTAAAACATGCTTAAAACAAACATTTAAACCCATCTCTGCAACTTATTCATTTTTCTGCTCAATGTCTGTTTTTCCACCAAGATTTTCCCATTCTGGAAATGTTTGATGTGTTTTTCATTGTCCCAGTGTAGATTTTTCAGTGGCTTATTCAGGGGCTTGCCTTGGCAGGAGAATTCTGCATGCTTCAGTAGCTGAGGACCTGCTTGTGTTGTTTTCCCATGTGAAGGGTGAGCTGATGGGGCACAGGCTCTCAGGCTTTATCCACAGAAGTTCTGCGGTGGTTTGCTAGCTTGCCTCCCAGCACTTTCACTTGCTGAGGAGTCTGAGAACAACCTGATTTTGATGTGGATTTTTTTTTCTGGGTGATCTGATTTTTTTTTCTTCTGGATGCCTATAAGATTCTCTCCTATTCTTCTTCTTCCTCTTTTTTCTTTTCAGATCCTGAAAAATTCCCACTGCATATGCGTGGGAATGGTTGTTATTCTGACATTTTGTTTTCTTGGAACATAATGCAAACTCTACATTCTCTACCTAGAGCATTTCTTTGTTTCAGCCAACATTTCCCATATTGCTTCGGCTGATGACTCTCTTGTTACTCTTGTTCAGCAGTAGTGCTATACAGGTCTATGCAGTTCCTCCTACCAGGGTGACCCTCTTCACATCAGCTTCTTAAAGTTCCAGAGATGTCATATCCTCTGGGATTATTTAAAAAATGATAAATTAGTAAATTTTATTTTATTTTCAAATATTTTCTCTTGTTTCTTATAAGAAATCTACTTTAGAGGGAGATATATCTTCAATCTTCTCTCCTTCAAGTTTTTGCTCTGCTGTCGTATTCTCAGTGAGACTTACCTTGACCACTCAAGTTAGCATTGCAATCCCTCTTCCTACTTGTACTCCAGATTCCCCTGATGCTATTTTTTCTTTTCCATACATCTATCAGTTTCTAAAACATTGTATATTTAGTAGTTTGTTTAACCTATTTTTTTATGGTTGTCTTTCTTTCACCTGTACCCTAGCTCCACTAGAATATAAATTCCCAGAAGGAGAATAGAGATCTTTGTATGTTCTGTTCCCTGATATAACCAAGTACCCTAAACATCCCCTGGCACAGAGTAGGTGCTCATTAAATATGTATTGGATGAATGACTAAATTCTTCAGTGTGAGTAAATATCCAGGGATTTATTTTCTGTTTGCATATATTTACAGAAACAGATGTGTTCTTCTCTAATATTCATTACAGGCATGTAGAATGGAAATATGGTAGATCCCTTTGGAGACTGATGTGGATCCTTGGCAAGCTCTTTCAAGTTCTGATAGACATAAGAAAGGAAAAGTGCACATTGACTATAAATTGGTGTCATCCTTCCAAAGATTCTGAGCCTCACATGAGGGATGAGAGATGGAATGATAAGTAACTGGAATGTCATCTCTCTCCTGCACAACTGCCCCTGTGTGTTTGCTCTGGGTGCCTAGAGTTTGCTTAAGTAGTAAACCTTAGGGACTTCCAGTGCCATCGGTGGTGTCAAAATTCTAGCAGCTCACCCAAAGAGGGTTTTACTCACTTTCTCTTATTAAGTAATAAATATAGAGAAGTTTGTTGTTAACTGAAATGGAAAGATAGGGCAGCTCTTACTTTCTGGAAACAGGAATGGACTATTCATAAGTTAGAATGATTCTTCCCATCTTCCTCAGCCTACTCTTGCTCTTTTTGGAAGCAGTACTCTTCTCATCTCAATTAATCAATTAATTAATAAATTACTGCAAGAAAACTGAAGATTTCTGCTCGTTCTTCCTTTACCTAAAACACTTTTCAAGATTCAGTTTAAAAATTATCTTAAATATAAATATTCACCAGTCTTTCCAAACAAAATTTAGTCTCCCTTACTTTGAACCTCCCAAATTTTACTGCTATGTCTCTTGTGGTACTCCGAATAATCATCCTTAAATGTATCCTTAAGGAAGTGTGTATTTTCTCTCTCCTAATACTTTATAGGCACCTAAGGAACACGAACTGTCTCAGCTATGCATTGCTACATATTATTGCTTGCCTTTCCTATTTCTTATGATTCTGTATGTTGACCAGGTGGCTTTTTCTGGAAGCCCACTCATGTGATGCATTAATTTGGGAGCAGGGAGAGTGTCATTTAAGTACTGAGCTCAGCTGGAATAGGTGGGATGGCCAGGCTTCTCTTTCAGCCCAGGTTTCTTTAGGGTTAGGATTCTCAGGGCAGTTCTTCAAGAGGGCAAAAGCAGAAGCTTTGAGGCCGCTTGAGGTCACAGCTCCTGCAGTGTCACTCCTACTCCATCCTGTTGACGAAAGCACATCACAAGACCTGTCCAGATACAAGGGGTAAGGAAGTCCATTCCACCTCTTGAGGGAGGAATTGCAAAGTAACATTGCAGAGGAACATGTAGGTTGAAAGAAATTGTTGAGTCTTTTATTGTTTCAAGATCTATCCTTTGCCCAAAATAATTCACACTTCTCTCATATGCAAAATATAGTCACATTCCACCAAAAGTCTCACCTCAATTTTCGGTGTCAAGCTCAAAGGCCATGTTTTGCATCAGATCCAGAAGTGGACAAGGCTTCTCTGGTGCAGTGTCTTGAGAGCAGTAACTCTTTTTTTTTTCAACTTTTATTTTAAGTTCAGGGTTACAAGTGTAGCTTTGTTACATAGGTAAACTTGTGTCATGGGGGTTTGTTGTACAGATTATTTCATCACCCAGGTATTAAGCCTAGTACCCATTAGTCAGTTTTCTGGCCCTCTCTCTCCTCCTGCACTCCACTCTCCAATAGTCCCTAGTGTGTGTTTTTCCCTCTACGTGTCTATAAGCTCCCACTTATAAGTCAGAACATGCAGTGTTTTGTTTTCTGTCCTTGTGTTAGTTTGCCAAGGATAATGACCTCCAGCTCTATCTGTGTCCCTGCAAAGGACATGATCTCATTCTTTTTTGTGGCTGAATAGTATTCCACAGTGTAAATGTACCACATTTTCTTCATCCAGTCTATCATTGATTGGCATTTAGGTTGATTCTATTTCTTTGTTATTCTGAATAGTGCTGCAATGAACATACATGTGCATGTTTCTTTATAATATAATGATTTATATTCCTTTGGGTATTAATGTGGTTTGGCACTGTGTCCCCACCCAAATCTTTTCTTGAATTGTGCTCCCATAATTCCCATGTATTAGGGGAGGGACCTGGTGGGAGATAATTTTAATCATGGGGGCAGTTTCCCCTATACTTTTCTCATGGTGGTGAATAAGTCTCATGAGATTGGATGGTTTTATCAGGGGTTTCTGCTTTTGCATCCTTCTCATTTTCTCTTGCTGCCACCCTGGAAGAACTGCCTTTCACCTCCCACCATGATTCTGAGGCCTCCCCAGACATGTGGAACTGTAAGTCCAATTAAACATCCTTTTCTTCCCAGTCTTGGGTATGTCTTTATCAGCAGCATGAAAATGAACTAATACAGTAAATTGGTACCAGGAGTGGGGTGGTTCTAAAAAGATACCAAAAAATGTGGAAGTGACTTTGGAACTGAGTAGCAGGTAGAGGTTGGAACAGTTTGGAGGGCTCAGAAGAATACAGGAAAATGTGGGAAAGTTTGGAACCTCCTAGAGATTTGTTGAATGGCTTTGACAAAAATGTTGATAGTGATATGAACAATAAGTTCCAGGCTGAGGTGGTCTCATATGGAGATGAGGAATGGATATTGCTGGGTTGAATTGTATTTCTGCCTCTAGGTCTTTGAGAAATTGCCACACTGTCTTCCACAATGGCTGAATTAATTTACACTCCTACCAACAGTGTACAAGCAGAGAACAGTAATTCTTTATCTAGAGATTTGTGGACTAAAATGTCAAGCCATCTGCCCATACACCCAACATACCATGGCATGGATAATTGCAATAGGCACTTCTGCTCACAATAAGGAAGAAGAGGAAGCACACAGCAGCTCCTAGCTCTCAACAATTTTGAAGTCCAACTGGGCCATATTGCCTACTTTAGGGACAGAAAATGTTCTTTGATAGGAGCTTGTTTCTGCATTTTTGAAGTGGTTTCCTGGTTTATTATTCTCCTTGGCAATTTGTTCTGTCCTCTGGGCTCCTGGTTCTCCCCTCTGAGACATCTTTTCTTTTCCTTAAGAAATAACCTATGTACACACACATACACACACACACACACATACACACACACAGTAACTATGTGAGGATGTGAACATGTTAGGTAACTTGATTGTGGTAATCATTTCACAATGTATACGTATATCAAATTATCATCTGTACACCTTTAATATGTACAACTTTGTCAATTTTACCTCAATAAGAGAAATAACCTATGTTTGCAGCTGAGTAGTGTTCTATAGAACATTGAAGGCCCAGAAGGCTCTTTGCATTTTGGACTAGCAGTCTATTTTGTTCCAAGCTATTAGTGTTTTTATCATTGTGACTCTCTTAAAAACATTGTGAGTTTCCTATGAGTCTTCCATTGTTCATGCCATGCACCATAAGCCACATCTATTCTTGTTTTGAGATAGACTTCTCTGTATTTTAGGTGGATAGCTGCTGTGTGGCAACACCTTGAGTTTCTCAGATGTTCTTTTATCTAGCTGATAGCATCTACTGGGCACCATCTAAAAGCTTTCTGAAGTTTTAACAAAGTCCAGCAACCATAGCTGTGATTTGATGTTTGTGTTAGGACCATCTCATACATCGATAATTGTTTGCTATCAGGAGAAACTGACTATATGAAAGAGTTTTATTTTCCAACCCAACAAGTCCTGGCCTTATACCCCTCCTCTAAAGTATACTAACAAACTGAAGAATTTCCTATTTATAGTTCATCTCACCCTAACATAATTTATCATACATAGAAAAATGTGCCAAATAATGCTTTCCACTTTCTGCCGATCCACAAGTTTATTAGGTACACTTGCCATGCTCTACATTATCTCAGAAAACACTCTTGCAAATGTACCACCACTTCATGACACGAGTTGCCTTTCCCCAGCCTTAGAGATTTCCCCAGCCCATAGAGATTTCCGTACTGCTCTTCCAGCTTTTACTAATAGTCTTTTCACTGCCTTTCAGCCTTCATTTGCAACACAGAACTAAAACCAATGTCATATGTTTTAAGTCTTTGTTACAACAAAGGTACCCATTTGGGTCTGTTGTGTACTTTTGAATAGCAAGCTACATCAAAACTTAGTGGCTTAAAATAACAGTGGTTCATTATTTCTCATGATTATGTGACTTGAGTGCCTGGTTCTTTCCTGACTTTTGGTGGGTTCACTCATTCGATTGCATTTAGGTGTAGAGTCAGCTGTTAGTTGAGCTTAGCTTAGCTTACCTGCAAGAGATGGAGAGCTTCAGGTAGTCTTTGATCTTGGTCTTCTATACAGTATAGTGGCCACAGAGTTCCAAGAGAGAAAGGGCAAAAGTTGTGAGGTCTCTTGAAGTGGACTCTGGAACTCACAGATTCCTGGTACCACATTCTATTTGTCAAAGAAAGCTGCATAACCAGCCTGGTTTGAAGAGGTGCAAGAAGCCTCTACCTCTGGGTAGGAGGTGCAGCATAATCGCAGTACAGAGGAACATGTCGCCTGAGATGGGAGGAATTTGTGACCATTAAACAATGTACCACAGAAACCAAATCCTCTTAGTTTTTGTATTCTCTATGGCATAAAGCAGATCATCTAACATAAATAAGTACTATAATCGATATTTATTGAAGTGAAGGAGAACAAAAGAATAATTGAGGTCAATAATTCCAAATCTGATGTTCTATATGAAATAGACTTAACATTCAGATACTTTCAAAGGCATTTTCTTCTGATGATGTAGGAGGATTTCACTCCACATTATAAATGTAGCCAGAAAAATGCTGATTTTATCTTTTAATTCTCAAAAACCGTAAAAACATGTTTCAGTTCAGCTAAAGGATTTTCGATTTGACAACTCTCATGAATATAATATTCAGGCTATCATTAAGAGTGAGCTAAAGTAGATCTCTTTATGCTGGAAGATTCACACATATGAATATATCTGGCCATATATGTCTACATACATGAAACCATTAAGGAATGTAGACAGCATGAGAGAATTAAAAGTGAATCCTTTAGGAATAGGGCCAATTTTTTCTCTTTAGTGAAAACAAAGCATTGTTTACATATATATTGCAATACATTTTTTCTTGAAGTAATCTAAATGATTTTAAATTCTAACAATTTAAAGTATCTTTGGTGTTGAGCATAAACACCTATAGATATTGACATATTAGTGTTCTAATTGTCATGATAATGCTCTATTGTTTACAGAATCTCATTTGATATTTTTACTTATTATGGATAAAACAGTGAATAAGAAATTTCAAATTACTTTTAGTACTATTATTTGAATATAAATATTTTCTCTTCTAAATAGGTGCTTTAAAGGCAACGTCTACATATTATCTACTTTCCCGTCACTAGTTCAGATCATTACATTTAGTTGGCCCTCAATATTTGCTGAATTAAATCAAATGGAGATTCAAGTTCAAATTTCAACTATGACTCAAAAGTTTCAACTTTTTCATATGATTTGATTCCTGTGTGCACATTGAAAGTAAATGTTTTTCAGATGTGTTCAAATGCATTTTTCTCTTCCTCATTTCAAGAGGTGTCACAAGGCCACTGACTCTACACCTAAGTGTCCTTGTACCTGTGTCAGGACTAGACTCAGTGGCTTACCCCAACCTATCAACATTTAAGACCCCTCACATTATTAGTAGCATGGATTTCTCCTTCTCTATGCAACAGACTGTGCAGTGGCCTTCTCTGGTTGATCAATCTGTATGGATTCAATAATATCCACCATGTGCCTGGCATTAGGACCCTGAGGAGGGAAAAAGTAAAAGTCCCTACTCTAAAGACATGCATTGTTTAATTAAAGAAATATTTACATAAATAATAATATTTGTAATCACAGCAGCTACCATGTTTTTGCATGCCTACTCTTTGCCAGTTGCATTTTACATGTTATCTTCCTTTCATCCAAGCACACTGTAAGTTAGGCAATTGTTATGCCCAATTCTTGGGTAGGGGAATAGGCTCTGGGAGTTTCATGAACTTGCCTGAGACCATAGCTGTAGTAAACGGGTGAAGCAGGGATTCCAACTCAAATTCAGTGTCACAGGCCATGCTTTTGCTGCCTTCTGATCCAGGGAATAGCTGGATAGGGACACGTGGCAGAAAATTTAGAAAGAACCCAAAATAAGAGTGTGGGATCCCAGCTAAAGGAAAAGAGGAGAGAGGAATTATTGTTGTGTTTTCTAATGGGGTATGTTTTGTGGCTTAGGTGGAGCTTGAGCTTGAATTGAAAGGTGAGGGTCAACTTGGACACACAGGATGGGCAGGATTTACATGGGCCAGCTACAGCTTGGTCAAGGTGGGCAGGCTGCCCTAGCCCCTTAGCATATATTACCAGCTGTCCCCTTTCACCTTGCCTTGCCCAGTCTTTTTTTTTTTAATCACTTCCCTTATCCTCATCAAAGAACTGTCATTTCTTTCTTCATTCAAAGCATCATACAAATCGATTACTTCCATAAAGCCTGCTCCAGACAGAAAATTCCCAGATGCCTTACAAGCCCTCTAGCATGCATGTTCATTTCTTCTCTGCCTTAGATAGATTTCTCTCATCTGTGTTTTCATGTTTTCCCACTTACGTTGGTTGTCTCTCAGCAGGAGGGAAGTCCCCTGGAAGCAAAGATTTGTCTTTTGTTATTAACTCCCCTCTATCCTCATCCTGCACTCTATTTACACTGGACAGTTGAAAAATGTTACCAAGAGACTAACTCAGAGGGATGTTGAGGGGAATAAATTAAGTCAATAAAATTATGAATGGCAACCCACAGAAGCTTTGCTGAATGGCATACCATGTCTAACATGGAATTTTTATTATTGTGTCTGCAAGTTAGATCTCTGCATTCTTGTACTTTTATCTTGTCTTTATTTGCATTTAAATAGTTTCTTCCCCTCTTTAACATTTCTATATTTTCTGTTTTTTCTCACTTTCCCTAATAATCTTCTTTCTTTTAATTTAATTTTTATCAAGATAATAATGTAAGTCATTTTGAAAGTCAAATAATAAAAACCTTTAGAGAGTAGGCAGCATCTTCCTACCCCTCCTCATCTCTCTCTCTCTCTCTCTCTCTCTCATCTCCTTGCTCATGGGCAAATAATTTTCACTGGCCTAACTGTATCTTCTAGCATTTACTTGCATATTTTGAAATAGCATGCACATACTGCTATTTGTTGATTATTTTAGTTTTAGCTATTAGTTAATAATCCTACTATGAAAGTTTGATCCCACCTTGAACATAAATTTCCCCTCTTTCCAGCCTTTCCAAAGAGTTAAATCAACCTGGTATTCAATAGATCAGCAGTGTGACTACAGCTAATGTTAATCAGTTGGACATTTCAAAATAGCTGGAAGATAATAATTCAAATCTTCCTAGCATAAAGAAAAGAGAGAGATTTAAGGTGATGGATGCCCCAATTACCTTGATTTTATTATATGAATGTATCAAATTAGCACTTGTACCTAAATAAAGTACATCTATTATGTATCAATAAAAGAAACAAAAACAAATAGTTAAATCACAATTTGAAGCTAAATCAATATTTGTCATTTATATTATGATCACTTTGTAAATATTATTTATAGTTGAGTCACATTAAAAAACTCATTACATTTTAAATGTTCCTTTAAGTAAAAACCTATGATGACATTCCCTTCCCTATATAACCTTTTGCCATCCCTTCAGTTAGTAATTGCTTTAATAAGAATTTCTTGACTGCTCTATGCACCCAGTACTGCCTATTGACCTGGGGGACAAGGGCCCCTTGTCCTTGCCATTAGCTTTAGACTCTAAAGTTTAGAGGATTCCCTTTAGCTTTCCCCTAGCCTCAGCTTTCTCCATGCAGCAAGATACCCATGGTGGGGAGGGAGGGAGACATGCCCACCTGCAGCTGGTACCACTCTACCTTTCTAGACATTGCTTTTGAAACCCAGGACCCCAGAATTCCCTGCCCAGATGATCCCAATTCCCCTTCCCGGTCCCTTCTTGCAAAGCTAGGTGGTGCTTCTGTGTGTACCATCTCCAAGGCTGAGGACTCCAAGGCTGAGGACTGACCAAGGAGCAGCTGCTGTTACAGTGTCCACGGACTTGTGCAAGAAACCTCATGGTAAAGAAAGGAGCTTTACCATGAGGGTTCTCGTGCAAGTCCAGGAAATAGTTGGAAGGGGACACATGGCAGAAAATTTAGAAAGAACTCCAAATAAGAGTGTGGGACCCCAGGTAAAAGAAAAGAGGAGAAAGGAATTATTGTTGTATTCTAATGGGGGACGTTAGAAAATACATGCCCCATTTGGATAGCATGGGCTGCAGGCTGGAGGTCTTCTCACTCCTTACCCGGCCTTCCAATGTAAGGGACCAGTGTGTGTGCACTAAAGATTAATTCACCTTCAGCAGTGATGGGACTAAATCTCCTCTCAGTTTGGTCAAACACACTGACTAATATCTTTAGTTAGAGAAGTCTCTCCTTTTACAGTCATCCAAATCCACCAGCCCTGCTGTACAGATGTACATCACTTCTCTTCTTCATCTTTTTCGGAATCCCTTTTGATTTGTTTCTCCTCTGTGTTGTCTCTGCTATTTTCTGGATCCCATGGCATCTTCTTTCTTGATTTGTCTTGAGATACACTGCAGGTTGAAAAACATTGTGTGGTGCTGGACTGGGCTTGGTGTCTCGTGCCTGCAATCCCAGCACTGTGGGGGGCTAAGCCAGGAGGATTGTTTGAGCCTGGGAGTTCAAGACCAGCCTGGGCAACATACTGAAGCCCCATTTCAAAAAAAAAAAAAAATTAGCTAGGCATGGTGGCATGTTCCTGTAGCTACTCAAGAGGTTGAAGTGGGAGGATCACTTGGGCCCAGGAGTTAGAGGCTGCAGTGAGATATAATTATGCCACTGCACTCCAGCCAGGATCCAGAACAAGATCCTGTCTCAAAAAAAGAAAAAGAAAAACATTGTATGGTGTCCTCACACTAAGCTTGGTATCAAATTTGTAGGTTGGAAATTGCTTTTCTTCAGAATTTTGGAGGCATTTCTCATTTTTGTTAAGCTTCCAATATTGTCATTACTTCCAATGATATTTTAATCCTTGGTCCTTCACACAGAATGTGAATCTGTTTTTTTCTGGAGCCTTTCCCAGGAAACATTTCCTGGTGTTCTGTAATTCATATTGCTGTGTTTGGTCTGGGTCTTTTTTATTTACTCAGTTGAGCACTCTATGAGCCCATTCAGTCTGAAAAATCATGTTCTTTCATCCAAAGGACTTTCTTACTTTATTTCTTTGTGAAATTCCCTCCTCCATTTTCCCTGGGCTTTATTATTATTATTATTATTTTTAACTTTTGTTATTTGAATGTTTGATTTCCTGGAATTGCCTTCCCAATTAAAAAAAAAAAACTCTTTTCTTGCCAATTTTGGTTTGTCTTTTTGTTCTATCTTCAGGAGATTTCCTCAACATGATCGTCCTGTCCTTCTCTGCACTTTTCACATAGGGCATAACACTTCCTCTCTAAGTGTACTTTTTTGGCTATGGTTGTCAATAACATCCTATCCTGCTTTTCCCCCACAGATGCAGTGTCTTCTATTATATCTCTGAGGATTTTAATTATAATTCCTTTTTCTACATTTTCTCATTTCCTCCAGCTTCTTCTTCTTCTTCTCCTCCTCCTCCTCCTCTTCCTCCTCCTCCTCCTCCTCCTCCTCCTTCTTCTTCTCCTTCTTTTCCTGTAAGCTTGTTTGTTCTCCCTAGGTTGGAAAGTTTTCTCATGTGTCACTGATTCCTGGCTGACAAATCATCCCTTGGATGGGGTGCACTAAAATTCCGTGTGGAAGTTCTGTCCGCATGTGAGGGTTCTGCCAACTCTTGAGGTTCATGGTGGCATGGCAGGGCAGCACGCTAGCTTTGCATTGGAGTGCCTCCAAGTGTTAGTATCTATAGGTCTTCATCCTCTGAGAAAAGTACCCCCAATCTCTTAACTGAGGGAAAAGGTGGCTGCCAGCTTTCTGGGGGCTGAGTGAGGGAAGGGAGCAGGTGGTTTCTCAGTTTGGGATGTAGACTTTCATTTAGCTGGATTTGGCTCCTTAGCCTTGACCTTTGCTGTACTTGGCATCCTGAAGCCTCTCTTTTCCAGCACCCTCAGACAGTAGATTCTTCCTCTTCTGCTGGGTGGGATCTGGGTGTTGCGCTGCTCCTTTAAACCCTTCCATGGACTCCCCTTGTGTTAGTTGCTTGTCTCTGCCTTCAGAGGGACTCTACCTCCTGGGCATTTCTAGGAGTTTGTGGTGCAAATTGACTTGCTTTTTGCTGGCTTACTTTCTCTGGACTGTTACGACAGTGACTATTTGTCTATCAGCTTGCCAACTTCCGAAATTTGTTGATACTTCTAATCTGCTATCATCTCATATTTCTCTTTGTTCCCTAAGTTTATGCATTAAAAGATTCCTTTACTCTTATGTAAATGGAGTTTTAAATGAAGAGGAGATAAACTCACAATTTCTTTTTTAATTTTTTTGAGACAGAGTCTCTCTCTGTTGCCCAGGCTGGAGTGCAGTGGTGCGATCTTGGCTCACTGCAACCTCTGCCTCCTGGGTTCAAGCGCTTCTGCCTCAGCCTCCCGAGTGAGTAACTGGGATTACAGGCATGCACCACCATGCCCGGGTAGGTTTTTAGTAAAGACGGTGTTTCACCATATTGGCCAGGCTGGTCTTGAACTCCTGACCTCAGGTAATCCACTCGCCTTGGCCTGCCAAAGTGCTGGGATTACAGGCTTGAGCCACCGTGCCTGACCTAAACTCCCAAGCTTCATCTTCCATCTTCATGTATAAAGAGAATCTCTACCAACCTTTATTTAGTTTCGTTCATATGTTTTGTTTCCATTTTCCCATGATTCTGTTCTTGACGATGTGAGTTAGCATTTAAAATGGCTATATGAATTATCTTTAATGCCATCAAAGTTTTTTCCACTTCTTTTCATATGCATTTACTGATTTTGTTTTTATTACATTGCTTAGGAAGCAAAAACGTTCAAAAATATCCTTTCAGTTAGGGTAAGAATAAGCAAAACTATGGAGAAATTTGAAAGTTTAATAAAGTTTTTACATACCCAGTGGCAAATAGGTAAACACCATAGTAAGAAGTACCTACAACCAGAAAACTCCTTTACGTATCAAAGCTCAGTCAGTGAATTGTGACAGTTGTTAAATCTTTACAGGCCACAGATCTTTATAGGGTCCTATAAAGATTTCAAGAATAGTAGAGGATGTGACTAGTATAAGAATAACTGCAGCCTGCAGGAAAAATAAAACAGAAAGAAAAGTCTGGGAAATTAGAAACATTGAGTTTCAAAAATGACAAAACTAAGCAGTTTCAAATTTGTACCAAGTGCTTATTACTATGTGAGAATAAATATACTGTCAACTAAAAACCAATCTGGATTAGTAAGGAGAGACCATTCAAAAGGATTAGAGCAAGTAGAGGACAGGAAATGTCGCAATGGGGAGAACTCTGGGAACACAAGATCTGTAAACTCTCAAGGATTAGGCAAAAAGGGTTTGCTTTTATTTTTAACTTTTATTTTAAGTTCAGGGCTACGTGTGTAGGTTTGTTTCCTAGGTAAACTTGTGTCATGGGGGTGTCAGGTTATTTCATCACCCAGGTATTAAGCCTAGTATCCATTTGTTATTTTTTTTTGATCCTCTCCCTCCTCCCAACCTCCACCCTCCAATAGACCCCAGTGTGTGCTGTTCTCCTCCATGTGTCCATGTGTTCTCAGCATTTAGCTCCCATGTAGAAGTGAGAACATGTGGTATTTGGTTTTCTGTTTGTGTTAGTTTGCTGGGGATAATGGCCTCCAGCTCCATCCATGTCCCTGCAAAAGACATGATCTTGTTCTTTTTATGTCTGTGTAGTATTCCATAGTGTATATGTACCACATTTTCTTTATGCAGTCTATCACTGATGGACATTTAGGTTGATTTAGATTTTCTTATAGGGAGGAATCAATGAGATTAGAAGAACCGGGTGTGAGAAGTGGGATGAGAGAGAGGCATGATTGGATAGTAGCTCTGATGCCAGCCAGCGGCTGAGTAGGGGCCTAAGTTCAGGGGCCAGGAGGAAGGAGACACTCTTAAACAAATTTGGTTAACAAGCATTTCATTCTGACTGATCAGTGGGTATTGATCAGTGGGGACGAGAAGTTTAGCTAACCATTTATAAGGCAAAGAATGGAAATTTGGAGGGTCTGTGTCTGGTCTTGTCCTAGACAAGCAAGAGGGCCTCTGTGTCTTCTCTAAGTCCTATGGGAAGAGCGATTCTTTGCAGTCAGCTGGTTCTTGGAACACAAAGGGCAAGGGATTTCTCCGCCTTTGCTGTTTTCAGGATCATAGGAATCAGGTAAATTTAACACTGTCCATATGAGTAAGCAAGACAGCTATTCCAGGAAAGCAAAGAGGCTAACATGAGAGAAAACTAGTGAAGTATTTCCCTACAATGTAGTAAGTGGTGGGACAAATAAATATATAGGTTGCCATGGTGATACAGAGGAGAGGCACTTTCCACTGAGGGGAGGGGTGGGCAGCTGAGCTGGGTCTTAATGGATGGCTGGGATCTGTCCAGGTGGGAACACACCATTTGGGCCAAACTGTAACTGCCCAAGGGGTTCACCTTGCCAGCTGCCTAGACAGAGCCGATTCATCAAGACAGGGGAATTGCAATAGAGAAAGAGTAATTCACGCAGAGCTGGCTGTGCAGGAGACCAGAGTTTTATTATTACTCAAATCAGTCTCTCTGAGCATTTGGGAGGGGAGCACAGGTTTTAAGGATAATTTGGTAGGTAGGGGGAAACCAGTGAGCCAGGAGTGCCGATTGGTCAGAGATGAAATCATAGGGAGTTGGAGCAGTCTTCTTGCGCTGAGTCAGTTCCTGGGTTGGGGGCCAAGATCAAGTGAGCCAGTTTATTGATCTGGATGATGCCAGCTGATCCATCAAGTGCAGAGTCTGCAAAATATTGGAAGCACTGATTTTAGAAGTAGTTTAGGGAGAGTCAGAATCTGTAGCCTCCAGCTGCATGACTCCCAAACCATAATTTCTAATCTTGTGGTGAATGTTAGTTCTACAAAGGCAATCTAGTCCTCGACAAGAAGGAGGACTGCTTTGGGAAAGGACTTTTACCTTCTTTGTTTAAAGTATAAACTAAGTTTCTCCCAAAGTTAGTTCAGCCTCTACCCAGGAATGAACAAGGACAGCTTGGAGGTTAGAAGCAAGATGGAGTCGGTTAAGTTAGATCTCTTTCACTGTCTGTCATAATTTTGCAAAGGCAGTTTCAAAACCAGAAAATATCACCGAAGATCATCAAAACCAAGGTGCTCTGTAAGCATTGTGTACCCAAGCTTATGCACAAGTGGATGAGGGAGAAACAGCCTTTTCTGATGAGAGATTTTCCTCCTTAGGGCTGTTGTGACAATTTTCTTCAGAGTAGGAGTCTATTTGTAAACATCTAGTAAAAATCTAGATGACATATAAGAATTTATCTACAGTGTATTTTCCAATTTAAGGTATATATTGTCTTCTAGCATCAAAAAGTGTCAAACTCCTGCTTTATTCTTTTTCAGAAGCAGACCACTGCAAAACCAATTTTTTTTCTTGCACTGCAAACAGAGTATAAAAGCTAGGGGAGCAGATATCAAAGCATCCCAGATGGGGCACGTGTTCCCTGCACTTTGTGTTTAGGCCTGAGTTCCTTGCTGGAGGAAAACCTACTTGTTCATCAGAATTTAATCAGCAGTGACATAAAATATGCTGGGTGAGGGACACTTTTGGAGGCTCACAGGTTGGGAGACAAGAGTCAGGGAATAGAGGAATGGCTGCCTGAGGGTAAAGGCACAGACTCTCAGCGAATAGAATTCGCTGAGAAAAGCAAGAGGACGGGTCTCTGCTGAACCCTCATTCCCACTCTACGCTGCTAACCTGGGTTGGGAAACTGCAGGACCCACAGCAACCCCTAGGAGTTGCTATGACGCCATTCAAATTTCCTTCAGGATACAGTCTCACCATATATCCTCCTTGAGAACATGCAGGATTTAACCTAATTTGAGATTCACATTTCCTTCTCAGGAGTAATGGGGGTCTGCTTTGTTATTTCTTGATCACTGTGACTTTTATTTTAACTTCTAAAACGCTATAGCACTTGTAACAAGAGGGAAGCAAATGTCTTCTTCCAAATATAGAGGATAGTAAAACACAACATGTCCTAAATGCAGAGCCAGACTGCAGCCTGGCAGTGTTTCAGTGGCTTCGAGTTTGGCATCATGCTTCTTCCTGCACAAAGGGTCCTCACCACCAGAGAAACCTCTGCCCGGCACCCTGGGTGGTACAATAGAAGTGAGCAGAACCCTCCCTGGTACTGGGAGGCACCTCTTATGGGATCCACAGAGGTCTCTGTGAGAGAAAACATGTGCATAAAAGGAGGAAAGAGGCCAAAGCAGAAAGAGGAGACTTACAGAAGCTAGTCAACAACAACAATAACAATAATAATCCAACAGAATGGGAAAGAAAAGGAGCCAAATACCTTAAAAATAAAGAATAGCCTAGAAAAAAGCAAGGTAAAGATAGAAAAAGCCTGTGCATGTGAAAATACATAAAGTTTGACTAAGGTAGGTGGTGCAAATATAGGTATCTAAGAAAGGGCAAAAAATGAGTGTCATCTGCCAGTAATAAATAAACAGGAAAAAATAAAACAAACAAACAAAAAAATAAAACCTCTTCTGTATCCAAAACTACAGAGGGAATAGGTTATGGCAAAAAGAGCCAATTGGGAAACATAAGGTAAATTCAGTACTGGTTTTTGTGGGAAATTCATTGTTCCAGGGTAAAAATTTTGGGGCTTTCTCAGCTTTCATTTCTCAGACTGAATGCTTGACTACGGTAACTGACAAAGATGATCAATTGCATCACCCAGATTTCCACGTTGACTACAAGATCAGGGAAACCAAGCTCCTACTCTCTGTCTACACCAATCCTTTTTTAGACCAAAGTAGTAAACACTTTTAAGGGCAGGTTCGGCCCTACCTATGTTTTAGGGCAGTCCCAAGCAAGTCTGCTGATATTTCACGTATCTTGTGCCACAAGTGGGTGAGTTATGAAATAATTTCCCTGTGAGGTAGTTCCAAGGGCCTTGTTTTTGCCCTCTTAGCCTCCGGTTTCTCTGTATACTTTCAGTTCATATTTACCCTATAATTGCCCGATGAACTTGGAGCCTAGTTCTTGGTTCCTGGTTCCTGGCTAAGGCTCTCCCACTGCCCAGCACTGGACAGTCCCTCTCCCTGACTTGCGCAGCAGCTGAATGGCTTGCTTTAGAGTGACTGCCCCTCCAGGATTTCCGCCCTTCCAAAAGCACAACCGAGACACCTGCCGAGTTTGAGAGATTTCCTCTGCTGTGTTCTGCCTTCCAGATCGGCCCCACCAGATCCAACCAATTGCAATTTGTGATGTGGGCTGTTTATGTGTCTTCCCATACAACCATTTAATCTGCAAAACAAATGTGTGAGGGTGGCTATCGTGATTTTTATTTTCAAAAGGAGGAAACTGAACACCAGAATCATGAAGTAATTCACCCAAGGTCAAACAGCTAAGGGAGTGTGGCAGGGCGGGGGTCTAGATTCTGATTTGGGTGACATCAGGAACTGACTTGTTCTACCACATCATGCAGAGGACTAGAAAACATCTTCTTTATAGATCTCATTCTAAAATGACAATAAAGAAAACAAAGATTACAGAAAGTGGTTTGCCTAAGACTATACAAATGGTTAGTGGAAAAACTGACTTTTAAATGATCTCCTCACTTCCACATGATCTCCTCGCTTCCAGACAGGTAACCTGCAGAATACCTTGAGACTTGGCACCCTGATATGGAGCAGTTTCAACAATGTTCAGTCTTTATGTCCTCAGGAAAAGGTCTGGACCCTCAATGTCACACTTGGAGCCCAGCGCGATCCATCTTCTCTCACTTTATTTTGTGTCCCTACAATGCCAGACACAGAGCCTCCATTTCTGCAAATATTTCAGTTAAACTGAATTGTTATAGGTTTGAGCAATTTTTTAAAACTCTATGCTTCTTTATTTCAGAATAGGAAAATGGAAAAAAAAAGAGGCTGTCATTTGCCACGCATTTACCATTTCAGATATTGTAATAGGCACTTTTAAATTGACCAGTAATCTCCTAAACTTAAATGTAGACCACAGTTACCTGAAAACCTCCTTAAAACCAAACATTTCTGGGCCTCACCCCCAGAGTTTCTGACTCCGTAGGCACAGGGTGGAGTCTGAGAACCTGCATTTCTAATAAATTCCCAGGTGATGCTAACGCTGCCATGATCAGGAGACCACACTTTAAGGCTCACTAGCACAGGCAATAGTCTGTACTTACGCAATAAGGGTATCAGGATCGCAGCACACATTTTTGGGTTCCAAAACCATATGCTCATTCCAAAAATCATGCTCCTCCATATGCAGCAGATTCTCAAAGGAGCAGCTGGCCCGGTGTCTCTCTCCTTTCTGGTGTGGGAGCCACACACAGTTCTCCCACACTGAGGTCAGGGCTGACAAACACGCCGAGGGACCCCCCAACCTTCCCCTGCCCCCTGGCTCTGGCTCAGCTGTCACACCTCTGCCCCGGGGAGGCTCTTCCTCTCAGCCTCTGCCCCAGGGAGGTCCTTCCTTGCTTGCAGGGGAGCTCAGGCCCAGTGGCAACGCATGGACTAATTTACAGCCCCTCCCTTCCTGGCTCTCTCAGGTCAGTAGGCTTGGCCACCAAAGGGAACACTGTGTGTGTGTGTGTGTGTGTGTGTGTGTATGCATGTGAGTGTGTGCCTGTGTGTGTGTGTGTGTGCTTCTTTTGAGGAGGCTGAGGATGCTTTGAGGTTGGAGAGGGGAAGATGGGAGATGACTCATAAAGACTGGTGGGCCAGGGCACTATGCCTGCAGCCTCTGGTAGTGTCAGGGGAGGCCAGCATGAGCTGCTATTGTGGGGGTCCTCTGCCCTTCCCTCATCCTCTGTAAGAGGAAACAGGAGAAGCATGGTGGTCGAGTGAGAACACATATCCGACCCCTTGCCTGCCCCGTCCCATCCCCCATTCCCCAGCAATCCCAGTCCCTTGCATGGTGGGCAGGGCCACATGGACAGAGCCTCAAGGCAGAGGTCTAGGAGTCAGGTTTTAATACGCTTGGAATTTTGCTTAAGGTGGGAGAGATCTTTATATTCAAGCAATTAAGAACCAAGTGGAGCTTGACTACCTATGGGCATTTAGCAGCTGTGAGAGGCATGCAAGTGGCCCAGCCCAGAGCTGGGCCTGTGAGCTGTCCTGTGTCTTTGAAGGTCACCCATGTCCCTTATGGGGCACTGACAGAACCAATTACTCACCTGTGCCCAAGGGGACCCCTGGACATAATTGAGAGGTACTCTACCAAATTGAAATGTTTGGCCTATATCTCATCAGCAAGCAGGTATGCAGGAGAGTAACCCTCAGGCAAGCTGATGACCTGAGAGAAGGAAAGAGAGGGAGAGAGAGAAAGAGAGAAAGAGGGAAGGAGGGAGAGAGAAAGAGAGAAGGAGGGAGGGAGAAAGAGAGGGAAGGAAAGAAAACAAGAAAGAGAAAAAAGAGAGGAAGGAAAGGAGGGAAAGAAAGAGCGAGAAAGGAAGGAAGGAAGAAAAAGAAATAGAAAAAAGAAATAGAGAAAGAGAAGGAGGGAGGGAGAAAGGGAGGGAGGGAAAGAAAGAGAGTGAAAGAAAGATAAAAGAAAGAGAGGGGTAAAGGGAGTGAGAGAAAGAAAGAGAAAGAAAGTGAAAAAGAGAAAATGAAAGAAAGGAAGAAAAAGAAAGAAAGGAAAAGAAAGAAAAAAGGAAGGAAAGAAAAAAGAAAAAGAAAGAAAGAAAAAGAAAGGAAAGAAAGAAAAAGAAAGAAAAGAAAGAAAGAGAGAAAGGGAAAGAACCCTGCATTGCCAGAAAGTTAGGAGAGGAGAAAGTTAACATAAACATTACCTCGCACATGTAGTTTTTATGGTGAGAACTCTTAAAATCTACTTTCTTGGCAATTTTCAAGTATACAATACATTGTTACTAACTATAGTCACCATGATGCACAATAGATCTCTTGAACTTATTCATCCTGCCTAACTGAAATTTTGTGTCCTTTGACCAACATCTCCCCAGTCCTCCAGCCCCTGGTAGCTGCCCTTCTACTGTCTACTTCTGTGAGTTCCACCTCTTTAGGTTTCACATATGAGTGAGATCATGCGGCATTTGTCTTTCTGTGTCTGCTTATTTCACTTAATACAATGTCTTCCAGGTTCATCTATGATGTTGCATATGACAGGATTTCCTTCTTTTTAAGGCTGAATAGTATTCATATATATATATATACCACATTTAAAAAATTCATTCATCCATTGATGGACGCAAGTTGATTCCATGTCTTGGCTATTGTGAATAATGCTGCAATGAACACAGAATGCAGATACCATTTCAACATACTGACTGCATGTCTTTGGCTATATGCCCAGTAGTAGGATGGCTGGGTCATGTGGTAGTTCTATTTTTAATTTTTTTGAGGACCCTCCATATTGTTTTCCATGATGGCTGTACCAGTGTTAGATACATTTCTAATTGGAATGAATTTCAATATTATATTGTTTGAAAGCAAAAGGAAATTTTGGTTCTGATTAATTCCTCTCTCTTTTTAATTGGTTCAATAATTTTTAAACCCTGGGGTGGGTGGAATGTTTTCAGATTGGCAGTTTTGGGAATGTGAAGACAATTTGTATTTCCTGGTTTTTGCTTTGTTTTGTTTTATAACTCAGTAGCCATGCTGTCAGCTCAGTGCAAACATCACAGGCAGGATGCAAGCACTGAAGATAATAGCTTTCTCTTAAAAGTATTGTCGATAAAAACATACCTTTAATGCACTGAAAAGAATAAATTATGCCTCGTAGGGAAACAATAGAAAATATCTCCTTTTTGGCTTCGTGATCATTTCAGTGTTTGTCATTTCCAGCCACCACAACAAAATGAATCCTGTTTCACATGTTGGTAAGTCCGTCATTCTGTCTGGAGGGAACTGGGTCTGAAAATTGCACTGGGACTGAAATTGGACGGCAGCATGAAGCTGTTAAAGATAATAGACCTGTGTTAAAACCCACAAATGAATGGAGGCATTCTCTGGCCTGCAGAAGAGCGCTCATTGTCCTCTGCGGTCCATTTTCCACACGTACAATGTGTTCACAGCTGGCTGTTCTTTCTCTTTTGGGGACACTTGTGAATATGCATGTCCCAAATCATAGGCACAGCTTAAGGGCCAGGAACTCACGTCCATGTCCACTTCCTCAAACATCAGAGAACCCTAATCAGCTTGACACCCACCATCCGGTTTCTTCATTCTGGTGGGCCCTGTCTTCCTGGGAATGCACACCTCCGTGAACGGCAATCCAAGCTGATTTGTTTTGAGCAGTCACTAAGATGGACATTTCCCCTGGGGTTGAGGATTTTGTTTCAGACAAAAAAGATACATGTAGGAGACAGTCTCACAGTATTTTCTATCTTTTAAAGGTGGAGGTGAAAGCCAGGGTTGTACTAACAGATTGGGATAGAGCCACTGGAATCTAACTGATGGCTTTTAAGGGAATTTTGCAAGGCTGAAGGTGTGAATACCCCTGAATAAAAACAGCTGCTGTCTTCATTTTGAATGGATGCTGAAATCACTGCCATTTCCTCCAGGGGCTTTTAGTGCTGTGCATTTTAAGAGTGGCGGGTTCAAAAAGTCATGAAAATGTGTTACTTGGCTTTCCGATGGAAAGTAATAGAATTTCTGAACTTTAGCTAGCCATCTCTGAACATCACAAATTCCTGAAGGGTGTTCACAAGGAAAACACTAGGAAGTTTGCCCAAATCTCTCTGGTAGGTGCACATGTGGTAAAGCGGGTGACTCTTGCTCTTCTCTCTTCTTTGAAGTGTCCTAGTGGGGATCTGCTTTTCAAGACCCTCCTCCTGCTCAGCCTCACCCTGACTCCATTCAGCCTCCTTTAGAGGATGAGAAACATCTCCCCAACCAGAGCCGGCTTAGGCTCCTTTTAATTGCATCATTGGCCTGGTGGGAGGATAGAGAGAAAGGAGAACAAGAGTTCAGCAGAGCCCTGAAAAGGGGGGATGGTAATGGAAGGAGGACAGGACTCTGAGCTCCTCGATGGCTAAAGCAAAGAAATGGAATTCTGACACTTGTTGCCTATATCCGCTCTACACAGAGCTCCCTGAGAAGCGCTTGTCTGCCTTGCTCTCTATCTTGCGCGCCATTCCGCTTTTCGCACTATGTGTCCTTGGTTTTCTTCTTGATCTCCCAGTGGTGAGCTTGAAAGTAGCAGCTGTTCTCTCCGTGCTTGTGCTGGGCCTGCATCTGGCACAGCCATTGGCATACGGAATCCAGTTAACCTTTGGCGAAAAACATGAGCGATATTTATTGCCCCTTTTCAAACCTCAATTATAACAAATTGCAATTATGTGGTGCCTCGGAAAGGCTGCCGTGCACATCACATGCAGCCATTTAGAAAAGAACTCTGGCATCCTAGAGCAGCAAATTTGGAAGGAGGACATTCTGAGGCCTTTAGGAGATCAACTGTGTGCTGGACGGACTTTTCAAGCCATAATGTAATTATAATGTGTTATAATTTAACTTTGAAAGGATAGAACAATATCCAAAAGAGGAGATGTGTTGGGCACCAAAATGATCAAAGGAAATCACAGTTGGGAGAAGAATGAAAAGTAGAGGGAGAAACATGGACACAACATTTAAAAAGTCTGAATTTTTTAAATGCCACCTGTTTTCAGGTATTAACATTGGAGTGATTTTCGTATCTCTACACTCGATGGAGACTTCACTGTTCCACTCAATTTAACAAAACAAATATGACTTCAAAGTAACTTTGGGTATATTTTATTTAGCATTAGCTGGTACAGCATGATTCTGTTAAAATACATAAAAGCACTTTCTTCCAATTGCCCAGCCCTTGCCCATTCTGATTTTCTGGTTATCTTTGGATTTATAGCAAAATGTTTGTTTTTCAAAAGATAAAAATATATGGGGATGTTTATTGGCTGAAGTTCTAGCTAAGTATTAGAATGCAAATTTTATTATGGTTGTAGGTGGCTAGTGGTGAGGTAGATCCACCTTTAGAACAAGTCTAAAGAATATAGATGAAATAATAGTATGTTGAAAGATCAGTCATTTAAAAACCAGTGGGACGTTGTTGCAATGGTCTGTGACAGTATGATTCAGTTACTGCTGAGAGTTCCCAGGAATTTTCAGGATGGCATCTCCAGAGCTAAAGACAATGTACTTGTACTACATAATTTGGTGTCATGCTCTTTTAAGCAAATCTGAGTAATGAAGAGAAGCATCCAAAAACAAAGAGGAGGATTAGAAACCTAAGACACAAAAATGTTAGCCTAAAGTCAACAGTCTGGGCAACGAGAGCTCAGGACTGGGTCTTGGAGCCAGTTGCAAAATTAATGCTGAATATCGAAGTTCTCACCACGTTCCTCTGATTCTCCAAAGTGAAATCCTCAGGGGACACCTCTTAGAGGCAAAATTTTTCATTTTGGTGATATGTTTGAGGAAATATCAATACCCCGATAACATCCTAAAAAGAAAATGCTGTATAAAATAAAACATTTCTGCTGTCATCATCCTTAATCCACTTTAAATCTTAGTGCTAGGCTAACGGTATGAAGAAAAATAAAATCTATTTTCTGTCTTAAAGGAGTTTGTTGAACATGATATACATACATACATATACACACATTCTTAATCTAAAATAGAATATGGTCCTATGCCAAAGGACCAATATGTGCAATAATAATTGCTAATATTTATTGGGCACTTAATGGTAGGCCCTGTTCTGAGTTCTCTTGAAGGCATCAATTTTTTCACAAAAATTGTATGGATTTGGCACTATCATTTCAATCATGCAGGTGAGGAACTTGAGACACAGAGAAATTAAAAAAAGAAAAAAAAGAAAGTTTGACCAAATCAGAGCTAATAAATTCATTTTACTTTTTCCATATTAGTCAGGTTGGTCTTGAACTCCTGACCTCAGGTGATCCACCCACATCAGCCTCCCAAAGTGCTGAGATTACAGCCATGAGCCACCGCACTCGGCCTAGAGCTGATAAATTCAGATCCAACATCCAGATTCCACTGTCTGGCTCTAGAGCTCCCACACATCTCAATGACTGTCGAGAGAGAACAATGCAAGATTAATACCTCTTTAATTCAGTAGGACCAGGCAGGGCAAGAGGCTTAGCTCAAAATGGCAGGGTTAGACAGCTCCAGGGAATGGAGTAATCTGGTTCTACTGGATAACCTCTCCCTCTTCCATGACTCTTTAGCAATCTGCTCAGCCCTCAATTCTGGCATGTGGCTGTATAGACTGGAGTTTGTGCAGCTGTCCCTAATCTCAGCTGTCCAAGCATGGAGCAGAGGACCCGCATATAATGGGGTACTTCATAAGTACATGAATAAATGAATATCCAACTAGGAACTGAGATCGTACTTTTTCCCTTTTTGAAGGAGCTAATTTTATTTTTTTTCTTGGTTCCCATACTTGCCTTAACTGTAGCCATGGGACTTGCTTCTTTGGTAAGTAGTAATATTAAAACCATTTTAAATTGAAGTTTTGCAGAAAGCATACTATTTGGGGACTGGCCAGAAAAAAAAAAAAGGTGTAATTCCAAAGAAAGTGGAAAAGTACCACATAGACTGGATAAAATGGAAAATTATATTTGTGTGACCTACTGTGTTACCAAAAGGCAAATGTGGATTTCGTTGGCTTGGATTTGCTCATCTGCTGCTACACCTCCTTCTCGATGCCTCTTTAGTGGCAATTTTCTAAACTATCTTTATGTTCAAGGTTTTAATAAAAACAAATCCTCTGTTAAGCTACATTTGAGAGTGCATTTCTACTGAGGAGCATTGGCCCCTGATTGCCTATCCACAAGAGCCAAGATGAGGCAAGTTCCACTTGGTTTCTCAAGGCAGTAGGCCCCATACACTTGCTACTCATTTTCCTTTATTATAATCTTTGGGACAATATTTTCCCATTATTGACAATAACTCTTATGAAAACTCCTTATAAAATCACATTTACTTTTTTATTTTCATTCTCAAAGCAAAGGCTGGGCTGACATTTTCAATATTCAAGAATCCCAATACGACAAGTGCAATGTAGTAGGACGCTCTGATAGGCTGAAGGGCATTTGGAAAGCTCACGGATGCAGAGGACACCCTTTTCTAAAAGCAGATGGGTGCTCAGGAGCAGAAGCAACAATTAAAAGTCCTGGCTGAGAAAGAAACTCCTAATTACATTTGGATGACTTGATGTTCCCTCGAATATGGTGCCTGCTCTTTTCTTTCTTCCTTGATTGGAGCCTCTAGGGGTGTGTGTGTGTGTGTATGTGTGTGTGTGTGTGTGTGTGTGTGTGTGTGTTTGGTTTGACAACATGTGTTGCTATTACTCAGTTGTTTTAGGGAAAGAATAGTCTTTGAAAAGGGAAGAGATGGGGGAAAGAAAGAGGTAGAGAAGAGGAAAGGTGACTGAACAGCTTCTATTCCTACCTGGAGAGGGCTGTAGATGGTGGCAGCAGGTGTCAGAGAAATGAGATCTTGTGGCTGGCAGGATCCCTTGGGGAGAGGCTCAGGAGAAGGCTTAGCTTGACTTGTGGGGACAGATATTTCAGGGAACTCAGCCAGCTCAAGAGTGATGCTGCTGCACCAAACCTATATGTGATTTTTAATTATTTTAATTGTTTATTCGAGAGAGTGCATTTATCTCTCTTCTGAGTTACTTTAAGAAGTATATTGGCCTAATGGACTAAAAGGTAAATCTTTGTCCATCCAGTCCCAAAAATAAATAAGTAAATAAATAAATGAACTTCCAATTTTCCTGTATTGGGCATTTCCCTGAAGAGTTATTCGCAAATGGTATAGAATGTCAGTCAGCGTTTCTTAACCCAGGGTGCCTGCGACTCACTCTAAACGATTACATCAGAATTTCAGGGGGTAAAGCAAGGGCATTAGTGTCTTAGAAAAACTCCCCAGAGGTGAAGCCAGGGCTGAGAAGCACTGCTGCAGACATTTGCACAGACTCTTCTCTTGGTCTGAAAGTCTCCTTGGTCTGAAAGAGCAAGGAGACTTCACACAGAGAAGCAGAGGTCGCAGTTGAGGAAACTAAATCGGGTGAGAAAATAACAGGGATGGGAGTCTTCTGGGGACCCTTAAAGCCTTATAGATATGTTGCGCTCGCTACAATATAATAATAAAGATTCCCAGCCAGTCCTAATGATGACCTTTTACATGTATCTAATTAAAAGGCAGCACACAATTAATTTCTGTTTGTTATCCCTTCTCACTAGGAAACCATCAATATTATCCTTCCCTGATGCCTCCTTGTAAACTAGTTTTGACTTTTTTCCCCCAGATAAAGTATTCATTTGACAAACACTGAGCCCCTCCCTGTGTAAGGCATGGTGCCAAGAGCATGGCAGATCATAGTCCTGCAATCATGGGTTTCCATCTAATGGCAGAGACAGTCACACAAATAATGTCTCATCTAACTGTGTAAGCACAAATGTGATCAATGTTCAGAGAGAACAGGGTGCCAATGAATGGAAAGCAATTGTTGCAGATCTACTCTGAGGCAGATAGTTAAGATCTCCATCTAAAAGAGCAAGGGTTGTTCTGGACCAAGAGAAAACAGCCTGTGCAGATGACTGCAAGTGGTAAAAGACATCGCATATTAAGAGAGCTTAAGAAGGGTAATGAAGCTAAAAAACAAGAGTTTGAGTAGAGAATAATCCCCCATGTTGTACAACTAACTCTAAGGAGCATGAATCACAAGAGAGGGCTTTGGCAGCACCAAGAGGGGACCCCTAGTTGCCTGAGATGAAGGCACAGACATGCTGAGCCTTGTAGGTCATCCTAAGAAATAGCAGTAGCAGGCCATGGAGGCTTTCAGCCAAGGAGCATCTCAGCAGTTTTGTCTCTGAAGAAATTCTCTCTGCTTGTCAGACTGCAAGGAGTGGAGGATTGCAAACCTGAATTCAGGAGAGACCAGTCCTGACGCTACTTCCTGCAGAGATGAAGATGACTGAATTAGAGAGGTGATGGTGGAAACGAGACCTGACACATTGAAAGCTGTCACTGCACAATCTCACTTACCTGTGAATTCTAAGAAATTGTACTCAAAGGAGCAGAGAGTAGAGTGATGGTTACCAGGGGTTGGCATGTGGGGGGCTGGGGATATTAATATATGTTGGTCAAAGGATATAGAATTTCAGCTAGATAAAAGGGATAAATTCAAGATTATCTGTTATACAACATGTTGTACATGTTTGTTAGATGTTTATACATGTTTATTTTATTAGCTCAATTTGGCCATTCCATTATATATATATATATATATATATATATATATATATATATATATATATATATATATATCCTGAAGTATACATTGTGGAATAGCCAAATTGAGCTAATTAACATGGGACTTGGTAGTGCAAGTATTTCTTTGACATACTGATTTCATATCCTTTGGCTATATACTCAGAGGTGGGATTGCTGAATCATATGATAGTTCTATTTTTAATTTTTTAAGGACCCTACCTACTGTTTTCCATAATGGCTGTACCAATTTACATTCCCACCAGCAATGTACAAGGGTTCCCTTTTCTCCATATTCTTTCCATTAACATATGCATTGCCTCACCTACTTGTCTTTTTGTGATTAGAACACAAAATCGACTCTCAGCGATTTTCAATGTACAATACATTGTTATTAACTATAGTCAGCATGTTGTATAATAGACTCCTGACTTTATTATTCCTATGAAACTGAAAATTTGAATCCTTTAACCAACATCTCCCCAAACGCAACCATTGTCCCCAAATCCCTGGTTTCCACTATATTACTCTCTGCTTCCATGAGTTTGGCTTTTTTATGTTCTACATATATGTGATATCATGCAATATTTGTCTTTCTGTGTCTGCTTATTTAACTTAGCAAAATGTTCTCAATCATAGGTGGGAATTGAACAATGAGAACACTTGGACACAGGAAGGGGAACATCACACACTGGGGCCTGTCATGGAGTGGGGGGAGGGGGGAGGGATAGCATTAGGAGATATACCTAATGTAAATGATGAGTTAATGGGTGCAGCACACCAACATGGCACATGTATACATATGTAACAAACCTGCACGTTGTGCACATGTACCCTAGAACTTAAAGTATAATAAAAAATAATAATAATAATAACTTATCATAACGTCCTTCAGGTTCATTCATATTGTTGCAAATGACAGGATTTCCTACTTTTTATGGCTGAATAGTATTTCCTTGTGTAGATATGCCTCATTTTCTTTATCAGTTTATCTACTGATGGACATTTAGGTTGATTTCATATTTTGGCTATTGCGAATATTGCCTCAGTGAACGTGGGAGTGCAGGTATCTCTTCGACATACTGATTTCATGTCCTTTGACTATATACCCAGAGATGGGATTGCTGGATCATGTGGTAGTTCCATTTTTAACTTTTTGAGGAACTTTTGTACTGTTTTTCATAATGGTTGTACTAATGTACATTCTCACCAACAGTATACAAGTGTTCCCTTTTCTCCATATCCTTGCTAACACTTGTCATTTTTCATATTTTTGATAATACTTGTCCTAGAAGGTATGAAGTAATATTACATTGTGGTTTTAATTTTTATTTCCCTGATGATTAGTGATGTTGAGCACCTTTTCATGTATCTGTCGGCCATTTGTATGTCTCCTTTTGAGAAATGTTTATTCAGGTCCTTTGCCCATTTAATTGGGTTGTTTTCTTGCTATTAAGTTGTTTGAGTTCCTTATATATTTTGGATTTTCACCCTTTGTTAGATGTATGGTTTGCAAGTATTTTCTCCCATTCTGTAAGTTGTCTTTTCACTCTGTTCATTGTCTCCTTGGCTGTGCAGAAGCTTTTTAGTTTGAGATAATAGCACTTGTCTTTTTCCCTTTTCTTGCTTGTGCTTTTGGAATTTCATTAAAAAAATTATTGCCCAGACTCATTTCATGGAGCTTTTCCCCTATAATTTGTAGTTGTCAATTAAAAAATAATAATTTTTCAAAAGAAAAAAATGAAAAGCTATCAGGATATAAAACCAACAGAGTTGGGCCACTGATTGGATATGGGTGAGAGGAGGAGGAGGGAAAAGAGGGTCAAGGACACCTCTCAGATTTCTGCATGAAAACCTGTGCTTGGGGTGGTGCCATCCCCTGAGGTGGGGAACAGTGAGAGGACCAGGTTTGGGTGGGCAGATGGTACAGGAAACATACCAGGAAGGTTTTTTTGTTTTTGTTTTTTAGGTTTTATTTTTTCATTTTTCTGTTTGATCTTCCATCTTAATGTTCAGAACCTTCTTAATTTTCTGTTTGGAATCAGTAAGAAACAATCTGAATTACTTTGCAATTCTAATGTTCTTGATCCCAAACTCCCATACTCCCCTGGTTTGGAAACGCCAAAAGTCAGAAATAGTAATCCAGAATAAGGCTTCATAAATGGAAGTTTCACACAGAAGGGATTGCTGGTTGGTAAAGGATTGCCTCCTGGCTCTCTAGCACTCCCCAAACACAGTGTAAGTGTGCACTACCAGCTTGTGTCTTTTAAGTTCCATGCAAATAACCCCTGAACTGCATCACCGAGGCACATGCTGTCTTTGCCATGTAAGAATTTTTTTCAGGAAGGTTTAATTTTATCTCTTGGATAGACTAATACATGTATGGAGTATTAAATTAACTAAAAAGCATTAAACCATAGCATTAATATATGTTGGTCAAAGGATATAGAATTTCAGTTAGATAAAAGGGATAAGTCCAAGATATCTGTTATACAACACATTGTACATGCTTGTTAGATGTTTATACATGTTTATTTTATTAGCTCAATTTAACCATTACATAATATATAGGTATTTCAAAATATCATGTCCTATACCAAATAATAAATACCTATTTATCCTTCTCCTGAGGGTTTTTGACCACTGAAGAGAATCAAGTATCCCATTTGGGTCATTGCTGACTTCTCTTTCCAGAGGTCTAGTTAGCGTCTCTCACCCAATACATTTTCTTCAATTCTCTCTATCTCCCAAGTGAGCTATTTCTCTTACAACTCTTTGTATTTGGCATTATTTGATTTGTATCAGAACATACTTTTCTCCTTATCATAAACTACTGTGATGATGCATTGCAAGAGGGAACCATTTCAATAAACCATTAGGAGATTTTTGGATCCTGAATGGCAGTTTTACCCTGAAGATAAGGTAATGCTGTAATCTACCATCTTGTTAAATGTACACACACATTCAAACAATTGTCAGACTGCAGGCAGCTTAGAAAATACATCTTCTCTTTTCCACTCTTACACCATTATGTCTTTGTGCATGTGCCCTGAATTTAAAGGTAAAGCGAAAATGAACAGAGCAATTATCATGTAGAGTAGAGGAAATTAAGCTGAGTAAAAGCTTTTAGTTAACTATGTGATTCCCAGTCACCCGCACGGCAGCAGCAACAGAGAGCTCAGGGGCATCTAGTCATTTCCTGTGATGGCTTCTGCACCTCTCTCTGGCTGTGGAGTTGAATAGTGATTATATACCGCCACTCTGGTAGACATGGTGTGCTGAAGGCAGTTCCTAGGTAAGCCTGGGGTGTATGGAAGGTTGGTGAGGAATTGATACATGTCCTCATTTGTCCCAGGAAGATGTGGTTGTAACCGTGCTTGGTCAGAAACTTGTTTTCCCTTGCAGATCATTTTATGGGTATCCTCTGAATCTGGTCCCTTCTCTCCACTTGCTCAGGTATGGATTTTTTTCTCCAAAAGATCCCACATAGTAGGAGCATCCCAGGATGTTCTAAATAGGACCATATAAATGCTTCAGCAGTTGATTACAAATTCTCTGGAAACAAATAAAATATTAGAAAATCTCAGTAAAGGAATAGAAGTTATAAAAAAGAACCAAGTGGAAATTATGGAACTGAAAAAATTTAACAAAATAAAAATTTTAAAGTGTCATTTTAAACTTGAAATGATAGGTTCAATAATAGAGTGGAGACAAAAATGATAAAGCCACTAGGTTTAAGGACAGATCAATAGAATTTACCCAATATGAACAGAGAGAAAATATACTGGAAAAGTAACTGAATAGAGACTCAGGCTCCTGTGGGACAATGTCATAAGATCCAATATTCATAGGATCAGCATTCCAGAGGGAAAAGAGGGAGTGGAATGAAAGAGTATTTGAATAAGTAATGGCTGAAAACTTCCCAAATTTGGTTAAAAAAAAATACAAACTTACAGATCCCAAAAGTTGAACAAATCCCAAACAGGATAAAACAAAGGAACACACATCATAATCACACACTTATAAACAAAAGACAAAGGAAATATCTAGAAGGCAGTCAGAGAGAAAGAACACATCACATGCAGAGGAACACCAATTCAAGTGACACTGAATTTTCATCTGAAACCATGGAAGCAGAAGGAGGAGGTACAACATTTTTCAATAGCTTAAAGAAAATAGCTGTCAACTGTGACTTCTATATCTGGTGAGACTATTCTTCAGAAATAAAGAAGAAATAAAGATATTCTTAGATAAGAAAAAACTAAAAGAATTTGTTCCTAGCAGACCTACCCTTAAAAGCCGGCAAAGAAATTTCTTTAAATGGAAAGTAAAAGATAGAAGAAAGAATCTTGAAATATCAGGAAGAAGGAACAAGAGGAAGAGTAGAAACATGTGCATATAATAAACTATCTTTTATCTCATGAGTTTTATAAATCATATTTGATGATTGAAACACAAATTCTAACACCATCTGCTATTCAAGACAGTGATATTTAAAAGAGGGAAAAGTACAGGGACTTTAATGGTAATGAAGCTTCTATACTTCATTGGAAAAGGTAAAATGTTGATACTGTACCTATTATGTCTCATATGTATACTGTAATGCCTAGAGCAATCACTATGAATATCATGTAAAGAGGTATACCCAAAAACACTCTAAATAAGTCAAGACAGAATCCTAAGATGTTTAAGTAACTCAAAGGAAAGGAAGAAAACAGAAACATCTCAGAAGAAAACAGAAACAGAGGAATGATCATCAGAGGGAATAAATAGAAAAGAATTAATAAAATGGTGGACTTAAGCCATAACATAAAAATAATTATGCCAAATGCCAGTAGTCTAAGAGACAGAGATTAGCAGTGGATTAAGAAATCAAGCTTCAACAATATTTTACAAGAAAATCAGTTGAAATTCATTAACGTAGACTGAAAGTAAAAAGATATATCATGCAAAGATGGATTTAAAAAAATAGACATGGCTGTATTCGGATAAGGTAGTCTTCAGAGGAAAGGAAACTACCATAGATAATGAAGGAAATTGCATAATGATAAATGGATCAATCCATTAAGAAGACATAAATAAGTCAGCCCTCCATGGGTTCTGCATCCACAGATTCAACAAATGGTGGATCAAAAACATTTGAACAAAAAAGCAATAAAAAATAACAATACAACAATAAAAAATAATACAAATAAAAACACCAACACGGCATAACATTCACATAGCATTTACATAGCATTAAGTATTATAAGTAATCTAGAAATGATTTAAAGTATATAAGAAAGTAGGTTATATGTAAATACTATACCATTTTGTATACGAGACTTGAGCAGCCACAGATTCTGATATCCTCAGGAATCCTGGAACCAATTTCCTGTGGATATTGAGAGATGACTGTTTCTTAAATGTGTGCATACATAAAAAGTCTCACAATACATACAGCAAAAACTGATAGTGCTTAAAAGAGGAGTAGATAAAACTGCAATTATAGTTGGGGACCTCAACCTCCCCACCCTCAGCAACTGATAGAACTTAGACAGAAGATTTGAACAACGCAATCAACCAACAGGATCTAATTGACATTTATAGAACACATCACACAACAACAGCAAGGTACACATTTTTTAAAGTGCCTGTGGAACATTCATCAAGATAGACTGTACCTGAAGTCATAAAGTAAACCTTAACAAATTAAAATAAATGAAATCATACTAAGTGTTTTGTCTGACCATAATGGAATCAAACTATTAATCAATAACAGAAAGAAAACACAAAAATCTCAGAAGACATGGAAATTAAACATACACTTCTAAATAATCTATAGATCAAAGAAGAAGCCTCAAAGGAAAATTTACTTCTAAATGATTTATAGATCAAAAAAGAAGCCTCAAAGGAAAATTTAAAAATTATGTCCAACTAAATGAAAATGAAAACGCAGCATATCCACATATATGAGATGCAGATAAGACAGAGCTGAATGGGAAACAATATGAGATGTTGATATTAGGAATAAGGAAAGGTCTCAAGTCAAAAATCTGTTCTACTTCAAGAAACTAAGGAAGAATGAAACAAAATAAACCCAAAGCAAGCAGAATAAAAAAAAAAATAAAGAAAGAACAAAAATCCATGAAAGTGAAATTAGGAAAACAAATAGAAAATCCATGCAAAAAGTTGGCCCTTTAAAAAAAAATCAACAAAATTGATAAACCTCTAGCTAGACTGACAATAATAAAAAGAGAGAAAACACAAATTAGCAATATTGGAAATGAAGTAGGTGATATCACTACAGATCCTACAGCCATGAAAAGGAAAATGAAGGAATATTATGAACAACTTTATCCTCATAAAGTCAATAACTTAGAAAATATGAAACAATTCCTTAAAAACTACACAACGTGAAAACTCAATCAAGGTGAAATAGATAATCTGACTAGCCCTATAGCCTTCAAATTCGTTGAATTCATAAATTTAAAACTCTTGAAAAAGACACTTCTGGGCCCACGTGCTTCCACTGGAGAATTTTACAAATATTTTAAGAAGAATTAACAACAAGCTTGCATGTTCTCTTCTAGCTCACTTGATGAAGCCTATTCGACATCACTAGTTATTAGGGAAACGCCAATCAAGACCACAATGAGATACACGCCTACCAGAATACCTAAAATAAAAATTATAATAGCAGAAACACCAACTGTTGTTGAGGATATAAGGAAACTGGATTACTCATCAAGATTGCCAGTGAAAATGTAAAATAGTGTCATCTTTCTGGAAAGCAATTTGGTAGTTTCTTTAAAAAACTGAAAAAAAACTGTACATGGGATTACCATACAGACCAGAAATTACACTCTCGGGCATTTATCTCAGATAAATAAAAACCTATATTCACAAAAAAGCCTATACACAAATGTTCACAGCACCTTTGTTTGTAATAGCCAAAACCCAAAATCAGCACAGATGTCTAGCAACAGGTAAAATGGCTAAAAAAACTGGTACATCCATACCATTGATTACTACTCAACAATAAAAGGAATGAACTATTTATATATGTAACAACTTTGATGAATCTTCATGTAATTATGTTGACTAAAAATGCTAATCCCTAAACATTATATAACATTCAATTTCTATAACATTTTCGAAATGACAAAATTTTAGAAATGAAGAACAGATCAGTGATTACAGGTTTTAGGGAATGGGAGGAGAGAGTTATAAAAGGGCAACATGTAGGGTCTTTGTTGGGATGGATCTGTTTAGTATCTTGACTGGCTTGGTGAATACACCAATGTACGTCAGATAAAATTGTATAGAACTAAATAAACATATACACATGCACACATACAAACAAATTATTACAACTGCATCTGAATCTACAGTTACCTCAATTTAAAAAGTATTCTGTTCTTCCCTGTTTCTCCTAACTATGAAGTTGGTTCCACTCCCACCTACGCCCAAAACAAATTTATCTTGTCACCACTTTCTGCTGAGCTATGATATAGCACTTGACTTTATCAGCTAGAGCTCTTGCAGCAACATCAATTGGTCAGAATTGGTACTGAATTCAACTCTATTGGCACATCATCTAGAAAACAATCTTCCAGAAATATTTAGCCTGAATCCAACCAAGCTTGTGTACCTCACTCCAGTTTAAGAGGAAGAAGTTTCTTTTTTTTTTTACACCATAAATATATAAAATTTTTATTTGTCAATTCAAAATCAGTTGGAAGAAACAAACGAGAAAAACAGAAGCACACAGCGTGGTGGTTTGTTTTTTACTATGGTCTTTTTCTTTTTTTTATTATTATTATACTTAAAGTTTTAGGGTACATGTGCACAATGTGCAGGTTAGTTACATATGTATACATGTGCCATGCTGGTGTGCTGCACCCATTAACTCGTCATTTAGCATTAGGTATATCTCCTAAAGCTATCTCTCCCCTCTTCCCCCACCCCACAACAGTCCCCAGAGCCTGATGTTCCCTTTCCTGTGTCCATGTGTTCTCATTGTTCAATTCCCACCTATGAGTGAGAATATGAGGTGTTTGCTTCTTGTTCTTGTGATAGTTTACTGAGAATGATGATTTCCAATTTCATCCATGTCCCTACAAAGGACATGAAGTCATCATTTTTTATGGCTGCATAGTATTCCATGGTGTATATGTGCCACATTTTCTTAATCCAGTCTATCATTGTTGGACATTTGGGTTGGTTCCAAGTTTTTGCTATTGTGAATAGTGCCGCAATAAACATACGTGTGCATGTGTTTTTATAGCAGCATGATTTATAGACCTTTGGGTGTATACCCAGTAATGGGATGGCTGAGTCAAATGGTATTTCTACTTCTAGATCCCTGAGGAATCGCCACACTGACTTCCACAATGATTGAACTAGTTTACAGTCCCACCAACAGTGTAAAAGTGTTCCTATTTCTCCACATCCTCTCCAGCACCTGTTGTTTCCTGACTTTTTAACGATTGCCATTCTAACTGGTGTGAGATGGTATCTCATTGTGATTTTGATTTGCATTTCTCTGATGGCCAGTGATGATGAGCATTTTTTCATGTGTTTTTTGGCTGCATAAATGTCTTCTTTTGAGAAGTGTCTGTTCATATCCTTCACCCAGTTTTTGATGGGGTTGTTTGTTTTTTTCTTGTAAATTTGTTTGAGTTCGTTGTAGATTCTTGATATTAGCCCTTTGTCAGATGAGTAGGTTGTGAAAATTTTCTCCCATTTTGTAGGTTGCCTGTTCACTCTGATGGTAGTTTCTTTTGCTATGCAGAAGCTCTTTTGTTTAATTAGATCCCATTTGTCAATTTTGGCTTTTGTTGCCATTGCTTTTGGTGTTTTAGACATGAAGTCCTTGCTCATGCCTATGTCCTGAATGGTAATGCCTAGGTTTTCTTCTAGGGTTTTTATGGTTTTAGGTCTAACGTTTAAGTCTTTAATCCATCTTGAATTAATTTTTGTATAAGGTGTAAGGAAGGGATCCAGTTTCAGCTTTCTACATATGGTTAGCCAGTTTTCCCAGCACCATTTATTAAATAGGGAATCCTTTCCCCATTGTTTGTTTTTCTCAGGTTTGTCAAAAGTCAGATAGTTGTAGATGTGCGGCATTATTTCTGAGGGCTCTGTTCTGTTCCATTGATCTATATCTCTGTTTTGGTACCAGTACCATGCTGTTTTGTTACTGTAGCCTTGTAATATAGTTTGAAGTCAGGTAGCGTGATGCCTCCAGCTTTGTTCTTTTGGCTTGGGATTGACTTGGCAATGCGGGCTCTTTTTTGGTTCCATATGAACTTTAAAGTAGTTTTTTCCAATTCTGTGAAGAAAGTCATTGGTAGCTTGATGGGGATGGCCTTGAATCTACAAATTACCTTGGGCAGTATGGCCATTTTCATGATATTGATTCTTCCTACCTATGAGCATGGAATGTTCTTCCATTTGTTTGTGTCCTCTTTTATTTCCTTGAGCAGTGGTTTGTAGTTCTCCTTGAAGAGATCCTTCACATCCCTTGTAAGTTGGATTCCTAGGTATTTTATTCTCTTTGAAGCAATTGTGAATGGGAGTTCACTCATGAAGTTAAATGGCATCAAGAGAAAACAATAGGCTAAGCCAAAATTTAAGACATTCTACAGGGCACATGGCATGGAAATCATTTTTTTAAAGTCAACGATCTATGGAACTTTCTTTCAGCTTACTATTAACTGTACCTATATTGATGCATACATATGCATAGAGGATAGATAAAACAACCATGCAAAATGATGACAATTGTTGAATCAAATGGTAAGTATATCACTGCAGTATTTTTTCAACTTTTCTGTTTGCCAGGACGTTTTTTTTTCCTTCTTTTTCTTTCCTTTTTCTTTTCTTTTTTTTTTTTTTTTTTTTTTTTTTTTGAGATGGAGTTTTGCTCTTGTTGCCCAAGCTGGAGAGCAATGGTGCGATCTCGGCTCACTGCAACCTTCCCCTCCTAGGTTCAAGAGATTCTCATGCCTCAGCCTCCCAAGTAGCTGGGATTACAGGTGCCTGCCACCATGTCTGGCTAATTTTTTGTATTTTTAGTAGAGACAGGGTTTCAGCATGTTGGCCAAGCTGGTCTTCAACTCTGTTGGCCAAGCTGGTCTTCAACTCTGTTGGCCAAGCTGGTCTTCAACTGCTGACCTCAGGTGATCCACCATCCCTGGCTTCCCAAAGTGCTGGGATTACTGGTGTGAGCCACCAAGCCTGGCCACCGGGACATTTTCTTAATAAAAAGTTGCTGGAAACAGATTCTGCTGTCTGACCGGGATTGATGATCTTTCAGATCCCTTCCCACTGTGATATTCAGACAGGAAGTTCAAATCTTGACTCTGATATTTATTAGCTGTGTCCTCTCAGTCTCAGTTTTTCTTATGTATAAAGATGAAGGATTTGGAACAGCCCTAAAATCCTGTTTCTTAAAGTCACCAGAGAATTGATTCACAATCTTTCAGTAACTTACTGACACGATGAAGTGCCACCACATTTTTCTTCCAATCTGGATCTTTCAAACAGTAATTTAAAGACTTCTTCACCTTCTGGACCCAATAAAGTAGGAAAGAAGATAAAGTACTGACTTCTTTAAATGTTTGTAAAATGTTATTTGTTTGACCCTCACCTACCTCCTTTCCTATGTTAGTCATTTCCAGCAAGTAAAATCAACATATAATTATATTGTACACTGTGTGCAAACACACACACTGTGTGCAAGCCTTGTTAGTTTTCCCATTATGCATATTTAGTCATATGTGACTTTCCTCTGTATCTTTCCAAAGTCTATCTGCTCAGGCTTAGTCGATTTTATTCTATCTCTCTGAACTGCCCAATCAGTATGTCTTATCCAAGGGTAAGTCCCACATTTGATCAGAATTCCAGGCATAGCATCATCATTCTTTTCCAAGGTACAGTGGTGAACATGATTATAAAGATTTGGGCCAACACATATGCTCACACTAAATTAAAACAAACAAACAAACAAACAAAAAACAGCTTTGGGAACAGAGGATTGAGAACCCATCTTCACTATTGAGGTCTGAGTATGCCCAGAAGAGAGGCCACCCAAACAGAGTATTAGAGAAAGAGCAATAGAATGTTAGAATATAACTCAAGTGATCAAGACACTATGAGGCTGGGTGTTGGATACATCAGGCACATAGATTTAAGTTGTCCACCCAAATGTATAGAAGGCCTTATGAAACCTTTTCCTTTTGTACTTGTTCTTATTTAAGTATATTTAAATGTATATTTTTTCTGTTTTTCTTTTAAGTTATGGAAGCATACGCAGCTATCTCAGCATATTTTCATGCTGCCTTGAAAATTTGTATTATTATAATTTAAAGTTTAATCCATTCTCAGTTATATTCTTTCTTATAGTCATATTTCTTTTATAGATTTCTGTTTCCTGAAATTATCTTGTTGATACAAAAGAAATGGTTCTAAATTTTGCCTTGAGAAATGTTTTTGTTTGCTGATTACGGTTTATTATGACTGCTATTTACAAATTAAGCCCTCATCATTCACAGAACTAAGTTACCAACCACACTAGCTCAAAGAGTTAGGTTCCTGTAACTGGATTATGTCCACCACGTATGTTTAAGTTTTCAGACCTTTTTAAGTTGGTATCTGCTAAAGAATTGGAGGAGAGAGAAATTGCTCATTTCTAAAATGTGAATATAAAGATGTGTCTCTGTTTAATGATGCTAGAAAAGACTTTTTTTTTTTCTTTTTTTGAGACAGAGTCTTGCTGCGACCCCCAGGCTGGAGTGCAATGGTGCGACCTTGGCTCACTGAAACCTCTGCTTCACAGGTTCAAGTGATTCTCCTGCCTCAGCCTCCTGAGAAGCTGGGGTGATAGGCAAGTGCCATCATGCCCGGCTAATTTTTGTATTTTTAGTAGAGATGGGGTTTCACCATGTTGGCCAGGCTGGTCTTGAACTCCTGGCCTTGGGTGATCCACCTGCCTCGGCCTCCCAAAGTCCTGGGATTACAGGTGTGAGCCACCATGCCTGGCCAGAAAAGACTTAAAATCAATTTAGGTGTAAGAGCTCTGAACCTAGTATAAATATGACTGCATTTTACTAATAGTCAACTGGGATCTTGAAGAAGTTATATAATTTGTTTAAGTGTATATAGTTAACCTATGGGAAAACCTGGTTTCCTTTTCCCCAATTAGATGTTTTTTTGCAGATGAGTAGCAAACTGGTGGGCCTGTGTCCCCTTGGCCTGCTTCATTCACTCACATGTCCTGCCTGGCGTTCCTAGGCATTTGAGTTGCCAGCTGCTGAATCCTGTATCTGGAGCTCTTTGGGATTACCTAGCACCTGCTATCGGCATGGCCCTGCACTGAACAGGGATAACACACATCCCAGCCTCTGAAGCAACTTGCAACTCTACAGAGCCATTGTAGGCAGGCCCGCAGGGAGTTTGGGAAAGGGCAGACTTGAGTGGAAGTGGGTAGTACTCTGTGCATTGAGATCTGGAGGAAAAAACACTTAAGAGACCACTTAGGATCTTCAGTTAGAAGAACACACCTTTCCCACTGCATTAACAGGCCTTCCTGGTCTTCCCAGAGACCAGGATTTGCCGTGAGTGACTGGCAAGAAAATGCTTTCTAATCACCTTTAAAAAACCCAAAAAAAACTAAAGCAGGGTTTTATTTGGGACCTAGATGATTCTAGAAGTCCCCTTTCTCCATTTCCAACCCAGAAATCCTCTGACTATGGAAAGCATCCCATAGTCAGTGATAAAAATCTGGTTGAACAAACATTTTGTATGCATGCATTTAAAACAGAATTGCCAATCAATCAATCAATCAATCAAAAACACAAATATTACCTTCTTCTAAGAGAGGCCAGCCCAAGTAAAATTTAGCTGGAACAAACTGTCTTTTGGCTTGTAAATGAATAAGCTCTGTGCTCTTCTGAGATGGCTTTGTCCAACTTACTGGAGCTACATAAATTCAGAAGAAGTTTCTGTTTTGTTAGATTTCAAGATTAGTCTGAAGTTTTTGTTTTTGTTTTTAAAGTATGATGTTTTCTTCTTGACAACTTTGCATTAGGCATAAGAAAGAATATGTGAGATGCCATTTATAGCACCGATGTGGAATAATAAACACAAGCTCTTTCACTGATTCTTGAAGAATTTGTGACGACTTGCTTAAATAATAAGCAATAAATGCTATAGTTGATTTTCTCTAAGAGATGTTGTATTAGTCCATCCTTGTACTTCTATAAAGAAATATCTGAGACTAGATAATTTATTTAAAAAAAAGGTTGAATTGGTTCATAGTTCTGCAGGCTGTACAGGAAATAGTGGCTGCTGCTTCTCCAGAGGCCTCAGGAAACTTACAATCATGGTGGAAGGTGAAAGGAAAGCAGGCACATCTTACATGGCAGGGGCAGAAGGAAGAGAGAAAAGGGGGAGGGGGTGCTACACACTTTTAAACAAGCAGATCTCACTATAAGTCACTTACTCTTTATCACCAGGACACCACCAAGGGGAAGGTGCTAACCCATTAATGAGAACTCTGCCCCCATGATACAATCACCTCCCACCAGGCCCCACCTCCAACAATTGGGATTACAATTCAACATGAGATTTGGTGGGGACACAGATCCAAATCATATCAGATGTCTTCAAGCTTTCAATGATGACTAATGTGTCAGGGAAGAATGCACAGATTAGTAAAAAATGAATGTGTCCTGTAAGCATGGAATAATAACTGAAAGAGTCTGCCCTACTCAATAGTATCCCAGCTTTCATTTTGTCCACATAATCCCAAGATGCTAGGTTGTCTCCTTTGTAAATTAAATACCTCAAAGGACATTCTCCAAGCCTTTTAGAGACTTACTTTTCCCTGTCTCATAGTTTGACACAACTGTCTGCCTTGGCTGCAGAGAAAGCTCATTAGGTCAAATGGATGCAATAAGTCTTCCCCATAGCCCATCTCTGGCTGTACAGAGAGAGTTCTTCAGGGTCTTATTTTAGAAGGAAAAACCCAGTCTTGATTGCATTCACCTTATTAGGAGTTCCTTTATCTCATCCACCATGTTTCTATCCCTACTTTCAGGCCAACTATCCCATGTGGAAACAGCTATCCAGATCACTCATGTTTGGAATATATGCATGTGATATATATTCATTTATTAATATTATAAAAGAAATGGTATATACTGGACACCTTAAAATGACAGTAAAGACTTTGCTCAAGTGTGTTGCAATAGGAAGTAAAGGCTACTGTAATAGGGTACAGAGACTGAACACAACTCCAAATACAATAGGAACAAATGAGAATTTGTAGCCACAGGCAGAGTGAGGCTGTTGATGAAAAATTACTAGGAGAAACGTAGTCAGGTGTCAAGGACAGAGTGAGGAAAAAGAGGAACTTGATTAATATCAAGGGTAAGGGGATTCTCAACAAATTGGCTTAGCAGAGTTCTTTGCTAAAACTGGGCTTTGAAGGCTGAGAACACGGGCCAAGCATGAGGCCTACTCAGGAAAAGGGCTCAGAGTTTGGTCAAGATGGGAGTCATTGTCAATACTCTGTGACTTCCTGTGGTAGGAAGGTCTCCCTAAGAATGGGACATTTGGCCAAGACCTGAAAGATGAGAAAGAGTCAGCCCAAAGTGGAGAAGGGAAAGAATGTTCTAGGTAGGGAAGAAGAGGAAAGAATATTCCTCATTTCATACATTGGTCAGTCTCCCCTTACAGTCATTTCTTTCTTTGAATGTTCTGTAAGTCTCACAGACATGTCAAGCACACTGGACCTAGGAGTCGGGAACCTTGTACCCACTGTACACATAACTGTTCATCTGGTTTCACTGAGCCCTTCCAGATCTGAGTTTCATTATATGACAGAAAGAGGTTACTACCATTTGGATGGTATATTATTCTGGGGGTTATATTGCACATTGCAGGATATTTATAATTACTGCCCTCTGCCCAATAAATGCTGGTAGTATTCTCTAAATATTCTGAAAACCAGTAATGAAGTCCCACTTACATTTTCAGAGGTCCCCCAATTGGAAAGGAGGTGAATTTACCTCCAGTTGAAGATCACTATTAATTACAAAGATTCCTGTTAGCTCTCCTTGCCTGATTCTATCTGAATTGCAAATCCATCTGGAAGAACCAGCCTCCATCTTAATTCACTCTCTCCCCAAGCTTTCCTGATACTTCAGCTTGCTGCAGTCAGCAATTACTTACAATATTTATATGTTGCCTCAGGGTTCAAAGAATTATGTAGGTGGGTAAGTAAGACTCCCGATTTCTGAATGTGGGTGAAAGAGACAGCTCTTTTCTCTGGGAAGGTTCTATATGAGCCAGAACTAGGAAAGCGCTCCTTGTAACTTAGTTAATGGAAAAAAGATAGGTAACGGGTCATCAACTTGTAGCAGGCAAGGATTAAAGCAGGAGGTAAAATTTCAGATAGAACTTTCCAGGGGCTGAGCATTCACATTTTTTCCTCTTTTCCCCTTTGGAAATTAAACTGCTGATCTTTCTAAGCAGTCTTCTCAAGGGTTTCTCTATTGAGAACAATCCCTGAGATTTTGTTAAGATAAATATAGGCACTGACATCCTTCTCCAGCAAAATCCTAAATCCTAAAATGTATTTTCTCCTTGTGTGAGAATTTAAAATATGTAAATTGTGTCTATATACATATTTAACGCATTTTCCAAATTCTGTTTGCTATTCAGAGTGTAGGATATTTTGGACCCACTTTGAAGGGAATGTACGCTGATGTTTTACAGTATCTCCTGCAGTGTAGCTACTGTTAAGTGGCAGTGATAAATAATAACCACTGGCTCTGATTGCTTAGAGAATTTCCAAGTGATAATTCGGGATGTAATTAAGGAAAAGAAACCAATGTTTTCTTTCACCACTTTCATAAAATAATTTCCCAGTGAGGCATCAGAGCTTCTGTGGGTAATGTTACCTGGTAGAGCAAAATTAACTCTCCAAACACACAGAACTTTGGATAGGAAAAGTCAACCAGTCCATTGGATTTTGTTGTTATTGTTGCTAAATGAACTATGTTGACCCCATGTTCCTATGTTTGTTCTTTTGTGAACTTATTAAATGCTATCTTTTGTTTGTTTCTGATTCTTAGAATTAGGCTGGAGCCTGTGTTCTGACCAGGGAACAAAAGTAGGTCCAATAGAGCTCTCAGCCCACTGGTTTATGAAGAGAGTCAGGGAGAGGGTGAGGCCACTCTTTAGTCTCTGTGACCTACCTGACTTGGGCTAGGCAGGGGCGCCATGGGTGTGTCTGTGGGCCCTTCTCTAGAAAAATCCTAAGAACTCCCACATCTCTATCCTGACACATCTGGTCCTGCCAATTAACTCTCATATTTACAGTGCTCTAGGCTCCAAATGACTTTGGAAACCTCCAAAGGGGACTTTTCTGCCCAAGTTAATCACATACTCACTTCTAGAAGAAGTGTTGGTAGCATTTGCAGAAAGCTTTTCTCCTCAGGGGAATATATTTAACCTGGTTTTGAAGGATGATCAAGCCACCTATCATTATTGTTACTTGTTAGCCACCACTAGGCATTACAGGAGTTGGTCAAGACCAAGAGTTCTTTCCATCAGCCTTGCCTTATTGGTGCCAAAACTCAGAAATAGTGTAGTCAGTGGTCAGGGTGTTCCTGCACCTCAGAGCTGTGGAAGTCACAGCAGCCTTATATCCTGATAGCTCCAAGAATCTCATAACAATGATGTGTCTTGAGGAAGATAAACTGTTGAAGGATGATACCCACATAGAAGAATACCAGCCTGCAAAACAGCCAACAAGTTGCATTTCTATCAAAACTGCCTTGAATGTATTACCTATAAAGATAAGACTTTTCTTTCAGTTACATAATAATTTCCTACAGCTCATTCCTTTTAATATTTCATGAATTTGATTGCCTGCCTCTGTTTAAGTTTCTTATGATTAAGAAGGATAGAATTTGTAAAATGAGAAAGGATAAACCAACTTTTAAAACTTAAATCAGACTACAGATTCTCTAAGTTCAATCCATTTCTATTAGGTGTGAATTAGCCATATTTTTCAGGGTTCAGATTGCTCATTATAGGCAACTAATTTTAGAGGCTTAAGGCTTCCCTTGGTTGTAAAAGCATGTTATCCTTGTAGAATGTATTGATCTCTTTATTAAATACGGAGGTTTGGAGTTTTCATTGGAGTAGGCAATTTCCTGAGTTAATTAAAATTATGAGATGCTGTATACTTCTAACTCAAGTTACAGGTGTGCTTCCCATGAAAAGCAATACATACAGAGTTGCTTTACTAATTCACTATTTAATTCAAGTTGCCTTGCACACTGTTATCAGAGTTTATGATTTCAGAAAGGTACCTCTTGATTGCAAGAGTGACTGCAGAATATCATTGAGAGGGAAGGAGCTCAGGAGTGTAAAATCATTCAAAGCAATGTAGTACCAAAGGATAGATATTTTTCTTTTAAAAAGCCTCATCATATTATCCAATTTCTTATCCCAAAAGTGATTTTATGGTTATAAGAGTCAGGTTCAGGAGAAAGAATATTCTATTTCAGGTAGTGACTAGCACATTTCCATGAACCCAATGCAAGATCTATAAATGTTGGCCAGGTGCGTTGGCTCACGTCTGTAATCCCAGTACTTTGGGAGGCCGAGGCGGGCGGATCACCTGGGTCAGGAGTTGGAGATCAGCCTGGCCAACATGGTGAAACCCCGTCTCTACCAAAAATATAAAAATTAGCTGGGTGTGGTGGTGGGTGCCTGTAATCCCGGCTACTCGGGAGGCTGAGGCAGGAGAATAGCTTGAACCCTGGGGGCAGAGGTTGCAGTGAGTTGGGATTGCACCACTGCACTCCAGCCTAGGTGACAAGAGTGAAACACCATGTCAAAAAAAAAAAAAATCTATAAATGTCAATTGAGTTTCATTGGAAGTAGGAGTAATGTGACCATCTTACTTAATTCACTCATGTCGGGGAGATTTTGCTGTTTGTGGCTCTGAGTAGGCTGATATGATCCTAGCTCCATGCCTAGTGCTCAAGAAATCTTCATGGAATAATTAAAGAATCATCTCCGAAGTCATATGTTTGTGATTTTAGAAGATGCCAGTTTACAGGGTGTGTGTGTGTGTGTGTGTGCGTGTGTGTGTGTGTGTGTTGTCCATCATGAATTGTGAAATCACTCTATGTCATTAGACAGGAAGGCTGAGACATCTGGTGACCTACTGCCTGCTTTTGGTTTGTGGATGTAGAAAAACCCTGGTGTAAACCTTGACTGAAAATAGAATGGCCAAAACGGAAGTGCTTAAACCAATGCTAATTTAGCTGTATTAAGTGCTTATTTGCATTCTTGAAACTCTTCCTAGTTTTTACTTTTCTGCAGATCCTCAGCCAAGGGATTTACTAGAATAGACAAGCATGAAATTAATTTTTTATATTTGTTTAGTAATAGATGGGAAGATCATAGCTCACTTCCATTGGGATCATTTTTTGTTTTGTTTTTAATTTCTTCTGCTTTCTTCTGCTGCTGCTCTCTATGGGCCCTGGTGCAATCTCTATCCAGAGAGCTACATGAAATAAACCCTTCCCCATTTATATTTTGGGCTGTCTTAAAGTGGTGTTTGAGGACCAGATCTTTCCCAATGGCTAAGAGTCTCATGGTATACAAGCCTTCCTGTTTGTAAGCATCCATCTAGCATTTGTTATTCACTGTTCTTGACTGCATTTTATCACTGACTGCATTCACACTACATTAACCTTATGTGAATGCAGGCATGGCCCTCTCCTAAACCAGAATCAAATCTGTTTCCTTTCCTCCTCTTGGACCCAAGGTGCTCAGTAATACATTGTTCTCTATAAGCATGAGTCATAATAGAAAATACTTAAGGACACACATCAGACGTCAGCAATGAGCATGAGAAACTTTGAAGAGTAAGGAAATTCAACCACTAGTGATCTCAGTGTTGGTCAAGGCAAGTTGGCACCATGCCTACCTTCCTTCTTTCGCTAAGAAACATTTGCTGAGCATCTACTATGTATAGGTACTGGTGATTGCCAGGGATTCAAAGGCAAATGCATCAAACCCCCAGCTTGGTTGGAGCTGATGGTCTAGACTAGCAGTGCAAGCATTCCTTTGTTATAAATAGGACAGGAAATATTCTCTTCTGCAGACGTGGCACCTGCTCATGGTGGTATTTTATCACATTTGGTAGACACTACCAGCCCATATACTTCTGAGTAACCCTTGACAGCCCTGATATCAAGTAATGTTAATATTAATATTGTGTGATACTGTGCTGGGTGCTGATTCCTACTATGTAAGAACTAGTCACAACTACAGCACCTCTGACTCACCTCCTACCTGACTTAGTTCCTTCAGTCCTTCCTCTCTTCACACCCATATCTAATTGGTACCTAAGTCCTGGCTACTATCCTTCATGGTTCCTCCCACATCTCTATTATTTCCATTCAACTCTCACCCAGTGTATTGCATCACTTCCCTTTAATGGAGCTGCTCGACTCCAGTCCCCTGCCTTTGATGCACATAGTTCCTGCTGCCAGCCCAAATCTCCCTGAGGCACAGAAGCCATCATTTCCTTCATCAGCATAACAGTCAGCAGTTCTCCCACCAAGCAGAATGAGATGAATCACAATCACATTTCTGATCTTATTTTTACCTTCCTTTTCATTTGCCCCATTGCACAGGAAAACTTTGCATTCCTTCAATACATGGTGTCTACACGCTAAGCTCTTACTATTGTTTATGTGGCTCCTTCTGCCCTTTCCCTTCTATGTCTAGTGTCCAAACCTCCCCATTTCTCATGACCCAGTGGAAGACTTTCCAAAACTCCCCAATCATAAGTGATCTCTCCTTCTTGTAATTCCCAAGCACTTTGCAACCCCTGTTACTTTCTCCTTCATGTCATATTTACTCAGGTAATAATGAGACTACCATGACCATCAGCACTTTCTGTGCATTACCATGAGCTGCTAAGGCTTTATGTGCACTCTGCACTTCATCATTACCAGTGAGGTGTAGGTGCTGTGATCCTCCTCCTACAGATGAGGGAATGAAACCACACAGAGATTAAGTTACTTGCTAACCTTACATAGGACAGCTGGGATTTAAATCAGACTCTGCCGAACTCTAAATCCTCATTGCCTCCCATGTACATATATTTTACTGTCTCCTACTGATTTCCATCTACTGGCAGGAAAGTAAAATTACTTTTTTCTCTTTGTGTCTTCCACAACGTACAGAATCATTAAATCTTTGTACAAATGCCTCCTGACTCCTTATTGCAGTTGCAGGTACTTCAACAGTTTTAAAAGAAGACATCGAATAGTAAGAAATTGCATTAAATTTTGAAGTGAAGAAATAGATGCATTTGATGCTGATTTCATTCTCTTCAATTCTTGAGAGAATACAGAAGCACCTGGACCAAATGTGATAAAATGTTGGTTTTTATTTATTCAAACCACTGCTTTATTTAAATCAAAGAACTAGAGGGAAGACAACATCTAGGGAAATTAACTGTAAATGGTGAGTTATTGCACATGCACACACACAGTGATACATACTCTATTTCTCCGCAGAAACACAAATGAAAAAATATCCAGGCAGATTGGAATTTAAAAGCTTTAGTTTCAGTGTCATTTTAAGTGGTGGATATGAATGCTTTGCACTCTAGTGTCTATATCCAGAGATGGATAGGCCTGCCAGGAGTGGTCTGGAGAAACACGGGCTCTTATTTCCATGCTGTACTTGAGAGAATATTGTCTTCACTGTGTTTGTCCAATATTCTCTATACTATTTCAAAGTCAGGGCCTTGTTCTTGGACAAGAACATTACCCTTTGTGTTTTGTCCTCAGTAGCATTGGTCAGATAGGGGTGGACTGGGGCAGAGGATGACAGTCCCCAAACTCTCTCCATATATTGTTGCCATACTTGCTAGAGAGACACACATTTGCAATGACTCTAGCTGTTTTTATAAAATAAACACTATTCTTAGTCAAGCATCTGTGAACTGAACTGAACCAAAAATTCAGAAGCAGATGAAATAATGTAGCTGGCTCCCTGTCTAAAACTCCACCTGTGTGTTATCAGATGTTTGAATATAATAGTATTCAATACATTATTTCTAAAAATCTGATGCTGAGGCTTTGAATGCCAAGTATTCTTGAATTACAATTAATAATAAGTTAGACAACTCATTATTCTGGTATTTCAGAGAATTATATTCTTATGCTAACACAATTCCAAAAGTTTCCAGTACTGATTGAAATAAGATAAAATTCAAAGAGATGAAAATTTGCTTGCAGGATTTTTTCTTTCCTTTCCTTTCCTTTTGTTCTTTTCTTCTCCCTCTCCCTCCCTCCCCTCTTCTTTCTCTCCCCGTCTTTCTTCCTTTTCGCTTTTCTCTTCTTCCCTTCCATCCTTCCTTTTTCTTCTTGAGAATATGAGCCTCATCAAGTTATGTGAGATGGAGTTAAATCCAGGCTTCTGTTCTCTTTGTGACCAATTTTGCTGAGAAAAGTGATTGTCTAATTTAAGTTTCCAGCCAAGATTCAGGGTAGTAAATTTAATACAACATTTTGCTAATATTAATTCTACTAGAGCAAAGCCAAACATTTTTCATTAGCACACTTCTTGAATCTCATATTTTCAGAACACAATTTTTTTTCTTTCTCCTTGATTACCTCACTGAGAAATAAGGATTTATTTGCTTAGGAGCATGATGGCACACATTCAGCTAAAACCTGAATTATGTAAGAGTTATTACAAACCATTTAAGAGAGTGTCTCACGTGAATTCCCATTTTAGACAGTTTTTCAAAGACCCACAGGCCTAGAAGAGGAGAAAATAAGCTCACCTGGAAACAAAACAATTAAAATTTGCACACTCCCTATTGTCCTGCTACTATCATCTTCATGAAAACAGTGACTAAGAGGGATATCTCTATAATTCATGTAAATACAAATACTGCCTCCTGTTGGGATAGGAGGCTCCTTCACACGTATTATTTTGGATAGTGCTAGCGATAACCCTACAAGTGTAAGAAACAGGAAATTGTCCATTGCTGAACTTCAGTTTGTATGGATGGTTGCATGTTTGGTGAGTGGCAGATCCACAGTGTTAAGCCCAATCACCTTTCTCAAGTACAGGCCCTTTTGCCAGTTTGCCAAAGGAGGATTTTTCCCCAGTCTAGAGGTCAAAATACATCAGCAGATGTACAGAAGGAGCACATTTGCCTCTCCACCTTGGCTTAGACATCATTATCAGAGGAAAGGCAAAGCACACTCTGAAACTGTAAGAACCACATCATAGTTATTTTAGGAAGTAATTTTGGAAGAAGTTTCAAATGAGATGAAGAGAGGAAGACATGTGGTGGGATGCAATGTTTTGCACCTATAACCAAGACATAGATATTTGGCAAAAATCATCTGCAAAACCACTTTGTGGTTTGTGGTGGACCTTAAGAAATTTCCAAAGTCAAATCATCATATTAAGTGTGATGTCAAGAGGTTTAAAGACAGAACTGGGCAAAGAGTTTTTTTATAAAAAAAATTTTATTTTTTGTTTTTATTTCAATAAAGTTTTGGGGGAACAGGTGGTGTTCGGTTACATGGATAAGTTCTTTAGTAGATTTTGGTGCACCTGTCACCTGAACAGTGTACACTGTACCCAATGTGTACCCTTTTATTTCTCATTCCCCTCCTATCCTTCCCCCCAAGTCTCCAAAGTCCACTGTATCATTCTTTTTTTTTTTTGAGACAGACTCTCATTCTGTCACCCAGGCTGGAGTGCAGTGGCACGATCTCGGCTCACTGCAAGCTCCGCCTCCTGGGTTCATGCCATTCTGCTGCCTTAGCCTCCTGAGTAGCTGGCATTACAGGTGCCCGACGCCACGTCAGGCTAATTTTTTGTATTTTTAGTAGAGATGGGGTTTCACCGTGTTAGCCAAGATGGTCTTGATCTCCTGACCTCGTGATCCGCCCGCCTAGGCCTCCCAAAGTGCTGGGATTCCAGGTGTGAGCCACGCGCCCGGCCACTGTATCATTCTTATACCTTTGCATCCTCATAGCTTAGCTCCCACTTCTAAGTGAGAAGATATGATGTTTGGCTTTCCATTCCCACGTTACTTCACTTAGAATAATGGTCTCCAACTCCATTCAGGTTGCTGTGAATGCCATTATTTCATTCCTTTTTATGTTTGGGTAGTATTCCATGGCATACTACATTTTCTTTATTTACTCGTTGATTGATGGACATTTGGGCTGATTCCATATTTTTGAAATTGCAAATTATCCCACTATAAACATGCATGAGCAAGTGTCTTTTTCTTATAATGACTTCTTTTCCTCTGAGTAGATACTCAGTGGGATTGCTGGATCAAATGGTAGATCTACTTTTATTTCTTTAAGGAATCTTCATGCTGTTTTCCATAGTGGTTGTACTAGTTTACATTCCCACCAGCAGTGTAAAAGCGTTCCCTTTTCACCACATCCATGCCAACAACTATTATTTTTTTGATTATGGCCATTCTTGCAGGAGTAAGTTTAGGTATTGCATTGTGGTTTTGATTTGTCTTTCCCTGATAATTGGTGATGTTGAGCATTTTTTCATATGTTTGTTGGCCCTTTGTATATCTTCTTTTGAGAAGTGTCTATTCACGTCTTTAGCCCACATTTTGATGGAATTATTTGTCTTTTTCTTGCTTATTTGTTGGAGTTCCTTGTAGATTCTGGATATTAGTCCTTTATTAGTTGCATAGTTTGCAAATATTTTCTCCCACTTTGTGGGTTGTCTGTAATAGATGTCTTGCTGCAGCACAAAAAATTAGTACAGGAATATGCCCTGTGATTTCAGAATTGACTAAGAGGCTGCCTCCTATTCCTTCTAAAAAAAAATGTCTCCTTCAACTCCATCATATCTTTACATGGTTATCTGATCACTTATAGCCTTATTTTTCTTATGAGTCTAGCACTGGGATCAAGTTCTGGAATCTCCACTAAAAACTCAAAGCACAAATGGGCCATGTTTTGAAATTTGAATACTTTCTCATTGGTAAGAACTTACTAATTTCCACTATTTTGTATTTCATTTGTATGGTGCTGTTGACTTAGGTTTTAAAGCCTCAGGTGCTTAACTCGTATATACAACAGTAGAACCTAAAAATGAGTCACTATTCATAATCTCTAACTGCTCACAGTATAATGATGAAACCCCTGTAGATAAACATTTACTAAGTCCTAACTTGTATAAAATCCTTTATGGGGAAAAAATTTAAGTTTTCTATTTTCTGCTAATAGAGTTCTCTACATTTCACTGGCAATTTGCAGTTCACATAGTCCTCTCACATACATTATCACATTTGAACTTATAATTAATTCAAAACTAATATCCATAACTGACTGTATAAATGCTATGCAAATTATAGAAAAGGGTGGAAGAAATGTAAATATCCATTTGTCATGTTAGTTCATTTTGATACAAGTGCTAAAATACTCTGATAGAATTGTGATTGCAGGCAATAAAATAAATCAAAAAAAATTTCCCCCTGAGTTTTTGGAGTAAAACCATATATAAATGTAAATGATTTGGTAGAATGAAGAAACTCTAGAAATGTCTTCTCTTCTCATTTCTGCAATTTGCATAAAGTAGGTGAACTGCTTATGACCATTTTGGTTTGCTTAGGATCCTTGTTAGAATATTTATGAAGATTTACTCTGGCAGATTATAAACTCTAGAAGGCATTTATTTTTTAAAAATAAACTTTTTATTTACAACAATGTTAGATTTACACAATTACTGTGAAGACAGTACAGAGACTTCCCCTATGTCCTGCCTTCTAATTTCGTCTATTATTTTCAGCTTATAGTAGTACAGTGTTACTGTTACGACTAATGAACCATTATTAATACGTTATTCATTAATGTCCATACGTTATTTGGATTTTTTTTTTTTTAGTTTTTACTTAATGTTCTTTTTCTGTCCCAGGATCCCACCCAAGATCCTACATTACCTTTAGTCTTTATGTTTCTTTAGGCTCCTCTTGGCTGTGACAGTTTCTCAGACTTTCATTGTTTTTTGATAAACTTGACAATTTTGAGCAGTACCTGTCAGGTATTTTGTAGAATGTCCCTCAATTGGAATTTGTCTAATGTTTTTCTCATGATTACTCTTGGGTTATATTTATTTGGGAGGAAGATCATAGAGGTCAAGTGCCATTTTCATCACCTTAGGAAGAATAAATACAGTCAACATGATGTATCACTGGCTAGGTTGAGCTGGATCACCTGGCTAAGGTAGTGTTTCTCCACTGTACAGTAACTCTTCTTCCTCTTTCTATACTGTACTCTTTGAAGGAAGCCACAATGCTCAGCTCACTTATGGAGTGGGGAGTTATGCTCCATGTTTTTGAGGGTGGAGTATCTACATAAATTATTAAGTCTGATAGCCATTTTAAATTTTAAAAAGCTAGGAGTCCAGAAGTCAAAGGGTGTTATAAAAAGCGAAGAGGAAAACAACGAGGAAATTCATACAAGGAAGCCAAGAACTAAGGAAATCAAGGTAATGACTGCAGCTAAGGTAAGAGGTAGGCTTACACTCCTCCACACTGGCAAAGCTTCATGACTCAAGACACAGTCCGTGCAACTCTTTCCTGCCTGCCCAGTTTCTCTGGAAAAGTAAAGCATTCAAACATTTGGAAACTGTAATGAAGTCCATAAACCTTTTACTTTTCTCCTGGGATCATCCCAGGAACATAACATTTCCTTCACTGCCAGTGCCTGTGCTGCAATAAAGGTTGTGGTCTCCAAAATGCATAGAATGGTTTCCAGGCAGAGCTCAGTATTTTCTCTTGGAGTGGGTAAGTGTGGATATGTGTTGAAAAGATGTGCCAGCTTGTAGTTAAAGGAGTAAAATGAGATAGAGATTAAGTAATTTGCTTAAGATCTTCAAAGTTAATTATTTCTATCTTCACCATTCAACTAAAAGTGCTCTCCCACAACCCCCAAAAGAGTATTTGCTGTGAAATTCAATGGTCCTTTCTCCTTCCTATTCTCCTTGATCTTTTTTCTTCATTTGACTTTGTTAACTACCTTTTGGTGTTGGATAGCTATTGCTATGTAACAAACCATCTCAAAACTCTGTGGCTTAAGAAAGCAATCATTTATTGCTGCTTATGCACCTGTGGGTAGCTGCAGTTTATCTAGGCTGGGTTCAACTAGGTAGCACTACTTCTAATGAAAACCTGCTAGTTGGCTGGGGAGTCACTGGTCTGTGTGTCTTTCACCCTTGTTCACAGTTCAGCATGCTGGCTGTCGCATATTTTTTACTATAGCAACGGTAGAAGGGCAAGAGAACAGTGGTAACATCTGAAGTCTCTTGAGAGCTAGGCTTGGAATTGGCATCCTGTCATGGTGCCAGTGGTTAAAGTTACAATAATGTTTACTGTCAAATCAAGTCACATGAACAAGGGACAAAAAATACACTGTATCCTCAAGGAGGCCATAGCTAGTGTGTGGATACAGGGATAAGTGAAGAATTGGTGTCAGTAACACAGTAATGCAATCTGTCATACCCTTGCTTCTTGAAACATTCTCTTCTTCTTCTTTTTCTTTTTTAACAGAACCTTGATCCTCTCCCCTTTTATTATTTAATTCTTCCTCCTTCAACCTCAGTGCTGTATGTAAGCTTTACCTTAGGCTTAACCTTTCCATCCTGACTTTCTCTGTGTTTATGCTCTTCCTAAGAAAGCTTATCTCGGCTCAGACTCCCTGATGCCCTAATGATCATTTCCGGTTTACCAATTGGGCATTTCCATTTGGAATTGCCTAAATTCATAATCTTTGCTCCCTTGTTCCTCTTAAATCAATGTTTGCTTCCAATACAAAGCTGTATCTCTGAAAAAGACTTGGGTCTTTGGATAATTGTTTTGATGTGAAAGGAAAAACAAAAGCACACAAAGTCCCAATGAAAACCTATTCTACAACAACAGGAATAGGACATCTCTAAAAATTAAAAGGGAATATATCTGAAAGGAAACCATAATGACAAAAAGAGTATTAAGCACCATTTTCTATGAGAAAAGGTTAAAGTTACAATTTTTTTTAATCTAGAGATTATGTAGGGTATCATGACCACCATGCTTAGATAGTTGAAAGTGTGTGGTGTGGGGAGACTTGAGGGTTTTTTCTATATAGCAGAACTACCCCCACTGGGTGGATTTGAAGGAGGAAAATTTTGGCTTAATATAAGGAAATGATTTTTAGTAAGAAGAACTATACAGAAACAGAATGGGCTAATATCTTTATTTTTTATCTGTGTCACTTCTCTCTCCTGAAAAAGTCTTGCTCCCCCTTTTCCCAATTATCCATAAAATTCCTATCCATTCTTCAAGATTATCCCGAGCCTTCATCCCTCCATAAACTCTTCCCTGACTACTCAAATTGTATTGATTCCTTTCATGTTGCTAATCTACCACCCCTCCCCAACTAAAATAAGAGTCCTTTGAAAGTAGAAATAGGACATTCTAATTTATAACTTTAAGCATAGGCATAACACTGAGTTTCTACCAGGCATTTAGTATATTCTTAGTGGCTTGCATTTTTTTTTTTTTTTTTTTATGAGACAGAGGCTGGCTGCAACTCCCAGGCTGGAGTGCAATGGCGCGATCTCAGCTCACTGCAACCTTCACCTCCTGGGTTCAAGCGATTCTCCTGCCTCAGCCTCCCAAGTAGCTGGGATTACAGGTGCCCGCCACCACGCCCAGCTAATTTTTGTATTTTTAGTCGAGACGGGGTTTCACCATGTTGGCCAGGCTGGTCTCAATCTCCTGACATCAGGTGATCTGCCTGCTTCGGCCTCTAAAAGTCCTGGGATTACAGGCTTTAGCCACCGCCTGGCCCTGGCTTACATTTTTATCACAGATTTCCTGATTTCTAATCTGGAGTCATTGGCTTTGAACCAGATTGGAATGCTCAAGATTCTGATTGTTTCACACTGATTTCACAAGAGGACTTGGCTTCTGATTTTAAGGAAAACTTAGGGGGAGTAGCAGATTTTGCCATCACTTGCCATCCAAGCTCATATTTTCCTGCTCACCAAAGAAAAACACTGAATCTAGAGATCCTCTAAGATCTTAGATTTATAGCTCAGATAATTTACTGAGTGAAATAGAGTGAATTTGCCATCACTTCTTCATGTCTGAAAATTATTTAAAACAAAAATCACGTGGCAAATGGGCATATATGATGTGGAGGAATACACACAGAACTGGAGAGCTGTCATTCTAGTTTGTATTCAGGTCTGCCTGTTGTCATAGTTACTGATGTACTCAAAGCGAATTCCCTCCCAAATCACACTCTGTAGACCTTCACTGAAAATAAGTCATACTTCCTGTTTTATTTTTCTCTATCCAAGAGTTGAAGCTAAAAAATAGCATCAATGGCATGAATGTTTCTACATTCTTAGCAGGATTTTTTAAACATAAAGGAAATAAAAGAGCTTTCATCAAAATAAACACCTCTGATTGAGGCCTCACCTCATTTGTTCAGCAATGATTCATTGTACTGGGGAAACAACTATGATTATGGCGCAATCCCTACCCTCAAGGACATCAGAGCTCTGTGAGGGAGAAAGATGGGTAAGGGATGCATTTCAACAAAATGCAATTGGGGCTGTGGAGGAAGCAGAGTATGGAAAGCCACAGGAACACAGAAGAGGGACATCTCATTAAGTTTGGGGTGCAGAGCCAAGGGAGGTGTCCAACCTGCAAGTCTTGAAGCATTATGGCTGTGAAGTTTAGCAAATGTATTTTCAGTCCCTTTGGGTACAGGACGCCAGTGTGACCCTCCAGGCGGGGTTCATGGAGCAGTGGCATGCGGAGGCCAGCACTGTTGCACGCAACATGCTATCACCTGCTCATATTCACACACAGCTCTCCTTTCTGCTCTGGCTGCAGGAACTCCTTCACAGACATCCTTCGTGCCATCCTGCTGTCATTGGAAGTCCTAATCGAAGATCCGGAGCTTCAGATAAATGGCTTCATTTTAATTATAGACTGGAGTAATTTTTCCTTCAAACAAGCCTCCAAACTGACACCTTCAATCCTTAAACTGGCCATTGAAGGGTTGCAGGTATGTTCAATGAATGCGCAATACAAGACCATGTGTGGCAACATACTTTTTAAAAAATTATCGCAACCAAAGTAATATTTATCCTTTGGAGTGGAAAAAGGAAACTTGGATTAAATTCATCTGAGTACTCCATGTTTTTGCCTCAGCCAGAGTTTTAGATGCTTTTTAAAATTAACTTTCATTTTCATTAATAACTCCAAATTACTGTTACCCCAGGCACAAATTATCCTCTGTAGCAATAATGAATAAAGCTCCAAGATGTTCGGCTTAATCCATCAGAGAGTTCACAAAAATTAAAACTAGGAAACATCTGCTTTATGATCATGTCATATACAGGGGTGGCATGGGGCTTTCAGAAGCATTTTTGTGCCCCAGAAATGCACCCTGCAGATCACTACTTCCAAGAGTGTCACGTGCTACCGAGCTTGCGCTTAAGTGGATCACTTCAGTGCAAACAAAGGAAGCAGATGAAATTACCTCCTGTTTGTATGACCACTTATGAGGATTTTGGAGAAGAGGTTTTTGGGCTACATGGAGGGTAGAATGGTTAGTCTTTAGGGTTCTTTCTACTTTCTAAGGATCTGGGATTCTATGAGAAGTAACTCAGAAAGGCAATGCTGCTTAGCTTTCTGGTGACACATTATTACAAATTACTATTACTATAACAAATTAAGGGCATAGTTTGGAGACATTTTGAATCAGTATAGATAAAACTTCTGTCCCTTCTTAATTTCATAGGCAGATTAACTCTATGGAGTGACCCTCTCCCCATAGACGGCAGTTATAGGCAGCTATGTATATAGCAAAATATGACATTCTCAGATCAAGTAGTCATTACTCATGCTCTTCAAAGTGCAAGACTAGGACCCATTTCAATCATCCATTACACTCCACTGCAATAATTGGTGGGTCTGTTTCTTACATTATGACTTCTTCCTATTTGGCCCCCAGCAAATATCTGGCACCTAGTGGGCCTCTGATAAGCATGTATTTATTGAATGGATCTTATTTTATTGAAATGTATCCTATTTCCCAGAGGAGGAGAAGTAGGGCAGGCATTTCAGAAAAGAAACAGCAAGTCCACATTGTTCCAGGGATGCCACATTGTCCTGGGTAGTGTATTTGGGGGACATTTGTAAAATTGCTTTTGAATGTACAGACTACATGGAGCATCCTGCCTTGCCTAATCATAGACTTCTGTGTTCTTTTCCATCAGTCACTTCCTCTTAGCTCTAACTCCTTTTCTCCAACCTCCTCTCACCTAAGCCTCTGAACATCTGATCTCTCTCTCTTTAAAGCTTTTATCAAAGGAAGTTTTAAAGTAAGCTTCAGGGCTTATATCATGCGCTTAAATTATGCTGACCATATCTCTAGGAATTTCTGTACAAGCTGCATGTAATCTTACCTTTTTTAAAAAAGATAATTTATTACATGTGCAAGTAACTGTGATTCAAGTTCTAGCCCTTTATACATTTTTTTTCTTAAATCAGTAAGAAAAATGTCCTTTATCCAACCCTATGATCCAATTTTTCTCCCTGAAAATGTATGGATTACTTAATACGTCCCTTGAAAAGTTCAATACATTGATGTGAACCTACTGAGATCTTACTGAATTAATCCATGCGAATGTGTTTTAAAAGGTAATGCTATATATAAATCAAAGCTATTCTTGTGGGAAATACTAGAAGACCTTTGGAGGGGCAACTTGGGTCCCATTTGGGCCTTCAGTTGTCACACGCCAGGGTCCAAGACGAATTTCATAATGTCCTATGGCTTTGGTTAAGGAACAGCCCACCTATCATGGAGAGGAAGCCCATGGTCCCTGGGGAGCTGAGCTGGGGTACAGTTCCTTCATCAAGGATAGGGGCTCCACCATCCCATGCTTTTTAGCTTGTTGACTTGGCCATGCTGAGGAAGCACTCAGGGCTACTGAAGACAATTCTGCTCTTGCCCACAGTGGATGGTCAACTCTGCCCAGCTACTTAAAACTTCTCACTTCAGGCTATCTGCTCTCTGGTTTTGGGATATTCAGATGCCCCGGTCAATCTACCACTGGCTCTCCTAGCAACTTTTTTCAGGTAGCCATTAACCCCTCTGATGTCTTGAAAAAGCCGTAAGTGGTACTAAGCAGAGTTCATTCCTTTGTGGTCAGCAGTACTGTGCAAGGAGGGCCCAATACAGGTGTCCATTTGTTAGCCACAAAAATTCAAGATAAATTCCAACACCACTGGCAGACTTTAATAGGGAAAGGAAAAGCCACATGCAGCCAGCATCAATGAGAGAAAAGCCACATGCTTCCTTCCTCCCATGCACCCTCAGAGAGACCTGAAGAAGCCAGCCATCCTTTGGACATGTGGGAGGTTGTGAGGGAGGGAGATCCTGTGTTCCAGTGCAGAGAACTTGCTCTCTCTGCCATCCCGCCTTTTCTAGAGTAGGTGTGAGAAAGTGGCCTTGTCAGGGGAAATAAGCAGTCCAATTTGGTGCTAGGCCATCTGGTTTGGGATTTCAGCTGTTTGTTTATAGCATTTGTCTAGGATTACCTGCTTCTCAACCTCTGGAGAATTTTGGGCCTTGGGTTATGAAACCCTCCCCCCCTTTCCCCACCCTCCCCCATCTCCACCACCAAATGGGTAATACAATACCTCCTGCAGGGACAAGGTGGTTGGGCCCCTCCCAGACAGCCCAATCTTTAGGCAGTGAGAATTTAAGGTCATTCTGGGTCAATCCTGCACGTTGCATCACAGCATGGTTCCAGAACCTGGAGCTTTAGTCCTATTACCATGGTTCCTAGTTCTCCATAAAGACAGTTGTTGAAGGAGAACTTTGATTAGTAATTGCTACACGTTGGGTTGTTGACTACTAATTGTTACACTTTGAGTTCTCTGGGGAGCAGACTATGATGTGACTAACATGCCAAAGATTTATTAGGTAGTGCTCTTTGGGTCCACACCTGTTGGGGAAGCTACTACAGAAGAAAGTTGGACAGTAGGAGAAATTAAGCTGGGATTCAGTCATCTCCAGTGAAGCCTCGGACATTCTGAAGCCGGAATGAGCATTTGCAGTTTGACTTAACAGGCAGGGATGCACACAGCGCTCAGTCACTGTGTGCTGGCTGTCCTAGGAAAAGGTAGTAAACTTGGGCAAAGTGGTTCTCTTCAGCTAGAGGTTCCAAAGGGAGCTGTTATCTGAGGACTTTCTGGCAGCCCTCTCAGTGGCTGGGCAGCATATCAGAGCATCTGTAATAAGCAAAAGATGTTTGGAATATCTTTTGGAAAAGCCATTGCAATGTAACATCAAGGAGCTTCTATTATTCTGAATCAGGATATATACCTGTGTTTTCTGGATTACTCACATTCCCAATAGACTCCAAAGTGGATGTGATTCTAGGTACTATAGAAGTGATGGGCACTGGGCTAGCAAGCAGGGGACAGTGTTCTATTTTGGTCTACCAGTTGTATTTCTGTGCTTTAAAAAAGTAATTAATACTACTTCTGACCATAATCATTAAAAAATGGCATGTGCATGGAGCTTGGTTATGCCCTTCACAGGCTTATTAATGAGTCATTATAACAATCATATTGAAGGCCTCTCTTTAGGGATCATCAGATTTTTACATCAAAATTTATCTTGTATCAGCCAGTCATGAAATGTTAATCGTGTATGTATTATAAATTCCTCCTTTTAGAGCAATGCTTTGAAGAATTGTCATTGTTTAGAATATTAAGTTGCCCCAGTTACATAAATATTCTATAAATATTAGTTCAAAAAATCTTAGTCAAAATACTAATTTTGAGAGTGCTTGAAAGTCATATACTCCTGCTGGGCTGTTTGATCTTTAAATGTGGTCAATATAAAGTCTAAAAGAGCCGTTGTATCTGTTCATTACAATTTGTTTAAATTTTAATCAAACAAAGTAATATTTATGCTACCATTTTAATACAGCTCAGCGTTATTCTCAGTTCTGCTGGGGATTTCTGGCAGAATGAGACGTCTTGTTCTTGAGCTTTGTGACATGTCCAAAATCAATTTTTGGAATTATTTTTTATAAATCACTGCAGCCCAGTGATTACAATCAATGTACTGTGTTTATCAATGTTCAGCCAACCCAGATACTTCAAGAGCTACCTTCCTCAAGTGTTTCACTTAGGAAGAGTTACAGTCTTGTGTCCTGTAGGCTATTTAAAAATATTTGATTCCTTGAAGGACCCAGATATTTGTTACGGATTTAGAGAAGTGTATTTTTCACTTTCTGGAAGAGATCCAGAAAGCTATCTATTTTTTGTTTTTTTCTCATTTTCATGCTCATGTCATTATGGTCTAGCCATTCTGAACACTTGGTGCGTTCCTTAACTCTTTATTCAAGGTTTATTGTGTGACCTTTTTTTTTTCTGTTAAAGATGTTTTTTATGACATTTATATCAACTTTGATTCAACTTCTTCCAACAGTTTTGAGCCACTTTAGTAGAAAAGGAGGTCCGTTGCTTTTCCAACTCTTTTCTTTTTTTGACCCTAAATGATGACTTTCTAACTTTTAGTCCAGGTAGGATGGAACATGGAGCAATGCTCAGAGGCTTAGCCAACTGCAAATCACCTATCTCCCTAGTGTCCTTTATTTATTTAATTATTTTTTTGTGTTACGAGAATTACGTTTTTTTCCTTTCAACTTTTATTTTAGGCTCATGGGGTACATGTGCAGTTCTGTTACGTGGGTAAACTGTACGTTGCTGAGGTTTGGTGTACAGATTATTTCATTACCCAGGTAGTGAGCATAATACTCAATAGGTAGTTTTTTGTTCCTCGCCCTCCTTCTACCCTCCAACTTTAAGTAGGTCCTGGTGTCTATTATTCCCTTCTTTGTGTCTATGTGTACTCAGTGTTTAGCTCCTACTTATAAGTGAGAATGTGAGGTATTTGATTTTTTGTTCCTACGTTAGTTTGCTTAAAATTATGGCCTCCATTTGCATCCATGTTGCTGCAAAGGACAGGATTTCATTCTTTTTTTACAGCTGCATACTATTCCATAGTGTATATTTATCACATTTTCTTCACCCAGTCCACTGTTGATGAGCATCTAGGTTGATTCCATGTCTTTGCTATTGTGATAGGGCTGTGATGAACATATGCATGCATGTGCCTTTGTGGTAGAATGATTTATATTCTTTTGGGTATTTACCCAGTAATGAGATTGCTGGGTTGAATGGTAATTCTGTTTTTAGCTCTTTGGCATCTCTTTTTTAATACTCCTCAAACCTTGGTTTATTCTCTCTGGCTTCCTTCCCACAGCCTGCCCCCTTTTCCAAAACATGATATGTTCACTTCTCTTTGGCAAATCCAAAGTGCCATATTCACTCAAAAGATTAGAACGATGAAAAGTCTGTCACATCAATGGGCAATGGTAGTTCATGAGTATCAATGATTGATCATATTGTGATTAGTAATTTTGACAGTCAGATTGGGCAGATGCATTTCAAGTTAGCAATATTAATATATTCACACCAATTCTGCAGTCCATACATCAGATATGCAGACATCCTGACTCGTGGTGTATTCATCCAACATAAAATATGGGTCAGCTAGTCTTCTAAACAGGAGTACAGCAGGGAAAAAAGCCAACCTGGCTTCCAGGTGCTTACAGTCAGTCTAGGGCCTTACTTCTCCAGGTGTAGTCCACAAACCAGCACTACCAGCAGAACTGAGAGCTGGTTAGAAATGCAGATTTTCAGGCCCTGCCCCAGACATACTGAATCAGAGCTGTATTTCAACAAGTCCTTCGGGTGATTTGCATGCATATTAAAGTTTGAGAAGCCCTGCCCTAACACATGGTATTATAGTAGAACGTGATGGATATCAACTTTAAGCACCGCAGATGCCCCTGGAGGGTTAGTTACAACCCACAGTGCTGACCCCACTCCCAGAGTTTCTGATTCCATAGATCTAGAGCAGAGCCCAAGAATTTACACTTCACACACACTTCCAGGAGATGCTGCTGCTGCTGGTACAAACCACACTTTGGTGTGGGTGAGAGTAGAGCCCACTGTCTGGGCTTCAGTCTTGGCTATGCCCCTCAAAGACCTCAGGCAAATCATTCACTTTCTGGGTCTCGGTTTCCTCATTTGTGAAATGTGGTGTCAGTACCCTCCTCAGAGGTTTATGGTGAAAATCAAATAGTACATGCAACATGCCTGGTAGACAGCCAGTGGCTACTCAATGTTAGAGTGTTGTTGAAAGAATGAAGAGGGCAGCCCTTGTCTGTGGGCCCATGTGGCTCTAGTGCACTCATTTAAATGAAATCACTCTCAATTGCCCCAGCGCTGTAATTTGGATCTCTGAAAATTAGACCTTACCAGCCTGTTCACTGGCCCTAAACAAGAGAGTTCCTTATTTCTGCTCACTATAGGTAATGACTTAGGGCGAGATTGGTGTCACCTGCCCACGCAGTGACACTGGAGGCACTTTTTCTTTCTGTTCATGTGGTGTGATCATTTTAATTATCACCTGACAATTGAGGGATGAATCCTTTCCCAATGCCTTTGCAGTGTGGTGATTAATGAGGCTGAAATGCACCTCTTTCATCCTGTAGGACTCTCTTCAGCAGTAACATTTATAGCATCTTTTATTAATTTTTACAGTTTTCATGTATTAAAGAATGTTAGATAGAACAGATGGAAGGAGAAGGATATTTGCATTTTGTCAAGAAGTTTTTTAATTCATGTTTTCTAAACACTCTGGTGATGCTTGAAGGACACTTTTCCTCTAGGCAAACTATGTTTTACCTCCTCAGGTCACAAAGCTGTAATTTTGAATTTGCAAGAGTGCATTATGTTATGATATGAATATTAGAGGAATAAATATCTCCTCCAATGCTCTACCTTATTAAGTATCAATTAAACTCAGGAAGATAATTAGGGCTAATGACACTCTGGTGATTCTGATGGCAGGCTCAGTATGGCCCATTTTAAATAGTGCCATTTAAATGAGTTTATCTTTGGTGTACTTTTGATAAATGGTGTTTTCAGACTCCCATGCATTATAAACCTCACCAGCCCTCTGATTCATCCATTTAGGAAGCAGTCACTAAGCTGTTACTTCCAGCCAGTCACAAAGATAAACAGATGCAGTTCCTCTTCTCAGGAAGGTCATAGTTCAAAGCAGAGGTGGACTTACAAAGAAATGATTTCTTTAAAATATTTGGAAAAAGAGACATGTACCAAGCTAATAAAATCCCAGAGGAGGAATCCAATCTAGCCATGTGGAGTTAGGAATGGCATCCTGGGCAAGGCCAGGCCTCAGCTGATACTTAGCAGGTAAGCGTGGAATAGTAAGTGAAGATGCAAGAAGTGCTTACAGACAGTGGAGAGAATACAGACAAAGACAGAGACACAGCTCAGTAGGAGAGAGAAACAGAATTAATTTAATTTTTTTGGAATGCACAGGCACCAGGCAAGGAGCTTGTTTGCCCCTGCACCATGCTAAGGAGTTTGTTCTCTTCCTGCAGACTTAGAGAGCCACTGGACATATGGAAGCAAGATGGCAACACAGATTTATATTTCACATGGGATTAATTTGGTGGCTATGAGCAGGGAGGGGTTAGAGGCAGGAGAACCAATTAAAAGTCAACTGCAATAATTTACATAAGAAATGATAAGCATCTGAACTAGGAGTGATAAAAGGGATTCAATAACCACATAGGAAGAAAGATAAGGCAATGGTTGAGGGTTGGCTGCGTGGGAAGTGGTGGAGGAGGAGTTAAGGATGAAGGTCAGATGTGAAGCTAAGGTGAAGGGTGAATGGTGATGCCGACTGGTGATATCGTGCAGACAGGAACGGGCAGGTGTGGGAGGTATTGAGCATTTTTTAGGGGTTAGATATGCTGAATTTAAGATACTGTGGATATCTTCATCATTTACCTTAAATCTGAGCTGAAGGAAGAGAAAGAGGTTTAGGATGGATCCATAGATTTGGTGGTACTTGAAATCAGAGGAAAGAAAAGACCATTCAGAAAAAACCTAGGGAGGGAGAAGCAGTGACTGAGAAAAGAACCCAAGTGAAGAGCAATACATCATGAACAAGTTAGATGAGAAGCTGGAGAATGGGGAGATCGGGACAATGGGGAGATCGGGACAGGAAGCTGTGAGAAGAATCAGGACAGAAACTAAGGAACTGGGGCTTTGGAAAGAAACCATGGCAGTGCAGTGGTGGGGGTGTCATCTAGAGAGCTCTGGGTTGAAGTGGGGTAGAGAAAGGAAGATAACTCTGCTAAGAAATGTGTCCACAAACCACAGGTGGTGGGGGCATAGAGGAAACCGGAGGAAAGGGAGCAGGAGCATGGTGGTGGAAGAAGTATTCCATCATACTTTCCGTTGGGCAAGATTTTCACGAGAAGAATATATTAAGGGTCTTCAAATAGCTGGGGGAGATTGATCTTGACAAAGGACTGGCCTCTGTGAATTGTTTAGTTCCACATTAATATTTCTCAGTGCACCAAAGAAGAGATCTCTGCCTCTCATTATTATAAAATGAAGTGTGATATGGCTGTCCAGGGACTCTGTTCTGAATACACTATGTAATATATTAGCAGAAATAGAGACTATTACAAGTTTCTAGTCCTGTCAGTGTTCTAGGGGAGCTAGCATCAGAGTTAAAGCAGCATTTGGCATTCTTGAAGGGACTCTGTTGGAAAGAAACTCTGTGGAGAACCTTGCCCTGCACAGCCCACACTCTCTGGTGATTAAACTACAGGTGTTAAAAATAATGCCCTTGCAAAAGAATTAGTGAAAAAAAAGAGGAGAGGAGGGCATTTACATAACAGGACAATTCTCTGTATCTTCCAGGCTGAGCTAGACCAGAGTTGAAGTTGAAACAATGTCATGAAAACTATCACTTTTTTCTGTCCATCTCTCAGTCTCACTTTTCTCTGTACTGACTTTATTTTCAGTCAGGATTTTTTCATAATGTAACAGTGAAGACTGAAAGTTTCAGGTATACGTGACCTCTAGTGTCTGCGTCGTCTGTGTTCTTGGCAGGAGTGAGGGGATTGAGGGGTGCTCTGGCTAAATGAGATCTTGAGCCCACCCAAGGTTCTACACCTGAACCATAGAGACTAAAATGTTGGGGGGTAGTCCCCAAAAGATGCCAGGCAATGACAAGCATTTCCAATTAGAAACTTAAGGAGGTAGACATTTGAGGGACTTTTTTGTTGCATTTTTTAACTTACTGTCCAATACATCACCCGGAAATTGGAAAGTTGGTTATTGTTTCTGTTAGGCAACTAATTCCATGGATAGGCTTGGGAAAATTGCTTGACACCTGGAGACCTGAGATTCTTTATGAGCAAGAACTGAGGGGATTGGACTGCAGCAGTGGTTCTCATACTTTATAACTCCCAGAATCACTGGAGAACTTGTTAAAACCTTGATTCTAGAATCCTAACTTTGGAGTGTCTGATTCAGTAGTTTGGGGTGTGAGGGTAAGAATTTGCATTTTCAACAAATTCCCAGATGATGCTGTAGGTGGCTGAAGGACCACGCTTGATAAACCCCGGACTTCATAAATCTTTACAACCCTTCTCATCTTCTAATGCTATGAATCTGTAATTTTACCTATACAGAAATAGCCTTAGAGCCTAGGTCAGGATGGGAAATAGGTTTGCTCTCACATATCAAATTTAAACAATTAGAATGCAGTATTGAGAAGAATTCTGATGCAAATGCCATGCTCAGCTGAAAAAGAGTACTATGACTGATTCATGATTTTCCTTCAGTGTGGATGGTACCCAGGCAATCCTGCCACATATTGGCCCTCTCTGATGTGGGAATTTCTAGCTCAGGAGGCAGTCTAGTGTTCATGATATAAGTCTAGTGTTCATGATATAAGTCTAGTGTTCATGATATTAGAAATAAGCAAAATAACCATAGGGAATGACAACTATCTCAAGCTCATTTTTTCTAGTCTACGGTAAATACAAGGATGCTGCTGATGATGGTAATGATGATCATGATGATGATAGCAGTGATGGTAACCTATTAGTCTGGCACTTAAAATACTTTCACAAACATTATCTTATTTGATCCTCCCTACACCCCTTTCATTAAGTGGAGCAGGAGAGCAACAAACCATCACTTCAAAATAAGAATATGAAAAAGATTGATTGAAACAATCAAACATCAATTTCCAATAAAATTTTAATTGCCTTTGAGGCCAACTAAAGACCTTGGACTTTTTGTTGTGTTCCACCATGGGAGAAAGTGTACTTTGTTTGAATAAATAAGTGGTAACATATAGTCCAAATTCACCAAAGAAGAACATTTGTTGCTAAGAAACTAGTAAGACTGGGCGTGGTGGCTCATGCCTATAATCCTAGCACTTTGGGAGGCCGAAGTGGGCAGATCACCTGAGGTCAGGAGTTCAAGACCAGCCTGGCCAACATGGTGAAACTCCATCTCTACTAAAATACAAAAATTAGCCGGTCATGATGGAGGGTGCTCGTAATCCCAGCTACTCTGGAGGCTGAAATGGGAGAATTGCTTGAACCCGGGAGATGGTGGTTGCAGTGAGCCAAGATCATGCCACTGCACTCCAGGCTGGGTGGCTGAGCAAGACTCCATCTCAAAAACAAAAACAAAAACAAAAAAACCCAAGAATTGTTAGCCCTTTATAGCCCAAAGACAAAATTCCACTGTACAGTTCCTTTTTTTTTTTTTTTTTTTTTAAATTTCAATAGGTTTTTGGGGAACAAGTGGTGTTTGGCTACATGAATAAGTTCTTTAGTGGTGATTTCTGAGATTTTGGTGCACCCATCACCCGAGCAGTGTACACTGTACCCAATGGGTAGTCTTTTATCACACAACCCCCTCCTAAACTTCCCTCTGAGTCCCCAAAGTTCACCATGTCATTCTCATGCCTTTGCATCCTGATAGCTTAGCTCACATTTATGAGTGAGAGCATACGATGTTTGGCTTTCCATTCCTGAGTTAGTTCACTTAGAATAATGGTCTTTAATTCCATCCAGGTTGCTGCTAATGCCATTAGTTTGTTCCTTTCTGTGGTTGAGTATTCCATGGTATACATATATCACATTTTCTTTATCCACTTGTTGATTGAAGGACATTTGGGCTGATTCCATATTTTTGCAATTGCAAATTGTGCTGCTATAAACATGAATGTGTAAGTATCTTTTCTGTATAACGACTTCTTTTCCTGTGGGTAGATACCGAGGAGGGGGATTGCTGGATTTTTATATTTCAAAGGACTTAATTTTTGTGTAAAAACTCTTTTGACGAGTAAGGTACATTGAGAGAACTACCCAAATCATAAGTGTGTAGCTCAGTGACTTTTCAGCAAGTAAAAGCATCTAGTAAACCAAATGCAGATCAAGAAAAAATAGTAACTGTGACCCAGAGATACTATGTACCAGTGATTGACCCCAATGGTAGTCACTATCTTGACTTTCAAAACCATAGATCAGCTTTGCTGCAGTACAGTTTATACAAAAAGAAGTGACTGACCACTTATGTCATGGTGTTCCTATCTGAATCAATCATTTTTTTTTGGTTGATTCAGACAGGAACACCATGACATAAGTGGTCAGTATGACAACACCTTGATATCATATCTGTTTGTAATATTTTTATAAAAGATCTGAAACGATTAATGTCTATATTTAGAATTTATTAAATAAATTATTCTTGAAAATTTTGAGCCTAAAAAATGCAGTAGCACATTGTCTTTGTGGAACTTAATTATACAGCAGTTGTATCTCCTAAAATATAGGATATGCAGCATCAAATAAGTGTCATAAAATGGATGCATTAAGCCTGCGCACTTCATTCTTTTTTTGTTATATCTTTTTTATTATTTATTTTTTAACTTGACACATAGTAATTATAAATATTTATGGGGTACATAGTGATGTCTCAATCCGTACAATGTATAGAGATGAGATCAGGCTAATTAGCATATCAGTATCTCAAACATTTGTCATTTCTTTGTGTTGGGAACATTCAATATCCTCTCTTCTAGCTATTTGAAAATATATATTATTGTTAGCTATAGTGATCTTAACAGTGCTATAGAACACTAGAACTTATTCCCCCTATCTGGCAATAAATTTTGTACCCTTGAACAAATTTCTCCCATTCCCCTGCTTCCCCCAACCCTCCCTAGCCTCTAATATCCTCTGTTCTACTTTTTCCTTCTATGAGATCAACGTTTTTAAGATCAACATTTTAAGCTTCTGCATATGAGTGAGAACATGCGGTGTTTTATTTTCTGTGCCTGGCACTTAACATAATGTACACACTTTATTCTTAAGAAAACCCCTCAAACTTCCCTTAGAGACTGTTTATTCTAATTTTACACATAATTCTTGCTGATTTGGTCATGTAGTTTCCAACCTCACCACATACTAGAAGTCTCAATGAAGAATTTGGGTTGAGAGGCTAACCCACATTAGCATATAGACAATATCAAGAAATAACAGGGCCAAGTGCAGTGGCTCACACCTGTAATCCCAGCCCTTTGGGAGGCCGAGGCGGGTGGGTCACAAGGTCAGGAGATGGAGACCATCCTGGCTAACACGGTGAAACCTAGTCTCTTCTAAAAATACAAAAAAAATTAGCCAGATGTGGTGGCACATGCCTGTAGTCCCAGCTACTCGGCAGGCTGAGGCAGGAGGCTCTTGCTTGAACCTGGAAGGTGGAGGTTGCAGTGAGCCAAGACTGCACCCCTGCACTCCAGCCTGGGCGACTCCATCTCAAAAAAGGAAAAAAAAAAAGACAAATAACAGCTGACAGCCAGGGAAGAAACACGAATAACATAAAATTTTGCAACTGAAGCTAGAAAGCACTATGACTGAGGCCATTTAGAGTCACGTATCTTAGTAGCTCTGAGAGCACTGGCATATCATAGAATCAGATATGACATGCACAGCCATGATCTTGAGCTATCTGGAAGAGTCTCAGTCATATTCAACAAGCATTACTGAAGCCAGCACGGAAGTGCATAAAATATTAGAGAGATGTTCATCTAAAGTAGCTATAATATGGTATAAAAATGTACAGCTTAAGAGATAAACCTTTGGTCATTTGTATATCTTGGAAGCTCCAGAAATTATTAATACTAATTTTTTGAGGGTTTACGAGAGTAAAAAAGTCATTTTATAATAAAAATAGTTTCCATATGACCAAGAAAGAGCCCTTTGAAGGTTTGCCTTTTAGATTTCCCAAAATGGAAGAATAATACATGTTGTAAATGCCTGGAGGTTGAAATCCATAATATTGTCTAAACTCAACTTCAGCTTGAAAAGTCCTATTCTTGGGAGTTCCTTACACATGCTCACTGTAAAAAGATTTTTTCCTTTAAATACTGCTAATTCTGATAAATAAAAATGAGAAAGTGCAAATTATACCCAATTCTACTCAGAAATAAACATTTTAAACCTGGGCATCTGCTCTTTTCACTTTACAGTAAACAGCTTTCTAGCCCTTTTAATATTTTACTTCATTGTTTACAACGACTACATCATTGTTTAGTTATATGATCATGTATTAACCAATTCCCAACTGTTGAATGTTTAGATTGTTCCCAGTGCTTTCAGTATTGTGTGAAATGATGACATGAAGAATTCTTTAGCTAAATTTTTGGCCACAGGAGTTAACTCCTTAGGATAAACTTCTGGAGGTGAAGAGCATCTTGAAAATGCTCTGCAGAAGGGCTTTTTAATATTCACCAGCAATGTATGAGAAAGTCTGTTTCCTGAACCCAAACCAACACTGGGTACCAAACACAAGTTTTTGTTACTTGTAGCCTCTCCACAATGCCTACACTGCATAGCATCTTTTTGTTTCAGTTTGCTTTGATTACTAGTGAGGTGGGACAATTTGCCATACGTCTATTAAATGTTTGTATTCTCTTTTCTGTGTATTGCCTGTTAATGTACTTTAGCCATTTTTGATTGGGGTTTTAAAACTCTTGTTTTATTACAAATTTGTAAGATATTTTTGTTACTCAAGGAAATTAACATTTTATCTCATCACAAATATTTTTCATAACTTAAATTTACAAGTGTTTATTTTTGCTGTTCTTTTTAAAAGCAGTTAAAAAAGCTTATATAATCAAGTCTGTTAAACTGCCTTTGCTATAGCAAGTCTTTATCCCAAATGTTATATAAAACTCACTAGTGTTTTCTTCTAGACTTAGATTTTTTTTTTTTTTGTATTTTAACATTTTAGTCTATCTGGAATTTATATTTGAAGAGATGTGAGGAAGAAATCTAAGTTAACTATTTCTCTATGTATTTTGATTTGTCCTAATACTGGTTATTGGATAACACATCCTGAAATGCATTTTAGAAGATGGATAAAATCAATGCTGAGGACCTATTCAGAAGGACAGTGATGCCAGAGCTAGTTATTCATTGAACTCATTCTGTGAGAAATGTCAGCCAATCTTTGGTAAGTATGAGTAATGCGAATTTGCAGAGGATGGAAAGATGAGACTTACTTCAATTCAGCAACTATTTATTCAACTTACCATGTGCCAGAATTGTTAGCAGTATAGGTGGAGGAACCAGCTGGTCATACTCCCAGGATGGGATGAAGATTAACTTGATGTTTCTTTGGGACCACCTGGAAGAAAAGGAAAAATGAGGTGGGTAAGCCAGACACAGGGGTAGTTGTTGCAGGGCTCAAAAGCTGGACTGAAGAGTTTGGAAAATACCTTTACTACTGAGAATTCTAAAGTACATAGTCATAAAAATGATTTTTTTCTGCCTTAATAATAGACTGGATTTTAGTAATTTAAAGATGTTTAATGGATAATATTAACAATGTGAAATAACCAAGAAGATTAAGCTAATGCCAGCTCAACTGAAATGTCATTTGTTGAGAGGAGTAATCCTTAATGCCCTAATCTGTAGACTCATTAAGGATTTGGAAGAAATTATGAATGACTTTTTTCACTAACTGAATGAGGATTTAATTAAGATATTCCTTTAATAAAAAGAGTATAGGGCAGCATTAAAGTAGATTTCAAGACTTTGGAAGGGGAAAGTTTGTTCTAAAAGAGAATCTATAGAGAAGACCCAGTTTTATAGCTCAGAAGCTATAAAAGAAATGACATCTTGATAGAGCTAAAACATGAAATATCCTGCAATTCTTTTCTCAGGTCAGAGCATGTTATCATTAAGTACTTTGGTACAAAGTTCAATTTCTTGATTGTTCTTGTGGTTTTGTTCTATAATGCTTGCATTTCTTTAAGTTTATATAATAACTCCATTAGCCCAAGTATAATACATACATAGGGAAAATAATCAACTTTGAGCGTAAATCTAATATTCAGTATTTGAGAGCTGTCCTAGCCTGGGCAAGATGGCGAGACTCCATCTTTACACAAAAAATTTTAAAAATTAGTTGGGCATGGTGGTGCAGGTCTATAGTCCCAGCTACTCAGGAGACTGAAGCAGGAGGATCTCTTGAGACAAGGAGTTGGAGGCTGCAGTGAGCTATGATTGCACCACTGCACTCCAGCCTGGGCGAGAAAGTGAGACCCCATCTCAGGAAAAAAAAAAATTTCTAAATTGGCCTACTCAACTCATCTAAGTTTGTTGATTGGTGCTGACTAATGGTGCCCTCTTCCCTGCTCCAGTTATCTGATTTTCTCTGATTACAAATCAACTATAAATTATAAAATTATGAAGTCCCATTTCTGCATTCCCACTGGTACCTCAGCCTGTAGTATTGCCAATCACCCTACCCTTTTACCTCTTAAAATCTTATCCCTCACTTATGATTAGAATGATAGCCTGGCACGGTGGCTCACACCTGTAATCCCAGCACTTTGGGTGGCCGAGGCAGGTGGATCACTTGAGGGCAGGAGTTCTGGACCAGCCTTGCCAACATGGTGAAACACCATCTCCTCTAAAAATACAAGAAAACTAGCTGGGCTTGGTGCCACACGGCTGTAATCCCAGCTACTCAGGAGCCTGAGGCAGGAGAATTGCTTGAACCTGAGAGCCGAGATTGCACCACTGCACTCCAGCCTGGGTGACAGAGCAAGACTCTGTCTCAAAAAAAACATATATTTTAAATCATTGTTTAATTCTTTTTCTTTTCTTTTTATTTTTTGAGAAAGAGTTTTGCTCTTGTTGCCCAGGCTGGAGTGCAATTGTGCTATCTCGGCTCACTGCAACCTCCGCCTCCTGGGTTCAAGCGATTCTCCTGCCTCAGCCTCCTGAGTAGCTGGGATTACAGGCAGGTGCCACCACGCCCAGCTAATTTTGTATATTTAGTGGAGACGGGTTTCTCCATGTTGGTCAGGCTGATCTCCAACTCCTGGCCTCAGGTGATCTGCCCACCTCGGCCTCCCAAAGTGCTGGGATTACAGGCATGAGCCACCACACCCGGCTGAATTCTATTGTTGAAACTTTCGAGTGTATTTTGTATTTCTCTAAGTATGTCTTTCATTTCTAGAAGTTGTGATTGTCTTTTCTTTATTATATATATTTCTTCGAAGATTTTTTCATTCATATCCTGTATTTAAAAAAAAAATCTCTTTAAGTCGGTTTTCACCTTTCTCTGGTACCTTCTTGAGTAGCTTAATAATCAACCTTCTGAATTCTTTATCTGGCGATTAAGAGATTTCTTCTTGGTTTGTAAACACTGCTGGAGAGCTAGTGTGGTCTTTTGGTAGTGTTATTGAACCTTGTTGTGTAATATTACCAGAATTACTTTTCTGGTTCCTTCTCATTTGGGTAGACTGTTTCAGTGGAAAGATCTGGAACTCAAGGGCTGCTGTCCATATTCTTTTTTTCCCATGGGGTGATCCCTTGATATTGTGCCCTTTCATTTCCCCTAGGGATGGGGCTTCCTGAGAGCCAGACTGCAATCAATGTTATTTCCCTTCTGGGTCTAGCCACCCTTTGGGGCTACTAGGCTCCTGACTGGTGCTGGAGAATGTCTGCAAAGAGTCCTGTGATGTGATCCATTTTCAGGACTCCCAGCCATGAATACCAGCACCTGCTCCAGTGGAGGTGGCAGGGGAGTGAAGTGGACTCTGTGGGAGTCCTTGGTTATAGTTTTGTTTAGTGCACTGGTTTTCTCAAATGATGGTTATGCTAGCAGGGAAGTTGTCACCTGCTCAGAACCTCTGGTTAGCCAGGATGTTGCAGGCAATGGAATTGCCTGCAATGCAATTTCTGCATTCCCACTGGTACCTCAGCCTGTAGTATTGCCAATCACCCTACCCTTTTACCTCTTAAAATCTTATCCCTCACTTATGATTAGAATGATAGCCTGGCACGGTGGCTCACGCCTCTAATCCCAGCACTTTGGGTGGCCGAGGCAGGTGGATCACTTGAGGGCAGGAGTTCTAGACCAGCCTTGCCAACATGGTGAAACACTATCTCCTCTAAAAATACAATGCAATGGAATGCAGGCGGTTGTTTTCTCCCTCCTTGCAGCAGGATTGTTCTGTTATCAGTTGCTTGAGTTGGTTGGCCCAGGAGGTGGCACTTTCAAGAGAGCACCAGTTGTGGTAGTAGAAGGGGGATGTAAGCTTGCCTTATGTTGGCCAGGATAAGTATTCAGGTTCCTTAGGTGATGGGCTGGGCCATAGAGCTCCTGAGTTTATGTCTTTTGTCTTCAGCTAGAAGAGCATGTAGAGAAAAACCATCAGGTCGGGGCAGGGTTAGGTGGGTCTGAACTCAGACTCTCCTGGGGTGGGGCTTGCTGCAGCCACTGTGGGGGATTGGCGGGGGTTCTCAGGTTATCAGAGTTATATTCCAGGGAAAATTATGGCTGCCTCTACTGTGTCATACAGGTCATCAGGGAAGTTGGGGAAAGCCAGCGGTGACAGGCCTCACCCAGCTCCCATGCAGCCAGCGAGGTCAGTTTCACTCCTTCCATACCTCGCCAGCAGCACTGAGTTTATGTCCAAGCAGCCAGCATGCAGGGCTCTCTTTTTAGTTTTTTTGAGGAACTGTCATACTCTTTTCCATAATGGCTGTACCAATTTACATTCCCACCAACAATGTACAAGTGTTTCCTTTTCTCCACATCCTCACCAACACTTATCATTCATCATTTTGATAATAGACATTCTAACAGGTATGAGGTAATATCTCATTGTGGTTTTAATTTGCATTTTCCTAATGAATAGAGATGTTGAGCATTTTGTCATATATCTGTTGGCCATTCATATCTCTTCTTTTGAGAAATGTCTGTCCAAATCCTTTGCCCCATTTTTTACCAATTGTTTTCTTGCTATGGCGTTGCTTGAGTTCCTTATATATTTTAGATACAGGCCTCTTATCAGAAATTTGGTATATAGACACAAATGGAATACTATGCAGCCTTCAAAAAGAAGGAAATGTCATTCATGACAACATGGATGGAACTGAAGGACATTATCTAAAGGAAATAAGCCAGGGACAGAAAGACAAATATCATATGAAGTCACATGTGGAAACTCAAAAAGGCAATTTCATAGATGCAGAAACTAGAAAGGTGGTTACCAGAGGCTGGGGGAGAGGGGGAGGAATGGAGAAAGGGGAAAGGTTGACCAAAGGGTACAAAGTTTCAGCTAGACTGGAGGAATAAGTTTTAGTGATCTCTTGCACTGCATGGTGAACACAGTTAATAATAATGTATCGTATATTTCAAAATTGCTAATAGGCTTTTAACATTCTCACCACACACACACAAAAATGATAAATCATTGAGGTGATGGATATGTTAATTAGCTTGATTGAATCATTCTATAATTTACACATAGATCAAAAATAACATATTACCCCATAAATATACACAATTATTGTCAATTCATAACAAATGAATAAAAAATAAATATTAAAAGATTGCTGGGCCCACACATGGAGTTTCTGATTCTGTAGTGTTGGGGTGGGGTCTAAGAGTCTGCATTTTTATCAGATTCCCATGTGATGATGCTAATGTGGTTGGGCCAGGGACTACTCTTTTACACTCACTGTTTTAGAGCACCTTCTTATACAAATTCTCAATGAAGAATCAAAGTGTTTTGTTCAACATTACAAAGCTAGTTAGTGACACAACTAGAAACGTCATCATAAACTTCAGGAGTGGGTTTTCAAGGTAAGATATTTTGACTCTCAACCTGTGCTTTAAGACTATTTTCTCCTTAAATAAAAATTGATTTTGAAGTAATATATATATTTTCCCACACTTGTCAGTTATTTCTAAGGTATTGATAGGTTCCACCATTCACCCACTTATCCCAAATGGAAACTCGGACTGAATTCATGAATTTATTCTTTTTATGTACATAATTGGTGATCTTCCTTAATATTTTAAAACGTTCCATCCTTTTCACTTTATCCCTAGAGCCACTGCTTTGATTTGGGACTTCATTAGTTGTTTGCCAGAGGACAAAACAGTTTTCCTAACTTTTCTTTCTGCCTTGTCTAGGTTTGCTTTAATTCATTCACAAGTTTTCATATTCCTCTTTCTAAAAATCAAATCTGTCTTTTAATATACACCATTTCCTTTTACTGTAATTTGAATACATATTTTAAATTGTAAGTTTAAAAAATAAAAAGTAATAAAAAATTGTTACAGCATTTTTCAAAATTCCAAAAACTATGAAGAAAAAAATAAAAATCAACCATAATTCCTCAGCACAGAGAGAACCATAGTTCATCTTTTGGTGTATTTTTCCTTTTATCTTTCTGTTGGTCACAAAGTTATATTTTTAAAATTTAATTTACTTTGTATTAAACAGCTTGAGATATAATTCATATGCCATGTAAGACACTGATGTAAAGTGCACAGTTAGTGCTTTTTGGTATATTCACCGTTGTGTAACCATCATCACAATTTAATTTAGAACATTTTCATTACCCCCAAAAACACTTCATAACCACTAACAATCATTCTCCGTTTATTACTCTCTGCTTTTACAGAGATACAGGCAACCACTAGTCTACTTTCTGTTTCTACAGATTTACTGATTCTGGACATTTCGCATAAATGGAATCATACAATATGCGGTCCTTTGTAACTGGCTTCTTTCTCTCAGCATAATGTTTTCAAGGTGATTCCAGGTATAGCATGTGCCACAACATCATTCCTTTTCATTGCCAAATATTTCATTGCATATCTATACCAAACTTTTTTATTCATTTGTCAGTTAATGGCTATTTTGGTTGTTTCCACTGCAGGCTATCATGAATAATCCTGCTATGTACATCCCTGTACATATTTTTGTATAGACATTTGTTTTCATTTTGCTTGGTTATATATCTAGGAATAAAATTGCTGGATCATATGATAACTCTATATTTAACATTTTGAGAAACTGTCAAACCATTTTCCAAAGTGACTGTGCCATTTTATATTTCCACCAACAATGTGTGAGAGCTCCAATTTCTCTACATCTTTGCCAGCCCTGGTTATTGTCCATTTTTGTTCTTGTTTTTTTAAATTACAGCCATATTTGTTGATATGAAACAGTATCTCATTGTGGTTTTGCTTTGCACTTTCCTAATGACTAATGATATTGAAGATGTTTTCATGTGCTTCTTGGCCATTTTAATATCTTTTTTGGAGAATCATTTGTTCAAATCTTGTGCCAACTTTTAATTTTTTTAATTTTGGAGTTATAAGAGAAACATGTCTGCATATAATTCCCTGGTAAGATCAAATATTTTCTCTCATTCTGTAGGTTGTCTTTTTACTTTATTAACAGAATCTCTTAAGGCATAAAGGTTTCAATTTTCATGAAGTTCAATTTATGTATTTTGTTGTTGCTAGTGCTTATTGGTGTCATATCCAAGAAACCATTGCCTACCCCAAAGTCAAGATGATTGACGCCTATGTTTTTTCTAAGAGTTTTACATTTAGATCTATAATCTATTTTGAGATGACTTTTGTGTATGGTGTAAAGTAGGGCTCCAACTTTATTCTTTTGCAGGAAGATATCCACTTCTCCCATCATCATTTTTTGAAGACTATTCATTTCTCATTGAATAGTATTGTTTCCTTTGTTGGAAATCAATTGACCATAAATGTAAGGGTTTATTTCTGGTCCCTCAATTTTATCCCATCAGTCTATATGTCTGTTGTGTGTTAATACAACACTGTCTTGATTATTATAGCTTTGCAATAAGTTTCAAATCAGAAAATGTTAGTCACCCAGCTTTATTTTTATATTTCAAGATTGTTTGGGTTATCCAGCCCCTTGCATTTTCATATGAATTTAAGGATTAGCTTGTCAATTTTTGCACAAAAAAGGAGCTTGGATTTGGATAGAGACTGCATTGACTCTCTAGACCTACTTGGGGAGTACTGCCATCTTAATATTAAGTCTTTCCATTTATTTAGATCTTTAATTTCATTTAATAATGTTTTATACTGTTTGTTTTATAAGCTTTACTTTTTTTTTTTTTTTTTTGAGACAGAGTCTTGCTTTGTCACCCAGGGTGGAATGTAGTGGTGTGATCATGGCTCACTGCAGCCTTGACTTCCCAGGTTCCAGCAAGCCTTCCACCTCAGCCTCCCAAGTAGCTGTAACCACAGGTATGCACCACAATGCCTGGTAAATTTTTGTGTTTTTGGTAGAGACCGGGTTTCACCACATTGCTCAGGCTGGTCAGTAACTCCTGAACTCATGTGATCCACCTGCCTCGGCCTCCCAAAGTGCTGGGATTGCAGACGTGAGCCACCATGCCCAGCCTAAGTCTTGCATTTCTTTTGTTAAATTTATTTGTAGGTATTTTATTGTTTTTGATTTTTTATTTTCAACTTTTATTTTTAGTTCAGGGGTACATGTGCAGGATGTATAGACTTGTTACATAGATAAACGTGTGCCATGGTGGTTTGCTGCACAGATCATCTCATCACCTGGGTATTAAACCCAGCATCTATTAACTATTCTTCCAGATGCTCTCCCTCCTCCCCTAACTAACCCTCCGACAGGCCCCAGTATGTTGTTCCCCACTTGTATTCACATGTTCTCATTATTCAGCTCCCACCTAAAAATGAGAACATGTGGTATATGGTTTTCTGTTCTTGTGTTAGTTTGCTGAGGATAATGGCTTCCAGCTCCATCCATGTCCCTGCAAAGGACATGATCTTATTCCTTTTTATGGCTGCATAATATTCCATGGTGCATATGTACTACATTTTCTTTATCCAGTCTATCATTGATGGGCATTTAGGTTGATTCCGTGTCTTTGCTATTGGGAATAGTGCTGCAGTGAACATACACGTGAATGTATCTTTATAATACAATGATTTACATTCCTTTGGGTATATACCCAGTAAAAGAATTACTGGATCAAATGGTGCTTCTGCCTCTAGATCTTTGAGGAATCTCTAAAGTCTCTTCCACAATGGTTGAACTAATTTACACTCCCACTAACAGTGTAAAAGTGTTCCTTTTTCTCCACAACCTCGCCAGCTTCTGTCGTTTCTTGACTTTTTAATAATAGCCATTCTGGTATCTCATTGTGGATTTGATTTGCACTTCTCTAATGATCAGTGATGTTAAGCTGTTTTTCATGTGTTTGTTGGCCACATGTATGTCTTCTTTTGAGAAGACATGTCTTCTCTGTGCATGTCCTTTGCTGACTTTTTAATGGGGTTGTTTTCTTTTTTCTTGTAAATTTGTGTAAGTTCCTTGTAAATGCTGGACCTTTGTCAGATGGATAGATTACAAAAATTTTATCCCATTCTGCAGGTTGTCTGTTTACTCTGATGATAATTTCTTTTGCTGTGCAGAAGCTTTTTAATTAGATCCCATTTGTCAATTTTTGCTTTTGTTGCAATTGCATCTGGCATTTTCATCATGAAATCTTTGCCTGTGCCTATGTCCTGAATGGTATTGCCTATATTTTCTTCTAGGGTTTTTATAGTTTTGGGTTTTACATTTAAGTCTTCAGTGCATCTTGAGTTGATTTTTGTATATGGTGTAAGGAATGGGTTCAATTTCCATTTTCTGCATATGGCTAGCCAGTTCTCCCAGCACCATTTATTAAATAGGGAATCCTTTCCCCATTGCTTGTCTTTGTCAAGTTTGTCAAAGATCAGATGGTTGTAGGTGTGCAGTCATATTTCTGGGATGTCTATTATGTTCCATTGCTCTATGTGTCTGTTCTTGTGCCATTACAATGTTGTTTTAGTTACTGCAGCCTTGCAGTATAGTTTGAAGTTGGGTGGCATGATGCCTCCAGCTTTGCTCTTTTTGCTTAGGATTGTCTTGGCTATTTGGGCATTTTTTGCTTCCATATGAATTTTAAAATAATTTTTTCTAATTCTGTGAAGAATGTCAATGGTAGTTTCATGGGTATAGTATTGAATCTATAAATTGCTTTGGGCAGTGTGGCCATTTTCACAATATTGATTCTTTCTATCCATGAGCATGGAATGTTTTTCCATCTGTTTGAGTAAACTCAGATTTCTTTGAGCAGTGATTTGTACCTGTCCTTGAAGAGGTCCTTCACTTCCCTTGTTAGCTGTATTCTTCGCATTTCATTCTTTTTGTGGCAATTGTGAATTGAGTTCATTCATGATGTGGCTCTCAACTTGCCTGTTGTTGGTGTATAGGAATGTTAGTGATTTCTGCACACTGATTTTGTATCCTGAGATTTTGGTGAAGTTGCTTATCAGCTTAAGAAGCTTCTGGGATGAGATGATGGCATTTTCTAGATATAAGATTATGTCATCTTCAAACAAAGATAGTTTGGCTTCTTCTCTTCCTGTTTGAATATGCTTTATTTCTTTCTCTTGCCTGATTGCCCTGCCCTGAACTTTCAATTCAATGTTGACGAGGAGTGATGAGAGAGTGCATCCTTGTCTTGTGCCAACTTTCAAGGGGTATGCTTCCAGCTTTTGCCCATTCAGTATGCTACTGGCTGTGGCTTTTTCATATATGGCTCTTATTATTTTGAGGGATGTTTCTTCAATACCTAGTTTATTGAGAGTTGTTAACATGAAACGATGTTGAATTTTATCGAAGGCCTTTTCTGTGTCGATTGAGATAATCACATGGTTTTTGTCTTTAGTTCTGTTTATGTGATGAATCACATTTATTGATTTGCATATGTTGAACTAACCTTCCATCCAGGGATGAAGCCTACTTGATTGTGGTAGATAAGCTTTTTGATGGGCTGTGGGATTCAGTTTGCCAGTATTTTGTTGAGGATTTTTGCAATGATATTTATCAAGGATATTGGCCTGAAGTTTTCTTTTTTGTTTTCTCTCTGCCAGTTTTGGTATCTTTTTGATATTTTAGATAAAATTAATTTGTTAATTTTATTTTTGGATTCTTCATTGCTAGTGTATTGAAATACACTTGATTTTTGTATACTAATATTTTATCCTGAAACTTTGCTGAATTGACTTATTAGTACTAATCATTTTTAAAATTGGATTCCTGAGGATTTTATACATACTAGATTGTGTCAACTGAAAACAAATAATTTTACTTTTTCTTTCCCAATCTGGATACATTTTACTTATTTATTTTTTCTTGCTTAAATGCCCTGGAGAGAACAATGTTGAACAGAGGTAGTGAGAATAGACATTCTTGTCTTTCTCCTGATTTTATGTGAAAAGCCTTCAGTCTTTCATAATTAAGTGTGAGGTTAGTTGTGGGGTTTTCATAGATGTCTTGTATCGTTTTGAAGAAGTTTCCTTCTATCCCACATTTGTTCAGTTAATCACCACCACCTTATTTTAAAATCTTTAAATAGGGAAATGAAGGACTTCTTCAAGGTGAACTACAAACCACTGCTCAAAGAAATCAGAGGCGGCACAAACAAATGGAAAAATGTTCCATGCTCATGGATAGGAAGAATAAATATTGTGAAGATGGCCATACTGCCCAAGGCAATTTATAGATTCAATACTATTCCCATGAAACTACCATTGACATTCTTCACAGTTTTAGAAAAAAACTATTTTAAAATTCATATGGAACCAAAAAAGAACTCAAATAGCCAACCACGACAATCCTAAGTAAAAAGAACAAAGCTGGAAGCTCCTTCTGTTTTATCTCTACTCTTCACCTCCTAATTGTACTTCAAGGCACAGCTCAAGTGCTGGTAATTTCAAAAAATATGTAAATGCACTAGATCTGGCTTAAGCTCCCCTCTTATGTATTCTCATAACATAATGCACATATTTTCATGCTAGAATTAAACTTACTGCTCTGCATTGTTGATTTAAGTTTCTGCCTCTTCAAGTAGAGTAAATTTCTTATAGGCAAGGGCCTATAAGAAATCTTAGGTATCTTTTATTCACAAGGCCTGGAACCCACTCGGTAAATTGATGGACAGACAGATGGATGAATGTTGAGATTTATGCCATGTTTTAATTAAGCATACATAAATTAATAAAAATACTGACACAATTCTAAAATTCTTAGCAGCCATAAAAAGCAAGAGACCCTAAGGGCAAATGGAGTTGTTCTAGGGCCTCTGGAATGTAAATTTGGGGAAAAATGATTGGCAAATTAAAAGGCATGTCAAGCAAAAAAAAAGATGTGGGAAGCTAGAGTTCTCACAGAACTTGTTTGTCTCTATTCCTGGAAATAATGCTCTATGACATATCTTCCTAGGGATCCTTATACTCCTCACCCACAATCCCCAATACCAGTTATTATATATTCTATTCAACTCAGAAAATATGGCAGGACATATGTTAAGTAATCAGCCAGGTTCACATACAAAACAAGTGAGAGCTGTGGCCCGAGATCACAATAAACCAAGTTTCACCAACCGGTTAACGTACACACACGATTCAATGAGATATTAAAAACAGATAATTAAATACTAAAATGAACAGTATAGACAGTAGTTCAGTGGATGGAGTGACTCGTTTGTTAACAATTATTGTGTGCTAACAATATTCTAGGTACTGGGCTAGATGGTGAGTATATAATGTTGAATGATTCAGAATCCATGTGCTCAAGGAATTTGTAGTCTACTAAGGGAGTGGTGCAACTTAATCTATAACTTATTATTTATTCAGCAAATTCTTGTTGAAAACTATCACAGAATCTATCCTAGCAGTGCTGTGAATATAGCTATGAATAAAAAAGACCAAAATGTCTGCCCAGATAAAGGATACATTGTGCATACATACACTGGGGAGAGGCAGACAAAAAAACAATGTAGTTTGAGTGTGTGTGCGTGCTTGCATGCGTGCATGCAGGCATGTGCATATATAATGCTAAAACATGATAAGTACTATTAAAAAAACAGGTTAGGGTGATTGAAACTACTAGGGTATGAATAAGAGTGGGTTGCAATTTAAAGTAGGGTCATTGTGGTTGGCCTTATTGAGGTGACATTGGAGTCAAGACTTGGAAGAAGAAAGGTTGTTGGCCACACAGCTATTGAGGGAAAAATGTTCCAGATAGAAGAAACAGTCAGGGCAATGCCTTGGGATGGAATCATGCATAGAGTATTCACAGAATAGCAAGGAAGCTCTAGTTCTAAAGTAAAGTGACTGGGAATAGCGGTATGGGATGGGTCAGAGAGTGGGAGGCCCTGTCAGCCTTGGGAAGAATTCAGTTTTAGTAAAGTGGAAACAGTTGGAGGGCTCTGGGCTGAAGGATGATGCAATCCAATTTGTGTTTTAAACAGATTACTCTGGCTGCTTGTGAAGAATAGACATAGGTACAAGAGGAGATGCAGGGAAACCAGTTAGGAAACCATTGCAATAAGCTAGTTTTGAGATTATTTTAGTGGCTGAGATTGGGATGGAAACAGTGAAAGTGGTGGGAAGACAACAAATTCCGGATATATTTAAAAATTGAGCCACTGGAATTGGATGTGTGATATTTAAAAATGAGAGGAGCTGAAGATGCATTCAGAATTTTAGTGAGGCTACTACTTAGGAGACTGGAAAAGGATGGGGACAAGAGTGAAGACTTCAGGTAAAAATGACTGGGGATGGACCCAGGGAGATCAGGAGTTCAGTTTTGCACATTGTAAACATTAAATATTCCAAGTGGAAGACTTCAGCAGTTGGATTTGTATGTACTAAAACAGAGCTTGGCACAGGATTCCACGAAAACATGTAGAAAGGATATCTACTTAATGCTTCCCAAGGAAATGGGAAATGCTGCTTCGAGAAAGCAGAAGAGTTGGCTGTGTGATCAAGAAGGCTTCAGGAAATGAAGTGGGCATTGAACAGTAGGAGCTATTTGGCTACAGATGGTGTTGTGAGAGAATTCCAGACATAATGAATAATCGAAGCAAGACCCATAGAATGGGAATAAGCAGAGTGAGTTTGTGAGTGTGAGCAGAACCCTGCCTGGAGTGAGGATTCTTATGGAGCTGCTGGCGGATAAATATGGATGGGTGACTTAGGGCCATATTTTGGGGGACCTTGAAGGTCAGGCTCCTCTGGAAAAGCATCCCTTGCCAATTGGTCAGCTTGGAGCTTCTTTCCAAGCCCTCTGCAGCCAGAGTTGACATTTCTATCTCAACACTGTCCAGAGTATTCTGTGAGTCTATTCATTTACTTTTCTCTCAGCCTCCTGGGATTGTATGTTTCTTGAGGGCAAAGACCTTATATTTTTATTTTTATCTATCCCAAAGATTCATTAGTGAAAGCTGAATAAATGTTTATTCAAAGAATAAGTTATATTTGATACACACACCTCTTGATCATATTTTCATTTCAATACCCATGGGAACTTTTTTTCAAAAGTAAAATCTTTGTCTATAATGAATAGGTGAAAGATCCAGTACAATTATTTCACATTGTAAGAGCTAACATTGCTGGAAAGATTGTAGGAAACAGTTTTTCAAAACAGTGACTACCAAGTGACAAGACGCAAAGCCCCTTAAAGCTGCTAAGGAGGAAACATTGGAACTCGAAGGTAGATAAAAGACCAGGTTTTTAGGAATAAATTAAAGAGAGGGAAATGGCTGGTGGATTTGCAGGGAGGGAATTTGTCCAGGCCAGTTGCATATTGTTTGAGGATGGAAGAGTGAAATCTCTTACTGCACCTTAGGTATAAGAACTTCAGGAATTTGGTACTCATCCCTTCAGAGACCTGTCAGCAAAATGCTGGGCTCAGCATTCCCACAAGGGCCCCAAGATGAACACCATGGTTTACAGAGGAGGAGATTCTATGTCAAGCTCGATCCCCAGATCTAGCAAAGAGGATGGGAGGGACTGAGTAGCTGACAGCAACCAGTTAACACTGACTGAGAGCTGGCCACCAGAACCAACTGTGGCTCCACTCAATGTGGGCTCAGGGGAAACAGCTGCTGCTTGAGTCACCAACAATGCACTGCTGAGTATGTTTGAATGTTATGCAGAACTCTCTGGGGGGTAGTGAATATATGCACCAATTCATTTAAAATAATTCTATTAGGCACTATCCTAGTCTTGTCTCTAGTCCTAACTGCTCTGATTGATAGAGTCGTATGTCCATTAGCTCATTTAAAAACTCCATTACTTGTTTTTCTTAAAGTAACTGGGTCAGTTTGTTCATTGGAGAAAACATCTGCCACAAACCCAAGTCTGATTATCCTTAGTTTGCCCTTTAGTCATTCTTTCACATTGAAATGGTGTTTAAGTGTAAAAAGCAGCTAGTTCAGCTCCCAATTCAAGCCATTACACAAGGGCATTTCTGCAAGACAACAATCATACTTAGTGTACAGGAGAAGTGCTTCATGTGTACTTCCCATTTCTTCGACAGAATATTAAAAATATGTGTATTCTGGCCAGGTGCAGCAGCTCACACCTGTAATCTCAGCACTTTGAGAGGCCAAGGCAGGAGGATCACTTGAGCTCAGAAGTTTGAGACCTGCCTAAGTAACATAACAGGGCCCCTCTACAAAACATAATAAATAAAGATGGGTAGTCAAGGGCCAAAATTTAATAATGTTACTGTGTTTTACTAATTTATCAATACACTGATAAGTGGAACTGACTTTTTTTTTTTTTTTTTTTGCTCCTGGGGCAAGGCACTGTGGAAGATGAGATCTAGCATAGTCAGGTGCCACTGTCTTAATTTATATTGCACCACTGGTGCAAATGACCACACAGTGAAAATGGCAGATAACTCAATATCATTATGAAGATAGTTTTGACCCTGTGGCACCTCTAAAGTGGTCTCATGGATCCCTGCAGATGGCAGACCACAATTTAAGAATGACTGCTATATAGAAATTTCTTTGCATATACTAATTTTTGTGTACTTCAAATTCTTGAGTCAAAGTCTATAAAAATACTTTAAGGTGCCTGACATGTATTAACAAATTGCCTTGCAAGTAAGGTCCACCTAAATAATTCACACTTCCCTCTGAAACGTATGAGAGTCCATTTTATCAGCCAAACACTCTACAGCATTAAAGCTCCTAACTATGTCCTGTTTGTAAGTAAGATGGAGGCCAAATTGTAACTCATTGCTCAATTGTGTCTGAGCTAAAAGCAGTAATTTCTCTTCAATTTCCATTACTTCTCCCAGTTTAGATATTTCAACCATTCAATACATTCCTCACGTAAACTCCAAACCATTCTACAAAACAATACCTGTCAGAACAGATCAGTGAATTTAGAGAAGAAAAGAAATAGTGATAAAAATAAGTTCATGACCCATTACTTTACCTCCTCTGTACTTCAAGAAAGCTCTTCTTTTTAAACTAATTCACTACATAGGCTAGCAATAAGTTGCGTTCCAGCTCCTTTAATCTAAAAAGTGATTTTTAAGCCATAATCATTATCATAAAATTCCAAGGCAAAAATATTTAATGTATAATCATAGGAATGGAAGGAAGAAAATGTAAGCTAGTTTCTGATTAATTCACATGATTCCAGGAGGTTTGACATAGATTTGTTTTTTTTGTGGGGGGGGGGATGGAGTCTTGCTCTGTCACCCAGGCTGGTGTGCAGTGGCACAGTCTCGGCTCACTGCAACCTCCTCCTCCCAGGTTCAAGCAATTCTCCTGCCTCAGCCTCCCGAGTAGCTGGGACTACAGGTGCACGCCACCTCTCCCGGCTAATTTTTTGTATTTTTAGTAGAGATGGGGTTTCACTGTGTTGCCCAGGCTGGTCTCAAACTCCTGCGCTCAGGCAATCCACCCACCTCAACCTCCCAAAGTGCTGGGATTACAGGTGCGAGCTGCCGCGCCAGGCCGACATAAAATTCTTTCTAGGTAAAATTGTCTAATCAAAAATTCTCTGAAGGACAAGATTCAGTAGTTTTAAGGATTTTACTAGGTATATTGAACTTCATTATAATTAGTGATCATTTTAATAGGATAAGATTTATCTTAGACACAGATCAAAGGGATTTAGCTACCTAAGGGATCATCTCATGGTGTACATTACATCGCACATAATAATCCCACAAGGGGAATTCCTCATAGGCTGAGTGCTGGGCAGAAAACTCCAGAGAACATTTGGTTGATGCCTAACATATGAAGAATACTCAGCACCATGGCTAGAACATACCTAAACACACGGTAGATATTTATTCATCCTTTCAAAGCCTGGTCCATCATCTGTAATTTCCCCTCATCAGAAGAGGACATGTGTTCAAGAAGGAAAGTGTTATTTCTAAAAAGGGATGTTAAACCTCATTAAAAAGCACAGATATTAGTATTTTCAAATGTAATTATGCCTAACAGACTATTAATATTGTAAATGTAATCTTGTGGTTAGGATTTGCTAAATCAACACATCAATAAACTCTAGTTTATACAATTATAAAACCTATTTTCACACTTATAAAAATGACATTTGAAAATTAAAATAAAGCAGGTAAAGAAACATTTCATTGTGGGTGACAACGAATTTTGTGCAACTGATTTTTAAATCAATTATTGGAGGAAAAATAGATTCACTTTAGTACAAGTTCCACTGATTCTCAAGAAAGAAATTGAATGTTCAATAAATAAGTAATTAAATAAGCCGTTTAAGTTAAATATGCCTTATAATGCATATTGAAGCTTTTAAACAATACTAAAAATATGAGAGAATTCTTTTTTAATTCTGAATTTCAGGGATCTCAATAATTGTATTAAGTGTGGTAGAAAAGGGTGATCAACAAGAAGTAAGGGCCAAGCCAGAGTCTTTTCTTTGCCAGTTCAAGTGTTTCAAAAGACAACATTCATGTCTAATGGAGAGACGACTTAAATGTACTTATTCACTGGATGAGGATTTGTTAAGTGTTTTTCATTTGCTAAGTTTTGTGTACAAAACTCATCAGATCTGAGCCCTGATATTCCACTTCTTTATATTAGTATTTACAAAGGTCTTACTAGTATTTACAAAAGTCAGACACCGGTCCAGGCACTTCAAACAGGTGGGAGGCAAGATAGACAGGGCCCTGCCCTTCTGGAGTTTACGGTCCATTGGGCGGTAGGGAGAAAAGGGACAATAAATGATAAACAAGTAAGCAAATGAATGAATGAGACCATTTCAGAGATTAGTGATAGCAAGAAGACAAAACAAGAGGATGTAAGGAAGCAATAGAAGTACATCTCAAGAGGTGAAATTTGAGCTTAGCCCTAAATGACATGAGGAAGGCAGACATGCAAAGAACCAGGGTGGAACTTCAAGACAGGGGAAAAGGCAAGTGCAAAGGCCTTTAGAAAAATAGTTAAAAGAGATTCGATTGAAAAGACAGGCAAGTGGAAGCTTTCTCCTTCCCCTAGCTGCCCAACTCACCTGCCCCAAGTCTTTACTACATGATGTTAGAATATGATCTACTTCTTTTCTCCAGACCTGGAAATCAACCCACCAGGCCAGGGGACTGGGTTTTGTGTGCCTCTAGCAAATTAGACTTGGTTTTATCTACTTAGCTGTATTTAGGAGTTCTTATATTTTACATGGAAGCAGTATTAAATCAAACAATTTATAAACCACTGTTTATAAGTGAAGAAAGTAAGCTCTAGCCTGTAAGAGCAATTTATAGTCAAGGCCAGGGTTAAAATACCTGGAACTCCCAGTGCTAGTCATCTTGGGGAGACACATTACCTTTTACCTTCAGTCACTCTTGGGCTGAAACATGACAGCTGTTGATATACTTGAGTGTTATTAGCAGGTTGAGAACAGTGATCTATAGAGTAAAACACTCAGTGCATTAAGAAAAGTTGGCATCTCAAAGATAGATACCTAGAGTTTATGGGGAAACGATGGTCTCCATATTGTTGACAGAACACCTCAAATCCTCAGGCCACTCATCAGCATCGTTATTAATCTTCTTCTCTAAGTCAAAGGAAGAAATATATCAGGCTTAAAAGCCCTAAGGGGAACAGAAAAGAAAAAGAGACAGGGTAATTTATAAAAAACCATTTTGAGTTTTGTTTTGATTTTCTTAAAAAGGACAATTTGGTGAGACTATTAAAATCAGACATATTTCAATATGACTGACACATATAATATATAAACATTTTTGAATAGGTAATCCATTCACAAGGCATATAAATCAAAATGATATAAAGAGGTAGTCAGCAAAATGTTTCTACTTCATTTCCATCCTTCTTTTCCACAAGGGTAACTTTTTATTAGTTTCTTTGTCTTTGTTTATTTGTGTTACATAAACAGAAGTATATATTGTTATTTCTCCTCTTTTTTATACAAGATTTCATATTATATATAGTGCTGTACACTTTGCCTTATTATTTAAACAGTATGTCTTAAGGATTTCAGCATAGTATTTCAGAGAATGGAAATCTTTCCCATCAGCCCATAGAGAACTCCCTCCTTATTTCTTTTGAATGTGCATAGTATCCCATTAAATAAATGTACCACAATTTGTTAAACACAGTCCTTTATAAATGGATATTTAGTCTAATTCCACCCTTTTGCTACTACAACCAATGCAGCAGTGAATGTTTGTTCATAACATCATTTTGCACATGTACAATTATCTACAAGTTCTCAGAAGAGGGATTTTTGTGTAAATTAAAATTATCCGTTTGCAATTTGGGTAAGTCCATGGTTGGGGGGACGGTGCGCTAAAGTATCCTCTACTGCCAATCATGTATGAGAATGTCTACTTACCCAATAGAATGTTTCCTTACACTCTTAGATTTTTGACAACCTGATAGATGAAAAATGTCACAGTGAAATTTTATTTTGCATTTCTCTAATTATGATTGAGATGGATCATTTTTTCATGTTTAAGTGGAATTTGTAGTTTTTGTTTTGCTAATTTTTTACTAATATCCCTTTCCCATCTTTTTATTATGTTTTTCTTAACTTATATTAAGGAGATTCACTTTTTGTGCTATGAATTGCAAATGTTTCTCAATTTTCTTTCATTTGTCCTGGCTTTACTTGCAGAGGTTTTTTTTTTTTTTTTTTTCTTTGTTTTTGCTAGGTAAAAGGATATTTTGTTGTAGTATTTATCAGTCTTACATAGCTTCTGGATTTTCTCCTAAAATTATATAGCTTCATTTTACACTTAAATTCTTTATCCATTTGCAGTTTATCATACTGTACAGTGTGAGATGTTTTGTTTTTGTTTTTGTTTTTGTTTCCTAGGAGACTGCCTAGTCGTTCCAACACAATTTATGGAAACGTTTATTTTCCCCCTTCTGATTATACTTTCCATCTCCATCATATGCCATATATACTTGTGTCTATTCATGTAGAGATACCATGCTGCTTTAATTATTGAGGTTTAAAAATAAGTTGTAACATCCGGTAGATCGACTTTCTTTACATAATTCTACATAATACAAATCCATCTGCTGTGAATAGAAATAGAGTTGATTATCCAAAGCCCATTGTGCAATTTCTTGGGTCAGAAGCCTTTTGGCCTCCATCAGAACAGCCTTCTTCGCTCTACTTCTATTCTCTGCATACCCGCCCCACTCTCCACTCCATCAGATTGCTTTCTTTCTTTTTCTTTTTCCTTTTTTATTTTTTATTGTTTTGAGACAGAATCTTGCTCTGTCACCCCGGCTGGAGTGCAGTGGCATAATCTTGGCTCACTGCAGCCTCCGCCTCCTGGGTTCAAGCAATTCTCCTGCCTCAGCCTCCCGAGTAGCTGGGACTACAGGCGTGAACCACCACAACCAGCTGATTTTTGTATTTTTAGTACAGAGGGGATTTCACCATGTTGGCCAGGCTGGTCTTGAACTCCTGACCTCAAGTGATCCGCCTGCCTTAGCCTCCCAAAGTGCTGGGATTACAGGTGTGAGCCACCACATCCAGACAAATTTCATTATTAAAACTGACATTTGTGGGCACTGAGAACCTTGTTCTCCTCCTACGCTTGTGCTCTCCTCCTATTTGTCAGATGGACAAATGCAGTGCTTTTTAAAGCTTCCACATGTGGGGGACCTATATCTGCATTCTAGGCTGTTGGATCCAAATCCTACAAGTTGTTCTGGAGAGCAAATAATCATTAAGTTTTTGTAGATTCACTATAGAAATATATGCTTCCAAGAATGTGTGTAGGAGAAATAAACATAAAGGACATAAGGAAAAAGAAAAAATAAAAAAGTCGTTGTTCAGGTTCCAGAGGTTGTTGCTTGGCTTTGAGCAAAGCACTGAATTCCTCCTGTCTGCAAGGCAGCCTCTGCCCACCCTGGCCCTGTGCTGTGAAGTGACAGGTAAGCCCCTGACAGCTAGAGAAATTAACACAGAAGCAAGGCTCTATGTTTCCTCCCCTTTCTGAGCAGTGGAGACAGAGGCTGGGTGGGATAGAGAGAAGGAGAGAGAGAAGATAGAGAAGAGACTGCAGGAGCAGAGAGAGAGAAGGGGGATAAGATAGAGAAATAAATTAAACACACAGGAAGAAAACTTCAAAAACCCTATGCCGAGGCAGCAGCTCTCCAGGACTAGTAATATTGTAGTCATTTTTAAGAACCTCAGGCACTGACAGCATTTTCTCTGTGGGTACTTCTAAAGAGGGATAGTCCTGTCACATTTGTGGTCACAGGTCACAGGAGTGGGAGCCCTGGCAAACCTCCTTTACTGGATGAGCCCTGGCCTTTCATCCTGAGGCCTCCCATGGTGGGTCACCTTCCTTCTCTTCTCAGTCCCTAGTTCAGGGCTGTCATGCAGCAGAGATGTCGCCCCATGTGGTGCTTCAGAGTCTGGGAGTGGCCTGGGCATTTGGATCAGAAGATGCAAATCCAGCACCCACCACAACCCACCTTGGGCATTTTGGGTATCTGAGGGTCACCCTCATCCCTTCCTATAACATACTGTGAGGGTGGAGGTGGGCCAAGTACTCCGTGCTGGAAACCGGGAAAAAGGCCCAAGGGGCAGGGAAGCCTTCACTGAGACAGGGTGAAGGCCAGGGCTGGCCAGTGGATGGAGGCCTGGCCTCTTCCTAGCAGTGATCATCTTAACACACATTAGCAAATATTTCTTCAGCATTCACACCACACTAGGTCCTGGGGATAAAATGATGGGAAAGGCAAAGTTCCATCCTTACAGAAAGTGATGATTTGGTGGAGGATGTGAATATATATACCAGTAATTAAGACATACATTTTTCATTATTTCTAATAAAAACGTTAAATGTTAAAAAAGAGCACACATACTATGAGATATGTACTGACAACCACAGAAACACAGGGACAGGACCAAATCAAAGAAAAAGCAAAAACAAAGTACTGTGAAGGTTTGAAAAAAACAAATGACCACATGTTGTGGGGGTCTCAGTGGAGACTTTGGGAGGAGGAGGATTTGACTCAGGCTTTCACTCAGACCTCAGAAAATAGGTTGAATTATGTCAGAAGCTCTGTATAGGTATCTACTGTGGCTATAAGAAGGGATTACTGGTAGGGGTGGGGCTGGGAGGCATTCCATGGCATTCAAGAATCTTCCTTACTTGTGCACAGCTCACGTGCTCTCAGGTATGCTGGCAGTGCATCTTGTAACAACCGGAGATGGGGCAGCCTCCTGCTTCTCTGCCGTTGCACCTCCACTGGTAATGTAACAACAGTCCCAGCAGACACACGTGTTCCAGGAACAACAGGAGCCAGTTTAGCTAAGACTAAACCACACAGAAGGGGAGGTAGTGAGAAATTAGGCTAAGACCTGGGTTTGAGTTACCTTTTTAGAGGACCTTGAATGTCAGCTAATGAGTCAAGAACTGGTATTAAGAAGCTCTAAATTTGTTAGCTTTTCCTAAACCTTCCTATCAGAATCACCATAGAGGTCACTAAATTGCAAATCTTCATTCTCCTTTGATTATACTAGTTTTTCCCCCACGCTAATAATGGATGCTTATTTCCTCTTCAATTTTTGCCTTCCTGACTTATGTTTAGAAGCTTTGGTGCATTTTTGGATTTAATATTTTGATTTAATCTATGTATGAATGATCCCTAAGTGCTGTGGTAAACAACTTGTTATTTTGTTGAGGCCTTTGAAATTAGCGAGTCTGGAGAAGTAGCATTTCACTTAGTACTGAGAGGGTGGAGCCCAGCCCAAGATCTATATCCCAGTCCCATTTGAGTTCTATTTGAAACCCCTGGTAGAAGATTTATTTTATGGGCAACTCATATGCTACAGTAATATTCACAAAATACAAAGAATATATTATATTCCATTAGTATTGCAATACAGTTGTTTTTGGTTATTCATGGCTGTTGTCCTGAACCCCTATTAACTTCAGCAGGAAAGGTACCAGATTCAAGAGGCCAAAGAAGAGACCCAGAGCCAGCTAATGAGACATGGGGTTTTATTCAAGGCTTACATACAGGGGAAAGAGTCCAGAGATGGTGGGCTGGACAGGAGAACCGCATTAATTACAGAAATGATCCAGCAGCAGTGGGATGGACACGATCGTCCCCTTACCTACAGTCCAGTGGTGGCAGGCCGGGCAGAAAAACTGCAACTGATTACAAACAGCATGCAGTTTATATAGTATTTTCCCTTAACACCCTCCCCTTAACAACCTCCATCTGGCAACCTTCATGTAACCCAAAACTCAAGGCTTCAATTCCTTGTATGGCTTGTGTTTCATGGGATGGACTGGGGGCTCAGGTGTTCCTCATAGACAAGGAACAAATCTGTGGGTTGGCTACTCCCAGATTCTCTAGCTTGGACTAACATTCAGGTGTGTCTGCCATGCAGGGCCATTCTAAGGATACGTTCAAGGTACTGCCACCAGAGGCATTTACCCTACAATGGCTAATGCACAGGTGCCTCCTTAATCCCAAATATATATTTTCAGGGAGTTACTGATGATTCCAGAAATGTGATTGCTATTCTGGGCACTGAACTTACAGGGAACTGCATTTCTAGTTTCAGACAACTGATTAATAAATTAGCCTGGAGGACCTAGACAATCAACAGATATTGGGATGTGAGTATGGTGTGTGCCCAAAAATGGTAATAAGAACAACATGAAATAAAATTAAATGAGGGGAGGGAAAAATAAATCTGGCTTCCTGCCCCAAAGTGGCTCACACCCTTGTAAGAAAGATAGATATATGAACAAATAATTACAAAGAAAACTGAGTGTATGATAATAAAGGCATTCCCAAGTTGCTATGAAATTCTGAGAATGGAATGCATAACGTGAGAGTTGGTGTGATTAGAATTAAGAAAGTCTCCGTGGCTGAAGTTGGATATGCCAGGGGATTTTCAACAATAAATAGGTTATTAAAGATGAAGAAGACAGAAAAGGGCACTGCAGCTTCACTTGGAATTTACCGAAATTGTTTTTTTTTTTTCATATTTTTCCATTCTTTTTTTCTACTTATATTGAGCTGAGATTTTTTAATGGCACAAAGTGGGGACAGAATGAGGTATCTTTGATAAACAAAGATGTATTGTGACCTGCCAGGTCTCTGAGTTGTTTCTCCAAGAGATTGAGAAATGCCCTCTGTTTTGGCTGGGGCTGCGAGTAGGTCAGAGTCTCCCAGACTGTTATAAGGGACCAGCTCTTCTTACCTTTGTCTTTACTGTTACCAACCTATAATCAACTAAGGAAAGCTGAAGTCCACAGATGAAGAGAAAGAGAAACACCCTCAAGGTGTTGAGAGTTAATATGATTAAAATGAGCCCATCTGTGCAGGCACAAACCCTCACTGATCCTCTCAGTCAGGTAGCTTCCCCCAGGCCTGCTTGGACAGATGAGATGTCAAATGTGCTTCTCATCCTCACAGCACCTGCCTCTGCTCTAGGTTTTCCAGCCAGGGACAATTACCTACTTAACAGGCAATTTATTAACATATTTTATAGATTCATAAAGTTTAACTTATTCTCCTTACTTCATTGTAAGCCACAGAGTGGCAGTAGTTAGGAGCCATTTGAGGTTGGGAAATGGGAATAGTTAACCGAGGTTTCCCAGTCCAAAAAACCGAGCGATTGCAATGCTGCTCTGGGCAAAGGCCCAAGGCTTTTGGCTTAATTATGCTCGCTGGCTCTTGCCTCATCTGTATTCTGAGACCTTTTCCCCTCAAAACACTTCTCTCTGTTTTTCTCTACTCTCACAGGCTTCGTTACTTCACATTGGACCCACTTTTTGTGTTATTCATTTCTGCCTAACACTTCCCTGAGGGTAGGAGCAAAGGGGGCAGCCTCTGAGTGGTGGCCCAGGTGGCCACCCAGCATAGCCCCATGCTAGAAGCTGGGGCACCTGCCCTGGAGGTCACAGCATCTAGGGCTGTACTGCTGTCACAATCCCAATCTCTTCATTTTGCAGTAATCAACTTGTGGTGGGATATTATCTAGTAAAATGGGGTAAAATCTGTAAGCAGAAAAAATGACACTAGGACATTCTCAATTGTCTTTCAAATGATTATGGCTAAGCCATCTAAAGGTAAAAAACTTTATTCAAACACATCAAAATAATCAACTGTTCCATAGATTCTCCCCTCCTTGTCATCAAAAATTCCTGGGCAACTGCTCATGGGATCACAGAGCTTCCAGGATGTTAGCAGAACTGTAGTATTCCAGGGGCCTTAGAGCAGCATCTTCCACGGGTGCCGGTAAATGCTCCATGCTGTTTGCTTTCACACATGCACAATGTTTCCAATGACTGGCCACCTACCCTCTTCATTGAAGAGATGAAGTTAATTGCACATGTGTAATTAACAAGGGAACAGACTAGTGATCCCAAATGGTGCACAAGATGATCCACTGACGGATAGGAAGAAAAATTTTATTTCCTATCTCCATTGATTTTTATCCATACATTAATTTGTGCATGAATACACACTAACAAAAAGTTTGGAGACCCCTGCACTAGAACCTGACCAGCACAAAACAAAGCCTGGTGAATCCTCTGTAACACTCATCCAAAGCATACGTGCATGGATGCTTTCCTGCTATGTGTGGGCTGACTGGGGGTTCCCAGACAACACTTGGACTAGAGCTAAGAGGAATCCTAGCCACCTGCAGATGTGGAGACATGTGCTTACATGACAAGGTTATGGGACTTGTAAAAGAAGAAAATAAATAACAATCTTCCTGTTTTGCTTAATTTATGGAATTTGAGAATTATACATCTATTTGCAATAGTGATATTTTTCTATTACCATTTTTTCCCTAGATTTCAACAATGGTTTCCTAGAAAGCATTAGTTGAACAAGATAGCTAGCTAGCTAGCTAGCTAGATACATACATACATACATACATACATACATACATACATACATACATACATATTCCCATGCCTAGAATAAATACTAGAACAATAGGTGGGGAAAATAATGAATTTTGTATTGGTTCATCCCAAGAGGATCTGTCACTATGTTCAAGGCCTTCATTCTTCTCTATTTTTGCTGTCTTGCAAAATATGAAACACTGATGTAAAACACCCTATTGAGTCTCACATCTCTGTATAATGGGCATTAGCTCCATCAAAAAGAGCAAGAGAAACACCCAAGAAGTGCTGAGAGTTAATGTGATTACAATGAGCCCATCTATGCAGGAACAAACCTTCACTGACCCCTCAGGCAAGTAGCTTCCCCCAGGCCTGCTTGGACAAAACATGTGCAATCAATGGACAGAGCTTCCACCTAGTAATGCAAGAATGGAAAAGGGGTAACCTGAGCAACCATGGAAACCTTCCTTGATGCAGTTGCCAGCTGAAGCAGCTCCACTTTTCTTTGATTATTTACCGTAATCTACCAGATTATGGTTCTATACCTTGGGCTTTAAAGATGAAATTTAGTCTTGTGAGATGAAAAGTTCCGTCAGCCAGAATTCTAGAGAGTTTGAGAGGGTGGAAGAGGGATTTGGCCAAGGCAGCGTGAAGTTGATTCTTAAGAGAATAGCAAGCCCAGTGGAAGCCACTTCTCACTGTGTAGCAAGGGAGGTAATTGACAGCAGTGGTGACACAGGAATGGAGAAGGAGAAAATGATCTGAGGGCATACTTGGCATAAGGAGACAGAGAATGACAAAAGAGATGGGGAAGACAGGCAGGATGAGTGTCAAGGGGAGACCATGGGCTGGAGAGAGAAGAGAAATCTTGCTTGGGAGTTGCTGCAGGGCATGGAATGAGGAGGAGAAAGACAATGATCTCTAAACATGAAATTAAGAAATTCAGCTTAACATTAAGAAAGCATCTGCATCCTCCACTCCGGCCACTTGTGAAAAGCACTAAATACAACACTGTATTTAAGAAACATGGAATACATCTGAATCTATGCTATATTTTTTTCTCCCAGACGTTTTTTTCTTTGAATGTGATACAAAGCAGAAATTGAACCACGTAAAAGTTTAATTTTGCTCCACCTGTTGGACTTTCTGGTGTTCTGGCAAGACTGCTTGAAGTGCCAAAGTTTTCTGGCTGCTTACCTGCCCAACTACAGGTGCACTGAATTTCTTTGACCACTGTGGGATGTCACCACTATAAAATCACTCCTCTTTTCAAAGAGCCTTCCATGGAGAAAGTAAAGACTCCTCAGTATATAAATTAATTTTTACTGGCATAAAATATAAAAAGCTATTCAAAACAGAGAATCAGGTCAGAAAATATCTTATGGCATCTTCCAACTAGGTACTCACAATGCAAAATTATCCATACCTACAAATAAGAGTCACCCTTAACCTACTTCCTTGTGCCAGAGCTGGGTGCTGTGGCCTGAGAGCCATCTGATGATAGCCATGAGCTCTCAGGGGATCTGGATTCAGAAGGAGAAACCTTGAAAGGGTTATAAAGACCTTGGTGTCTTCCACCTGGTGGCTGTCCTCACTCTTAGAGCCAACAGGTGTACAGTCAGTCCTTTCAGTCAAAATGTCTTATCCCCTGGTCCCAGAGCATTTCATGTTGCTTTGGTACACTGCCCTAAATCCTAATAAGTTGCAATGTGCTTGTTCTACAGAAAGGATACAGCTGCCAGGGGCAGAAATCTTGCTCTCAACCAGAAGATCTGGAAGGGAGCCCGGCTCTGCCTGCTACTGCCCCTGTCACCTGAGCAGATACTGGCTTTCCCCCAGGTTCAGTTTCTTCAACCATAAAAATGAGGAATTGCTGGTCTCAACCTCATAGGATTATTAATTTTTTTAATGTAAAATTTATATTAGAGTCAGGCATGTTGGTGTGCAACTGTAATCCTTGCTGAGGAGGCTGAGGCAGGAGGATCGCTTGAACCCACGAGTTTGTGACCAGCCTGGGCAACATAATGAGACCCCAACTCAAAAAAAACCAACTATTTGTTATTACTTAAATTGCAGAAATAATGCATGCTTTTTTTACCTAATGAATCAGGTGCTAACACCTGTTACCTAACAAAGCCAAATAAAAGCAAAGACAATTTTCTCCCTTACCCCCTCCATTACCACTCTTCTGCTATAGGCAATACACATTCTATTACTAATGTATATTCTTCTACCCTTTCTCCATACTCATACAAACATAGATAAATAAATATGGTGGAATTTCATTTTTACCAAATAATACCCACAATATATACATTATTCTGAAATTAGATTTTTTCCCACTCAATATATTGTTGTTTTGAGGAGCATATGAAATGAGACTCATGAAAGAGCTTGATAAATTGTAGTCACCACTCTTTGAAGCTTACAAGATGATCAGGTAGCTTGGAATTAGGTCACTCAACTTACTCTCCCTAACATCAACAAGAGAGCAGCTGAGTGAAGGAATGAGTGAGAGTTGATTGAACACGAGTAAGTCAGTAATGCTGTTGCAGAGAATGCAAAATTGCCACATATGCCTGCCCTGGATGGAGGCTGCATCAGTGCCAACAATGTGAGGACCCAGGGGCTGGGGAAGAAGCGTGCCAGGAACACATTGTCCATGTTTGGCCCTAGAACCAAGTACACTGGCCTGGCACAAAGTGGCCAATAAATATGGGATGAGATGGGAGAGGTGTTGGATGAATTAATGAATAAATCAGTGAGCTTTGAAAAGAACAAATGAAGGCACAAACAAGGCCACAAATAAAAATCATTTATTGGCTGGGCGTGGTGTCTCATGTCTGTAATCCCAGCACTGTAGGAAGCCGAGGCGAATGGATCATGAGGTCAGGAATTCAAGACCAGCCTGACTAATGTGGTGAAACCCCATCTCTACTAAAAATACGAAAATTAGCTGGGCATGGTGGCAGCTGCCTGTAATCCCAGCTACTCAGGAGGCTGCGGCAGGAGAATCGCTTGAACCCAGGAGGCGAAAGTTGCAGTGAGCCGAGATCACGCCACTGCACTCCAGCCTGGGTGACAGAGCAAGACTCCGTCTCAAAAAAAAAAAAAAAAAAAATATTTAAAAGGTGTTGTGGTGAAAATGAGAAAGAAAATAATGAGGGAAAATGGGGAATTTTTTCCAAGAGAGTTGAAGATGCATTTGAATAAGCAATGCAAAAAATTGCTGACATGCTGAAGGCTGATGGCAGGGGACCTGTACTTGTTTCACCAGCCAAGGGAACTCCAGAGCTGAACTGGAAACCAGGCTTCTCCTTTACCTTTTGACATTAATACAGTTTAACATACTGCTTTGGAAACCTCCTCAGGGAAACCTGCCTCTGAAAGCAGCTGACTCTAGGAGCTGAATACCTTAGTTATTCTCTTTTTCTTTCTTTAGGTCTCTGTAGGCTCTCAGGCTTTCCTGGCATAGCGTCCTGATTCCAGATGCTTCTGCACTGCTCCTGTTAAACTTAACTGCATATCTGCAAACTGCCTGTCAAAGACATGACATCCAAAGGGTCCAAGACTGACTTCTAAACTAGAGTTTCTAAGAATAATTTCCTAACCCCTTGATATTTGCTGTTCACCTATTAGCATTATTAAATAAGCTTGTGAATATTGGCTTTATGGTAAAGAGCAAGTAACCTACCTGTTATTTATACAAGTCTGGAACCTTTAAAACTGATTATTATTATCTAATATCTTTCAATAACTTTCCTCCCTTTTATTTCATGGAACTCATACTCAACATAGGAATTCCTGAGTCAGACTGCCTGCATTCAAATTCTGACTCCAAAGTTTGTAGGTCTTAGGGTAGGTTAGTTAACCTCTCTGTGACTCAATTTTCTCACTCATACAACGGAACTGATAATATATTGCCTTTCATAGGGTTGCTACAAAAAGCATGTGACAGACGGTCTGACATATGGTAAATACCCAGTAAAGGTTGAAAAACAAGCCTTTAAAAAAACATTGTTGGCCGGGTGCGGTGGCTCACGCCTGTAATCCCAGCACTTTGGGAGGCTGAGGCAGGCAGATCATGAGGTCAGGAGTTCGAGACCAGACTGCCTGGCCAATATGGTGAAACCCTGTCTGTACCAAAAATACAAAAATTAGCTGGGCATAGTGTCTCCTGCCTGTAGTCCGAGCTACTCGGGAGGCTGAGGCAAAAGAATCGCTTGAACCCGGGAGGCGGAGGTTGCAGTGAGCCGAGATCGCACCACTGCACTCCAGCCTGGGCAACAGAGCGAGATTCCATCTCAAAAATAGAAAAAAAAGTCATTATTTTAGGAATGATGTCTATTAATCATTAATTTATGTTTATATTGAATACTCAAAAACATATGCGGCCAGGCACGGTGGTCACACCTGTAATTCCAGCACTTCGGTAGGCTGAGGCGGGCGGATCACCTGAAGTCAGGAGTTTGAGACCAGCCTGCCCAACATGGTGAAACGCCATCTCTACTGAAAATACAAAAATTAGCTGGGCATGGTGGCGGGCACCTGTAATCCCAGCTACCCTTGGGAGGCTGAGGCAGGAGAATCACTTGAACCCAGGAGGCAGAGGTTGCAGTGAGCCGAGATCGCACCACTGCATTCCAGCCTGGGCAACAAGAATGAAAGTCCATCTCAAAAACAAACAAAGAAACAAACAAAAATCAAAAACAAACAAAAATATGCAACTGAGTATGCAAGTTGAGAGAAATAGAAATTTAAAACTAGCATCAAATGTAGGGTTGTTTTTGCTTTTGAGGTGCATTAGAGGTGGTTGGTGCTTTGGTTGGGATAAAAGTTCCATTCTGAGGCAGACTCTTTGAAACATTGAAAGTAGATGCCTAGAACCGAACCCCTCAGAGTACTCCAGCTGGATGCCACTGCTCAAATCATGGACTGAGGGGCTGTAAATGCACAGCTGTACCACCACAAGCATCACTCAGCAAACGATGATTGTCATGGTGCAGCAAAGTGGGCCTGGTGAGGAGTATATAAAGCAATGCCCTGCAGAATAAAGACAAAAATAAAGCAACGATACACTAGAGCTATAAGTCCACTCGGGTCCTCTCAGAGGGTGGTACATGTGTGGGGTGTTTCTCCAGCAATAGAGCCATCCTCCACCTACAGGGTAGCCCACATCTGGCTGATTCTGATGAAAGCAATCCCTATCACTCCTGAGCTGAACTCAGGTTGTTTCCAATCTAAGCTAACTACAATGCCCTAGCACTGTGAAAGGGACTAAATTTTTCAATTTATCATTAACCCAGCTATACCATTCCTAAGTGCACAGCAGGCAGGCTCAACTCTGCCGGATGTGGTGTCCAGCTGAACAGGTTTCTGTATGTGTTCCACTTCCTTATAGGACCAACTTCACAGCCCCTCAATCAATTTCCATCTCCTTCTCTGGAAATAAAACAATGACATGCTGTTGCTGCCTTTTCATGTTGGAAGCCAATGCTTGTAGTGAAATGTGAAGAGAGAGCCAATTGCTACTTCACCTCTCTGTGGTCGTGCTAGGAACCTTCATTCTGTAGTGAAATGGAAAGATCCAGCTAAAGCAGACTCCTTCATGGGATGAGGATCTTACAGCACTACTTCCTGCTGTGAACACGTGAATTGAAACATCAGACCCACATCTGAAAATATTGGGCTTTAGTCAGGAAACTGTTCAAATAATCAAAGAAGATTTTCTTGCTTGGAAAATAGTGTGAACTGGATGATTCTACCTCAGTTCTGAGTGTGATTCCTTTTGCCAGGTTGATTTTTTTTTTTTTGAAGAACATTTTTTCTCCAGTTTTAAAGGCCCTCAAAAGTAGAGTGGATTACATTCAACTTTCTAATTAGAAGCAAGAAAAAAAACTTAAAGGATCTCTGAATAGTCTGACCTAATGTCAATGGGCATATACATACATGTGTGAAATTGGAGATTACACATCTGCTAACATAACGTGAACTCAGTCATTTAGTGACTATTTACCAAGTCCTCTCTAGTTCCTGATGTTGAGTTGAGTGCTGGGTCTGCAGCACGTGAAGCATGTGTGATGTCTCCATCATGGGGAATGGGATCCAGAGGAGAGGAAAACAGGACAAATAAATAAATAATTAAAGATCATAGTCCGTGCACAAAGAAGAGAAAATGAATCAATGTTATTTGCCTTGATAAAAAATTATCCTTAATTAAGCTTTCCTCCTATTAGTCTCCATCATTTTGTCCAATTGCTTCAGCTGTTTTCTTTTAAGGCCTAATGTATACCTAGTGCTTAGCTTTCCACCTGAAAACACAAACCGTAGAAGTTCCAGTGAGGAACCATATAGTATTTGAATAGGGTTACCTAGAATATGGAGGAAAACAAGTGATGGAATAAAAGTATGAAATCACTTTTGAAATATGAATCACTTTATGAAATAATCATATAGGGAAACTTCTTAACTGAACAGACTCTTTAAACCCCAGGATCAGTTGTTTGTGCTCTGGAAGACTAACCGAAAGAGTAAAAGCAGAGGAAACCTGCTGATAGCTGTGTTCCCTGGTCTACCCTCTTGAGTTAGTGAAACAACAGCAGGCACCTAAAAAAGAAAAGAGATAAGCCCCTTCCCCGGTGGACTGTGCTCCGGGTGGGAAATCCCTCCTACAGAGAGCTGAGTGACCAGGAGGGAGTCTTTTGGAAGATGAATGGACTGCTATTAGACTTCAGGGTCCACTGATTGTTCTTAATGGGAAGCTACAAGGATCAAAGTGCATCTCAAAGCATTGTCAGAATGAGCCCAATGCACCTTGCACTGTCCCACCCCTCCTCCTCTGACCCTTCCTGCCGAGGTCACTTCCCTATTAGTCAACTGCCCCCACCTCAACCCCTGGGCTTTTTCCCAGTCTGTGGCATCAGAACTAGGTACTTATTTCTTTAGTGCCTCATGTAATCCTGATATTCATATGAAGTTCCCACTGCTTTAACATTAGCAGAGTTTAGTGACACTAAAAATTAAAGCATTCCTTAAGCCAGGCCATGTAGAGAATTATTTAATTTACAGAACACTTCCAACTAATGATGCTCATTAGCTTACTCAAAACAAATCATTATGACTTTCACCTCTTTTCTAGGACAGGCCGAGCATAGAAATATTATATAGGGATTTCTTTCTACAGGGGACACCTGCTTTCCTTTTCTCACTTAGTTATAAAATACCTTTCAAAGTGAAACCTTGTCAGTGTTGCATAATTGTGCTTAGAAACGTTTATTCAGTAAGAGAATGCCTGGTAATGAAGAGCGCCCTAAATCTCACCAAGGATGTGTCAAAAAATAAGTGTACAAGTATAAACCTGTATGGAAAAATTGAAAATGTTATATCTGTGCTCCAAATTCTACAAAATGGGCATATGGGTACTGCCCACATAGATTTTATGCAGATTCTTAGTATATTATAAAGTCTACTTATTGGCCACCAATGCACGCACACACACCCTAGTGTCTCTCAGGTATGAATGGACTGAACTAAGGTGGAAATGTAACTTGAGCAACATTAAAGGATGAAAATGGTTAATATGCAAATATGAGAATAATATTTTTCTGTATGTGGCAAAGGTATGTAATTTAGAAATAGTAATTTGCCGAGACATGGAAACATATATCAACATTTTATGACATTATTATTTGAGGCTTCAGAACACAATTTATAACCTCTATCTTCATCTCTCTTCCCTTGCACACGCACACAAACATGCACACACGCATACAGTACAGGGCCACCTGTGACATTGCACTATACACAGATAAACCTGTTAGCAAGTTCACTCATTAGCTCCTGTATTTTTTCCCAAAGTTGTCCACTATAATCATTCACCTGTGTTCTTAAATTGTCTGCCATTATTTGCTTCATTAGTGCCTCTCAGTGAATGCTTGGATTTCACAAAGGTCTTACACTTTCCATGGAGCAAAGCCTTCAGGGTGCTGAGGGTTGTGAGAAAAGCATAGAATTTTCCTTGATAAATGGCTACTCTTCAGCACACAGCACTACAATGAAAGACTAATTCCTAATTTGTTTGTTCTACATGTTCAGCAGCAAAGAACCATAAACACAAACACATAGATGTCAAACTAGCTTAGACTAACTTCTATAAATAAGTTATAATTTGCAGATAATTTATTACCATGTAACAGTAGAAGCTTTATTAACTAAGTAGTAGTCTATGTAGACTTGCCTTTATTACTTATAAAATTGTACTTTTCTTCTAAATTTACTGGTACACAAATATCACAATTAGAGCACGTATAATAGTGCTTTAGTTCTTTTTTTCTGATGTCTTTCCCCCACCAAATTGTATCCTGTTCAAGGGAGACTACACAGTTACTCTATCTTTTTGTCTCCAATATTCCCAGGTACAATGGGTCTTATTAGGTAAAGGTAGCTAAGAATTTGCTGTGCATTCCAGTTATTCTGTCAAAATATGGGTTTTCTGAAGTTGGGACTATTCACAAAAAGGAAATGTACACAGAAGATTATAATAATGAATCTTGAAGATTACATCCCTACCTTTTATGCAATGCAAATAAAATTATCTCTTTCTCCTTGCTATGAGTTATTTATCCACAAGGATATTAAGAATAGAGCACTGACATGATGCTCAAAGTATATGCTCATTGGAGAATTTAGGATTTTGGATTTCCAGATTAGGAATGCTGAACCAGTATGTAATGTAAATATTCCAAAATTTGAAAAGATTTGAAATCTGCAACACTTCAGGTCCCAAGCATTTTGGCTAAGGAATACTCGACCTGTACTACTACTCAAATTTATCAATAAATGTTTGTTGGATGAAAGACCAGATGAACCTGTAGCCCATCTACCAATCCTCTGATACACAAAATATTTTTAATAAGCCCATGCTCATTTGCATTCAGATCTTCTGTTTAAGGTACTTTGCATTTCAAAAGAATAATGTTTTTCTCTATTCTAAGATTATTGTTTTCATTGGGTAGGATGTTAATCCCCTTATTTTCAAGAATAAATCTAATTCATTATACTATGCACAAGGATCTGTATTTTGGATTCTCAAGTTCTAATGTATCTCATCAATATGTATCTCAACAGTGATTTTTTTAAAAAAAATAAGTTTTATTTAGACATAATTCACATGCCACAAAATTCACCCATTTAAAGTGCACAATTCAATGGCTTTTAGTGTATTCACAGAGTATTGCAACCATTACCACTATCTAATTCCAGAATGTTTCATCAACCCAGTAAGAAAACCTGTGACCATTAGCAGTCACCCCCAGTACTCCCCTCCCCTAGCCCCATTTAGCTATATCCCAATTGGGAAAATTATCTTAAAGGCTTTGTTTAATATTTTTTTGTAATTAGAATAAGCAGTGGACTTTTCTGGTGTGGTCATTTATCACTCCTATGCCACTCACTTACTCATTAGCTCTACAAATATTGACTGAATAGTGTCTGGGGCATAAAAGTGAGGGAGAGTAGACAGTTCCACATGTCACATGCTGTTCTTTCTTGAGGAAAGCTCAGACTACAGGGACTATGTCTCATTTCTGTGCTTGATTGCTGTAAGATCAGATACAACACCATTTTGCATGAAGTTAGAGCATTAAGTTACTAGAATACCATCATCTGATGTATCTCACCCTTTAGAGCTGTAATTACACTCTTATAGGGATGCAGATTATGCCTGTGGCCTACAAGTTTATCCAGAGTTAGAACCTGGCTCCAATCAGAAGAGACCACAAGGAATATAAATGAAGAAGCCTGGCACGCTTCCATCTCACACTCCGCCCCTATTCTAATCCCTTTCAGGGGAAACTGACCAGATGTGGCCAGTGAGCACCAATTCCTCATTCCTGTGCACATGTGCCTTCCACTGGGTGGTCCATAGTTTTACCTTAATATACTCAAGTCATTATTTTGAGTATTCTGTTGCACAAATTCTTTGATGTGGGAAAGGCTTACCTAACAGACAATTCCTGCAGTACCTTGTTACTTCTAGCTCACGATTGTGTGCATCACTGCATATGGGCTTATAATATTTACTAATTGTATCCTGTATTTGTCTTATTTTCCCAAATAGATAGCTTGTGTCAGATGTTTCTGTGTCTCTGCCCCATCCCAACACTGTCACCTCGTAGTGTGTCTTCATGCCATTTATGTATGACGATTGATAGGAGTTGGTTTAGTTGTCAGTAGAAAGCCATAGGTTGAATCACCTTTTCTCCTGACCCCCATTTTCTGACAGTATTCAGTGGAGGATCGGGCCCCTGCCAACTGGTATTGCTGAATCCCTGCTTTTGGTCTGCGGTCCTAGTACCGTCTACCACTGGATTTGCCTGGTGTTTGAGGACCTGTCATATGCCTGGCTCTGTGCTAGGTGTTTGAAGACAGCAACCCTCTTCTGTGCTTATCCTGTATCTTCATTTTTATCACTACATTGACCACATGGGGTGAAGGTGAAGGATGTTGGGTTTGCTGTCTTTTTTCCATAGGCTGTGAGCTCCTCATGGGCAGGATAGAGTTTTACACAGAGCCTGGTACACAGGCCCTTAGTATTTGTCATGTGAATAAATAAATTAAAAGGCAGTTGTTAGCAGCTTTCTGACTAGCTAAAAAGACAGCACACATACATTTGAAACAATGAGAGAGCAAAATAGTATCATTTAAAGTGCTAATTATGTAAACCAGACAACTCATAATCCAAATACACTTCAAGTACCCATGGAGTATGGTGTTCACAAAACATTTCAAGTACAATCCAACCACTAAAATTCATTTAAAAGTTGATTAGAGTTTTGTTTGCATCTCTTAAAGAACTTTAAAGGAGATGTAACTCACTCAACAGCAACACTTCATAAAATAAATCATCTTTGTCCTCTCAACTTCTTGTACCCCTTTTTACTCTGCAGCCTATCACTCTCCAGTTCCCACATCTCTCCCCATACCTTCCAGCACCTGCTTTCTTGGTATCTCCCCCTTCCCTTTTTCTCAGTGGCAGACTGAGTTAGCCTTGCTAGCTTCCTTTATTCCCTCGTTCAGTCATTATCCCAAGTCTGTGCCGCAAAATAAGCCTGGACCCAACCCGATGAGCAAGAGAATGAATCTCTCCCCTTTAGAAAGTGAGAGGATGGGGAGGGGAAACAGTAAACAGCAGTTGTATAGGGAAAGATGATCAATACTGCAGTATTGGAATATGAATGTTTGTCCTTATGACAAGTGCAATTAAATTGAGAAATGGGGAGACTCTGCCAGGGCTGGTAAGGAGTCTTGCTCTCCATTTTGGGGGTGCTGTGGATTTTATACATTCATCTACTGAATCCTCACAGTCACCTGCAGAATCCTACCAGGAGGAAACTGGGCTCAGAGAGGTTAAGTTATTTGACCCAAACCACTTATAAGTAGCAGCAAAAATGTTTGTGCCTACAATGTGATGTCACATTCTCAAAGATTTCCATAAATATATCCTTTTTGGTAACACTGTTAGGATGGAGCTAGTTGAAATTGTGAAGCAGAAAAAACTAGCAGTTGGCACCTTTGTGCCTTCCATTGCAGGCCTCCTTCTCCGGAGAGCCCTACAAACATTCATCAATGTTCCTTCCTCCGCCCCTGGCACACAGACACACACACGATATGCACCAATAACACAAAACCCAAAACACACTCCAAATCTGCTCCTAGGAAATAATTAAATTAAAACAATTGGAGTGTTACCCTGATAGTGCTGTCTTTATTTTAACAGGAGATAAAGCTCTATGACAAAGGGATGAATGTTTCATGATGCATTTGCCAGTTTCAGAAGAGGTGGAGATTTGTAGTCGTCCCTAAGATAACACCCCATAAGTCACAACTGAGTCCACCTGCTTAGAAGGCGGCTTTTGCATTATTTTCTTTTGTAAATTTGAATGCATTTAGCTGAATTTAGGATGCCCATTGATAACTAAGAAAGAAAATATAAAAAATATTGACATGTGTCAACTGTGTGCTGAAGTCTGTGAAATGCTTGTGTGTATGTGTGTGTGTAAAGAAAGGAGAGAAAGAGCAAAATAAAACTTTTATCTTGAGCAAATATTCAATCACAATACAATGGCTAATAATAAAATAGTAACATGAAACTAAGTAAGAAAGGATGATGGCATTACAACCTCCAGAATAAGAACCTAGGAAATGTGTACCTTCTGAGAATTGTTCCCTTTAAGTATTGGATTTCTCATTTCTTAAGAAAGTGCTTCATGGAGGGCATGTGGCTAGGATAGCAGATTTGAATTGTGCTGATAGAAAAAGGCACATTCCTCCCCTTACAGCGGATTGAAGTGCTCCCTGATGATGTTATCCTGCAGAGAAATATAGTCAACCCCCATTATATGCCAGGGATTGGTCCCAGGACCTCCACATATACCTAAATCTGTGCATACTTAAATCCCACAGTGGGCCCTGCAGAACCTTTGTACAAGAAAAGTTGGCCTTCCCCATAAGCAGGTTTTGCATCCCACAGATATTGATCCACAACTGGTTGAAAAGAATCTGTGTATAAAAGAACCCCACAATTAAAACCCGCGTTATTCAAGGGTCACTCACACACACATACATACACATATTAAGTATATACACATGTAAGTATGTGTATGTGTGTCTTAGTTTGTTTGTGTTGTCATAGCAGAATACCTGAGACTGGGTAATTTATACACGGTAGAAATTTATTTGGTTTACAGTTCCAGAGGTTGAGAAGTCCCATATCAGGGCGCTGGCATCTGGCAAGGATCTTCTTGATGTGTCATTCCATGGTGGAAGGGCAAAAAAGCCTGCCTGCAGCTGGGTGCGGTGGCTCATGCCTGTAATCCCAGCACTTTGGGAGGCCGAGGTAGGTGGATCACAAGGTCAGGAGTTCAAGACCAGCCTGGCCAACATGGTGAAACCCTGTCTCTACTAAAAATACAAAAATTAGCTGGGCGTGGTTGCTCATGCCTGTAATCTCAGCTACATGGGAGGCTGAGGCAGGAGAATCGCTTGAACCTGGGAGGTAGAGGTTGCTGTGAGCTGAGATTGTGCCGCTGCACTCTAGCCTAGGTGACACAGTGAGACTCTGTCTTAAAAAAAAAAAAAAAAAAAAAAAAGCCTGCAAGAGAAAGGAAAGGGTTAAAATTGTAAAATTCATCTTTTTATCATGAGCCCACTCCTGCAATATTGGCATTAATTCATTCATGATGGCAGAGTCCTCCAGATCTAATCACCTCTTAAAGTTCCCACCTCTCAATGTCGTTGTATTGGGGATTAAGTATCTAACACATGAACTTTGGGAGACACATTCAAACCATAGCCATGTGTATGTTTGGAATCATTATATCCAAAAGCATTTCTGAAAGATCATAGCTAATACTTAAAGCCTCTAATCTGAAATAGAATAGCTTAATTGTATAATTTTCAACAAATATAGTGGCTTTTGGTGGTATAAAATACTTATAAGAATTTGTGTTACTAATAAAAAGCATGAAAGCCACTTTTCCCAAGGTGTAATATAATAATGGTGGTAAATTTTCTCAAGTCAAAAATACATGATTTTATTAGTAATAATTTTCTCTCTTTTGGCCCTTAAATTCCCAAAGCTTCTTGTAGCTAAGTTAAAAGCACAAACAGTAGAATTTTAGCATGAGCTGCTGTTTTCTCTGGAACCATTTCTATCCTATTTGCTTTCCTTTGTTTTTAACTATGAATGTAAGCTTCCCTTTTCATAACAAAAATTACTCAAATACTTGTACTGATTTACATTTACTAGGAAGCCAGTGCACTTTTTTTAAGTTGTGCCCTTAAAACAACACTCAGACCAATGAAATACACAAATAAGTGTGTCAAGACTGTTGCAAAGTCTATATACCTATCAAAAATCTTTTGCAGACACCTTTATGAATCATAGATTACAGATGCATCGGTTCTCTAGAGTTGCTTAAGTCAAAGTTTAAATTTTATGGAACCATGTGGTAGTTGTATGATTTAGCAAGCATTTTCTTTACATAGTGGAGTAAGTGGTTACAAAGCACTCTGGGCCCATCCAGCATGGAGGACAATGGAGCAGAAAGAGGTATATGAGATAATTTTTCAGAAAGGAGGGGGAAATAAAATTCCCCCCAAGGGCACTTACTTGTCTTCCATGTCCAAGTCATCTTTTCCCTTCCAGCAAATCAGCAAACTCAAATCTAGGCAGTGAAAAGCAATATTTTCTGCACGTGTGAAATGACTCCCAACTCCATGAGGCGCCTTGCTTAGGATCAGAGGAACCCAGGCTGGCTCTTCTCTGGGGTCCCAGGTTCCAGTGATTTACAAGCTGTCTTTATGTGCTCTGCTACTGCCAGGTCCTGCTCTCAGGACAATATCAAATTAGGGTTCAGTGTGTGCCAATGTGTTATGCTGTGCCCTAATCTCAGACAAATATGGGCGCCATTGAAACTCTAATGGACAGTGCACTTGTTTTGCAGGATCTCAGATCAAGGACATGGAGTGGAATACAGACTGACTCCTCAGGAGGTTCAGTTCTTCTGTTCTTATTTTCTTCTAGCAAGAAATCAGTGGGCTTCTCTTTCAGGACATGAAGATGACGGCAAGCTGGGTGAAATATGAATAATAGAGATTTCAAATGACTAAAATGCAGTTCTAATTTTAAAAAGGAGACAAAATAACTACTAAACTCGCATGCTTGCTCCCTAGAACTGTATGACTTTCATAATAGATTGCTTAAAATAGTATTCAACAATATTTAAACTGTCACATCACCATCTCAATTCTGATAGATCTGATACCTGAAATACATTCTTTTCTCACTTACATAGAGAAGTCAGTAAGTCCAAAACTTCCTCATGTGGATTTTCTAGAACTTTTTTTTTCTTTCTTTCTTTTTGGCTAATAGATAACCTTCCAAAAATGGGTCTCATGGTGGGGAACACTTGGGAAACAATGTATTAAACAACGTTCAACAGATTTCTTGTGTAAGAGACTTTCTCAAAGGCATTAATTAAGTCTACAGACATATCCCTTTGTCTCCCAAGAGGAGGCCGTGTATGAAGTGTTTAACCTGGAATTCTTTTTTGTATGTGGAAACCCTTCAGCATCAATACTGTGCAGCACTTACTATGGGAAATACTAGTTTAGTCTCTTCTTTCTTCAATCATGGCGGCATGGCTGACTGACCACATAGCTACCTGCTACCTAGCCAGCTTTTAAAATTCAAATCCCTTCCCCAACCTCTAGCCTTCTACCTTGTTCATTTTCCAGGGTAGCGTGTTCTGGCATTTTCTTTTTTTCTTTCATTCTTTTTTATTCTACTTTTTAATTTGTTTATTATCTCTCTCTTCAAACTAGAGTATAAGCTCCTTGAAGGCAGGGACTTTTTAATCTCTTTTGTTCTTTGACGTATCCCCAGGTCCTGAAATTTTAGGAGTCTACCTGGCTAGAGCAGGCACTCGATATATAGGTTACATAAAGCAATGGTAAATTCAAACTATCCGTGCCAGAAAATTTCTGTGTTTTCCCACATGGTTAATTTGTTTCTTCACTTAAATAATTATTGAGTACCTACTGTGTGCCAGGTTCTGTATTCATTGCCAGGACATCCTTTTTAGTGAAATGTAGAAAATATTTCACCAATATCTTTTTGTCACATGCTGTCTATCTTCAAAGACAAGTATTTGGTTTCCTCTGTGCTTCCAGCTCTGGGTTTGGCCAATGCATATCTTTCAGCTGAGCCTTGTAGGTTTTGTTTTCAATGTGCAATGCTCATCTATGTTATAAAAAAGTATGCCTTAGAATGGATGAAAACAGCTATATAAAGCATGAGACAACCAAATTCGAATGAGGAAGTGTGAGATCTCTTTCAAATGATTTGAATTAGCATTAGAACTAAATTCTTGGACTAGACCTCACCTATTATCAAGGGGTAAAATCTTTGCTGGATCCCATGAAATCATCATTCACTTAACACTATTATGGGACGAATTGTTACCCCCCAAATTCGTCTGTTGAAGCCCTAACCTTCAGTACCTTAGAATGTGACTATATGTGGAGATAGGGTCTTTAAAGAGGTAATTAAGGTAAAACGAAGTCATTAGGATGGACCCTAATTCAACATGATTGGTGTCGTTATAACAAGAGGAGATTAGGACATAGACATGTACAGAGGGAAGTTCATGTGAAGATGCTGGAAACAGACAGCCATCTGCAAGCAAAGGAGAGAGGCCTCGGAAGAAACTGGCCCTGCCTCTGCCTTGGTCTTGAACTTCCAGCCTCCACAACTGTGGGAAGAGAAATTTCCCTTGTTTAAACCATCGAGTCTGTGGTACTTTCTTATGATAATGCCAGCAAACTAATATAAATATCTGTTATATAAATAGATATAACAAAAATCTTATACTTGACTCAGTAGTTTGAGACAACAAAGTATAAACCGAAAAGTGACCGAGGCAGATCTCAATCAATTCAGAGGTTTATTCTGCCCAGGTTGAGGATGTAGGTTGAAGAAAAAGAAACACAAGCCGCAGTAGGATCTGTGTCCTGTGCTTTTTCCAAAGAGAGTTTTGAGGACTTCAAAATTTAAAGAGGAAAGAGCAAGTAGGAGGGGAACGAGGAAAGGAAAAAAGGGGAGGAGGGTAGGCAATGAGGCCAGTGCTCACTCTGTCACCCAGGCTGGAGTGCAGTGGCACAATCACAGTTCCCCACAGCCTCAACCTCCCAGGTTCAGGTGATCCTCTCACTTCAGCCTCTTGAGTAACTAGGACTATAGGCACATGCCACCACACCTGGCTAACTTTTGTATTTTTTGTAGAGAAGGTGTTTCACCATGTTGCCCAGGCTGGTCTCAAACTCCTGGGTCCAAGTGATCCACCCACATTGGCCTCCCAAAGTGCTGGGATTACAGGCTTGAGCCATTGGGCCAGACCAGTGGTTGCATTCTTGTAAGGCTTGTTATTAGTGTTCAGTGAATCTGTATTTTACACATGAAAAGAGTAGGTGGAGAAGTCAATTATACATTGTCTCGGGCTCTCAGTAAATCTACATTTTACATACAATAAAGTAAAGATGTGAAATTACAGCTACCTGTTTGTGAACAAAAGGAAGTCAGATTTGTTGTTGTTTGTTTGCCTGACTCAGTGCCCAAGCTTAACTTTACCTTTGGCATGGTGAGTTTGGAAGTCCTGAGATTCTATTTATTTCTTTCTCAAGAGAACTAAATAGATAATTATAATTATCTTCAATAACTCCTCTGATGGAGATGCTTACACGGTGCCCTGGAGCAGGCATACCAGGAGCGTCTGACTCTGTGGGCTTCGAGTCAGGTGGGCAAGCTGGGAGGATGTGGCCCCTGACCAGGTTTGAAGGGCAAGTAGAAGTTGGAAATGGGACGAGCCTGGCCAACATGGTGAAACCCTACCTCTACCAAAAATACAAAAATTAGCCAGGTGTGGTGGCTGGCACCTGTAGTCCTGGCTACCTGGGAGGCCGAGGCAGGAGAATTGCTTAAACCCAGGAAGTGGAGGTTGCAGTGAGCCAAGATTGTGCCACTGCACTCCAGCCTAGGTGACAGAGCAAGACACTGTCTCAAAAAATAAATAAAACATATCATTCATTAAAAAAAAAAAAAAGTTGTAGATGGGCTAGAAGAGGGGCCTTCCAGGCAAAGCGAGAGGCACAAAGCAGTCAGAATTGGGTGAAGTCTGGTAGGATCCTGGAGGGCTACTGTGTGGCTGCAGGACATGAAGCTGAAGTAAACAGAAGTCAGATTATCAGGGCTTTTAATCTCTTCCAGGGAATTACAAGTTTTACTTAAAGTAAGGTGTTGGGAAGTCACTGGAGGGTTTTCATCAAGGTCCCCAGACCCAAATTTTAGCAACATTTCTTGGGAAGTGCAGGAAGGTAAAGAAACCAGTAATGAAACTGGTATTGAAATTCAGACACAGAATTTAGAAGGCCACATCTAAAGTTACATGTAAAGAAAAAGCATTTAAGAGATAGTAAAGGGAATGAACATGGCTTGAGAATAAACAGTGAGCGCCAACTGTCAACGAAAAGAGTCAAACTCTGTAAAATATTTGAAGAGATTTATTCTGAGCCAAATATGAGTGACCATGGCCTGTGACACAGCCCTCAGGAAGTCCTAAGAACATGTGCCCAAGGTGGTTGGGGTATAGCTTAGTTTTATATATTTTAGGGAGGAGGCATGAGACATCAATCAAATACATTTAAGAAATACATTGATTTGGCTCAGAAAAGCGGGACAACTCAAAGAGGGGGGCTTCCAGGCTATAAATAAATTTGAACATTTTCTGGTTGGCAGTTGGTTGAGTTTATCTGAAGAGCTGAGATTAATGGAAAGGAATGCTCAGGCTAAGATAAAGGATTGTGGGGACCAAGTTTTATTATGCAGAGGAATCTCTCAGATAGCAGACTTCACAGAGAGCACAGGTTGTAAACTGTTTCTTATCATTGGACCTAAAAGGGTGCCTGGTTCTCAGTTGATTATCTCCCGGGTCTAGAGAGAAAGGAAGGAAAACAAAGAGGGAAGGGGATTCTCTATAGAATGTGGATTTTTCCCACAAGAGACTTTGCAGGGCAATATCAAGATATGGCAAGGAAATATATTTTGGGTCTAAATATTTTTTCCTTGTGTCACAATGTTATGCCAGAGTCAGATTGAAAAGTAAGTCACAATATATAGGGTCAAATAAAACCTATCTGATGAGAATGTATGGTTTGTAGGGCATGACTCCCTAGATCCCTTAGGTAGGAATTTGGGCAAGATAAAAAATCAGAGCTCACTCCTTAATACGAAATACCCCCATGAGAAGGTTGGTGGGAAGCAGAAGAGACAGAGACTTGAAATATGGATCCTAGGTTTAGCAATTATGCAGCAGAGTGAGGCCCCAGGCCCTGAAAGGGAAAAACAATCAAAAGCAGCAGAAAATAAGGAGTCAGCCCTCAGGAGCTATTTTTTTTTACTTTAATTTTAGGAAGCACTTCTGCTTCCTTCTCTTTGGAGACTTGCATTCTTAAAAGATTTTAGCCATTTGTAGTGAGTTAGAATTTTGTCTTTAAAAAATCTCCTTAGGGCCATAGTCAGTATGATTTCTTGAATATTTTCATTCTTCGGCACAATTCAATTCAATTCCATAAACATTTGAACTTCTATTACAAGGTAGGCAGTTACTAGAGCATGATTCTTCTATTAAGTTCATTTTAATATTTTAATGGTCCTAAGATTTAGGTGGCTTAAAAGGGGTAGCACATTAGTTAATAGTGAAATGATTGTGATAGTAAAAAAAAAAAAAAAAATGCTTCACATATGTATGTACTTTCTGATGCACCACCACAAAGTGTTTATCATTTGCAATTCAGAGCAACACTGTGAAATAACTGAGGACTACTGTCTTGTACAGATAAAGATGTAAGGAATATAAAATAAAGGCAGAAAATTTTATTTTTATTATTGTCATTTTACAGTCAATTTTTAAGAAGGAGATCAAAACCATTAATAATTACTCAGGATTGGCAAGTTTCATAAATTCTTGAATTCATCTTTCCCCTGATTGTAAGAGAAACAATTGTTCATTGCAGAAAAAAAAATTAGAATATAAAGTCACCCTATTTGTAACATCCACAAATAAACACTTAATATTTTATGTGTATTTTAAAGGTTTCAAATATTTTTACATGTTTTCACAAGTGTGTAATTATCTACACATTTTGCAGCCTGCTTTCTCATATAATGTCAGCTCATAATTTAGACAGCCTACAAAATAGCCTGTACTAGAGCCCAGTCCACTTCCTTATTCAAGGACCTCATCCTTGAAAAAAGTCAGCCCTCTCACTTGCATAATCAATTATTTCCTCTCTACTGGGTCATTCCCACCAGCTCATAAATGCACTGCAATGTATCTCATCTTAAAACAAAACAAAACAAGAACCACTTCTCTCTGAATACCACATGCCTCTTCAGTTTCTACCTTCCCTTTTACTGTAAAAGTCATCAAAATATTTAGCTGCACTTGCCATCTTGTATTCTCTCTTCAGCACATTCCGGTCAGGCTTTTGCTCCAACTACATCACTGCAACTGCTCTTGTCAATGTCAACGACCGTCACATGGCCATATTCTAAGGACACTTCTCAGCCTGCATCTTATTCAGCCTCTCAGGAGCATTCAACACCATTGATCACCATGTCCCTTGCAAAAATTCTGAGATACTCTGAAAATGCTCCCTTTCCTTGGCCTCTAGTACACCACATTTGTTCTTCCATTAGTCACCACCCCTCAGGTATCTGTCCTGGATTCTTCTCATATTTCTGCCCTTAAAACACTGGCAAGACCAAGGGCTCAGTCCTCAGATCTCCTTTCTTCTCTATCTCCACTAATTTCTTGGGAGACATCACCAAACTTAAGGCATTACATATCATCTACAAGCTGACAACTCCTGTAGGGGTGCAGGAAAAGCTTCCCTTCTGCCCTCTTTGAAGGTTGGCTGGAATGAACTGACAATAGATAGATTAATAGGAGAAAAGGCATACAAATTTACTAACATGCATAAGCACAGGGGCCATATAAAATATGAGACTCAAAGAAAGGCCAGATGCTTGAGGTTTAAATACCCTCTTCACAAGGGGAAGGGAAGTAGGGAAATTGTAGGGGTAGTAAATGATTTTCAGGGGAAATGAATGAGCCCAAAGAACAGATAATAGTTTATAAATAAACAGTAGGGAGGGGTCTATCAAGGTAAGTTTAGACAAAAATCATTAAATTCCTTTGTGGTACTGCTCCTTTTCCTTTGCTATAAGGTCATGCAGTTCTCCAACACTTGTTCGTTCTTCCCAGGAGCATGGCTAAGCTCTCTGGGTGTGGTGACAACTTGTAATCCCTTCATTTGTAAATGATTCTCTTTGGAAATTGAATGGGATGAAAAAGTCACTGGAAAGGTGAGGGGTGGAACTGTACTGTGAACAAGGGTTATTTTATTATGCAAATAAAGTTTTCAGGTAATCTCTTGAAGCTACCTTCAGAAGAAACCACAAACAAATTTAATGACTTTGTCTAACTCTGTCTTAAAAGAATCCTCCGTACTGTTTATTTTGCAGATAGGTTATTGATAGTATTTAGTATGGAGAAGCAATGTATACTTAGCAATTAGGGGAGGAAATGTATGCAAATAGAAGAAAATTTATAGCTGACTAAAATCTCCTACAGAATAAGGCAATTTATAATAAGTACAATGCTTCCTAATAAGGCAGGACCAATATGGAGATATGCAAGTTCATTTTTTATACTTTCAGAGTGATTACTAAGAATACTTGTTCATTCTGTTCCAATAACAACTTTAACTTTCTTTAAATGACAACATTTTCAAATCATGATTCTCTTGTCAAAGTCAAGTCAAACACATGCAGCTGAAACAAGAATAGGAATTTTAACTTGGATTTGAGATGGGAGTTTATGAAATATTTATTGCTTTGTTTGAATTAGTAAGCATATGCATCCTTAAAGTCCCACATGAAGATGGTCAACAGTTCAAATTTTACTGATGTGTAGAATTTAAATAAGCCAATAGTACAGAAATATAGTAGAGGAAATAAGACGTTGAACTGTAAGATCTGACAGGCCTGGATTCAAATTCCACTCGGCCTCTGAATTGATGTGTGAACTTGGACAAGTTTTAAATTTAATTTAATTTTGTTTAATTTTAAGTTATGGGGTACATGTGCACAATATGCAGGTTTGTTACATGGGTATATGTGTGCCACAGTTCACCTATCAACCCATCACCTAGGTATTAAGCCCAGCATGCATTAGCTATTTTTCCTGATGCTCTCTGCTCGCACCCCCAACCTCCCCCAACAGGCACCAGTGTGTGTTGGTCCCCTCCCTGCGTCTATGTGTTCTCATTGTTCAGCTCCCACTTATAAGTGAGAACATGTGGTGTTTGGTTTCCTGTTCCTGGGTTAGTTTGTTGAGGATAATGACTTCCACCTCCATCCATGTCCCTGCAAAGGACATTATCTCATTACTTTTTAGGGCTGCATAATATTGCATTGTGTATATGTACCACATTTTCTTTATCCAGTCTATCATTGATGGGCATTTGGGTTGATTCCATGTCTTTGCTATTGTGAATAGTGCTGCAGTGAACATACAAGTACGTGTATCTTTATAATGGAATGATATATATTCCTTTGGGTATATACCCAGTAATGGGATTACTGAGTCAAATGGTATTTCTGGTTCTAAATCTTTGAGAAATCGCCACACTGTTTTCCACAATGGTTGAACTAATTTACATTCCCACCAACTGGGTAAAAGCGTTCCTATTTCTCTACAACCTCGCCAGCATCTGCTGTTTCTTGAATTTTTAAGAATTGCCATTCTGACTGACATGAGATGGTATTTGGACAAGTTTTTAATCATTCTAAGTAAAGTTATGTTTCCTCGCCTGTAAAATGGGATAATATAGATAATATAATATTGCAACCTTTATAATATTGTCAAGAGTGTTGCGTGAGATAATATGTATAAAAGTGCTTAACATAGTTCCTGATGCATACTAAGTGACCAGTAATTCTTAGCTATTAAATTATCTATACTGCTTTTAAGGTTTTCTCTTAAATTGTATCTGTTAAGACTTTAAAATGTTATTATACTTGCTTATTGCAAACTTCGTTACACACTAAAGATATTTGTGTGATTCAAATTTACCACTTGCCAAAGATGTTGCTTTGAATGACTTCCGTGTTCCTTCCATCATGCTTCCTTCTCCAAGAGACACCATGATCTTATGAGTTTAAGCACTAACTGGCAGGTTGCATCATATGAAGCATACTGTCACTTCTGGCATCGATTTCCTCTGCAAATCAGCGATTCAAGTGATCTGAGTTTCTCCATCAAATGGCTTTTAAATAATGAGCAATCATCATCTGTTAACCACTTAGGGGCCCTCAGGGAAACTTGAATGAAGTATTTTGTACTAACCATAATGTATTTGGTATTTAATAGTCAAACATAAACCCTTTTTAAGGTCACTGTGGTTAGAGAAGTTGGAAGTGATTTTTATGGCAAATTAAGTTTCCATTGTTTGAACTCAGTTCTGCTGATTGAGAATGCAGGCTAGGTGGATTTGCATTTCACTCCTTCTCTCCTCCCAGCTCTAGCAGTGGTTTACCTCCTCACTCATCTCACCTGGGCAGCAACAGGATTGCCAAAACAAGGAAAGGATAAAATTCTCCCACTTGAGCTCTATTAAGCAGAAAGTAAAAGAAGCAATTGAGATTATCTTAGTTTCTTCATACTAAAGGATTTCCTACCAGGAATGAGGCAGATAACTGTAATCAGTATGTTCTTTAAATGTATAGTCACATTGTCTGTTGCCTTGGCAGAAATTTGACAGGTTTGTACCATGAGATAATTTTTCACCTATCACTTCCCTCTCTCCTTTCACCCCTCCCTTCTTTTGTGTGTTTTTTTAATAGAGATTATCTATAAATTTATGATTAGAAAAAAATGGGACTAAGAAACATGTAGGGACCAACTCTTAAAGACGCTCAAACATAGTCAAATATATTTCTTCACCATCAATCTTTTGCTAGCTCTTTCACATAAGGCTTTTTCATCTGCCGTCTGCAGGACATTCAGCCTTCCCTTTGTCTTCATGTCTGGTTATCTAAGCAATTTATTAGCTCTTCCCTAAGGAACTACCATAAATAACAGAATCTAAACTCTGCATCTTCTCTTTCCCTCAAATAAAGCATTGTCTTTCTCCATCTCTCTCACTAGTAGATGAACTAATTGAAGACAAGGAATGTGTCTTGTATATTGCTGCACCTCCTGCATTTTACTCAAAGCAAGAGCTCAATAACTACTTGTTGAATTATTGAATATAGATAATATAATAATAGAACCTCTATAATGTTATCAAGAGCATTACATGAGACAACACATATAAAAGTGCTTAGCACAGTTCCTGATGCATACTAACTGTCCAGTAATTCTTAGCTATTAAATTATGTAAACTGCTTTTAAGGTTTTCTCTTAAATTATATCTGTTAAGACTTTAAAATGTTATTAGACTTGTTTATTGCAAACTTCCTTACAGACTAAAGATATTTGTGTGGTTCAAATTTACCATTTGCCAAAGATGTTTGCTTCAAATGACTTCCATGTTCCTTCCGTCATTCTTCCTTCTCCAAGAGACACCATGATCTTATTTGAATTGTTGAATATAAAAGGGACAATTAGGGAATATTGTTTAGGTTGCAGCTAGGAAAGCTTCTGTGCTTGATCTGCTGATCTGGGCTAGTTTTGCAGATGCCAGTTTTGCTTAATATGGTTAGGACAATTGCCAAAGAGTTAGAACTGTTCTAAGATCTGCTTAGAAAACTTTATCTTCTAGTGTGCTCTGATATGAACCTGCAGAAAAAACCTAGACCCCTCCTAACCTCAAAGGAACACTGGGTTGGTACAGCTTCTCGGACATCAACAGTGCCTTCTAGGAACATATATTCTAAGAAAATCCATTGCCTATTAAGATACGGAGTGGTTGCCCAGTTTCTTTTCTAATGAGTGCATTCTCTTCTCTCTTATGTTTGCTCTCTTGTGTTAATATAACAAAAAGAGCATTTGGTGTGTAACTGCTATTGCATGAGCACTTCATTTTCTTTCAAATAGGTGGATATGTGACTTCCTCACTAATGACTGTCACACGGTATAAGAGAAACCCATCACCATAAAATATAGTATTCTTAGAAGACTCTTTTGCATCGATGAAACCCACTTATGCTGCTGAAAATGTTTTTAACCTGTCTTCTTCTATGTGGGAAATGGATGTCATTGGTAGGGCATGCATGAACTGAATAGATAAAGCCTAACTTCATGCTGTGTGCTTATACCACCTGCAGATCTGCATGCATGCAGGTATGTGACTGAAGGACTCCTCCGCCCAAGCCCTGAAAGACGGTCCTCCCTTACACTAAAGGGAAGGAGACAGAAGATTTCAAAGTCAGCGCCTGTGTCATCTTCTCCCTTTTCTTCTCCACATTTGTTTCTCAGAGGAATCTTAGTAGATGGAGGGAGTTCGTTGTATTTGCAACTTGGAGGGGTCTCATTTTAGTTTTCACATAAGGGCAATAAGAAGAGATAAGGAGAGATGAGAGTTATAAAGGGCAGCCAATGTGAAAGAAGCTTCCCAAGGCAAGGTGATATTGAGTTCAGGTATGTTTTGAACCTTGTTGTGAGGTATGTTAGCCTGCAAGCATTACAAATCTTAGAAAATGGCACTAGTTAATCCTTCATTATCCAGCAGAAACTGAGCCAACGGCCACGGGTGACATCTGTATCTGATTGTTGAAGAGAGAGAGGGAATACTTTTGCCTATATTATGTTGCTCCTGAACTCTGATTGAACACAAAACAAGGCAGTTGAGTGATGCTTGTATAGTGCCAGTGTGAAAATGAAGTACAAACGAAGTGCCCATTAAAAAATGAAGTGCATTTCTAATGGATTGCAAGAATCACTTAACACTGTCTGAGACTCCTAAAGAAAATCAAGAGATTCTGAGACTGAATGTACTGAAATGTATCTTGTGCCTCGCAATTTATCATGGCACTTTTTGGTTTCTTTTTTAACATTCCATGTAAGGCAGAAAAGACCATCCTTCTTTTGTATATCAAGGTACAGAACATTCCATCATTGCAAGGATGGCCCATGTTACCCTTTTATAGGCACACTCACTTCCCTCAACCCCACCTACTCAGCCCCTGGCAATCACTAATCTGTTCTGTTTCTATAATTTCATCATTTCAATAATGATTTCATCATTTCAATAATGTCATATAAATGGAATCATAGAGTATGTAATTTTGGGGGGATTTCCCTTTTTACTCAGCAAAATTCTCCAGAGATTCACCCAGGTTGTTGTAGATATCGACAGTTTGTTCTTTTTTATTGCCAAGCAGTGTTCCATGGTCTGGCTGTACCAGTTTGCTTAACCATTCTTTTATTAAGGGACATGTGAGTTGTTTCCACTTTTTATTACAAATAGAGCTGCTGTGAGTGTCTTTGTACCAGTTTTTGTGTAAACATAAGTTTTTATTTCTCTGAAATAAATGCGCAGGAGTACAATTGCTGGGTCATATGGTCATTGTATGTTTTGGTTTTTAGAAAACTGCCATATTATCTTCCAGAGTTCCTATACCATATTACACTTCTATCATTGTATGAGCAATCCAGCTTGTCCACATCCTCACCAGCATTTGGAGGTGTCACTTTTTTTGAGATGGAGTCTTGTTCTGTTGTCCAGGCTGGAGTGCAGTGGCGCGATCTTGGCTCACCACAACCTCCACCTCCCGGATTCAAGTGATTCTCCTGCCTCAGCCTCCTGAGTAGCTGGGATTACAGGCACACGCCACCACCCCTGACTAGTTTTTGTATTTTTAATACAGATGGGGTTTCACCATATTGGCCAGACTGGTCTCAAACTCCTGACCTCGTGATCCGCCCGCGTTGGCCTCCTGAAGTGCTGGGATTATAAGGCATGAGCCACTGTGCCTGGCCGGAGGTGTCACTATTTTTTTAAGCCATTCTGATGGATTTGTAGTGTGATATCTCATTGTGGTTTTAACTTGCCTTTCACTAATGGTTAATGATGTGAAATATCTTCTCATGTACTTATTTGACATCTTATATTTTCTTTGGTAAAATTTTCTGGCATGTTTTTGCTCATATTCTCATTGGATTTCTTGTTTCAATACTGTTATATTTGAGAGCTTATTATATATTCTAGATACTTGTCCTTTGTTGGAATGTAATTTGCAAATACGTTATCTCAGTCTACAGTTTTTGCTTTCATCTACTTCGCATGAGCTTTCACAGAGCAAGTTTTTAATTTTTGCAGTAACCAACTTATTGTCTTTTTACTTGTTTTATGGATCATGCTTTTGGAGGCAAGTCTAAGAACCTCTTGCCAGTCCTAGATATTGAAGATTATTTCCTATGTTTCTTTCTTTCTAAAAGTTTTATGGTTTTATTGCATTTAAATTCATGAGTTAATTTTTGAATCAATTTTGTATGAGGTGTGAAGGTTAAGTCAGGTATTTTTTTGTTTTTTGTTTTCTCTGTGGATGTCCTATTGCTCCAGCACCATTTGTTGAAAACTATCTTTATGCCACTGGAGTGCTTTTATACCTTAGTCAAAAACCACTTGAGCATTTGTGTGATTCTATTCTTGGGTCCTCTATTCTGTTCCCTTAATCTATATATCTTTTCCTCCACAAATACCACCCAGTCTTGATTGCTATAACTACATGATAAACCTTGAAATTTGGTAGAATAATTCCTTCCACTTTATTCTTTTTCAAAATTATTTTAACTATTCCAGGGCCTATGTTTTCCATAAAAATTTTTAAATAATTCTATCAATATCTGCAAAAATAAAATTCTTACTTGGATTTTGATGGATGTTGCATTAAACCTGTTTACCAATTTGAGGGGAATTAACATATATATTATCTTAAAATCTACAAACATATGTCTTCCATTTAGGTGGATCTTTTTTTACTTCTTTCATCAGAAATGTGTAATTTTCAGCATACAAATTCTAAATATGTTTTGTTAGATTTACACTTAAGTATTTAATATTTTGAGCAATTATATATAGTAATGTATTTTTAATTTTGGTGTCTTCATATTTATTGTTGGTATAGAGAAATATAATTTTTTTATATTTATCTTAAATCCTGCAACATTGATAAACTCATTAGTTAGCTATAGGAAAGGTACTTTTATAGATTCCTTGGGATTTTTTAATGTAGACAGTCATGTTATCTGCAAATCGAGACAGCTATATTTTTTCCTTTTTAATCTGTAAGCATTTTGGTTTCTTTTCTTGTCTTATTGCTGTAACTGGAGCTTCCAGCATGTGTTGAATAAGAGTGATGAGATCAGATACACTTGTCTTGTTCCTGTTGTTGGGGAAAAACATTCAGTTTTTCACCATAAAGTATAACATTAGATACAGGTTTTTGGCAGATGTTTTAAAATCACGTTTAGAAGGTTCCTCTCCAATTCTATTTTTCTGAGCATTTTTAACATGAATCAGTGTTGAATTTTGCCAAAGTCTTTTTATGTATCAGTAGATATGATCACATGACTTTTCTTCTTTGGCTTGTTAATATGATGAATTACTATTGCGAAAGTACCAGGAATTTGTTTTAATCAGATACAGTAAGACAGGCAGACATGGAGTAACTGCTATGATAAGTTTGTTACACTCACAGATCCCTAGAAACAGGGAGCATTCCACACTACAGAATGGAGTCACATGGGAAAGCCCCGAGGTTAGTCAGGAGGCAGCGGAGTGAGTAGAGAACTTGGGCAAGAGCCTTTATTGTGATTTTCATAGGAAAGAATGGGTAAGGCTGGGAATGAAGTCTCAGCAAGTTTAGGATTGATTGGCTAGTCTGAATCATTTTGGTGGACCCTTGTGGGTAGGTGTTGTTGCTAGTTGTCTAGTAACTGACCCTGGGGTGATTAGGGTAAGGGAATAGTGGCCCAGAGCATAGGAGCCCAAAGGAGGTGGTTGGAAGTATGGGTGCTAGATTGGTCAGTTTGCATATGAAAGGGGAGCTCCCAGGCTAGTCATTTGTTATCTCTGGGAATCAACTAGTTGGGGCAGCTCCTCCCTGGTCCAGAAGACCTCAGATGTCAAAGCATTAAATATAGAAACTAGAAAACATGATTAATACAATTACATTGATTTCTATAATATAAGTTAGCCTTGCATCTCTGGAATAAACTCAATTTGATCATAGTGTCTAATTCTTTTTTATATATTGTTGAAGTCTACATGCTAATATTTCATTAAGAGTTCTTACATCTGTATTCATGAATGATATTGATCTATAATTTTATTGTTTCATTCTGTTTTTATCTTGTTTGGGTACATAAGGATTGATATAATTTGGATATTTGTCCACTCCAAATTGATGGAGGCAGAGCCTAGTGGGTCATGGGGGTGGATCCTTCATGAACTGCTTGGTCCTCATGGTAATGACTTCTCACTCTAGTTCCTGGGAGATCTGATTCTTATAAAGAGCCTAGCACCTCCCTCCCCTCTCTCTCTCACTTCCTGCCATGTGATCTCTACATACCTGCTCCCCTTCACCTTCAGCCATGAGTGGAAGCTCCCTGAAGCCCTCACCAGAAGCAGATGCTGGCACCATGTTTCTTATGTAGCTTGCAGAACCATCAGCCAAATAAACCTCCTTTTTTTTATAATTTGTTTGATCTCAGGTATTTCTAGCAAAACAGACTAAGACAAAGGTAATACTAGCTTCATAAACCAACTGGAAAGTGTTACCTTCACTTCTATTTTCTGAAAGAGACTCTGTAAAATTAGTGTTAATTCTTCTGTAAAAGTTCAGTGGAATCTCCTAGTAAAATCATTTGAGCCAGAACTTTTATTCTTGGTAGATTTATAAATCACACATTTAATTTTCTTAACAGTTATAGGGCTATTCAAATTACCTTTCATATTGGAGAAGTAGTTTATATTTTATGAGAAATTGATCTGTTTCCTCTAAGTTGTTAAATATGTGCATGTAGAGTTCTTTATAGTATTCCCGGCTTATCCTTTTGGTGTCTGCAGGGTCTATAGTAGTATGCCCTATTTCATTCCTAATGTTGGTAATTTGTGACTTCTTTTTTTGTTCCCTTGTCAAACTTGCTAATAGTTTGTTAATTTTATTGATCTTTTCAATGAATCAGCTCTTTGTTTCATAGATTTTATTATTTTTCTATTTTTAATTTTATCAGTTTCTGCTCTTACCTTTATTATTTTCTTTTTATGCTTACTTTGGCTTTATTTTGCTCTTCTCTTTCCAAGTTCTTGGGGTAGGGGCTTAGATTATTGATTCAAGACTTTTCTGTTTAATAAAGAAATATGTATTTAATGCTACAAATTTCCCTGTCAACAGTGCCTTAGCTGTGTCCCACAAATTTTGATATGTCCTATGTCTTGATCTGTTTTCTGTTGTTATAACAATATGCCTGAAACTGGGTAATTTATAAAGAAAAGGCATGTATTTCTTACCATTATGGAGGCTGAGAAGTCCAAAGTTGAGAGGTTGTATCTGTTGAGGGCCTTCTTGCTGGTGGGGACTATGTAACATCCCAGAGTGGCATAGGGCAGTTCATGTTGAGTGGGCTGAGCATGGTAGTTCAAATCTCTCTTCCTCTTCTTAGAAAGCCACCGGTCCTACTCCCTTGATAACTCATTAATCCATTGGTCTACAAATGGTTTTATTCATTCATGAGAACAGAGCCCTCATGACCCAATCACTTCTCAATACTGTCCCCACCTCTCGGTACTGCCACATTAAGGAGTAAGTTTCAACATGAGTTTCAAGGGAGAAAAAAACATTCAAACCATAGTGCTTTACTTTCATTTTCATTCAGTTCCATGTATTTTAAAATTTCTTTTGAAGGTTTTTTTTTTTTTTGGCCCATCCATGGGTTATTTAGAACTGTGTTGTGTAGTTTCCAAGTGATCAAAGATTTTCCTCTTATCTATTATTGATTTCTAGTTTGATTCCATTATAAACAGAATAATCTGTATTATTTCACTGGTTTTAAATTTGTTGAGGTTTGTTTTATGACTTAGGTATTGTTTATCTTTGTGTATGTTCTATGTGCACTTGAAAAACAAAGTATATTCTTCTGTTTTGGGGTGAAGTATCTTATAAATATCAATTGACTTCTGCTGATTAATGATGTTGAGTTCTTCTATATCCTTGCTGATTTTCTGTCTAAAAGATTATCAGTTGTTGAGAGAGTGATATTCAAGTCCCCAACAATAATTGTGGATTTGTCTATTTCTTTTTCCAGTTCTACTAGCTTTTGCTTTGCATATGTTGCAGCCTATATATTTATATTTGGAGTGAGTTTCTTATGGACAGCATATATAGCAGATCATGTTTTTTAATTTACTATGCTAATCTCTTTTAATTGGTATACTTAGATCATTTATATTTAAATTAATTATTGTTATGTTAGAGCTTAAGTATGCCATTCTAATTTTTTTTTCTATTTGTTCTTTCTGTTCTGCCTTTCTCTATTTTGTCTTTCCTGCCTTCTTCTGGGTTACTTGTACTTCCTTTTCAAATTGTTTTTATTTATCTATAGTATTATTAAATATATCTTTTCATGTAGTTTTTTTAGTGATTGTTCTAGGTATTATGTCATGCATTCATAACTTATAGTCTTTTATGTTGTCATTTCACCAGTTCAAGTGAAGTATGGAAAACTTACCATCCCTTTTTCCTCACTAATTTATAATATAATTGTCTTAAATATTTCCTCCCCTACATACATCTTTGAACCACATCAGAGTATCATAATTTTTACTTCAACTATCAAAGACAATTTAGAAAACTCAAGAGGAAAAGAAAAACCCATAGTACTTACCTATAGTTTTCTTACTGTATTCTTCCTTCCTGATGATTCGAAAATTCTCTTATCATTTCCTTTCTGTTTGTGGAAAGGTTATTTTATAATTTCCTTCCTGTTTAGGAGAACTGAGCTATGCTTTTAGAATAAATCTACTGGCAACAAATTTGCTTAGTTTTCCTTAACCTGAGAATTTCTTGATTTCTCTTGATTCTTGAAGAGCATTTTTACTAGAATTCTGGGTTGACAGTTCCTTTTTTTCAGTACCTGAAAAATATTTTACATCTTCTTCTGGCTTCCATGGTGTCTAATGAGAAATCTGTTGTTATTTCATTTGTTTTCCTCAAGAGTCAATATATTGTTTTTTTTTCTGTATACCTTCAATATTCTGTCTTGAGCTTTCAAAAATATAATTATGATATGTCTTGGCATCAATTTATTTGAGTTCATACTGTTTGGTATTCACTCAGCTTCTTGAATCTGTAGGTTTATGTTTCTTTCTAAATTATGGAAGTTTTCAGCCATTATTTTCTTAAGTACTTTTCCAGCCTCGATCTCTCTCCTTCCTTTTAAGGACTCCAATGACACAAATTTTAGATTTTTTTGTTATAGACCCCAAAAAGGAAGGTTTCTTCATTCATTTAGTCTATTTTCTCTCTGTAGTTCAGGTTAAGTAATTCCTATTTTTTTCTATCTTTCAGTTCACTGATTCTTTCTTCTGTCACTTCTTTTCTGATGTTCAGCCCATCTGCTAAGCTTTTTATTGGACTTTTTAAGTTATTTTTCAGTTTGAAATTTCCAGATGAGCCAGGCACAGTGGCTCATGCCTGTAATCCCAGGAATTTGGGAGGCTGAGGCAAAAGGATCACTTGAGGCCGGGAGTCTGAGACCAGCCTGGGCAACATAGTGAGACCCTCTCTCTCAAAAAAAAAAAAAATCCATATGGTTCTTTTTTCTATTTTATATTTATTTGCTATCAATTCCTATTTCCTTTCTAAAACTACTTTTTCATCTGCATCATACATGTTCATAATTGCTGTTGAAACATTGTTCGTGATGGCTAAATTAAAATCTTTGTCAGATAATGCTAACACCTCTGTCATCTGGTGTTGTCCTCTATTGACTGTCATTTTTTATTTAATTTGAGATCTTTCTGATTCTTGGTATAAAGAGTGATTTTTTAAAATCTGGACATTTCTGTATTATGTCCTGAAACTCTGGATCTAATGTAAACCTTTTGTTTTAGCTGGCTTTTTTTTTTGACACCACTCTGGCAGTGAAAGTGGGGTGTGCTGCCTCATCATTACCAAGTAGAGGTAGAAGTCCATGTTCCTCACTCAGCCTCTGTTGACACCCAAGTAGGGAGGGCCTCCTCATTACTGGTGGGCAGGAGTGGGAGTTCTGGCTCCCCACATGGTCTCCACTGACACTGTGGTGGTAGTGGTTTCATTAACACTGGACAATGATTAAAGTCTTGACTGTCAATTAGTCCCCTTCCAACACCATCAGTGGAGAAAGGGAAGGGATTCTCATTACTGACAGGTGGGGGAGGAAGTCCAGTTTACCCACATGGTCTCCACTGACACTGCCAGTGTGAAATAGGGTCTCATTATTGGCTAGGAAGAATAAAAGTTCTGGCTCTCTACTTGGCCTTCTATAACATTACTCTGGCAGGGATGTTATGCATCTTGTTACAGCCTTGCTAGGGTGAAGATCAGGCTGCCCACTCAGACTTTGCTAGCATGGTTAGGAAGGGACCACAGTTTTTTCCTGTGATGTTTGACTGGCATAGAGCAGCTACTATCTAAATATTATCTATTTTGCTAGACTGCCTGTTACTAGTCATTTCATTAAAGAGCAGCCTTTTTTTTAGTTGCTTTTTATTGATTTATTTGTTGTCTGCACCAGTTGGTTTTTCCAGGTACTGCCTTCTTCTGTCCCAAGACTTTGATACATAGAGCTAAATAAAAGGAATTCTGGGAAACTCTCTATTGTGTCCTTCCTTGATCTCAGAGTCCCTAGCTGATTTGTCTTCTTCTCTCCACCTTTGAAGTCTTCATATGTTTATTTTATACACACTATCCAGGTCTTAGTTGTACTTAGCCAAAGAAATAGGGGAATGTATGACTACTTCATCTTTGCACAAGGAGGAAATTAATAATCATATTTTATGAGAAAATCTTGAAATACACTTGGGACCTTCAGTTACCACTGTACATGCAGAACTCCATTGTTGCAGCAGAAGAGTGGCTGTGAGACCCCTCAAGAGGACACCTTTTTGCTAGATCATGGTATTATGCTCTCATCTCAGAGGCTCTATGGGAAGAGTGATGTGTTTTAAATTTGAAAACATAAAACATTAGAAGAAGAGAATGAAGCAGCCTTAAATGGAGTCTAAAAATTGAGTAAAGTTGGGCTGCACCACCTAACTGAGGGTAAACTTACCACAACTCTTCCTTTGCTGTGGCATTTGAGACTATGAATTAAATGGAACTTTGAATCAAATAATAAGTTTTTTAAAAAGCAAAAAAAACTTATGCTTATCTAAGGTTTACAGGCTTCATTTTTTTGAGAGGTTGCAACTTTACATAAAATGAAATCACCATAAAATGATATTGCCATAAAATGAAAGCTACTAACCTCAGCAGTGTAGGATGTGAGTAGAACTGGTTAGAGAAGGCAAGAAAGGGGATAAAAATCACAGAGGGCCCTGGTCACTAAAGTACACTTTAAAGAATATGCCAACTGTTCGTCATGTAGTAGATACTCATAAATATGTGCTGAATTGAAGACGTGCAAGACGTGAACTAATTGTTAAGGCAAGAATTGAATACACTAAACATATCATTATATAATTGCTGTTTTCAGTTGTCCCCACTGCCCTGAAGACTCTATATTTGTATTTTTCAATGCATTAAGTGAGACATACTGTAGGCCATCAAAAATAGTTATTACATTCAATTAAAAAATGATCACATTTAAAAAGGACAGAAAAAAAGAGAAGTGAAGGTTTGGCAGAGTTTGGGTAATTATTACTGCTATTCACCAATACTTTTGGTCCTTTTCTTACTGGAAACATGGTAGATTTTACTTTCTGATCCCCTGGAAGCCAGGCATGAGTTTGACCTTTAAAATACGGCAGATGAAGCATGTCACTTTCGGAGCCAGCTTTAAGAGCTTAGGTATGATTCTTCCATGTGGTTTTCCTGGGCTATGTCAAGCAGCACTGCTCCAGATGGAGGAGGCTGCATCTCTGGCTGCAGGCAAATCAAGCAGGGCAGGACATTTAGTGTGAGCAGGAAATTAATCAGGAAAGACAAAAATCAAGCAAGACATTTAATGTTAACAAAGAATCAATCTTTACTGTTTAAAATGATTAAAAAAAAAGCAGGGGTTATTTGTTACTATAACATTACATAACCCATCCTGAATAATAGAAAATAGTAAGAGTGTGTCTTTGGCAGTAGGATTATAGGGGCTTTTTCTTTTCTTTTTTCTTATCTTCTCATATTTTGTATTTTTTCAAATAATGTTTTTATCTATTTTTTACTTTTGTAGAATGTGTATAGTTTATAATAAGGAAACAAAATTAACTTAAACTGGGGGGCAGACACATTTTTATGATTTGAATATGTTTAAAATTTAAAATGATGTTATATTTTATTGACAAAGGTATAAATGTACAGGATTAATGCCATTTTCTTGAACTTAGAGTATGTTGGTGCATGATGCTCTTTAGTCTCCAAGAACACTGAAAGACAAAGTGTTACACTGTCATTGAACCAAGGCCTATGATCTTGAGATACATCTGCTCTAGCCCTTAAGAAATGCTCTTCCAGGAGGGCGGTAGGCCTCTTGGGGTTCTGGGAGACTTTTGTGTGACTGACAACTTCCCTTTTGTCTGCAGTTGGCGGATGTGATCAGGCAAGAGGCAACCAATAATGATGTGTTGACCATGAGAGGGGTGTGTTTGCTGATTTTCCCTTCCCTCACCTTCCCCTCTGTACAAAACACACACACACACAGAGAGAGAGAGAGAGAGAGAGAGAGAGAGAGAGAACAGAGAGTAGCATGGCTGGGCTCATTCAAGAAGACCCAGAACATCTGCACATTGCCTTTATCAGACAGAAGGCCTTTCATGTGACTTGTATAGGAAGTACCTGAATAAAAATGATTCTGTTTCTATTCTGGTGCAAGCTCAGAACTTCTAGACACAGGGTTCACATGTGTTTGTCTGCACATATTCACTGGATGACTTGAGTCAGATCAATGAAAGCCCATGCCTTCAATCTGGCAGAATCATCAACCAGGGATAATATAGAGAGTAATTACAGAGTCTCAGCACTGTAATTTTTCTTTCAACCTCCCCTGACACAATCAGAAGATAGTTTTTGATGTCTTTGATGATTGAGGCTTCATAAACTAAAACTAAGAATGTCTAGATATTTTAAAAGGTTAATATTTTGCAACTTTGCCTACTGTCAAGTATTATTTAGAGTTCCACTTCAGTAACCTAGAACTATATAACACACCATCAATAGAAATAAACCTCTTATTGGTCCCATTAAAAAGATAGTGAAGCCCTGGTTTTATAAATAAATGCTTGTTTCTTATTCTTCTTCTGTCACCCCTCAGAACCACATTTAGTATGTGAAATAATGAATTCTACTTCTAAATAAGAAGTTAAAAGGAGCCAAAAGAAGTGATGATAGTGAATAGCGCTTATTATAAAGGAAACACTTTCGGGAATGGTCTCTTTTTTTAAGGAACCAAAAAACTTTTAGATCCTAAACTATACCTGGAGGAAAAAAGATAACCTTATTAAGAATCTTTACATTTCTTCAATTAGTTTTGGAATAGCAAGTTAGTGTAAATGATCTCTCTAGCCCTACACTTGTTCTGTTAAGTTTTTGAAAATAAAAGAAACAAAACAAAACATATATACATATTCTGAAGGCAAAGGCCTTTTACTGATATTGTCCAGTTTAGCCTTCAAAATATTTAGCACCTTTCTACTCTAAAATGTCTAGGTAGAGGAAAAAATTATTTTTAAAGTTTTTCAAATGGCAACCCTTAAGTGCAGTTTCATGTACTCACACTGGAAACTAGGTCTTGGCATGGAAGATGCCTGGGGATCCTGTAGACTCAAAGGGCTCTGAAAAAAAGTTAATAACCTTTTTTCCTTGTTACTAAAAACGACCCGGGTGAGGCATCTCATATACCCGCAGGGAGCAGCTCGCTGCTGAACCATTTCCTCCGCCAGCCAGACTCCCTCGGCTTTCATCTCATCTTGCTAACATTTTTTTTTTTATTATACTTTAAGTTTTAGGGTACATACAAAGATGTTTGTGGCAATGAAATTGATAGCAAACTTGACGATTCATACAGCGTTTAGAGATTCCTTCTTTTTTAATTCTATTAACTGAGATGAACCCAATCTGCTGAAGCCATTCATTGGGAGATCTCGGGACCTGGTCTTATAAGACTAGCTCAGACTTTCTGGCCATGGTCCCCTGTTCTGTAGATCTAATTAGCACCGAGAGCAGCTTCCTAGCATCTAAAACATAAGCTGATCTGGATTCTAATGCCCTGATCTGGATTCTAAATTTGGAATCGTTTTTCTTAAATGCTCTTACTTCCTATTATTTACGAAATAGGTTGATCTGCAGAAAAGGGTGCTCATATTCCCTCAACTAGCGGAATCAGCTAGCCCATTAATCAACAAGTATCTTTTCCCTAGGATCTACTATGTGCCCCAGGGTGCACTGGAGCTAGTACTGCAATGTGTGAAAAAGTTGTTATAACCTTGTTAGCATTTGGTTGATTCCACAGAGCTCCATCTCCTAAGAGCCTTTGAAATCCTTTTGCAACTACTTCCTACACAGCCAGCACTCACTCACCCAGAAAGTTCAGTTACTGTCATGATTAAGCCGGTGGAGAGGGTGGGAGCGGGAGAGTGGAAATGAGGATAAAGAGAGAGATCTTGTGCTGAGAGCCTGTAAGCCTTCGTTACCTAACGCAATGAAGAATTCAGATTCCCCTCACTCCTCAGGCTGCATGAGCTTCTGTGCCAAGTAGAAGGTCATGTAACTGTGATTTGAAAAAGACAGGCCTGGAACCCATGCACAATTTTAAAGTTATGCATGGAGTCAAAGGGAGAGAAGGGAGACAAGGGGAATAAAGACATCCTTAACAATTAGGAAGTGAGTGTGTTTTCTTCCTCTCCTCATCCTGAAGCTAGAGCTTCTACCAGGCAGGAAAAACAGGTTGTTCTTTGGGGCATTGGTCCTGCTGGTCCAGTCTAACAAGGTGTGCTTACTAATCGGTGTGCATTTCTCTCTTTCTGCCCCAGGACAGCTTTCCTGCCCGCTTTGGAGGAGTCCACTTTGTCAACCAGCCCTGGTACATTCATGCCCTCTACACACTCATCAAGCCATTTCTTAAAGACAAGACCAGGAAACGGGTAATGAAAACAAATGCATCATGTAAATTCCTGGTACAATTTTGGTGCTTCTATTTTCTCTCTCCCCTCCTCTCTCCTTTCCCCCCTTTTTCTCTCTTTCTCTCTTTATCTTTCACTGTGGTTTTTCTACAGCCCCTAAGCATTTAAGCCTCAGCTGGAGTTTGCAAATGGCCTGGGTTTAATTAATAATTCAGTAGAACTGGGTTATTTTCGGAGTCCCAGTGACAAACCAAAAGAAACTTTGAAGGCATGCAAATACCAGATGCCCATGTTACTGTAAATTCTTATGGGAGATACTGGGTCCAGCAGCTTTCCTGTTCATAAAATGTTTTAGTAGCTAGCATTTTGTTCTGCAAATGTATTAGTGCTATGAAGAATGATTACAATTTTTCTTCCTCCCATAACTTTGGGTGATAACTGCTAACTGCATCACCTGTAAAGCTGGAAAAGCATTCTTCTTTGGAAATAACACTGCTCTTATGAGGAAGGCTTTTACAGCCTTAATTATATCAATTGATAACACTTGGGAAGCCAGCTTTTTCCATCAATCAGAGTTGGGCTTTTTCATGGCATTTTGATGAGCTGAGTAACTGAACATTCCTTAACCACTCTGAATCTCAATTTTCTCATTTATAAATTGCGGAATCTAACACCCACATCACAGAGTTGTTGGGGAAATCTAATGAGACAGCTAATGAAAACATGTATCATGATGCAGTTGGTACATCATGAGACTTGTTGACTTTTATTTATCTTTACCATTTAGCTCTCTTTTCTTTTTTTCCCAGTGTTATTAAGGTATAATTGACAACTAAATATTGGATATATTTAAGGTGTTCAATGTGATGTTTTTATATACCTATGCATTGTGAAATGATTACCACAATCAAGCTATTAACACATCTATCACCTCCTATAATTATGATTTGTGTGTGTGTGTGTGTGTGTGTGTGTGTGTGGTGAGAACACTTAAGATCTACTCAGCCAATTTCAAATAAACAATACAATATTATTACTTATTACAGTATCCATACTGTACATTAGGTCTCCAAAATCTATTCTCATCCTATATAACTGAAACTTTGTCCTCTTTTTCCAGTGTCTCTCCATTTCCCCCTACTCTCAGCTCCTGGCAACCACCCTTCTATTCTATACTTCTATGATTTCAACTTATTTAGATTCCACATATAAGTGTGATCATGCAGTATTTGTTTTTCTGTGTCTGGCTTATTTTTGTTAATATAATTGTTCTTTAGGTTCATCCACATTGTTGAAAATGACAGGATTTCATTCTTCTTTAAGACTGCATAGTATTCCTCTCGGTATATATCCATTTATCTGTTAATGGACACTTAGGTTGTATCCATATCTTGGCTATTATGAATAATGCTACAGTCTTATCTTTGAGACTTTCTATTTTCAGCTACCTCCTGGGTCAGGAACACCACTCCTTATGGGAACCTGGCTAGGGTAATCCTACAACACCTTTTCCTGACACCCAGGGTGCCTGACACTAGGGAATAGCTCTGAGTATTCAGGAGGGACTGATAATGTGAGGGATTCCCCGCCACCTCCCACACTCTGCAGGGTTTCTAACTCCTAGATCTCAGATGCTTCCAGGTCCTTTAGAGAGCATTGCAATGGGGTAGAGCAGGGGTAATTTCCCTGTTCTCAAACAAGTTTGAAACCAGGAATTAGAACTCACTGGGATCACAAGACAGAAATGTTTTAAAACCCATCTGGGGCTCAGGACAGTGCTAAGAACAGAGAAGTGTTCTAGGACTGTTCTCAACATGGCTTCAGGCTTTCCAGCAACTTATTCTTCTATTCAGGTTGGAGCGAGAGAGAATTCCTCCCACGGTGGACACTTGCTGCCATGCCATAGGTGGGCATTTTTGGAGCTTTGGGCACAGGATAGATTCTAAGAGGTAGAGGGTCCAGCCTCCTCCTTCTGCATTCCTCCATTCCACAAGACCCCCAGAAGGGAAGGTCACCTTTAATGGCACTCTTTGTCTTTCAAAAACTGGACATGTTGGGTGGAGGGGTACAAATGTTTTCTCTAAACACCAGGGCTGATATTTCGCTCCAGCATGTTTCATATACAAACCCTCTGAAAAGTTTTATAAAAGCCAGAAAAGTGACTTTCTTCAAAAGAAATAATTCTTATTAAAATTCAGTCATACTCAAGTGCAATATCAGAAATTTTGATATTTTGATATACTTTCTGAAGTTCTCCAGTAGTTTTCTGAAGAATTAGCACTTCTTGTCCCCTTCATCTTTAAATGATGTCATTACATCATGAGTTAAAATCAATACAATAGAACAAGGTAGCAAGTGTTTATTATTGAGGTCCTCTATGTAAGTATTTTAAAAATCACATATAGGCTGGGCGCGGTGGCTCACGCCTGTAATCCCAGCACTTTGGGAGGCCGAGGCATGCGGATCACGAGGTCAGGAGATCGAGACCATCCTGGCTATCACGGTGAAACCCCGTCTGTACTAAAAAATACAAAAAAATTAGCTGGGCGTGGTGGCAGGTGCCTGTAATCCCAGCTACTGAGGAGGCTGAGGCAGGAGAACGGCATGAACCTGGGAGGGGGAGCTTGCAGTGAGCCGAGATTGCACCACTGCACTCCAGCTTGGGCAACAGAGCAAGACTCCGTCTCAAAAAAAAAAAAAAATACATATAGATTTTTTTTTTCCCGAGTTGGAGTCTTGTTCTGTTGCCCAGGCTGGAGTGCAGTGGCGTGATCTCAGCCCACTGCAACCTCCGCCTCCTGGGTTCAAGTGATTCTCCTTCTCCAGCCTCCTGAGTAGCTGGGATTACAGGCGTGCCCCACCATGCCCAGCTAATTTTGTATTTTTAGTAGAGACAGGGTTTCAACATGTTGGCCAGGCTGGTCTCGAACTCCTGACCTCAGGTGATCTGCCCTCCTCAGCCTCTCAAAGTGCTGGGATTACAGGCACAAGCCACTGCACGTGGCCCACGTTTATATTTCATCATGGTTATACTGTATGTATATGTGCATGCATGTGTGTATACCTGATGATCCTATACTTGGGTGCACCTTATGTGTTACACATAATTACTTTATGCCTGCAACATGAAGAAGTGTGGGAACTGACATCAGTACATGGATGGACTTTAAGTCACCTTTCAGAGTCAACTCCTAAATTGTAGTCAGTGCTAATTATCTATTCATGTCTCATCCACTTTGTAGATTTGTCTGGAAATAATTGTAACTTGGAGGTGTGCCTTCTCTCCTGCTTGACCAGTTTTTATCACTATGTCCCCAATCCAGACAAAAATGGAAAATTGCAGCAAAAATATCTCACGATAACTTCTCAGGCTGTGGTTTTTGATTCCATTAAATAAGAATTGATTTTCTTCTACCTTGTGCCCACATCACCCTAGGAGCTAAGAAGCATTTTAAAGGAGTAAGAAAACACCAACTTTTTCTCTAGATATTTTCCCCCGTGGGGAAACAAGACGTAAATGAACATATCAGAAAAACAAACAAACAAACAAAAACAGAAGTCGGCAGTCAGCAGATACTGAAGAATTAATTAGAGGGTGGTTGGAAAGAAGCAGAATAGGCAGTTATCACCAGGGCGAATTAGGAAGAAGCTGCAACTTTGTCTAGGCCAGGGAAGGGGGGAAGGATCTGGAGGACTGGGTGAGAGCACACAGATGGGAGAGCAGAGCAGTCTGGAGATCCAGCAATAGCTGGGGTTTCAGGTGGTCTGCACCATCACTCCTTTTACCAGCAGGGATAATTAGGAGATGACTGTATGTGTAAATTTGGCCCACAGCCAAGTAATGCTCAATCTGTTCATAAACTTCATTTTTAATGACTATTAATTCAGCCCCTTTTCTAAGCAATAAATTAACATTTTATGAAGACTAAGCTACAGTCACAAAATCAATGCCTCTTTAAACACTGTGATCACCAGCAGTGCATCCAATTTGTCATGGCTAAATTGTGTATTAGATGAAATCTTTGGTCGTATGTTTTGGATTTTGTATTGCTAATTACTTTTTGTTTTCTTTACAGATTTTCCTGCATGGAAACAATTTAAACAGCCTTCACCAGCTAATACACCCTGAATTTTTGCCCTCTGAATTTGGAGGAACTCTTCCTCCTTATGACATGGGAACTTGGGCCCGGACGTTACTCGGTCCCGACTACAGCGATGAAAATGACTATACTCACACATCCTATAATGCAATGCACGTGAAGCATACGTCCTCGAATCTGGAGAGAGAATGCTCACCCAAGCTGATGAAAAGGTAAGGCCTGGGTTATCAGAGCCCCCCCCCCAGTCAGAGGTCAATGGAATTTTTTATTTGGACCTATTGTGAATTATTAATTAAAGACCTTTATGGGCAGAGAACTTGAATAAAATAAATTGCAATGCATTCTCAGCTGATTTCACTAAAACTGAAAACAAATGGGGCTTGGCTGGCCCAGCACTATAGTTGTCCCCATTGTATCAAAGGAATAGTTAAAGGCTAGGACTTCACTCATGCCACAATTATAGCCCTGGTCTTCAGGGTGTTTGTTAATACACACAGAATAAAATGTTGGACCTTTGAGATACACTAGGTGGAAAAACAACCTGCTAAAAAATGTTCCTATCATTCATTTATTTGGAACCATTTATTGAGAATTTACTGGGCTGCAGCACTGATTAGGGACAAGAGGTACAAATGAGAATAAGATGTCAAAAGAACAGAGAAGTATGCCTCAGGGAATCTTCCAAGTAAGACTTTTGCAGCATATTTATAAAGCAGGCGACATTCAGTCTGAGCTCTGGAGACCAGCAACCGAGGCTTGGGAAATGGCATATAGCAATCCAAGCAGAGTGGACAGACTGAGGCATGTAGGTATTAGAGTGATGGAATAATCTAGTGTGGTAAAAAGGCGTGCAAGGGTGGGAGATGGGACTGGACATGAAATAAAGCTCCAAAAACAGTTGGATCCAAGTGGTGAAGACCATTGCATACTGTAGTCAATGGAGTGCCATAAAAGAGGGATTAAAAAGATTGATAAATGAGTATTTTCTCATTATAAAAATTAAAACCTGATTTTTAAAATTTTATTTTATTTTTCCATAAGTTATTGGGGTACAGGTGGTATTCAGTTACATGGGTGAGCTCTTTAGTGGTGATTTGTGAGATCCTGGTGCACCCGTCATCCGAGCAGTATACACTGCACCATATATGTTGTCTTTTATCCCTCGCCCCCCTCCTACTCTTCCCCCCAAGTCCCCAAAGTCCATTGTATTCTTACATCTTTGCATCCTTATAGCTTAGCTCACCCATCGGTGAGAACATAAGATGTGAAACCTGATTTTTTAAGACTAAAATCCCCTTCAGCCACTATTCTCAATCTCAGTCTCAATCCCATTTCCTCCCAAATGGTAACCACTGTAGAGGTGGGCCCTTGTAATTCTGTTTTCCATACATCACATACATCTATACACACCCATAAAAAACATCTAATATTGTATAATTTCTAGGGCTGCTGTAATAAGTTACTACAGACTGGGTGGTTTAAACAACAGAAATTTATTTTCTTACAGTTCTGAAGGTTGGAAGGGCAAGATCAAGGTGTTGGCAAGGTTGGTTTCTCCTGAGGCCTCTCTCCTTGGCTTGCACATGGCTGCCTTCTCCATGCGTCCTTACACGGTTTTCCTTCTGTGTGTGTCTGCCTCTATCCTAACCTCCTTTTCTTATAAGGACACCAGTCGTATTGAATTATGACCCACCCATAGAACCTCGTTTTACCTTAATTGCTTCTTTAAAAGTCATATATCCAAATATAGTCATATTCTGAGGTACTTCAACATATGAACTTGGGGATGAGGAAGACTTCAGCCCATAGCATATTGTTATGAAACGTTTTTCCACGTCAGTATATTTAGACATATGAAGAGGCTTGAAAATATTTGTGGAAAAATAAGATTAAAGATAAAAATTCAAAATATAAACTTATATAGCTCAAGGACATCAGTTCATATATGTGTGTATACATATTAAGTATATATACAAACACCTTATTTTTCAGCCTAAGTTCCATCAAGTTCAAGACAGTTTTGTGAGTGACAATACCAGCCATTTAGTTTATCCCTAAATAACTGAGGGTCCTAGGAACTTAGCCATGTCAATGTAGTCTTTTTTACATTAGATGAACAAAAATGGATGCCCTTGAAATATTACTAAGATTAGAAAACAAAAAGAAGTCAGAAGGAGCCAAATCAGGACTGAAAGGTAGTTGCCTAATAATTTCCTATTGAAACTCTCATAAAATTGCCCATGTTTGATGAGAGAAGTGAGCAGGAACATTGTCATGGTGCAGAAGGACTCTCTGGGAAAGATTTCCCAGGAATTTTTCAGCTAAAGCTTTGGCTAACTTTCTCAAAACACTCTCATGATAAGCAGATATTGTTGTTCTTTGGCCCTTCAGAAAGTCAGCAAGCAAAATGCTTGGACCAGCCCAAAGAACTGTTGCCAAGACCTTTGCTCTTGACTGGCCCACTTTTGCTTTGACTAGAGCACTGCCACCTCTTGGTAACCATTGCTTTGCCTGTGCTTTGATTTCAGGATTGCACTGGTAAAACCGTTTCATCTCCTATTACAGTTCTTCAAAGAAATGCTTCAGAATCTTGATCCCACATGTTTAAAATTTCCATCGAAAGTTCTGCTCTTGTCTGTTCCTGATTTGAGCACAATGGTTTTGGCACCCAAGTGGAAAGTTTGCTCAACTTTAATTTTTCAGTCAGAATTGTGTAAGCTGAACCAGTTGAGGTGTCTGTGGTGTTGGCTATTGTTTGTGCTGTTAGTGGTTGGTCCATGAACAAGATAAATTAGGGCATGAACAAGACAAATTTTTTCCTGGCAAAATGATGTAAAATTGACATGAATTGATGTCCACAACTGAGGGCTTCACCATCAACATTGTCTTGTCCCTTCCTAAAATGAGTTATCCAATTGGAAACTGCTGATTTCTTTGGGGTATTGTCCCCATTAACTTTTTGTAAAGCATCAGTGATTTCACAATGTTTTTACTCAACCTTCACCATAAATTTGATGTTTGTTCTTGCTTCAATTTTAGCAGAACTCATGTTGCTCTGATAGAGGTTCTTGTCAAACCTGATGTTTCTGATGTCTTATCTTCTTAGTGCCTCAAACTAGATTGTGTTCAGACATGCTATAACAAGTTAGCACAAGTTTATTTTGGTACAAAAATTTTTTGAACTCCATGCATAATTTTTTATAATATGCGTTTTCCATGAACTTTGTGAAGACCCCTCATAGACCATGTGTTTAATACTGCATGCCATTTTAGAACATGGATATACCACAGTTTATCCATCTCCTCATTGCTTTGCATTTGGGTTTTTGAGGTTTTCCTTTTCTAAACAAGATTCAATAAATGTCTTTGGTATACCTCCTTCATTTTCTTAGGAAGGTTCCTCTGAGTAGACTCAGAACCCTGTAGTTGGTGGGTATGTGCCTTTAAAGTTTTAGTTCACACTGTTCAAAAGCCCTCCAAATGACACCAATTGATACTCCCAGCTGTCTATGAGAACCTTCTTCTCCATACCCTGGAAAAATGCTTGATATGACCAGACTTTAATTTTAATGATAATCTTATGATGGGAAAACGCCATGTCATTTTGTTTTCATCTTTATTTCCTCAACATTCATAGTTAAGCAGAGAAATGACATAATAAGATCTGGGTTTTATAAGGATCATGGGATTAGCGAGGAAATGGTTTGTGCATCAGAGACTAAAAGCCACTAGAAGGCTGATGCAGAGACTTAGTTGGGAAGATGAGAGCCAGAACTAATGCCAAATCAGAGGAAAACTGGCTCTATCCTATAGATGTTTGGCTATGGAAAAGGAGGAGTAACATTCATGACGGTTGGGCTCAACTTCTTCCAAAGTCCTGTTAATGTGGATATTTTGACCTCCTCCCATGAATCTTGAATGTTCTAGAATGGCATCCAGAATGGTGAATCCTTTCCAAGAAGTTTTCAATTTACTTTGTCCAGATCCATCAGACAAATCACTATCTATGGTAGCTATAGTCTTATGAAATGTTTTTGTTTGTTTGTTTGTTTTGTTTTGTTTTGTTTTTTTGAGACTGGAGTCTTGCTCTGTCACACAGGCTGGAGTGCAATGGCATGATCTCATCTCACTGCAACCTCTGCCTCCCACGTTCAAGCAATTCTCATGCCTCAGCCTCCTGAGCTGAAATGTATTTCTTAAGTAATAAGATGTGAAAGTCATGGACTGCAGAATGGATGTTGTGCTGGGCATGAAAACAACCTTCACCTCCTTGTACATATCCACCAGAGCTCTTGGGTAACCAGGAGCACTGTCAATAAGCACTAATATTTTGAAAGGGATCTTTTTTTCTGAGCAGTAAGTCTCGTCAGTAGACTTAAAATACTCTGTAAACCGTGCTATAAACAGATATACTGTCATTCAAGCTTCATTGTTCTATTTATAGTGCACAGGGAGAGTAGATTTAACATAATTCTTAAAGGTCCTAGGATGTTTAGAATGGTAAATGAGCATTGGCTTCAACCTAAAGTCACCAGCTGCATTAGCGCCTAACAAGAAAGTCAGCCTGTCCTTTGAGGCTTTGAATCCAGGCTTTGACTCTCCTCTCTAGTTATGAAAGTCCTAGATGGAAGAAGTCTATTCTTCCAATAGAAGGCTGTTTTGTCATTGGAAATCTGTTGTTTAGTGTAGCCAGCTTCATCAATGATCTTTCCTAGATCTTCTGGATAGCTTGCTTCATCTTCTATATCATCACTTGCTGCTTTACTTTGCACTTTTATGTTGTGGAGACAGTTTCTTTCCTTAAGCCTCATGAACCAACCTCTGCTAGCTTCCAATTTTTCTTCTACAGCTTCCTCACCTCTCTCAACCTTCATGAAATTGAAGAGAGTTAGGATCTTGCTCTGAATTAGGCTTTGGCTTAAGGAAATGTTGCGGCTGGTTTGATCATCTATTCAGACCTCTAAAACTTTCTCCATATCAGCAATAAGGTTGTTGCACTTTCTTAGCATTTGTGTGTTCACTGAAGTAGCACTTTTAATGCTCCTTTGCATTCACAACTTGGTTAACTGTTTCATGCAAGAGGCCTAGCTTTCAGACTTTCTGAGCTTTCAGTGTGCCTTCCTCCCCAAGCTTAATCATGTCTAGCTTTTGGTTTAAAATGAGAGACGTGCAACTCTTCCTTTCACTTAAACACTTAGAAGCCATTGTAAGGTTATTAATTAACCTAGTTGCAATACTGTTGTGTCTCAAGGAATAGCGAGGCCCAAGAAGAAGGAGAAAAATGAGAGAACATTTGATCTGTGAAGCAGTCAGAAAACACACACCATTTATCAATTAAGTATATTGTCTTATAGGAGCACATTTCACGGTACCCCCAAAACAATTACAATAGTAACATCACAAATTTTTTTATCACAGATCACCATAGCAGATATAAGAATAATAAAAAGTTTGGGCCGGGTGCAGTGGCTCAAGCCTGTAATCCTACCACTTTGGGAGACCGAGGCAGGAGAATTGTCTGAGCTCGGGAGTTCAAGATCATCCTGGGCAACATGGTGAAACCCCGTATCTACTAAAAAAATACAAAAAAAAATTAGCCAGGTTTTGCGGTGGGTGCCTATAGTCCTAGCTACTCAGGAGGCTGAGGTAGGAGAATTGCTTGAACCTGGGCGGGTGGAGGTTGTAGCAATGAGTCAAGATCACGCCACTGACTGCACTACTGCACTCCAGCCTGGGCAACAAAGCGAGACTCTGTCTCAAAAAAAAAAAAAAAAAATTTGAAATATTGTGAGAATAACCAAAATGTAATACAGAGACACAAAGTGAGTCATGCTGTTGGAAAAATGGTGCCAATAGACTTGCTGAATGCAACATTACCACAAGCCTTCAAGGTGTACAAAGTACAATATCTGCAAAGGGCAATGACGTGAAGCACAGTAAAACAAAGTATGCCTATATGTGAATGAATTAATATTAATGTTGAATGAATATTATTAGCTCCAAAACCCATCCGTGGTACACTTGTCTAATTGCTTCAAAACTGATTAGTTGGCTTTCAGATAGAAAGAGCCAATTCCTCCCCCAACCCCCTGTCTTTAACAAGGCTCTCATGGTTCTTGCTTGTAGAATCTTTCATCCAGGTAGGAAAGAGAAAACGTGCCCCAAATAACTATAATGTAGAATGTGAGAGGCACTACAAAGGAGGAGCAAGATGCTGCTACAGCGTTCTGAGGAAGAATCACTAATTTTGTCCAGGAAGACTCTCAGAGAAGCCTCCATGTGGAAGGTTTGGCTGACCCAGGGTTTGGAGGAGTATTGCATTTCATTACATACGGGAGCCAAAATTCAAGACTAGCTAGCAGGAGAAGCTAGCAAGTGTGCACACACTTCATTTTCCCCACCATGGCCACAAGGATGTCCTGCCCACTGCTGCTGCCCTTTGTGATGACTTCCTTGAACGCTTGTCCGGAGATTTCAGGCAGTGGCAGGATGGGCAGAGACTGGAGAGGAGGGATCAGCCCTGCTGTTGGCGTATATCTCCTGTAAGGCACCTCACTGATGAGGAACAGAGCAGCCACTATTCACTGTCTTTTTGACCACTCAGAACCCACATGGATGTGCAAAAATTGGGAACAGAATTGGAAGAGACCTTACAGGTCATCTCTTCCAGTCTCTCACCTGACAGAGAGGTCTGTTCTCCAGCACAGAACATCAACCAGCCTCCGCTTGCACCGTCTAGAGACAGGCAGGCACCTTTCTGGGCAGCGTGTTCCCTGTGGTGTGGCCTTGTTAAAAAGCACTTGCTTATTCTGAGTAAGATGACATAGGTCTGCCCTCTGAACAGCACTGTAATCTCCAGTAGGTTCACATCATCTATTTTCATAACCCCGTTACCCGACCCCCATAGTTCCCTACATGCTTCAGGTCCATTTGGATTCAAGTGGGCTTTGTGCACCGACCTTGGGACCCAATCACTTTTCGTAATCTGGCTTTTGGGCACAGATGGCCACTGTGTTCCAAAGCACTCTCGACCCATGCTTTCTGGTATCCACGTAGAGTAAAAGCCAAGACTCCCGGAACTCTCAGTGAATGACTGGTTCTAATGAGCTCTTGTTTTTTTTCTTTGGATAATTGTAGCTCAACCCTTATGTAGAAAAAACAAAATAATGATTGGTTTAGCTGGAAATTCCTCTAAATGAATTATTTCAATATTGTTCTGCTCTTTAATACAATAATGCCATGGTGGGCTTTTGAGGTGTGTGGCATTCTCTGCTCTGGTACTAAATGACCCTGAGTTTTATATTTTTAACTTTTTATTCCTGTTTTTTCTTGTTGTTGTTATTGTTGTTTGGGACAGAGTCTCGTTCTGTTGCCAGGCTGGAGAGCAGTGGTATGATCTCGGCTCACTGCAATCTCCGCCTCCCGGGTTCAACTGACCCTCCTGCCTCAGCCTCCCAAGTAGCTGGGACTACAGGTATGCACCACCACGCCCAGCTAATTTTTTTGTATTTTTAATAGAGACAGGGTTTCACCATGTTGACCAGGATGGTCTCGATCTCTTGACTCTCATGATCCACCTGCCACAGTCTCCCAAAGTGCTGGGATTACAGGCGTGAGCCACCATGCCTGGCCTTATTCCTTATTTTATTTTATTTTTCAGAAGTCCACTTCTTTGCTCCCACATCATCAGCTGTTTTCTGTTCTTAGGAGTGTATGTGTGAAGCACCTCACTTTCTCCTACCTAATTTACTCCTTGAATATGTTTTAGGCTTGGAGAATAGGTAACCCAACATTAAAACTGTCCAACAAAGAATAGTAAATAAGCTTTGTATTAGTTATGATTATTTTCACTGCAAGAAAGAAGAAAACCCAAATGAACTGCTTTAAACTATGAGGAAAATGCATTATTTCACAGGAGACATCTTGAAGACAGGTGACTGCAGGAGTGTTATTCTAGGGACTCAGTAATGGCCACAAGAACCAGGTTCTCTCCACTGTGTCCAGCACAACTGGAGACTTCTCAGGCAGGGGCTGATTTCTGACTCTCACAGGAGATCATAATGCCTAAATGAAAGGAGTTTTGTTGGAGAAAAAGGAAGAAAGAGTGGCTTAGGGCTGGAAACCAACAGTCCTGCTACACACAGGCTTATTCAGGGGTGTAGGCCGGAAATTTCTGCCAGGAAATTTCTGCATTATTTTTTAATCAGCATGTAGAGTTTGTGACCTTTAATTGTTAGGCCATATAAAGCAATTACTTTCTGGTTCTTGCCTTTATTGCTGATAAAGTAATTAAAATGGCTATAGATATTATTGTTATTTTATTATTATTTTTTTGAGATGGAGTTTTGCTCTTGTTGCCCAGGCTGGAGTGCAGTGGCACGATCTCAGCTCACTGCAACCTCCACCTCCCGGGTTCAAGTGATTCTGCTGCCTCAGCCTCCCGAGTAGCTGGGATTACAGGTGCCCACCACCACACTCAGCTAATTTTTTGTATTTTTAGTAGAGATGGGGTTTCACCATGCTGGCCAAGCTGGTCTCGAACTCCTGATCTCAGGTGATCCACCTGCCTCAGCCTCCTAAAGTGCTGGGATTATAGGTGTGAGCCACCGCACCTGGCCTATAGATATTATTTAAAAGGCACGTGTGCACACACAGAAACACTATCATGATGTAACTACTGGTGAAGGATGAGCCACTTTGAGAGGTCTTCAAATATATGTATCTGTATGTATACACACAGATATACATGTACATATATATATAATTGTTAAAAGATTACTGGTGATAAACCTCATGTAAATTTTGTCCTGTGATTTTGATTGAGGGTAAGAAACTTCAGCCATTCCCTGGAGCTGAATCCATCTAAATGCAGATTGATCCAAAGGTAGAGAGTTCTGGGGACAGTGCTCATTAGATGCAACACGCAGAAGGATAAGTGATGGCGGGTGCCCTTGCAGCAGGTTAGATATCACAATTGTTCTCAGACGCGTCCTTTCATTTGTTTCATTTATTCTTAGCCAGTCCTGACAGCGGCTATTAACAATGGACCTGATGATCTCAAGGAAACAAAGAGCATCTTTCCCGGTATTTCTTGGCAAAAATAAAAGGGGGGACTCTGAAAAGCCAGGCTTTGTCCTGCCTCTGAACCCATCACCATGGCCAGGGAGAGGGTGCGTTTGATTTCCAGGAATGAGAAGTGTGTTCATTCTGGTGGACAGGCACGGGTACAAATCCTGGACGAAACAGGATTATTATAGGAAGGGGCAGTGGTTTCCCAAAGAAGAGGTACGGACCATATCGAAACTGTATATCCCCACCATACAGGAATGGCAGGTAGTTCCTGCCATGGCCAGCAGGGGGAGAAAGTGGGGATTTTAGGCTGTCCTCTCATTGAGCTTGAATGGGTTCATCTTGGCTGTACCACATTGCAGAAGCCTCTGTTTGCAGGGTAAACATTCTCCACAAAAAGTTTATATAGAATACATTTTATTATTCTTCTTATTAGCGGCTTTTGAAAGTTTAGATCTGGAGGAAGTCCTTAGATGTCATTTAGGGATCGTCAGACTTTCCACCACTAAGGACCTCTTCTGTCCCCCACAGGGTATGTGTGTGCAGTGAAAGACGCTGGCTACCGAAAACATTGCATTTGTTAAATAATCACAAATTCAGTGTAATCAGTGTTAATTCACAGAATTATCCTAAGATACTGAATTTTAATAAACACAAACATATTTTAGATTTAATTTAAATTTTAATCTCAGAGAGGGTAAATGTGAAATTTCTATAAAGTTTTATGGAATATTAACAACAATGTAAAACAAACCTTTTGCTCATTACTGCTTATGTGAAATGGCTGGGATGAAAGCTCAAGGCCCCCAACTTTGAGTCTTGGGGATTTTTCTGTGCTGTTTGCTTTTCCAAAAGCCTAGTGTCTTGCACGTAGCATATGTTCCTTACATAGCTAATATTTTAGTTTAAAAAATATAAGTGTATGGTGCATAGATGTGTCCTTTTCACAGTGGTACTAAGATTTTAAAAAATGTTTGTTTGTTGTTTCTCTCATTATCATAGCTAAGGTACTGAGAAGTTCTACAAGGAAAAAAGCTGCATCGCCAAACATATCTTGTCCTAGGATTCTTTTTGGGTAGAACAGCTGTTAGCATCTCACTGCACATTTGTCTCTCAGAGACTAGAGTATAGAAAATGCTACTCCAGTGATTGAAATGGAAAGTTAGGAGCAATTTAAGTTCATGGAACCTAACTAAGCTGAATCTTGACTGACAATTTTTATCCTCTTTGTTTCCTGGAGGCCCCTCCCTGGTGCAAAATCATCTGCATTTCAACCTGAGCTCAGTCTGATATCCCAGCCATATAAGTAAAAGTACTAAAAAAAAAAAAAAAAAAAAAAAGGTAGTTACTATGTGCTATTTCAGCCTCATTCAGCTCATGGACTTACCAAATAAACATTCATGTCTCAGCACTGAAAGAGAAACTCACAGTCTGATGACAGTGGAGCCACCGCTTATCGGAATTCCAGAAACTACCAGGGGCAGAAAAGCACATGTTAGCTTCCCTTTTGTGGCCAGTGAGCTGAATGGAGCGATACCACACCCCACGAGGTGCTGCCCTCTGCCTGTGACACAGCAGCACAGCCACCCAGGCCAAACAGTCTGAGGAAAAGCAGAGGTGGAGTGACCTCGAAGAATCATGCAGAGGTCTTCTAATGTGGGCAGAATCCCAGGAGAGAGCAATGGCCAGCCTATCCTGGCCATGACCACTCAACAAATATTTACTGAGCATTTTCTCTGGGCTGAGATCACAGGCTCCTGTGTTTCATGGAATCAAAAGACCAGTGTCAGCAAAGCACCTCCATGCAAAAAGTGACAATATTACACCATCTGTGCAGATCACAAACATAACATTTTAGTTATTAATTCTGCGCTGACTTCCTAAATTGGCATGACATATGCCATAGAAGACCTACTTCTGATTCTTATGGCCAAATACCTTCATCCTTATGTTCTGTAAATACCCCTCCTAGATCCCGCATGGAAGAATTGAGATGTCATAATGACACGGTGAGCCATCTGATCTTGGGGGTGGGTGGCAGGCTGAGAATGCCCGGATTAAATTCAAATTTCTGAGCCAGAAGGAAATTTTAGGCCATGTTTCCCCACTTGGCCCCTGCCTGGGTAGTAAAAGTCACCTTAACTGTTTTCAGCTGTCAATAGAATTAGCTGTGACCTTGGTGATCTTTGAGCATGTTGTCCTCTTTTTATAGGGTGAATTTGTGCATTTGCTGGATAACTACTCATTTCCAGCAGAGGTAATACATCATCATGAAATACCATCTATATGAAAAGAATAAGGGTTGGCAGTGTGGGAACAGGAGGACCGTTGTCTTCTGAGCAGCCAGGGCAAGGAGTCTATTTTACTTCATGGCTTGGGAACAGATGTTCCATATGGCTGTTCCATTCAACAACACTATATAATGCATCATTTCTTAATGAATGATCCGCAGTCTCCACTGTCCTCTAAATTGCCTTTGTCTGATGTCCAAATTAAATGTGATTGAACTTCTTAGTTTTGGCGTCTCACTGCTACTCAAGCAGCTAATGCCTGAGATGTATCATCACTTCTAGAAGCAAATACTTCTAAGGTAAGCCATAAATTCCCAGTGTTTAATGCTGGTTATTGGATACTGGAGTGTTCCACAGATGCCAATAGGAATTTGTTAACATTTCTTAAAGATTGAAGAAAAATAGCTGCATAGCCTCACCATTACTTGTACATCTGGCCGAGATAGATGTCCTGCTTACATACAGCTTTCTTTTCTGTGGCATAAATGAAAGGACCATCTCCTTACAAGCACAACCTGTACAGCTGTGTAACATTGGAGTGAAAGAAAATCTATATAATGAATTTAGTTAATAAGAGAATGAATGGGGCTAGTTAAAATGTTGGGTACAGGGGCATGTTTTCTCTTAAAGAATGATGTGAAAAATTATTAGATAAAGAGTTCTAAGCTACTGGCAGACAAAAGAAATAGAGTTGAATTAGAAGGAAATGAACGGATGTGAATAAACTGCCTGGTGTAGTTTCAAAAATGAACTGTTTGATTACTCACTGTGTTATGTTCTGAAAAACATGCCTGTTTGCTGAAGCACCATGCTCAGATGCAATTATTTGGAAAGGGAGATATAGCCTAGGCAAGAATGACAAGGAATATTTATTTCTTGTGACATATTGCTGTTGGTAGACAACCATTCTGCCCAATTCCAATTAAGCTGATGCTGTTTGTGCCTAACATCTAGCCAGCAATGAATCTGTCTTAGGAGCCGTAATGAGCATATGAATGAAAACAAATATTTGACATAATATATGGTAGAAGTCTCTCTGCAATATTTTCTTAAAAACACTGTGCAGCTTGCATACCATGGTTGAATTTCTTTTTAGGTTTAGGCAAACTTTGTTGTAGATATCAGCTGAGCTTAAGATGTTCAAATGGTGGTATTAGAGTTTTATATCAAGCCCATAAATGAGCATTGCGGAGCTTCGAGCATTTCATTGGAAACTCCTTCACAGCCCCACTTAGAACGCACCTCTCAGGGTTCCTGTTGTCATGGTGATCAGCACCAACAAGCGCCCTCACTGTGCACTGTGGCTGTTCATGATAGGCCTCCAGGGCTCCACGTACACAGCCCAGCATCCTGATCTTGCTGGCTTGTTTCAGCCTTGTGACTTTGAGGCCATGATTACACTGGTCTTTTCCTTTCTATGTGTCTTCATTTTCCTATCTGGTCATTTTCTTATACTGGTTATTTATAATACCTTGGGCAGGCCATGTAACCTTGCTGAGTCTCAGCTTCCTTGACTACAGAGTGGATGTAACATGTGCAAGAGCTCCCGGCTTGCTGTTAGGGTCAGAAGGCAGCAGAGTGAGAAAGTCAACTGCAGAGCACCACAGAAAAACAGCATGATGGCTATTACCTTTCTTTCCTTCCCAGCGTTGTGTAGAAGGCTTGCCATTTTGTCACGGTTTTGATTTCTTTCCAAATAAAAGTTTTCTCACTAAAAATGAAAAATCCTAACTCCCTAGTAGAGAAGCAGGTAATGATTATGCATGGTGGCTTGAAAGGAGGGGCCTTGAGTTCCTGATTAGAAGTCAGACTTATACTGCCTCTTTCCCTCTTCTTTGCCTTAGTTTTTGCATAGGGTCAATACAAGGCTTTTGTACCCTTGGAGCCCTGCACCCAGAGCATGGCCAAGCACGTTGGGAGCGGGCCACAGAAAGCAAAGCCAAGAAGAGGGAGGAATTAGCAGCACAGCACCCCTACCTCCCTTCCTCCTGGTCAGCCAAGAGGGCTTTGTGGTTACAGGAGCCCTCATTCCCCACTTGCCAGTCCCCTCCCAGTCTGAGCCTGCCCCCTGGCCTGGAGGACAATTACATTTTTGTTGGGTCTTTATTAGTGTTGCTCCTTTTGCTCCAGCCCTCAAATCTAAACTGTTATCCCTGTGGTCTTGAGTGTAATTTTTGAAGTCATAATGATGCTTCTCCGCCTAACTCCCTCCAAAGCCTTCCCCTGGCCTCCTGCAGGCCCCTCCCGGGCACACACAGCCCCCATCACACTGGCTTCCATCCACTCCTTCTGCATCCCAGGGCTTGTACTTGCTCCAGGACAGCCCTGCTCCAGCATGCTCCTCCCCTTGCTCAAGTCAGCTCCTCATTCATTGGGTGCAGTTTATACCTCCACTCCTCTCAAGGGCGCTTGTCCCCCTCCCCATGCCCCTCTCTTCCCATCTGCTAGTCTCTATCACTGAATTCTGTTTCTGTCTTAACAGGGACCACAATTCTATAATTATGTATTTATTGGTTTACCTATGTATTATATCTCCTTTCTGAAGATCATATGTTTCCCAAGGGTGGGGATGATGCTCTTTTATTTGCCACTGTGCCTCACTTATTCCCTAGTATATAATAGGTGCTCATGACATAGTTTCTGGAGAGGGGAGGGAAGGAAAGAAGGTAAAAAAGACATGGGGGGAGGAGAAGGAGGGAAACAAAAAAGAGAGAGGAAGGAAACAACAAAAGAAGGAGAGAAGAAAGGAAAAATCGTGTAACAGTAAATGCTGTGAGGAACACTCTATTTTGTAGAGTGATGAGGAAGATATCATCAACCATCCATAAAGGAATAAGACATGGTCTTTGTAATCAATGTTTCATTAGAATTTGAAATTGTCTCTAAGGTTATCAGTAACCAACTCCTTAGTCTCATTACTTCTCCCAGTTTTTGAATTTCCATTAACAATTAACATTTAAAATAATTTTTAAAAATTTTATTCATTCATTCAATAATCATTGAGTATACATTATACACAAGTAGGATAGAGGGCAATTAAGAGAACAGAATCAGTAATCAGATTTTATGCGTTCAAATTAATAGCTGTGTGACCTGAGTAGCTACCTCTCTGTGGCCTACTTTTCCTCTCTAGAAAGGAGATAATAATAGATCTACCTTATTATTGTGCTGTGAGGATTAAAGGAAGTCAGTGCAGGTGTTATCTGCTGAAGACAGAGTGGTTAACCTGGCGGACACTGCCCCTGCAGTGTCTCTGAGTCTGTGGTCTATGAAGGGGGACAGACTTTAAACACATTACCCATACAAACAGCTGTTTCATGGTCACCATAAGTGCTTTGAAAAGTTAAAGTGTACCATGAGGATACAGGTGTGTAACGAGGAGGATCCTAACCTAGTCTTGGGTGGAATTCTGGAAGCACTTTCCTGAGGAAGTCACATATAAGCTGAAAACTGGAATATGAGAAAAGTACCCCAAGCAAAAAGGGAGGCATGGGGGTGGGATTCAGAGCAAACACCCTGCATTTGGAAGGACCAGTGTCAGGAACTACTGTGTTTTACTGATTAATTATAAGATGCATTTTCCATCACATTAAAAATCCCTGAAATGAAGACATGTCCTACAATTGATGACATCTGAAATTCACGGAATTTAAAAAAAAAAAAAAAAAAAAAAAGACCAGAAACATTGGAGAGCAGAAAGCGAGGGGGAAAATGACGGGGGTGATGCACAGGGGCCCACCGTGCAGAGCTGCATAGGGCAGATATGAATATCGGACTTTGTCCTATAAGCAATGGACAGTTTCAGAAAAGTTTTTGCAAATGAGTGCAATGAATAGATAAGTTTATTAAAATTTTCACTCTGTTGTGAGGAGAACAAATTGGAGGTGGAGAGAGTAGTAAAAGAAGGCTGTATGAGACTACAGTAATGGTGCATGTAGGAGATCATTGTAGCCTGGATTGGAGTGCTGAGCGTGGAGGTACAGAGAAGAAGATGACTCAAAAATGTTTAGTGAATAGAATAAACAAGATCTGATGATCAAGTGGATATTGGGATGAAGGTAAGATGCTTCAGGAATGACCAGAGGTCTTTTGCATATGTAAAAGATGCAATGCTGCTGAATGGAAAGCAGACCCTTTTCCCAAGATAAGGAACTCTGGAAGCAGTGCTGACTGGGGAGATGATTGTGAATTCAGTGTTGGACATGATTAATGAGAGGGCTTGTGTGGTATCTGGTTAGAGTAGTCATGTAGGCTGTTTAGAACATGTTTCTCCTGTTCTAAAGCTCAGGAGAAAATTCTGGAGTGGGAAAAATCAGGAACTCAAAGGCATAAAGAGGCAAATGCAAGCCATGGGAATGGAGGAGAACTCTCAGAGAGAGCTTGTAGAAAGAAAAGAAGAATGAGTGCCTAGGTTTGAGCTGAGAGGAAGTTCAGTATTTGAATGTCATACAGCGCAAGACACCATTCTCCAACATGGAGAATGGTAGGAGGTAAACTAGATGTGGTGTTGCAGAAGCCAAAGGAACAGAAAGGATTTCAGGAAGGGTGGAGTCATCAACTCTATTTACTGCTTCTGAGAAGCCAAGTAAGGTGAAGATTTAAAGGTATCCATTGGACATAATGACTTGAAAGTCATAGGAAGCCTTCACAAGAGCTGTGGTGGAGTCACATGGGTGGTTATGAAGATGCAGCGGGCTCAGAAGTAGGTAGGATGTGAGCAGAGGGAGAGATGGGGAAGATATTTGTATCTGGAGAGGCATGTAAAGATCCAGAAGGCTTTTTTGTTGTTTTTCTATTTTCTTCTATTTTCTGACTTTGTCTTCCTCTTCATCTTCTTCTTCTTTTGTTGAAAATGGGAACACTAGGATATCTCAATGCTAATAGCAAAGATCCAGTAAAGAGGGAGAATTGGAAGGTGTAGGAGAGGGAACAATTGATAACACCAAGCAGGTGAGATTGGTTAGGACCCCGAGCCTGAGTGGAGGAAGTTGTTGCTTTTCTAAGAGCAAGAAGCTCTCTTTACAGTAATCAGGCACCTGTGCATGTGGCACCCCAAAGCTGAGAAGTTCCCGAGGACTCTATTTTCCCAGTGAAGCAGGGCAAGTCTTTTTTTTTATATATATACTTTAAGTTTTATTGTACATATGCACAACGTGCAGGTTTGTTACATATGTATACATGTGCCATGTTGGTGTGCTGCACCCGTTAACTCGTCATTTAGCATTAGGTATATCTCCTAATGCTATCCCTCCCCACTGCCCTCACCCCACAACAGGCCCCAGTGTGTGATGTTCCCCTTCCTGTGTCCATGTGTTCTCATTGTTCAATTCCCACCTATGAGTGAGAACATGCAGGGTTTGGTTTTTTGTCCTTGTGATACTTTGCTGAGAATGATGGTTTCCAGCTTCATCCATGTCCCTACAAAGGACATGAACTCATCATTTTTTATGGCTGCATAGTATTCCATGGTGTATATGTGCCACATTTTCTTAATCCAGTCTATCATTGCTGGACATTTGGGTTGGTTCCAAGTCTTTGCTATTGTGAATAGTGCCGCAATAAACATGCGTGTGCATGTGTCTTTATAGCAGCATGATTTATATACTTTGGGTATATACCCAGTAATGGGATGGCTGGGTCAAATGGTATTTCTAGTTCTAGATCCCTGAGGAATCGCCACACCAGCTTCCACAATGGTTGAACTAGTTTAGAGTCCCACCAACAGTGTAAAAGTCTTCCTATTTCTCCACACCCTCTCCAGCACCTGTTGTTTCCTGACTTTTTAATGATCGCCATTCTAACTGGTGTGAGATGGTATCTCATTGTGGTTTTGATTTACATTTCTCTGACAGTCAGTGATGATGAGCATTTTTTCATGTGTTTTTTGGCTGCATAAATGTCTTCTTTTGAGAAGTGTCTGTTCATATCCTTTGTCCACTTTTTGATGGGGTTGTTTGTTTTTTTCTTGTAAATTTGTTTGAGTTCATTGTAGATTCTGGATATTAGCCCTTTGTCAGATGAGTAGGTTGCAAAACTTTTCTCCCATTCTGTAGGTTGCCTGTTCACTCTGATGGTAGTTTCTTTTGCTGTGCAGAAGCTCTTTAGTTTAATTAGATACCATTTGTCAATTTTGTCTTTTGTTGCCATTGCTTTTGGTGTTTTAGTCAAGAAGTCCTTGCCCATGTGTATGTCCTGAATAGTATTGCCTAGGTTTTCTTCTAGGGTTTTTATGGTTTTAGGTCTACCATTTAAGTCTTTAATCCATCTTGAATTAATTTTTGTATAAGGTGTAAGGAAGGGATCCAGTTTCAGCTTTCTACATATGGCTAGCCAGTTTTCCCAGCACCATTTATTAAATAGGGAATCTTTTCCCCATTGCTTGTTTTTCTCAGGTTTGTCAAAGATCAGATAGTTGTAGATATGTGACATTATTTCTGAGGGCTCTGTTCTGTTCCATTGATCTATATCTCTGTTTTGGTACCAGGACCATGCTGATTTGGTTACTGTAGCCTTGTAGCATAGTTTGAAGTCAGGTAGCGTGATGCCTCCAACTTTGTTCTTTTGGCTTAGGATTGACTTGGCAATGTGGGCTCTTTTTGGGTTCCATATGAACTTTAAAGTAGTTTTTTCCAATTCTGTGAAGAAAGTCATTGGTAGCTTGATGGGGATGGCGTTGAATCTGTAAATTACCTTGGGCAGTATGGCCATTTTCATGATATTGATTCTTCCTACCCATGAGCATGGAATGTTCTTCCATTTGTTTGTATCCTCTTTTATTTCATTGAGCAGTGGTTTGTAGTTCTCCTTGAATAAGTCCTTCACATCCCTTGTAAGTTGGATTCCTAGGTATTTTATTCTCTTTGAAGCAATTGTGAATGGGAGTTCACTCATGATTTGGCTCTCTGTTTGTCTATTATTGGTATATAAGAATGCTTGTGATTTTTGCACATTGACTTTGTATCCTGAGACTTTGCTGAAGTTGCTTATCAACTTAAGGAGATTTTGGGCTGAGACGATGGGGTTTTCTAGATATACAATCATGTCATCTTCAAACAGGGACAATTTGACTTCTTCTTTTCCTAATTGAATACCCTTTATTTTCTTCTCCTGCCTGATTGCCCTGGCCAGAACCTCCAACACTATGTTGAATAGGAGTGGTGGGAGACGGCATCCCTGTCTTGTGCCAGTTTTCAAAGGGAATGCTTCCAGTTTTTGTCCATTGAGTATGATATTGGCTGTGGGTGTGTCATAGATAGCTCTTATTATTTTGAGATACATCCCATCAATACCTAATTTATTGAGAGTTTCTAGCATGAAGGTTGTTGAATTTTATCAAAGGCCTTTTCTGCATCTATTGAGATAATCATGTGGTTTTTGTCTTTGGTTCTGTTTATATGATGGATTACGTTTATTGATTTTTGTATGTTGAACCAGCCTTGCATCCCACGGATGAAGCACACTTGATCATGGTGGATAAGCTTTTTGATGTGCTGCTGGATTCGGTTTTCCAGTATTTTATTGAGGACTTTTGCAACGATGTTCATCAAGGATATTGGTCTAAAATTCTCTTTTTTTTTGTTGTGTCTCTGCCAGGCTTTGGTATCAGGATGATGTTGGCTTCATAAAATGAGTTAGGGAGGATTCCTTCTTTTCCTATTGATTGGAATAGTTTCAGAAGGAATGGTACCAGCTCCTCCTTGTACCTCTGGTAGAATTGACCTGTGAATCCATCTGGTCCTGGACTTCTTTTGGTTGCTATGCTATTAATTATTGCCTCAATTCAGAGCCTGTTATTGGTCTATACAGAGATTCAACTTCTTCCTGGTTTAGTCTTGGGAGGGTGTATGTGTCCAGAAATTTATCCATTTCTTCTAGATTTTCTAGTTTATTTGCATAGAGGTGTTTATAGTATTCTCTGATGGTAGTTTGTATTTCTGTGGGATCAGTGGTGATATCCCCTTTGTCATTTTTTATTGTGTCTATTTGATTCTTCTCTCTTTTCTTCTTTATTAGTCTTGCTAGTGGTCTATCAATTTTGTCGATCTTTTCAAAAAACCAGCTCCTGGATTCATTGATTTTTTGAAGGGTTTTTTGTGTCTCTATGTCCTTCATTTCTGCTCTGATCTTAGTTATTTCTTGCCTTCTGCTAGCTTTTGAATGTGTTAGCTCTTGCTTCTCTAGTTCTTTTAATTGTGATGTTAGGGTGTCAATTTTAGATCTTTTCTGCTTTCTTTTGTGGGCATTTAGTGCTATAAATTTCCCTCTACACACTGCTTTGAATGTGTCCCTCTACACACTGCTTTGAATGAGATTCTGGTGTGTTATGTCTTTGTTCTCACTGGTTTCAAAGAACATCTTTACTTCTGCCTTCATTTCGTTATGTACCCTGCAGTCATTCAGGAGCAGGTTTTTCAGTTTCCATGTAGTTGAGCGGTTTTGAGTGAGTTTCTTAATCCTGAGTTCTAGTTTGATTGCACTGTGGTCTGAGAGACAGTTTGTTATAATTTCTGTTCTTTTACATTTGCTGAGGAGTGCTGTACTTCCAACTATGTGGTCAATTTTGGAATAGGTGTGGTGTGGTGCTGAGAAGAATGTATATTCTGTTGATTTGGGGTGGAGAGTTCTGTAGATGTCTATTAGGTCCACTTGGTTCAGAGCTGAGTTCAATTCCTGGATATCCTTGTTAACTTTCTGTCTTGATGATCTGTCTAATGTTGACAGTGGGGTGTTGAAGTCTCCCATTATTATTGTGTGGGAGTCTAAGTCTCTTTGTAGGTCTCTAAGGACTTGCTTTATGAATCTGGGTGCTCCTGTATTGGGTACATATATATTTAGGATAGTTAGTTCTTCTTGTTGAATTGATCCCTTTACCATTATGTAATGGCCTTCTATGTCTCTTTTGATCTTTGTTGGTTTAAAGTCTGTTTTATCAGAGACTAGGATTGCAACCCCTGCCTTTTTTTGTTTTCCATTTGCTTAGTAGATCTTCCTCCAGCCCTTTATTTTGAGCCTATGTTTGTCTCTGCATGTGAGATGGGTCTCCTAAATACAGCACACTGATAGGTCTTGACTCTTTATCCAATTTGCCAGTCTGTGTCTTTTAATTGGAGCATTTAGCCCATTTACATTTAAGGTTAATATTGTTATGTGTGAATTTGATCCTGTCATTGAAATTCTGGGTTGAAAATTCTTTCCTTTAAGAATGTTGAATATTGGCCCCCACTCTCTTCTGGCTTGTATAGTTTCTGCCAAGAGATCCGCTGTTAGTCTGATGGGCTTCCCTTTGTGGGTAACCCAACCTTTCTCTCTGGCTGCCCTTAACATTTTTTCCTTCATTTCAACTTTGGTGAATCTGACAATTATGTGTCTTTGAGTTGCTCTTCTCGTGGAGTATCTTTGTGGCATTCTCTCTATTTCCTGAATTTGAACGTTGGCCTGCCTCGCTATATTGCAGAAGTTCTCCTGGATAATATTCTGAAGAGTGTTTTCCAACTTGGTTCCATTCTCTCCATCACTTTCAGGTACACCAATCAGATGTAGATTTGGTCTTTTCACATAGTCCCATACTTCTTGGAGGCTTTGTTCATTTCTTTTTTTATTCTTTTTTCTCTAAACTTCTCTTCTTGCTTCATTTCATTCATTTCATTTTTCATCGCTGATACCCTTTCTTCCAGTTGATCGCATCAGCTACTGAGGCTTGTGCATTCATCACATAGTTCTCGTGCCTTGGTTTTCAGCTCCATCAGGTCCTTTAAGGACTTCTCTGCATAGGTCATTCTAGTTAGCCATTCGTCTAATTTTTTTTTCAAGGTTTTTAACTTCTTTGCCATTGGTTCTAACTTCCTCCTTTAGCTCGGAGTAGTTGATCTTCTGAAGCCTTCTTCTCTCAACTCGTCAAAGTCATTCTCCATCCAGCTTTGTTCCGTTGCTGGTGAGGAGCTGCATTCCTTTGGAGGAGGAGAGGTGCTGTGATTTTTAGAGTTTCCGGTTTTTCTGCTCTGTTTTTTCCCCATCTTTGTGGTTTTATCTACCTTTGGTTTTTGATGTCGGTGATGTACAGATAGGTTTTTGGTGTGGATGTCCTTTCTGTTTGTTAGTTTTCCTTCTAACAGTCAGGACCCTCAGCTGCAGGTCTGTTGGAGTTTGCTGGAAGTCCACTCCAGACCCTGTTTGCCTGGGTATCAGCAGCGGTGGCTGCAGAACAGCGGATATTGGTGAACCGCAAATGCTGCTGCCTGATCATTCCCCTGGAAGTTTTGTCTCAGAGGAGTACCCGGCCGTGTGACGTGTCAGTCCTCCCCTACTGGAGGGTGCCTCCCCGTTAGGCTACTCAGGGGTCAGGGACCCATTTGAGGAGGCAGTCTGCCCGTTCTCAGATCTCAAGCTGTGTGCTGGGAGAACCACTACTCTCTTCAAAGCTGTCAGACGGGGACATTTGAGTCTGCAGAGGTTATTGCTGCCTTTTGTTTGTCTGTGCCCTGCCCCCAGAGGTGGAGCCTACAGAGGCAGGCAGGCCTCCTTGAGCTGTGGTGGGCTCCACCCAGTTCGAGCTTCCCGGCTGCTTTGTTTACCTACTCAAGCCTTGTTAATGGCAGGCACCCCTCCCCCAGCCTCGCTGCCGCCTTGCAGTTTGATCTCAGACTGCTGTGCTAGCAATGAGCAAGGCTCCGTGGGCGTAGGATGCTCCGAGCCAGGTGCAGGATATAATCTCTTGGTGTGCCGTTTGTTAAGCCCATTGGAAAAGCGCAGTATTAGGGTGGGAGTGACCTGATTTTCCTGGTGCCGTCTGTCACCCCTTTCTTTGACTAGGAAAGGGAATTCCTTGACCCCTTGCACTTCCCAGGTGAGGTGATGCCTCACCCTGCTTTGGCTCATGCATGGTGTGCTGCACCCACTGTCCTGCACCCACTGTCCGGCACTCCCCAGTGAGATGAACCCGGTACCTCAGTTGGTAATGCAGAAATCACCCATCTTCTGCGTCGCTTCTGCTGGGAGCTGTAGACTGGAGCTGTTCCTATTCATCCATCTTGGCTCCACCCTCAGGGCAAGTCTTAAGAGTGAGATTAGACTAGGGTACAGAAGGGTTTTTAGGTAAGATGATACAGACGTGCATGGGCTTGAAATTGCCTTGGGGGAAACATTGAACGTGGAATGCTGTTTTAAGTGTTGGTAGGAGGGGTAATAATGAGTTTACAGTGACCTCTCTATTCTTGGGTAGTGTGATCCGCACTTCTCAGCTGCTCTGAAGCTGACATGGAAGAGGAATATTGTTGGAGTCATCCAGAGCTGGGATTTGATTAAAGGAGCTCAGTGTATGGCCAAGAGAAAGACTGAAGTGCCTGATTATGCATTCTTGGTTTAGAGGAAAGGAAAGGAAACTAGGACAGGCTTCACACATAAGGGGACATAGGTGTTGTTGACCTGTGAGGGCTGAGTAAGGAGGTAGACACATTACCAGTTACTGACTAATATGAGCTAATGGAAAATGTGCAGCTGTCCATCTCCCTGAGCCCTAGCTCTGCAATTTGGTGTATAAAAAATAAAATAGGGGGAGGTTCCAAGATGGCTAAATATGAGCAGCTCCAGTCTGCAGCTCCCAGTGTGAGCGACGCAGAAGATGGGTGATTTCTGCATTTCCAACTGAAGTACTAGGTTCATCTCACTGGGGCTTGTCAGACAGTGGGTGCAGCCCACAGAATAGAGTGGGGCATCACCTCACCCAGGAAGCGCAAGGGGTCAGAGGATTCCCTTTCCCAGCAAAGGGAAGACGTGACAGATCGTACCTGGAAAATCTGGAAACTCCTACCCTAATACTACGCTTTTCCAACGGCCTTAGCAAATGGCACACCAGGAGATTATATTCCATGCCTGGCTTGGAGGGTCCCACACCCACAGAGCCTCACTCACTGCTAGCACAGCAGTCTGAGATCAAACTGCAAGGTGGCAGCGAGGCTGGGAGAGGGGCGTCTGTCATTGCTGAGGCTTGAGTAGGTAAACAAAGAGGCTGGGAAGCTCTAACTGGGTGGAGCCCACCGCAGCTCAAGGAAGCCTGCCTCCCTCTGTAGATTCCACCTCTGGGGGCAGGGTATAGCTGAATAAAATGCAGCAGAAACTTCTGCAGACTTAAATGTCCCTGTCTGACAGCTTTGAAGAGAGGAGTGGTTCTCCCAGCATGGAGTTGGAGATCTGAGAGTGGACAGTCTGCCTCCTCAAGTGGGTCCCTGACCCCTGAGTAGTCTAACTGGGAGACATCTCCCAGTAGGGGCCGACTGACACCTCATACAGCTAGGTGCCCCTCTGAGACGAAGCTTCCAGAGGAAGGATCAGGCAGCAACATCTGCTGTTCTGCAATATTTGCTATTGTGCAGCCTCCACTGGTAATACCCAGACAAACAGGGTCTGGAGTGGACCTCCAGCAAACTCCAACAGATCTGCAGCTGAGGGTCCTGACTGTTAGAAGGAAAACTAACAAACAGAAAGGACATCCACACCAAAACCCCATCTGTACGTCACCAACATCAAAGACCAAAGGTAGGTAAAACCACAAAGATAGGGAGAAACCAGAGCAGAAAAGAGGAAAATTCTAAAAATCAGAGTGCCTCTTCTCCTCCAAAGGAATGCAGCTCCTCACCAGCAATGGAACAAAGCTGGATGGAGAATGACTTTGATGAGTTGAGAGAAGAAGGCTTCAGATAATCCATAATAACAAACTTCTCCGAGCTAAAGGAGGATGTTCGAACCCATTGCAAAGAAGCTAAAAACCTTGAAAAAAGATTAGACGAATGGCTAACTAGAATAAACAGTGTAGAGAAGTCCTTAAATGACCTAATGGAGCTGAAAACCATGGCACAAGAACTACACGACACATGCACAAGCTTCAGTAGCTGATTTGATCAACTGGAAGAAAGGGTATTAGTGATTGAAGATCAAATGAATGAAATGAAGTGAGAAGAGAAATTTAGAGAAGAAAGAATAAAAAGAAATGAACAAAGCCTCCAAGAGGTATGGGACTATGTGAAAAGACCAAATCTAGAAATTATAACAAACTGTCTCTCAGACCACAGTGCAATCAACCTAGAACTCAGGATTAAGAAACTCACTCAAAGCCACTCAATTACATGGAAACTGAGGAACCTGCTCCTAAATGACTACTGGGTATATAACGAAATGAAGGCAGAAATAAAGATGTTCTTTGAAACCAATGAGAACAAAGACACAACATACCAGAATCTCTGGGACACATTTAAAGCAGTGTGTAGAGGGAAATTTATAGCACTAAATGCCCACAAGAGAAAGCAGGAAAGATCTAAAATTGACATCCTAACATCACAATTAAAAGAACTAGAGAAGCAAGAGCAAACACATTCAAAAGCTAGCAGAAGGCAAGAAATAACTAAGATCAGAGCAGAACTGAAGGCGATAGAGACACAAAAGATCCTTCAAAAAATCAATGAATCCAGGAGCTGGTTTTTTGAAAAGATCAACAAAATTGATAGACCACTAGCAAGACTAATAAAGAAGAAAAGAGAGAAGAATCAAATAGATGCAATAAAAAATGACAAAAAGGATATCACCACCAATCCCACAGAAATACAAATTACCATCAGAGAATACTATAAACACCTCTACACAATTAAACTAGAAAATCTAGAAGAAATGGATAAATTTCTGGACACATACACCCTCCTGAGGCTAAACCAGGAAGAAGTTGAATCCCTGAATACACCAATAATAGGTTCTGAAATTGATGCAATAATTAATAGCCTACCAACCAAAAAAAGTCCAGGACCAGACGGATTCACAGCTGAATTCTACCAGAGGTACAAAGAGGAGCTGGTACCACTCCTTCTGAAACTATTCCAATCAATAGAAACAGAGGGAATATTTCCTCTCCCTAACACATTTTATGAAGCCAACATCATCCTGATACCAAAGCCTGGCAGAGACACAACAAAAAAAGAGAATTTTAGACCAATATCCTTGATGAACATTGATGCAAAAATCCTCAATAAAATACTGGCAAACTGAATGCAGCAGCACATCAAAGAGCTTATCCACCATGATCAAGTGTGCTTCATCCCTGGGATGCAAGGCTGGTTCAACATATGCAAATCAATAAACGTAATCCATCATATAAACAGAACCAAAGACAAAAACCACATGATTATCTCAATAGATGCAGAAAAGGCTCCGACAAAATTCAACAACCTTCATGCTGAAAACTCTCAATAAATTAGGTATTGATGGGAGTATCTCAAAATATGAGCTATTTATGAAAAACCCACAGCCAATATCATACTGAATGGACAAGAACTGGAAGCATTCCCTTTGAAAACTGGCACAAGACAGGGATGCCCTCTCTCACCACTCCTATTCAACCTACTGTTGGAAGTTCTGGCCAGAGCAATCAGGCAAGAGAAAGAAATATAGGGTATTAAATTAGGAAAAGAGGAAGTCAAATTGTTCCTGTTTGCACATGACATGATTTTATATTTAGAAAACCCCATCATCTCAGCCCTAAATCTCCTTAAGTTGATAAGCAACTTCAGCAAAGTCTCAGGATACAAAATCAACATGCAAAAATCACAAGCATTCCTGTACACCAATAACAGACAAACAGAGAGCCAAATCATGAGTGAACTCCCATTCACAATTGCTTCAAAGAGAATAAAATACCTAGGAATCCAACTTACAAGGGATGTGAAGGACTTATTCAAGGAGAACTACAAACCACTGCTCAATGAAATAAAAGAGGATACAAACAAATGGAGGAACATTCCATGCTCATGGGTAGGAAGAATCAATATCATGAAAATGGCCATACTGCCCAAGGTAATTTACAGATTCAACGCCATCCCCATCAAGCTACCAATGACTTTCTTCACAGAATTGGAAAAAACTACTTTAAAGTTCATATGGAACCAAAAAAGAGACCACATTGCCAAGACAATCCTAACCCAAAAGAACAAAGCTGGAGGCATCACGCTACCTGACTTCAAACTATACTACAAGGCTACAGTAACCAAAACAGCATGGTACTGGTACCAAAACAGAGATATAGACCAATGGAACAGAACAGAGCCCTTGGAAATAATACCACACATCTACAACCACCTGATCTTTGACAAACCTGACAAAAACAAGCAATGGGGAAAGGATTCCCTATTTAATAAATGGTGCTGGGAAAACTGGCTAGCCATATGTAGAAAGCTGAAACTGGATCCCTTCCTTACACCTTATACAAAAATTAATTCAAGATGGATTAAAGACTTAAATGGTAGACCTAAAACCATAAAAACCCTAGAAGAAAACCTAGGCATTACCATTCAGGACATAGGCATGGGCAAGGACTTCTTGACTAAAACACCAAAAGCAATGGCAACAAAAGCCAAAATTGACAAATGGTATCTAATTAAACTAAAGAGCTTCTGCACAGCAAAAGAAACTACCATCAGAGTGAACAGGCAACCCACAAAATGGGAGAAAATTTTCGCAACCTACTCATCTGACAAAAGGCTAATATCCAGAATCTACAATGAACTCAAACAAATTTACAAGAAAAAAACAAACAACCCCATCAAAAAGTGGACAAAGGATATGAACAGACACTTCTCAAAAGAAGACATTTATGCAGTCAACAGACACATGAAAAAATGCTCATCATCACTGGCCATCAGAGAAATGCAAATCAAAACCACAATGAGATACCATCTCACACCAGTTAGAATGGCGATCATTAAAAAGTCAGGAAACAACAGGTGCTAGAAAGGATGTGGAGAAATAGGAATGCTTTTACACTGTTGGTGGGACTGTGAACTAGTTCAACCATTGTGGAAGGCAGTGTGGCGATTCTTTGATGATCTAGAACTGGAAATACCATTTGACCCAGCCATCCCATTACTGGGAATATACCCAAAGGATTATAAATCATACTGCTATAAAGACACATGCACACGTATGTTTATTGCAGCACTATTCACAATAGCAAAGACTTAGAACCAATCCAAATGTCCACCAATGATAGATTGGATTAAGAAAATGTGGCACATATACACCATGGAATACTATGCAGCCATAAAAAATGATGAGTTCATGTCCTTTGTAGGAACATGGATGAAGCTAGAAACCATCATTCTGAGCAAACTATTGCAAGGACAGAAAACCAAACACCACATGTTCTCACTCATAGGTGGGAATTAAACAATGAGAACACTTGGACATGGGTGGTGGGGAACATCACACACTGGGGCCTTTCGTGGGGTGGGGGCAGTGGGGAGGGATAGCATTAGGAGTTATACCTAATGTAAATGACGAGTTAATGGGTGCTGCATACCAACATGGCACATGTATACATATGTAACTAACCTGCACGTTGTGCACATGTACCCTACAACTTAAAGTATAATTAAAATAAATAAATAAATAAATAAATAAATAAAATAAATGGGAGAGTGATGCCTCCAGTGGGGTCAGAGGGAATGGGAACAAGAACACAGACAAGGAGCTCAGCTTTGAAAGAGGTACTCAATGGGACAGGTGGCATGTTTGCTTTTTGCTTAGTTTTTTTTCTCATGCCTTGCTCAGAGTCAGGCCAAAAATAAATGTCCAGTACGGATTCTATTAATGAAGAATAAATGAAGGAATTAATGGGCAAAGAGGGACAATGTTAGTAGAACTATTCTTACAAGAACTCATCTAGTTAGTCTTTGGTGTTTGACTAAAATCATAGTTCAGGCTACTGACCTGGAGGTATTACTGTAAAATCTGACTTTTACGTTATTTTGAAATTAACCTTTAATTTGAACCAATGTAAAACAATGATTCAAACTGAATCTCAATAATCCTTCACGTACCTTAAACTGTGGATAGAATACATCTTTGCAGTTGAATAATGAAGTGTAGTGTTGAAAATGGAGGAGTTGAGGAGGTAAGTGTGGATCAATAGCAGAAAGGAAGCGTTGAATTCTTGCTCCAGGTGAAAGAATGAGGAGGAATAACTGGTCCTGCTACAGGTGCATCACATTGCTGGAGACTCCTCTTGGTGGAGGTACATCCTCACTAAAGTATCATCACCCCTTTCCCTGCCACCCTGATTCATTTGCACTTACCCTTTCCAAAATTTCCTGTTTGCCTATGTGTTCATTGTCTCTATCAGCCCCCACCAACTGTGTATGCTGAGGCTTATCTGATTAGTGCAGTCCTGTGGCCCAGCACCTAAACTAATGCCTGGTGCTAATAAGGGATTGAGAAATATTTGTTGATTTGATTAAGATACTATTCCAATTCACTTGGAGTGTTTCCTACCTATGTGTGAGTTGTTGCTAGCTCTAGAGCAAAGCTTTGAAAATTTTAATGAGCATACAAAGCACCGAGATCTTGTTAAAATACAGATTCTGATTTAGTAGATCTGGGCTGGGTCTGAGAATCTGCATTTCTAACCAGCTCCCAGGCTCTGCCCCTGCTGAGGGCCCAGGGACCACAGTATGAGTGGCAAGGCCCTAGAGTGTAGTCGTTTCCCACATTTCAGACTGCAATATGGATGTTCCCTGGACTTGTTCTGGGGGTTCTTGAAAACTGAGCCATTCAAGTTTTGAGAATTTAAATAAAAAATATAGATTTAAAAAATATATTTAAACTAGATAAGAATAGATAGGTTATTATCCACATTTTATAGATGAAGTGGCTGAGGCACAGAGCAGTTAAATAACTTACCTCAGATCACAGAGCTAGTAGGTGGCAAAATATTTTAAATTCAGTTATTTTTATTCTAAGTAAAATGCTGTCTCCTACATCGTGTTCTCACACTATTTGTGTATTCACTCATTCATTCTTCAGTGGTTTATAGAGTATCTTTTTTGGGGATTCACTTTTGCTTAAACTACTATTTTGGATGTATGTTCTCATTCGTGGCAGCCCAAATTCCATCCTGTCTTTAAGACAGTTGAAAAGCAAATTCCTCCATCACAATTTTCGTGCACTGCACTGTTCCCCAAACCCCATCCCTAGTGGGGAGGATACAGATATACAAGAAGAAAATTTATATTTAGGCTAATCTGGCAATGCCAAAGAAGATCCACTAATATACTGTCATTTGACTAAAAAAACATAATTATGAAACCTACTTTTTACCGGTAACACTAGCCATCCTTTTCAAACTCATCCTGCAGAGGGAATGAGTCATCAACATTTCGTCAGCCATTGCCAACTTCTGGCATTTTTCTACCTGCTTCAGAACACCACAGTTTGTTCTACCAAAGTAACTGCACTGAGCATGTGCACCCCAGCTTTAGAGGGAGTATGATAATTAGGGATGCTGTGAAACTGACTGGCAGCTCTTTGTGCCAGTCTAATTCTAATGGAAGATGACTGTTCAAAGCGGGTGGTGTAAGCACCTGTAGTCATTTTCTGTTATGATTGGTAGTAGTAAAAAAGCTTCCAGAAATATCCACGTGATTGAAATGCATGGATTTAACACTCCTTCTGACCATCTCAGAACACCTGAACCCACACCAAAAACGTATGTAGTAGCGCATTCCACTCCTCAAAAGTCAATAAACCTATACGCATAGAATTTTGAAACTCTAAGGCTTCTATACATCTCATGCTGATACCTGGGGTTCCTGTAAAGGATTTGGGCACAACGCAAGCTAGTTATGACCTTGAATGCTCTCACACTTCAAGCTATGAGGGTGACTCTGTTTAACGGAATTTTTTTGTTGAATTGCTCAGTAAAATTAAGAATAACTTTATAATATAAATAATCCACTGCTCCATATCTATTTTCTCAGTCTTTTGTATTTTCCTTGATTTTCTTCAAGTGGGTAAATATGGCTATCTCTGTTATCAGATATGGCAGAGTATCAATAGTTTATGCTCAGAAATATGATACTCTAGGAAGTGTTGTAAAATGATAAACACTTCTAATTTAAATAATTTCTCCTTCAAAGAGCTCCAAGCACTTTATTGTATCTTTTATCTTTCATGGCCCTGTGGAGAATATGGCAATCATTTATCCTCATTTTACAGATGAAAAACTGAGATGAGTTAGCTAATATGGCAGGAATGCATAGTTTCATAAAGAGCAATAAGCCCTTTTGTAGGTAAATTAAGCAGAGTGTCCAGCTGCGGCTGCCAGTTTCCACGGTGGCCTTCCCTGGCTCCCTTCTCCCATTCCTTCCTCCCCATCTGCAAGTTCCAGGATGGGTGTGTCTTCTGGCAGCTGAACTGTGTTCTCAGTTAAGTCTAATCCACTCCCTTTCTCTACTCTCATCAATGTTCAGTGTTGATGGATTGCAGTTCTTTATAGATGCTGCCAGATATTTGGGTGAATGCAGTACATTTAGAAGACAGGATCTTGAAGTATTATTAAATAATACCCTGCTGGTGATTAGGGATAAAGTACGATTCTATAACCTATACATTCTTAGAAAACTTTTTTCTCAATAATGATCTATTTTTTATTTCATTTGCTGCGCCTAAAACAAACATTTTATAAATTAACAGCTGATTAATGTAAACTATTGGATTCATTAACATCAATGAGAGAAATGGTTCTATGAGAACTTCAATATTAACATTTACTAATGTGAATATGCATGTTTATGCCCTTTGGTTTCTTACCAAGTTATAGGTATTTTTTGTACAGTATAGCACAAGAGATAGTGCTTAAGAATGTGGACTGTAGAATCAGATCTGGGTTCCCGTTCTAGTTCCACAACTTACTGTGGAATCTTGCACATATTCATTACCTTCTTGGAGGCTCAGTTTCCTGATTTGCAAAATGGAATTAACAATACCCAGCTTAGATTATTGTGAAGATTTATTTATTGATTGATTGATTTGTTTTTATTTTTTACACTACAACCATGACAGATGAAGATTGTCGTGAAGATTAAATAAAGATAATGCGACGAAATACTTAGTGCAGAACCTGGCATGTAGTAAGTGTTCAACAAATGGTTGTTGATGATGATGATGAAGAACAGCTGTGGAGATACGAAACACTCCTGTAGATATTTCTTAAAACATCCAAATAAAGTGTATATTGAAATCATCTTTTCCAAAATGGTATCAGACTGATTTCGATATGTCAAACAAGGGTTACTGAGTGCTGCTTAGAATTGTGGTGCACATCTGGAATATGCTTGGTGATTACAATTCAGACTTAAAAGAGCTTGGTAGGAGCTACTCTCTGCAGCAGGAAATTGCAACCTGAGGGCAGACTACTTGTAGCAATACAATACTTTAAAGAAACTAAAACGTTTTTAACAAGGACACAGGCAAATGGCTATTAAGTAGCACGTGGCAGCTCTCAATTTAACGTTTAGAAATTTATGGAAGTCAGGCTGGGCACAGTGGCTCACACCTGTAATCCCAGCACTTTGGGAGGCCAAGGTGGGTGGATCACTTGAGATCGGGAGTTCAAGACTAGCCTGGCCAACATGGTGAAACCCCATCTCTACTAAAAATAAAAAATTACCTGGATGTGGTGGTGCACTCCTGTAGTCCCAGCTACTCGGTTGGTTGAGGCAGGAGAATGCTTTGATGCTTTGAACCTGAGAGGCAGAGGTTGCAGTGAGCCAAGATTGCGCCACTGCACTCCATCCTGGGCAACAAAAGCAAAACTCCGTCTCAAAAAAAAAAAAAAGAAGGAAAGAAATTTATGGAAATGAAAAACATTTATAAAAGGTAAATTGGGCCGGGCTCTGTGGCTCACGCCTGTAATCTCAGCACTTTGGGAGGCTGAGGCCTGTGCATCACCAGGTCAAGAGATTGAGACCATCCTGGCCAACACGGTGAAACCCCATCTCTACTAAAAATACAAAAAATTAGCTGAGCGTGGTAGCGCATGCCTGTAGTCCCAGCTACTCGGGAAGCTGAGGCAGGAGAATCCAGGGGCGGAGACTGCAGTGAGCCGAGATCACACCACTGCACTCCAGCCTGGGTGACAGAGCGAGATCCGTCTCAAAAAAAAAAAAAAAAGTAGGTAAATCGGCTTTGGCTCATGTCTGTAATCCCAGCACTTTGGGAGGCTGAGGTGGGTGGATCACTTGAGGTCAGGAGTTCAGGACCAGCCTGGCCAACATGGTGAAACCCCGTCTCTACTAAAAATACAAAATTAGCTGAGCGTGGTGGCGGGTGCCTGTAATCCCAGCTACTCTACTTGAGGCTGAAGCAGGAGAATAGCTTGAACCTGGAAGGCAGAGGTTACAGTGAGCCGAGATCGCACCACTGCACTCCAGCCTGGGCAACAGAGCCAGACTCCATCTCCAAAAAAAAAAAGAAAAAAAAAAGAAAGAAAGAAATTATTTTGACTCATGAAGCCTAAATGTATTGGGCACATCCTAACTTTAGGAAAGGCCAAACTTCTGTAATTTTGAGACTTTCTAGGCTTTTCTAGAAGGAAGTTAAAGCAAATGTTGAGATAGAGAAGAGTTAGACTATTTGAACAAATTAACTTAAAGTGTGAATTGTAGAATTTTGAAAAATAAAATCTAATTATTTTCAAGAACAATTGGTGATTGTAGTCCAGTCTAGTAGTATGCACAGAAACTTGTGGCTAAAAAATGTGATCTTGTTCAAGATCATTGTTTTACATGGGATCAGAGTAGCTGTGTGAACTGCTTCATACTGGCACAGCAAGTTAGTGACATGAGTGACAAGAAGAGGTGCCCAAACCATAGCCCAGTGCTCTTAGTTTATCTACCTCTCAGAGGGCCCTTATCATGAGCAGCCAGTCATCTGCAGTCATAAAGTTAATGTTAATTTTGCTATAACAACTTCAAAAAGAACTTATTTTTTAAGTAGTTTATATTACTTCCTGAAGCTTTTTAAATAAGAAATGCATAATTTATTAAGAGAGATTAAATTCAAACTTTCTTTATATTGCACTACATGTTGCAATAGCAATTTCCCTGGATGCTGTAACCTCACAGAAGAGGGAAACTAATATTAAAGAGCTAAGAATGCTAACTGTTCTTCAGGTGTCCTTAAAACTAGGTGGAGTTAGCCTGATCAAAAAAGCAGGAGAAATAATATTTTGGCTAAACAAAATAGCATGAACACTTACAAATGGAAAAAGCACAGATGATTGTTACTTCCTCGAGTTTTATTCATATTATTTATTTATTTTGAGATAAAATTACAAGTACAATTTCACTTTTATCTAAATGATAACAGGTGAATGGAGTCTAACCTAAAGTTTCTTTCCAGTTAGAATTTAAATAACAACAGTGATACTAAGGACATGGGTCTCCTATCATGGGGGCAGGAGGAGGGTTTTGTGAGTGTCAGTTTGAGAACTAAATGAGCTAATACATGGAAAGGGTTTAGAACAGCGAGTGCTAGTGATGACAGACACTGATGTTGTCACCAAAACTCTTTAACATGACTATAGATTTCTAAGTAAGGATTACTAGATTATTCTAGGTTCAGCCACAAGCATAATGGAGTAAATGAGGCTCCAGACCAATGCTATCCAATGGAAAAACGTGAGTCACATATGTAATTTTGAGTTGTCTAATAGACATGTTACAAAAATACAGAGAAACAGGTGAAATTAATTTTAATGTCTTCTTTAACCTAATGTATCCACCTAGTGTATAATTTCACTGCGTGAGTTAAATAAATATTAATGAGATAGTTTACATTTTTTTGGTACTAAAAGTCATTAAAATTTGGTGTGTACATTACCTTTTACAGTCCATCTTCATTCAACCTTGCCCAAGTTCAAGTCCTCAGTAGCCTCTTGTGGTCAGGGCTGTATACCGGACAGTGCAGCTCTTCATGAAAGCCACGCACTTCCATCCTTTCTGAAGGTGCACATGTTTTTTTGGGGGGGTCTTTCTTCTTTGTTACAAGATGGGCAGTCAATGTCCAAGCCCACTGCATTTTGGTAGAAATACATGATACATGAGTTATAGTACATATAGGCAAGAGCTGGGAATTGAATATTTGGCTCACTCTAAAAATAGTTTGCTTCAAAATAATAGAATATTTATTTTTTTGGACTGGTTTTCTTATATTTCCAGTTCAGTAAATTGTGGAAAATTTTATTGTCAAAGCAGAGAGAGGTTTACTTATTATTTTGTTTACTTTGATAGGGAAAAGATTTGCTGCTTAGGCTTCTCTTAAAAAAATTATTTATCGGGTTCAGTAAACATTAATTGTTCCCAGTGAGCACAATCATTTTGCCTGCTAGGATGATTCTGATTATGAAGAGTTTGGTAGCTGAACAGAAGAATACATGTCCTACAAATATTCCTTAAGACTCCTTATCAAGGTCACTATCGAATGCATTATAGTAGAAAGAAACGTCGTAGCTTTACACAGTTGAAAACAACCATAACTATATTGCACTGAAGCTACATAAATAATTATTAAGCAGATGGAAATTTCTGTGTTACTTCTAAAAATTTAAAGATATTAAGTAAGGTAATAAGGTTAGCTTTTATGTGAAATTATTTTATCAATTATTTTGATTTTTTAAAATACTAGACTTCATCCATTTTGAAATGTTAGTTTTTCATTTATTAATCACATTACATAATGTGTCAGTACACACAATTGTCTCTTGTAAGTCTTTTAGTGGTGCCATGGAAATTTTGAGTTTGATTCATGCTTTGTGGCTAAATTTGCAAATGAATATCAATCAATATTTCTGGACCTTAATTTTCTTATCTGCAAATAGAGAAGAATAATAAGAGCTAAAAAGAATAAATGTGTATACCCAGCTGACACAGAGCTAAACACTTTCCACACCTTAATTTATCTAATCCTCATCATCCCCAGCACCCACGATGTGGCCACTATCCTATCTTCATTTTTACACATGAGGAGGCCGAATTCACCCAAGATCACAAAGCAAGTGATGGACCCATCATTCTTCAAGCCCAGGCCAGAGCTTCTCTGGGGAATTTCCTTGATACTTAAAGTTATTTGGGGGAAAAATCTGAGCAGAATTACTTAGAATTATTTGAAGACACCTTTATAAAAACTTATTTCTTCCTGTTTAGAAGCCTTTACATAGGCTCACTATTAGGCAATTCTGTGTTATTCCATAAAACCAAGTTTGTTGTTGACTTTAAGAAAGAAAGCTGGTACTGTGGAATAGTTCCTTATGGAATGATGATGTTGGTCCTGGAAAACAGATGGGTAGAACCTGATTCAAATGCAGGTTTGACTGAATCACTCCTGAGGTTCCTTGTAGCTGGGTGCTCTATGACTCTTGGTGAATGCCTGGGGTTGGAGAGCAGCATTCCTGTCCCTTTGTTGGGGTCCACATAGCTCAAGAAGGCAATGCAGGGCATTAGTAAGAAGAAGAAAAGGTGAGTGTTAGCTGTTGAGATAAGGTAGCTAAATAAATTTTTGAACATAAAAGTAGACCTGAGAGCAGAACTCTCAGTCCAGTTGTAGGTCTGTGCAGAATGGACTGAATCATGGCCAACATTTTCCATTTTCATCTCGTTCTTCATGAGCATTGATCACAACTAGAATCAGTAAAAATTAAACCACAGCCATAGATGCTTAATGAAGTGGGGAAAGTTCCAATTTTGGGGAAGAAAGGGGAAAGAGAGAAAGGGAGATGGTGAAGTAAGGGAGGGTAGAATAAAGGAGGGTGGAGAGAGAGAGAATAGCAGGAAAACAAAAAGTGGCTATCTAGGCTAGAATGAAGCCTTGTTAGAGTTGCCTACTACACCACTGAGATAATGATGGCTGAAATAACTCAAATCACTCCCCTGCCTGACCTTGGGGTTAAGCTGGCTTTCAGTGTTGGAAAGAGAACCCAAGAGAAATGTTTGTTTTAGCAGACATGTTAAGCTTCTTGTGAGAAGACAAAGCCACCGAATGAAGAGATTACCACCAAGAGTGATCTGGACAACAAAGCCTCAAAGCAAGTGGCTTCTCGATAGTTAATGTACTAAGTGCAGAATTCCTAAGCACTCTGTTCAGAAGTGGTGGAGACATGTTTCAGTGAGCAGTTGATTGGTCTTCCCTGAGAGCATTTTGAATCAGCCAAATATACTGAGGGCAAGATTTAAAAGGTTGTATCTCTTGGCTTTATTTCTTTTTTTCTAGAGGTTTTGAAAAGCAACATTTACTTTCTAATTTTTTCCAGTGAATTTAAAATACTTCATAACATAATGTGCTACTTATATCAAATGTTTATTGTGTGACCAGGTAACTAGAATTATGTCATGCTGAAAGTAAAAAGACTGTATGGTCATCTTCTCACTCAGGGAAAATGTAAACCAGGAAAATAAAAAGTTATGTTTGGTTCCTCGGCCTCACTATCTCAGAGTTGTCTTATTGCTACTCACCATTCAACCATGGCACACAGTTTATTGGCAGAGTTAAGAGAGCCTGCATTCTGGGTCTGTGCTGCCAGTACATCTATTAGAAGAAATCATGTAGATCCCAATTTGACTCAATGTGGAGGGGGAAGTGAAAGTTGGCTACCTGAATAAGAACTATGAATAATGTGTGAAAGATAATTTTTTTCTTCATTCCTTTCCTTTCATGTCTAACACCTTCCCTCCCCAAAACTGCCTCTCCTCTGACTGGGTAATGGGGGTGCCTGTCACAATGATTTTAAGTCTGTTTGTGGGTCTATGGCTGGATAACTGAAGCAGTGTTTCCACAAAAGCATAAAGGTTTTGGCACATTGCTCATAGTCCGTTGCATACAGCAGATGTTCACAAATCTTTCTTAGTGTGAGTGTGTGAATAAGTGATTTTTAAAAAACTCATTATTTGAGAATTTGATTTTCTTTTCATAGTGGCTCCCAAAACAGGGAAAGGGGAAGTTTTGAAACAGATCCAAGACACAAAAGTCCCAGATAATCATTTGGATGGGTAACAAATTTCAAGATCCAAAAGGATGGAGATAGATTGGAAACATGAGGCAAATTCAAGAAAATGAAATTTAATACCCAACCATGTACCTTTGAGATGGGAGAGAAATTGTTAACAGCAGCATGGCAGCATGTGTAAATACAGCCAGATTTCCCTTTGGTTGTGTTGTATCAGTGCCAGAAAGGCTAATGCAACTCTAAATTGCCTCAACAGAAGCAAACAGAGCAAAAAACAAACCAAAAATCAAGAAAGTGAAGCAATTATTTTATTCTGAGGTCACACCAGGAGTCTATGGGCAACCCAGCTAGTTGATGAAGAGATACAGGATAGTGCTAAGGTGGCCAGTTTTAGAAACCTTGGCACAAGAGGAATCTGGCTAGCCTTGGCTGGGCAGGTGTGGGAGGGCTAAAAGGTACTTGTGTCTACTCTGGTGGCTCCAGGAGAAAGAATCAGAAATTGTACATAGAAGTTTAGAAAGGGCAGAGCTGAGTTCAATGTAAGGAAGAATTTTCTAGCTGAGTTGACTGTTTAGGGGCATGGAGGAGCAGGTTCCTCAAGTTAGTTATGTTCAAGAAGAGGCTGCACAACTCCTTACTGAAGATTTCCTATCAGGTTGGTCTAGATGAGTCACTGTTTCCCTCTAACTCTGTGGCTGTGGTTCTCATGCCATGTTGTGAAATAAAGTGAAGTCATATGACAGAAGGTAAATGGAGTTTAAGGTCTGTAAAAGTAGATGGCCATCAGTATTTTCCTTTTCCACAGGGTCCGTAGGTCAAAGCAGGAAGGCAGCTGTCCAAGGTGCTGGAGGGAGGTTGGCCTGTGTCTCTGGTTGTGCTCTCTTGGTTGTCTTCATGCTTGCTGTTTGTTTTAATGCCTCTGGATTTTCTGCTTTCCTGTTCCTCGTACAAACCTACACTTCTCCCTTCCCCACATGCACACTGGGCCTTAAACTAAAACAAAGAGAAAAATGCACTGGAAATGTGTTAGGGGGCTGGGGCTAAACTACAACCTAGAGCTTCCTTCCTCTGCCCTATCCCAGCAATAAGTGAGTCCATGAGTCCATTTTGCTTTCAAAGGTTCAGCTTGGTATATAAGGTTGGACTGTTTGAATGGATTGATAGTTACAGTAGAAATAAATTTTTTTGAGACACTTGTACTGATTTGCTTCTTGATTTCTTAATTTTATCCTTTCTACAGTACATACATATCTTGAAAGGAGACAGGAATCTTAGGCAAAACAACAGTGATTTTTATGGTGAGGTGGAAGGAACACTCGATGTTTTAGCTAAACGCTTCTGTGGCCTTTGGTATACCCAGGAACTGTGGGTTGGTAATAAACCTGTCAACATCTCCACTTTCTATTTGTGTTGCCTTCTATACATCATATGACTTCTCAGTCCCTTAGTTTTTTAGATGGAAAAAACTAAGGGTTGTGAAAATGAAATGTTAATATATGTCAATGTAAATACATGTTAATATACAACTATGGGTTATGAAAATGAAATAAGCTAATATAGGTCAAGAACTTCTTAGAACAATACCATGCACAAACATAGTGTTTTAGTATGTTGTGTTGAGGGGGTCCTCAAGACCACCCTTTTCTGTATTTGATAATTTTGATAATGTCTTCCTAACTTACTAGAAAGACCCACAGGACACAGAAAAGTTGTTAAGACTGACAGTTGTGGTTTACTACAGAAAAGGATATAGATTGCAATCAGGAATGGAAAGCCATGCATAAGGAGGAGTCCAGGAAGGACCAGCTGTAAGTTTCCAGTTGTCCTTCCAGTAAAATCACATGAACAGAACTTAATTCTCTTAGCAATGATGTGTGACAACATCTGCAAAGTGTTGTCAACCAAGGAGGTTCATCTGTGCCCTGGTGTCCAGGTTTTTATTGGGGGGGGGGTGTCAGTCTCATGGGCATGCAGTACCTTTGTGACTGACCTTAACAGCTCAGTCCTCAGCCTTCCACCATTCCCTCTTGTTACCAGGCCCCACCACTTACTTACTCAAAGTTAGTCTTTGGGTCAGGGGTTTCCTCAGTATTGTCCCTTCATGGTTCATCAGAAAGATGTTACCAGAAAGTGGTCCCAATTCAGACCCCAAGAGAGGGGTTCTTGGATCTCATGCAAGAAAGAATTCAGGGGAAGTCCATAGAGTAAAGTGAAAGCAAGTTTATTAAGAAAGTAAAGGAATAAAAGAATGTCTACACCATAGAAAGAGCAGCTCTGAGGGCTGCTGGTTGCCCATTCTTACGGTTATTTCTTGATTATATGCTAAGCAAGGGGTAGATTATTCATGCCTCCGCTTTTTAGACCATATAGGTTAACTTCCTGATGTTGCTATGGCATCTGTAAACTGTCATGGTGCTGGTGGGAGTGTAGCAGTGAAGATGGCTGGAAATCACTCTCATCGCCGTCTTGGTTTCGGTGGGTTTTGTCTGGCTTTTTTACTACAACGTGTTTTATCAGCAAGGACTTTATGATCTGTATCTTTTGCTAACCTCCTATCTCATTCTGTGACTAAGAATGCCTTAACCTTCTGGGAATGCATCTCAGCAGGCTTTAGCCTTATTTTACCCAGCCCCTATTTAAGATGGAGTTGCTCTGGTTCAAGCACCTCTGACACTCTTACTGCCTTAAAAGGGTCAAACTGATACAGTGTGACCTAAAGCCCAGACATACAAAACCAAGCATGCACTATAAATCACACTGTTAGCATAAACTACTTGGCATGAAGTCAGGTCTCAGATATACAAAGATCTCCTTATCAGGTAGACTACTCTAAGGGCTCAGAGGAGCCAAAGGCCAGTCTTGAAAACTTGTAATGTGTAGGGTTTGGGCACCCCAGGTCTACCGAGTTAACAATTTACTGCACATATATGTAAGTTTTACTTATTTGAACAATTTAACCATTTTCATGATAATTTGTTTTTAGTTGTGAACATTTATTAAATATCTACTGCGTAGCTCTTTTTATAACCTTTTCTCTGTAAGCTGGAAAATAATTTGGTTTAATTCATATTATAAACTTCTTAGAAAAAAATCATTATTACTCCAGTATAAAAGGACACATCAAAAACTAATGATCATTACTAGTATTGCAATAGTGGTTGGTCATAAGAGTGCTTCATAAGTTTTAACTATAATTCCATGCCAAATGCTCTATGCATATTATTAGTTGTAGTCGTCTTTATCAACAACTGTGGGAAGTAGGTAATACTTCTAGTATACAGGTGAGAGAATCAAGGTCCAGAGAGTTTTAAGAACTCCCCCAAGCTTCCCAGCCAGTAAGGGACAGAGTCTAACTTTACCATCTGATTCATGGTCTTAACATCATGCATGGTAGTTTCCAATGACTCTGAGAGACAAAAGGTTTAAAAGGTACACTAAAACATTAAAAATTCAACAAACTTTATATATCTGAAGGTACACAGAATATTTAGATGCTGGGGCAGAGTGTGGCTAGAATACATATGTCCCTTTTACCAAGAGAAGAGATCACTGCAAAGATTATTCCAGTACTCCAAAATGCTTTTTTGCCGTAAAAATGTGGTTTAGCAAGCAAAAGAAGTAAGAAAAACAGAGATACGAAAGGGAATATATTATGTAGTTATTTTGAGTGTCTTTATTTCTTATTTTTATTTTGGAGACAGGGTCTACCTCTGTCACCCAGGCTGGAGTGCAGTGGCACAATATGGCTCACTGCAGCCTCAAACTCCTGGACTCAAGCGATCCTCCCACCTCAGCCTCCTGAATAGCTGGGACTACTGGCATGTGCCACTGCACCCAGTTAATTTTTGAGTGTCTATTAAAAAGAGAAATATAAAATCCGGATGTCTTCAAAGGTTCCAAAATTGTCACCATGAATTGTTTGTAATTCTGTCTTTTTCCCTCCCCTCTTGTTAGATCTCAGTCTGTGGTAGAAGCTGGGACCCTGAAACATGAGGAGAAGGGAGAGAATGAGAACACCCAGCCACTCCTGGCTCTGGACTGAACCCTGAGTCACCCCAATGCTCCTGCACACTGGCCTTCAGTGGTATCAGCCACCCAGGAAGCACATGCACAACTGACCCATGCAGACACGTGTGTTCTGCTTGACACAAGGTCCTCCACTCCTGAACCCCTGCAGTGACTGTCACCAGCCATCGGTCTGAGCAGCCAAAGTTGGACAAAGACTTGAGAGATGCTTTTTTTTTCCCCCAGTGAGGGGACTGGAGGATGATGCAAGGCATTTATGTAAAAAAGATTCTCCCTCCTTTCATATTTATTGTAGTAAATTGAAAAAATAAAGACTAAATTTGATGGACACACTGCATTAGGACAAGAATTTTTCTGAGGTATCACACAGGGACCCTCTCCAGTTTTTGAAAATTAAGTGCATTTCCAAGTAAATGTATCAGAGTTAAACTGTACAGACACCACTGTCAAGTTTCATGTAGTACAAAGCCCTGAGACAATAGTATCTCCAGTAATTTCCATTCTTACTGAATTATTTCCTTTGACCTCATCACCAGCATCGAATTGTTCAGCCTAAGAGCATGTTCTCATAGGTCTGGGTATTTGCAAAGTTTGCTTATTTTGATGATATCCTGCAAAAAATTATTTTGATGTCACATCTCTTGTCAGGTCACTAGCTGACTGTCATGAGCTGACGTTAAAGGAAGACACATGGACGTGAAATACGATTATTTCATCTGAGCAATGTGAGTTACCACAGGCAGCTCAAAAGCCCATTAGTGCAGCATGTGTCTGCAGAGGAGATGTCTCATGAAAATCACATGTCAGTGATTAATGAATCCATTCCAGTTGCCTCAACTGGGTCACTACAGCAAAGAAAAGTGCTATCAAACCATTTACCCTTGCCCCCACAACCCTCCTGCAACCATTAAAGATGTGGAGAAAGACCATGGTTGTTGCTGAGAGGGTAAATATTCAATCATGGAGCATGACCCATATGGATGGCTAAATATGCAAGTACTGAAGTAAGAGAAGACTAGAAATGCAGGATGAAATGTCAAAGGTCATTTTATTTACCTAGTCTCCTTAGAAATGGAGTCCCCAACTACTCATTCAAAAGAAATCAGACATAAAATAAACAGACATCATATATGATATCCTTACTTGTGCCATGTTTTCCAAGACCAGTGCATATTTTTAGACATCTCTTATTCGCCCAGCCATCTGCATGACATGGGTATTTATTAGTATTACCAGTTGGTGCTCAAAGTCAAACAAAAATATTTTAGTTAATAATGGGCAGTAAAATATGATTTTACATTATTTTAAATATTTGGGAGAGTTAATTTGTTAGCTAAATAATTCAAGGGAAAGAGATTATTCAACTGGTCATAATCACCCCTGATAATATTATTACTAATCTTAATTATTTATTACATCATCTCTTTCTCAATGGATCTAATGTTTTAATTTTTTCCCCTATTGGTAGAGAACAATAACAGAAGTAATTTTTATATTATACACTTGGAGAAATAAAGTTGAAACAGAATTAAAAATATTTCTCAAACAACTGTATCACAATATAAATTAAACTAATTCATTTTTGTGTAGACATACGAAATCACAAAAATAATAACACTGAAATAATTCTACCAATGCAGTGATGGAAACACTTTTCTTATGTACCAAGACATAGATAGGTAAGAGAAATAAAGAATTGAAGTGAATTAGAAAATCCATTTTATTGCTTGGGTTTAAAATAGTTGTGGGATACAAGTATTTACAATGCTATTGGAGTCAATTATTGACAACACTTTGCAACAGTAATACCATTTCTAGCTTTTCAATTGGCAATACTTAGAACCTTACTGTAGTGACCTGATTTTAAATACCATATTATATTTACTAAGTTAAGAGCTAGTTTTTACTCTCTTCCATAATTTCATTACATGAATGTAAGATGATGGCTCAAAAATGACGACTTATAGTTTGAATTTATGTGTATGCAATATACATATGAGAACCAAATTCAACAAGTGACATGAATGTTACTACATGAACATTGAATTGTATTGCCCTTGTCAGTTATTTCCTCTGTTCAATAAATACTGAAGGTCACAAACACCTTTTTACTTTTCAAGAGTTTGCCTTCTCTTCTCGATTTTAGTAATTAATTTGGATATTTTTCCTCCCATGCCTCTTCATCTGATTTAGTGGGATGTTTTCAATACCAGCAAAACAAAAGAACAGGAAAAGTATTTTGCAAACTCATCTACTGGAAGCTAATCTCCTTAAGGTCAAGCAAAAAGGGTCAATTTCAATTTCAAAGAGCTGTTCTTTAAATGAGATAAAGAAAGTCTCCTTTTGTTTTTAGATGGAAAAGAAAGCACAAGTTTTTTCTACCTGTGAATGAACTTTGGTGACCTATATGTGCCATTCATGCAGCATTTTTGTTCATATTGGCTTAGAATTCAGTGCATGAATATCATTACATTCTTATATCTAACATTCCTAGTTAGCTTTGATTCAAAATATACAAAATCTGATACATGAATACTTTGCTAGATTAATGACTTGATCATCTTTGGAATGAGTAGGCAAGACGATTTTTACCTATTATTTCTATGTTGTGGGTAATGTTAAAACTAAATACAGATGATAATAATTGCTATTTCACAGTGATGTTTAAAATGGCAGAGATTTCTCAAGCCAGAGAGATGGGACAGTCTTCCAAACTCTTTCATCAAAAAGGAAAGTAATCTGGACCTCCTACGCCCAAGAAAAACATCCTGGCATTCTTGGTAACCTTTTACTCTGCCATCCTTAATCTTTCTACAGAATTGTAGCAGAAATCATCTCCAAGACTGAAGAGCTGGCTTCCTGACATTCACATGGATCTACCATAGGCAAAGACACTGTGTTCCCAGCCCTTGCCTCATGGATGGCAAAGCCGCCAGGAGCCAGACACCCTAGCAGCCACCTATCCACCCAACCCTGAAAGAACATAGTTTTATTTCCGTGAACTATACTTTTTCCCCAGAAGCTCTAATAATTGGCATTAAAAAAATTTGCATCTGGGATTTTTATAACAATATAAAATAATTCCATGCTCTTTTTTCGGTGTGAAAAGTTCCTCTTTGAAAGAAATAGGATTTTGTCAATATCTCCACCACTAGCATAGTGAGAAGAGGATCTCAATCAAGATAAAAAAAACCAAACGATTTGAGAGTTGGGATGGGTACAGTTCATAGACACTGACATAATGAGCTCTTTCTTTTTTGTTAGGAAAATAAAACTGCTTTTTTCATGAGTATCTTTTACTAAGAAGAATTAAAAGAGGGAAGTCTGAGTTCCCCAGTAATGCTACCATTAAATAGCTAGAAGTAAAGCATTTATACAGCTTGTCATTAAAATAAACAAAAATGTAGTGGTACATGATGACAAAATAGTCTAGCTACACTAGAAAAATATAACTGCATAGAAAAATTACAAACTAAAGCAATCCATTCACAGTTTCTACATATGTTCTCATTATACATTGAATTAGACCTATTCTATGTGGAAAAAATATCTTTGGCTGGTAAGGTAGAAGCTATCAAATGTTCACCTTAAATACTGGCAGAAGACCAGTGCTGTCATGAGATGACACACAGCAGGGTGTTTCCTAAATGAATTGCAGCGAGGCAAATATTCCCTTTAGTGTCTTCTGACCCTAGGAGGAGGCTTTGAATTACTCGGGCTGCAAGTCAAGGGAATTGACTCTTGGTGTTCGAAATTCTATCCTCACACCCAAGGAGATGGAACCAGAAAGGCAGCCTCTCTCCAGAGTTTCCCAAGCTTGCATGAATTCATGCTAAATTGCTGGAAGGCTGCGTCTCTGCTGTGGTGTCAGTTCCGGATGCCACACATCCACGATGAATATCAGCCGGAAAGATGAGGCATCCTGCCATACCTCGTGCTCAAAGGAGTCATCAAAGATGAGCACCTTGCCTTCCTCCCAGGTCCTGCAGCAGAAAGACAAGGATTCCTGAATATAGTTTTGTGTGGTTCAGATGTCTGAGGATCGATTCCTGTCCATGTGCGAGAACTACCTTTGGTAACAACCTTTGGGACATAACCAAATAACTAGAACATCAAGCCCAAGTTTATTCTTCCCTTGATGATTAGGAAAGAATTTCAGAAATCTTGCTATGAACATCAGTTTTCATTGCTCAGTGCTGGAGATGTACAAACAACAGAGGATTTGTGATGAAGACATATTGGTCTCATTACATGCCTTGCAATTATTCTGTATATTATTACATGTCTTGCAATTATTCTGGTTTAGACATATGGGCAGTGACTGGGTCTCAGGCATCTCTATGCCTCTCAAGACACTTCCAATCAATTGTCTTTTCAGCTCACTCCACTTGTTCAAGTTTCATTTTATGGAAGAAAGGAATCTGCTTAAACACAGTACCATAAAGCAGAAAACTAAATTAGGAGTTTCCTAGCTAGTATTCCAGCTGAAGAAAATGGGCAGATTGGGAATAAATTTTGTTTATATTTTTAGTATCATCTTCTATGCAAGTGGGTTATCCATGGGATATTTTAAATCAATGCTGCAAAACACCCTATAGAGCTTCCAACTTTACCTCATAAGATATCTGTATAGGGACTGCGATCTAAATATAGTGTTAGTCTATTAAGAGAGAAACATACAGGAGGCAGTAACACAATGCTTTTCAAATCCAAAGAGAGTTTATGAGGGACACTGATGGTTCCTTATTTTAAAAATAGATATTAACTGCCAATATATTAAATACCAAGTTATGTTTTTAAAATAAAATTTTTGCTAGAAAATTTTCCTTAGATACTAAAATGCCACTTAAGCCTTCAAAATTTTACATCCTGGATTAGCAAATAATGACTATTATAGCATGGGAAATGCTAGCTTGATTTCAAGTTACTATATTATCATAAAGAGGTTTTCTGTGCGAAAACTAGTGGTGAATTTTTATGTTCCATATCAGGTGATTAACTAATATAAACTGAGCAATACTACATATATTGCAGGGCTTCACAACCGTGGTACTACTGACATCTAGGCTGGATCATTCTCTGTTGTAGGGGCTGTTCCATGCACTATGAGATATTTAGCGGCACCCCTGACCTCCACCCACTGTATGGCAGTAGCATTCCCTATACCATGAGGTTGGTGCAAAAGTAATTGTAGTTTTTGCCATAGTTGTGACAACCAGAAACATCTCTAGTCATTGCCAAATGTCCAGGGTGGGAGCAGGAGCAAAAATCATTCCAGTGGAAAATAACTGACATACTGAATAAGTCTGATAATAAAATTTCCAAGTTATGTAAACTAACAGATAAAGTACTGAGTATTTGCAAGTTGAAAGTTCACTGAAGTTGGGAACTGAACCTCTACTTCTACTACCCACCCTCCCACCTCCACCCAGTGTGCTATCTCATACACTTCGTGATATGGTTTGGATGTGTCCCCACCCAAATCTCATCTTGAATTGTACTCCCATAATTCCCACATGCTGTGGGAAGGACCCGATGAGAGATAATTTGAATCATGGGGGCAGCTTCCCCCATACTGTCCTCATCATAGTGAATAAGTATCATGAGATCTGATGGTTTCATCAGGGGTTCCCGCTTTTGCATCTTCCTTATTTTCTCTTGCCGCCACCAGGTAAGAAGTGCCTTTCAGCTGGATGCGGTGGCTCACGCCTGTAATCTCAGCACTTTGGGAGGCTGAGGACAGTGGATCACAAGGTCAGGGGTTCGAGGCCAGCCTGGCCAACATGGTGAAACCCCCATCTCCACTAAAAATACAAAAATTAGCCAGGCGTGGTAGCGCATGCCTGTAATCCCAGCTACTCAGGAGGCTGAGGCAGGAAATTGCTTGAACCTGGGAGGCAGAGGTTGCAGTGAGCTGAGATCATGCCACTGTGCTCCAGACTGAGTGACAGAGCAAGACTCCATCTCAAAAAAAAAAAAAAAAAAAAAGAAGTGCCTTTTGCCTCCCACCATGATTCTGAGTCCTCCCCAGCCATGTGGAACTGTAAGTGCAATTAAACTTCTTTTTCTTCTCAGTCTCAGGTATGTCTTTATCAGCTGCATGAAAACGGACTAATACACCTTGCCTCATCTCTTGCATTCAACACACACATGTTGATTGGCTCTTCTACAACTCCTCTGAAGGTTTTTAGAGTTCCATTGGAGTTCCATCAAGGGTAGCAAAAGACAGAAATCTATGGACTTAGGAGAAAATGACAGAATATGCATTCATTACCATGCAAAATCTAACTTGAGAAGAAAGGCAAAACCAAGGCGGGGAAATACGCTGACAAGAAAAATCAGTGAAACAGTCCACAGCTTCCACAGTTAGGCAGGCATTTTCTAGGTCTCAGTGTTGTCACCGGGATTAAGCAATGTCAGTGGGTACCACAAACGAGCCTATAATTTATGTAGAAGATGAGGGAGGAAGTGTACTCAAAATGAAAGGCAGTGCACCTATGTTCACAGCAGCACTATTCACAACAGCTAGAAGGTGAGAGCCACCCACGTATCTATCAGTGAATGAACAGACAAACAAAATGTGGTATACACATACAATGGAATATTAATTCAGCCTTAAAAAGGAAGGAAATTTTGACACATGCTACAACATGTATGAACTCAGAGGACATTATGTCAAGTAAAATAAGCCAGACACAAAAAGATAATTACTAGTTGATTCTACACATCTGAGGTCCTAGACTAGTAGTTAAATTCACAGAGAGAGAAAGGAGAAGAGTGGTTGCCAGTGGCCGGTGGGAGGACGGGAATGGGAGTTATTTAATGGGTATAGTTTCAGTTTTGCAAGTTAGAAAGAGTTTTGAGGATAGATCATGTTGATGGTTATACAATATGGATGTACTTAATGTCACTAAACTGCACACCTAAAAATGGATAATATGGTAAATTTTGTTATGTGTATTTTACTACAATTAAATAGAGAAAAAAGGGAAAGGCAAAGGAGAGCATGTGGTAGAGGAGAAAGAAAGAAGCAATACAGGAAGATGGAAATTTATGGTCTTTGAGGGGAATCCTCTTGACCTTGGCATTTATTACTTATGGGACCTAAGGTGAGCTACTTAGCATAATTGATTCTTTGTGTCTTCATCGGCATAATTGATGTGAGGATTAGCATATGATTGGCAATAGTAGATATTCAATTAATGACAGAAAAATGAAAATATAAAGAAAAATAGGGAAAAGATAAAAGACAGAGGTGAAATGTTGGGAAGTGGTATGTTATCAAAAATGACATATGCATCACTCTTTATGATGTTGTCTGCCTTCCTTTGAGACAACTAAAAACTTCCAAGGGAGATGAGATATAAAAACATCTTCAGAGCATCTGTGAAATGTAGTTTGTACAGCAATGACAAGTGATTTTCAAAGTTTTTTGGGTGGCAGAGAACCTGGAAACTACTTAAAACACTAGAAGTAATTAAAATAACTGAATAGAAAATTCTAGCCCACACAAAATGACATTTTTCACTAGATTATGATACGTATAACAAAGCCAAAGATCTAGAATTGTTTTCTGGGAAAAAGGCCTTAAGCATTCCATTCATTAAATTAAATTCCTGAGAACTGGGAAAAGTTATTAGCACCGGAACACGCTGGTCACTCATGGAACATCAGTGCATATAAAAGTAGAACTTAAGAACCACAGGCTTGCAGCTTTCCAGATACATTAAGTACAATACAGATCAGTGTAAACCATTAATTAACCAATTGTATAAATAAGAAATTTGGGGAGGTATACCAAAGGGTTGTTAATTGGCCTGTTTCAGGGTCATAAAACTCTATGGGGAAAGTGAGTGCTGTCGGACTTATTTGCCCTTCCACTTTCTTTCATACATTTCCCCAGAAAATAGCAAAGATAGTCAATAACATAATGTAGATTTTTTAATGTAGATTTCTTCTGAATTCTTAAAAAAATGGTGTCTTTCAATCAGTTATTAGAGATAGAATGACTAAAACTGTAGTCACGATTCACCTAAAAGGGGAAAATGAAGAACAATAAAACATCCTACAAGCCATGTCCAGACTTAAGTGACTCCAGGTTAAATTCGAGATGTATCACATGCTTGGGAAAGGATGTTTTTTTTCCACAACAAAGGGAGAGGAGCATAAAGATGTCAAATCGCTTCTGACTGAAAACCAAAGACTCTCATTAGAATGCAAAGAACTAGTTTTCAGGCCACTTGCTTTGTGAACAAAGCTCCATCAAATAAGATTAAGTTACACTCGAATTACGACATACAATCAGCCCTTTGGAGAAACAATCTTCAGAGCGGCCTGTGACAGAGGTCTGCCTGGAAGTACTGTTACAGCCTTGTCTAAGGACCCAGAGAAGCAGCATTGGGGGTGGGCACTGCTCTCCATCCCTGGAAGCTTGGCTCACTGTTGGAACTTCCTCCTTCCCTTCCTCTCTCTCTTTCTCTCCTCCCACCTAACCCTTTATTTTTTTCAAGACAGGATTTGCTCTGTCACCCAGGCTGGAGTGTGGTGGCACCATCACAGCTCAATGCAGCCTCCGCCTCCCAGGCTCAGGTGATCCTCCCACCTCAGTCTCCCGAGTACCTAGGACTACAGGTATGTGCCACCACATCCAGCTAATTTTTGGATTTTTTTGTAGAGATGGGGTTTCCCCATGTTGCCCAGGCTGCTCTCCAACTCCTGGGCTCAAACAATTCTCCTGCTTTGGCCTCTCAAAGAGTTGGGATTACAGGTGTGAGCCACTGTTCCTGGCCTTCTGTTAGAATTTCTTACCACTAAGAGAAGAAAGTCTCTCTCTGGGTTGTCAAAAGATATAAGAATATCTCGTCCTAAGATAAAACAGTATTCCATAATCTGTCAACTTCTCAAATTATTATAATTATAAATAATGATAATGATAAAATGGTGGCAGTGCATATTTAATAACTATAATTTGGTCACAGAATTACCATTGATATTAATAAGGCTAAGTAATGATACTAGGTGCTTATAGAGTCTTCTACCTACAAATTTTATAGATAATATCTTAGCTATCTTTGCTAAAATGTTCTGAGATAGGCAAAGGACATGACTGTGATTTTCACGCAAAGGAATCACATGGAAACAGGTTCAGATGTCTGCAGTGACACTGTGATTCTGTGGCAGAAGCAGAAAGTCATTACAGCCCAACACATTGACTTAAGACCATGGTCAAGAGACATTCTTAGTGTCTGTAGATGACATGCTGAGGTGGCCTGCAAGGCATGAAACAGGCTGAGTTGAAAACAGAAAAGGGTCAGAGAGCTCAGGAATAAGGATATTTGACACAGCTCTTACTGTGTCAATAAGAATATTTGACACAGCTCTTACTCATTCTGATCTACTGAAATTCCCCAGTTCAGACTCCATTGAAAGCCCTGGGATGGCACACACTGTAAGCAAAACGTAAAACTGCATTGTCACACTTCTTCTTCTCTCTCTCCCCTTCTAACACACACAAACAACTTCTGCCTTCCTCCTCTTAGTTCCAGGTCACCAGTATTTAAGGGGTTTGTAACTCAGATGAAGGCACTGAAGGAGGAGGAAAAAGAAGGGGAAAAGGGAAAGAAAAAGTCATAGTGTTACTGGAAAGGAGCCCTGATCCAGAGCCCAAAAGAGGGTTCTTGGATCTCAAACAAGAAAGAATTCAGGGCGAGTCCATGGAGTAAAGTGAAAGCAAGTTTATTAAGAATGTAAAGGAATAAAAGAATGGATACTCCAATGGCTACTCCATAGGCTGCTGGTTGCCCATTTCTATGGTTATTTCTTGATTATCTGCTAAACAAGGAATGGATTATTCATGTCTCCCATTTTTAGATCACATAGGGTAATCTCCTGACATTGCCATGGCATCTGTAAACTGTCAAGGCGCTGGTGGGAGTGTAGCAGTGAGGACGACCAGAGGTCACTCTCATGGTCATCTTGGTTTTGGTGGGTTTTAGCCGGCTTCTTTACTGCAACCTGTTTTATCAGCAAGGTCTGTATGACCTGTATCTTTGGCTGACCTCCTATCTCATCCTGTGACTTAGAATGCCTTAACCATCTGGGAATGCAGCCCAGTAGGTCTCAGCCTCATTTTACCCAGCCCCTATTCAAGATGGAGCTGCTCTGGTTCAAATGCCTCTGACAATAGGGCTGTAGAGATGGGATGCCTTCCTCCTTTCCCCTACCTCTCCAGTTCCAGGGTAGGGGCACAGAGAGAAAAAGGAGAGATGTGAGTAGGGGGGGAGGGTCTCTGCTGCATTCTTGTCACACCTCCCTTCTCCAGGGTCCCTCCCAGCTCCAGGCCTATCAAATCACGCCCCTATCTGTACCATTCCTTCACCTGCCCTGGCCCACATGACCAGCTCCTATTTCACTCCTCCTTCCTAACTCCTTAAAGTCCCTTCCCCCATCGCTGTCAAAGTACTCACTCCAGGCTGTAAGCACCACCTCCAGTGTTATGAGAGTGCTTGATCTCACTCCCTGGAACGTAAGGACAGAAGTCTCCATTTCTGCAGCAATCAGACAGGAGGATAATAAAAGCTCAAATATACTGAGTGCATTTACCACACAACACTTTATAAATACAGTTCTGAGTGCATTCATATGGATTACTTTAATACTCAAAACCATACAAAGACATACTTTTACTCTTCCTAATATACAGATGGGGATATTGAGGCTTAATGAGGTTATGTAAGTTGTATAGAGTTACTCTTTACAAGAGGGAAAGCCAGGATTTGAACCCAAGTCATGAGACTTCAATGTTCTGAATATGTTTTTATGAAGATACATAACACTAAAATCTGAAATAAAAGCTCAGGATGCATTTTTTCCTGCAGAAACATTACTATAAATAGTCACTGGTTCTAGAGCCCTATTAATAAAGATTATTAGTTAAAAAGCTTCTGGGAGCTGACCTAGAAACCACCACACATCATTTACTATTGCCAGAGAAAAATGGATCCCACCTTTTCACCAATCGGTTCAACAAACAAATGTTTGGAACATAATCCATTTTCCATATGGGAAATGCCATTCCCTGTGGAGGTAGAGAAATGTATGTGTGCACTTTCTATGTACTCATGTGTAGGAACAGCCACAGACACACCATTGGGTCACAGAGCAGGGGTCAAGACATGGTATGGATGTGTTTAACTCACCAAGTTGCTCAAATGAAAGAAGAGGAAAAAATGTTACTATTCAACAACAAACCTTCAGGAAAACATCCTATCTGGTTAAAAACTGTCCTTTTTGTCCTAGATGGGCAGGCTTCAGTGATGACCTGTGGATAAGGTCACACTGCAATGCAGATGAAGATGGGAGAATATCTTGTGGAACAGAAGGTTTATGATTTCAGGGAGAATAGTAAAAAAAGGAGAAAGGAGGGATGAAAATATTTGGCTCTAAATGATTTGGTAAATTGCAGCTTCCACATGTGATTCAAAAATTTTAAGACAGTCTTAAAATTATCTCCTTGGACACTTTATGAAAACTAAACAATTATTGTCTATGAGGAATTCATGATGAATTAAAAAAATTAAGTCTCTCTTACTGTTAATATTTTAGCATGACTTTCACACAATCTTCCTAATTGGAACCTTGAGAAATGAATGAAAATATATGTTATAAAATACTTGAGGTCTATGGAGGAAGGCCATTATTTCTACAGCAATATAGAATTCTATAGGATTAAATGATTGATTGCCAATTCATTTTTTCAGTCTGTCGCTAAGTGACGCTAATGTAGATGTGTGCTTTCCTGACAACCTATCAGTCTTGTTCAACATTTCAGGCTAGTAATTGGCAGGCAATAATGCTGAATCTGCAGGAGAGCTCCAAGGTCACGGTTCCTTCTCTTAGCACAGTTCCAGCACATTGTGGAATGCCCTTGGAGATTCAGAAGAATGAATTTCTCTCTGGGATCATTCAAAGCTCACAAACTCAGCCACCTCCTGAGTATAATAATTAATTCCCACTTGCTGGGGACATGTTTATCCCCTGACTCAGGTTTACTCAGCTCCGGATCAAAATTGCTAATGAGCTTATCTTTCTTTTTGAGATGAAGTTTCACTCTTGTCACCCAGGCTGGAGTTCAATGGTGTGATCTCAGCTCACTGCAACCTCCACCTCCATTATTCAAGTGATTCTCCTGCTTCAGCCTCCCAAGTAGCTGGGATTACAGGCATTAGCCACCATGCCCGGCTAATTTTTGTATTTTTAGTAGAGACTGGGTTTCACCATGTTGGTCAGGCTGGTCTTGAACTCCTGACCTCAAGTGATCCGCCTGCCTCGGCTTCCCAAAGTACTGGGATTACAGGTGTGAGCCACCACACCCGGCTCTAACGAGCTTATTTTACAGACCACAAAGCATGGTCCCCCTGAGGTGACATGAACAGAAGGCCCAGAAAGGGAAACTCCCAGCTGCTTTCTCTACTTGTCTGGAAACAAAACCCAGCATTTGAAGTGATCACCTTATAAGTACAGCATGATCCTAATTTTATAAACTACAACAAAATCCAAAAAGCCCAAGCAAGGCTATGTGATCATGTCTAGAACACAAACTTTCAAGCCAGAATGCCTGGGACTGAACCCACTACTAATATTGTAGTGGGCTGAATGTCCCCATAAGCCGCCCTGTCCCCCTTCCCTGCTAAAAACGATAGATCCATCTGGAACCTGAGACTATCACCTGATTTGGAAAAAAGATCTTTGCAGATTGAATTAAGTTAAGGATTTTGAGATGAGATCAACCTGGATTAGGGTAGGCCCTAAATCCAATGATAAATGTTCTTAGAAAAGAAAAGAGGAGAAGACTCAGGGAGAAAGCAATGTGAACACAGAGGCAGGGACTGAAGTGACGTGTCTATAAACCAAAGAACACCAAGGGCTGCCAGCAGCCAGAAGCTAGGACAGGGGAACAGATTCTCCCTTAGAGCCTCCAGAAGGAACAACCCTGCCAACACCCTAATTTTATACTTTGGCCTCCAGAACCACGAAATAATACATTTCTGTTGTTGTAAGTCATTCAGTTTGTGATAATTTGTTGTGGCAGCCTTAGGAAACATATATAAATGTCAGCCTCAGGCAAGTTACTTATCTTTATACTTCAGTCTCCTCCACTGTAAAACAGGAATTTTAATAATCCTAATTATACAGGATTGCCATAAGCATGAATCAGTTAACGTATGTAGAGTGCTTAGAGCTGTGTTTGACACAGATATAATTTTGGAACAATGTATATTATTACTATCATCATTATCATCAATACACATATATAGACATTGAGAAGCACCTGGCAATAGCTCTGGGTATTGGGATAAAACAATACATTTTTATTGAGCTTCTCTGTGTTATACAAATTATGTGTGAGGGACGTGTATCAGTTTTCTAATCAGAAGGCATTTATTAATTTGAAATAATAATTTCATTTACAGTGGTAAGGGCTGCATACCTGCCAGTTCATCCTCAGAGAGCTATGCTACGCTTTGCAGGGATGGAATATTTAAACAGTATACACACTGGTGGAAATCTTAATCCGATTATTAATACCTGAAAAGAACAATGTACAAATTGCTACAGATAACCTCCTCTTTTAGAAGTTGAGACAGTCTGAAAAATTGCTGCCTTTGGCTAGCACAAGGAAACTGATTTCTTGGCATGTGTGTTTTTCTTTCCATGCCAAAAGTACTTCTACAATCATAGCACAGAACTTCCAGATTTCATACTAGACTCTTTCTGTCCTCAGAGTTTATAAACTGTCTACTATCAGATTTCTAGCTCTTTTCACTGGAAGCATTGCACAGCACTTTAATTGACCCATTTCTCTTATGAAAAGCACTATTTTGTAATGAAGTGCTAAGCCCAACTCAACCACCCTTGAATTAAGAAATATTAAGGATGAGAATGTAACACAACATAAAGCTGGTAAAATAAAAAGAACGTGGAGAAGGGCTGCTGACCAGCAGTCATGGTGAGGCAGAAGGACCCCTGTGCTCAGCAACTCTTCAGGGAGGAGAGGACAGAAGCATTGCAGTCTCCCTGGCCCAACAATAGGCAGGTGAGTTGCAAGCACTTTTAAATAATCACTGTGGATTTGCAAAATACATCGTCTGCAAATTATTATTATCAGCAGCTCCATCCTGTCACACAAAGTAGGTTGTGTTTTACCTCAGCAGAAACTGAGGGGCTGCCAAGTTAATATTCTCATTCAAGACCCCCCTCTGAGTAGGCTGGAGTGGTCCTTCTAACCCTCCTCTGCCTCTGCTAGGTGAAGATGGTTAACCTAATTATGTTTTAAGCTTTAGGGGAGGGGTTGGTGGTTGTTTTCTTTATCAAGCATGGACACAAGGTGTTTGCTGGGAGCCTGGGGTGGGGAATGCACCTACAAATGTGCTCCTGAGGCAGGTCTCCCAGCATCACTCCTGCATTTGTTTTTTTGTTTTTTTAAAGAGATGGGGTCTCACTATGTTTGTTGGAGTGCAGTGGCGCAGTCATGGCTCACTGCAGCCTCAAACTTCTGGGCTCTGGTGATCCTCCTGCCTCAGCCACTGGAGGCCCATGCCACCATGCCCAACATGCATCTTAAGCCCTCTGTGACTTTGTGCTAAGCCTCCTGGCACCATCCACCTGCTCCCATTCTTGGCTGCCACACCCATTCTTCCAATCTTGGCTTTCTCTTTCTGCATCAGGCTACTGAAGACTAGGCTCAGTTCCATCTCTCTTCCTCTCCCTGCCTATGCCTAAGTAGATTTTTTTTTTTTTTAATTTTAGACAGGGTCTTGCTGTCACCCAGGCTGGAGTGCAGTGGTGTAATCACAGCTCACTGCAGCCTTGAACTCCTGGGCAATTTTTTAAAAGTTGTTTCTGTGGCTGAGCGTGGTGGCTCATGCCTGTAATCCCAGAATTTTGGGAGGCCCAGGCAGATCACAAGGTCAGGAGATCGAGACCATCCTGGCTAACACGGTGAAACCCCGTCTCTACTAAAAATACAGAAAATTAGCCAGGTGTGGTGGCGGGTGCCTGTAGTCCCAGCTACTTGGGAGGCTGAGGCAGGAAAATAGTGTGAACCTGGGAGGCAGAGCTTGCAGTGAGCCGAGATCGCCCCATTGTACTCCAGCCTGGGCGACAGAGCGAGACTCTGTCTCAAAAACAAAACAAAACAAAAACAAAAAAACTTGTTTTTGTGGAGACAGGGTCTTACTGTGTTGCTCAGGCTGGTCTTGAACTCCTGGCCTCAAGCAATCCTCCTGCCTTGGGCACCCAAAGTTCTGGGATTATAGGCATGAACCACCTTGCCTGGTCCTAAGTGGATTTTTCTCTAGTGATTTTGTTCCAAGTATCTACAAGCAGAATATAGAAGAGAAGGAGGAAGGCAGGAAGGCAGGGAGGCAGGAGGCGGGTGGACAGGGAGGGAAGGAGGGAGGGAGAGAGGGAGGCAGGCAGGCAGAAAGGAAAGAAGGGAGGGAGGAGGAAGGAAAGAAGGGAGGGAGGGAGGGAGAGAGAAAAAATAGGAGGTAGGAGGTGAGGGAGAGAGCAAGTGAGCTGGTGAAAGAACAAATAGGCTGTAAAAGCCTAAGAAGCACTGAGGCATGAGGCTGGGTGCTCTTCTCCATCTCCACTGCCTCATGCTCTCATGTGATCTCCAAGGAGTTACCTTGTCAATCTCTGCCTGCTCCAGCATTCTCCAACCTCCTCTCTGAATTCCTTGCATCCTCCAATGTGTCCCTGCTCCTTTTCACTTTGGCAGAGAGACCCTGAAGACCCAAACCGAGTTCCCAGTGTAAGACAAGATTCATTCCATGCCTGAAGAAACTTCTGCCTGTCCAGTGATCCCTGATTCCTCCTCCTGGTCTACCCGATTTTGCCTTTCTTGCCCCATTTCCTTCTTGGTTCTCCTTCCTCCTTCCGTCTTCTAAATACAGATGTTTTCATGGAACCTTTTCATTTCTGTCATCCTTCGATTGTCTCAAGCTTCCTCTAGAAGTTCCTGATAAGTCTGACTCTCAAATCTTTATCTCTAGACTTACCTTCTCCCCTGAGTGCCAGGTCTCTATTTCCAGCCACCTCCTGGATGGTTCTACAAGTGTGTTCCAATAGCAACTAAATAAAATACATAAGCACTAAATTCATCTTCCTTTCCTTGAACTTGCCTCATGCCTCCCAAATTCCCAAGGTTTGCTCAAGCATCGCCACCCTCCACTGTCCAAAGACTGCAATTGCAGCAGCATCTTGGATGCCCCATTCCTGTATCACACATTCAAGAGTCACCTCTTGCATCTGCTCTCTAGTCTCCATTTCTTTCCAGCATCCCAATTCCAGCTCTGTTTATCTTTTGGGTGGGCTGCTGTGACAGCCTGCTAATTGTTCTTCCCACTGTCCCCATAGGATTCACCCATGGGTTCCACAGTAACTTCCTAACAAAGGTCTGATCCCATTAGTTTGGGATTCAAAGCCTCCTATGATTTAGTTTCTAAAAGACTCTTTCACTTTGCAACCTTATTCTTTATGTACCATACACTGCTGGCTGCTGAATTATTATTCAATATTCTTCATATGTGGCCATAATTTTTGGCCTCTGTGCCTTTAATGGATACTGTTCCAGAATACCCCTCTTTAGCTTTCAATGTCCGAATCCTTCTTGTCTTTAAAAACCACCACTCTGCAAGTTGAGTGTCTGTGAGCAGGTGAGGCTCCTGCTCATGGAGCCATCTGTAGTATTTTTAGCTTATCTGTAGAGAGGCCATCTGTAGTACCTCTTCTATGACCACGGTGGCCTTCAATCTTGTGTTATCTTCCTGAGCAGACACACCTTGCTAGGTGTCCTCAGAAGAGGACGGCCCCTTCTGAGTCATCTCTGAATTTCCCACAGCACCATGGGCTGCCCAGGGCAGTTATCTGCCAATAATCAAATAGACAATTCTGCAGACCCCTGAACACTCATCCTCCACTCAGACCTCTACTAAGAACAATAAGAAATGTGTAAGACAACAATAACTTGCTTTCTGATCTCCAGGAGCTTACATACAGCTTGCTATGGAGATAAGGGTAATATATATTAATGAATAAAGAGTAATAGAAGATAGGAATGGGATTACTGAGGATATATACTCTGAGAGGTTCTATTTTTATAAAACTAAATTGGATCTTAGTAATAGGTTTATTTTGGACAGGTGAAAAGACGGGCATTCTAGGGACAGAGATTATCAGCATCATAGGTACAGAAGCCAGAGCAAGTATGGTTTGTTCAAAAGATCATGAATAAACATGTCAGGATTAGGAAAGTAACACGCAAGGGAGGGAGAGGAGATCTAACATTCATCACGTCCCGACTGATACCAGAACATGGACTGAGCACCTTATAGGCATTATTCCAGTTAATCCATACAACAACCCTGCAAAGTAGATGTTATCACTGCCAATTTTATAAGCAAGAAGGCTGATGTTTGAAGGGATTAAGTAACTAGCCAAGGTTACACAGGTTAGGTGTTAGAGCTGGGATTTGAAAAAGGCAGCCAGCTTCCATTGCACCATACCATCTCCTCTATATCAAAACGTATAAATATCATGGGGTGAGTTCTTCAGTTAGGGGTACTTCTTGTAGTCATGAATAAGTCAAGTTGCAAAGCAGGAAGCACAATGCATAACATCTGCAGGGCTCAATGCATGTTGGCTGACTCTGAATGCACATCTGTCTACCCAGAGAGAGAAACAAGGCAGCTCCTCAACTAGATAAGTACTCTGCCGAGAAATAATGGAGGAGGGCAGCCCTAGAGCTGGGCAATGTCTCCAGGCTAATAGAAAGCACCAAGAAGGGATATAGACTTAAGAGTTTGGATTAATATCACTTTGCTCCAGTCTACTTCAGCTACAAAAGAAGATAAGTAATCCAAAGGAACACAACTGTGTTGTAACAAACTCTCATCCTCTGAGGTGACGGATATGACGGATAACAGAGGACCCATACTTGGTCTCGTTGGCACATCGAATCTTGCAGCCTTCCTTGGGAATCACCAAGCCCAGGTGCATTCGGAGCCTGCAGTTTGTGGGCCCTGTGTGCGGCCACACGTGAGTCCCGGGGTGCATGATGGAATATTTGATCTGCATAGAAAACATGACACTCCATTCAGCCATTTATCAAGGTGTGGAGGAACTGCTAAGTTAAGGTGACAGTACAAAATTACTGTCAGTTTGGATTAGAGCCTTTGTAAGATTTAATATTTATATTCAAGTCTTATTTCTTTGTGAAGGAACTAAAAATAAGCACTCACATTTTCCACAAAGCTATAAACACTGAACATTTTCCACCCTCAATTCTGACGTCAACCACATAAAATTATGTTTCAGTAAAAAGGGCATGTAAAAAGAGGCATTCATTGGGCCAAAGGAAACAACCATTTCTTTGTAAAGGTCAACACGCCCTTATTCCTAACAATTAATTGTATTCTCCCCAGCACGACACTCTTGGTACCTGTCCTCTTCTGCATCCTGTTGTCTCGGGGAACTTTTCTAGTAAGGTACAGGTTTTAGGAGCTCCTTTGCAGGCATTTTCATTTCTTCTTCCTAGAATAAATAACATAATTGTTGGAAACAAATCACAGTAAAGCTTAAACTTATCCCATTTAGATGAGGTGAGAGCTATATGTCATCCTCACTGCAGGAATGAGAAGATTGAGTAAACATGAGAAGATGAAGTAGGAATGCAAAAGGCTTATTGGAAATAAATAAAAATTTATCAATAAAGAAGACGTGTCTTGCTCCAATAGGTAGTGACTGGCAGAGCAGGGATCCAAATTCTTCACTCGGTGTTGGACTATTTGACTAAGAATGTCTAACAGACAAGACACAGGTTAAAGGCCTTTGACCTTGAATAACACAGGGATTAGGGGCTTCGATCCTCCATGCATGTTAAGTTTTGACTCCCCAAAAACTTAACAACTAATAGCCTACTGTTGACTGGAAGCCTTACCCTATATCATAAATAGTTGATTAACATATTTTGTATGTTATATGTATTCTATACTATAGTCTTACACTAAAGTAAGCTGAAAAAAAGAAAATGGTATTAAGAAAATAATAAGGAAGAGAAAATACTTTTACAGTACTGTACGGTATTTTATCGATACCATAAGTTTACATCATCTGTTTACAAGATGAATTGAATGTCTGAAATGGCCTGCAACTACAGGTACAGACCTTAATCTACAGTACATATCAATCAATTCAACTTTTTCTTGTAGGGTCATGACTTTTCTCTGCTTCTTGGCAGCGTGTCCATCATCATTAGTTGCTCTTTGTATAGGTCCCATGGTGTTATTCGAGGTTTGCAGCATTGCATTAAACACAAGGAAAAATACACAAGAACCATAAGAGACCACTTTTCACCGTGATATGCAATTTACCAGAGAGAGGAACTGCTCACATGGAGACGACAGTATCACATGGTATTTTAAGCAGATACTGAAAACACTTGAGCTTGCCGAATAGCAACAGGAAGCAGCTATGAAATTATTACAGTAGTATAATCTGTACTACAGTTAATTTAATGGAGTTATGATTTAACACTGCATCTTCATGTTTGTTTACATTTCTCTTGACTATGAATGGTGCTATGTATGGTCTGTAAGTGCTTCCATGCATATGTTGATAAATTTTATTTCTTTATAATAGATTTGTATATATATAGTAAATGATACAATAGATTAGTACCTATATATATTTCATGCATTCATGACATACCTAATTTTTCTTAATTTTAAAAAATATTTCCAGGCTATAAGGTTCATCTGCAAATTTTTTTCAGATTGCCACAAATCTCAAAAAAATTTCCAATATATTGACAAAAATTCTTACATAAGCGGACCCATAACATTCAAATTCACGTTGTTCAAAGGCCAACTGTACTTATTTTTTCCCCTGTGACAGGAAAAATAATAGTTAGCTCCCAAAAGATGTCCATACCCTCATCCCATAACCTGTGAATATGTTGTCTTTCATGCAAGAGGGAATTAAGGCTGTAAGTGGCACTGAGATTTCTTATCAGCTCACATTAAAATAGGGAGATTATCCAAGATTACCTGGATGGGCCCAAGGTAATCACAGCATCCTTAAATGTGGGAGGAGGCAGATGAGTAAGTGTCAGAGTGATACAGTATGAGAAAGACTTGACTGGCCACTGCTGGCTCTGAAGATGGAAGGGGGCCACAAGCCGGGGAATGTGGGCAGCCTCTAGAAGCTGGAGACTCCAGAGGGAATACAGCCCTGGTGACACTTGTATTTTAGCTCAGTGTGATCTATTGTAGACTTCTGACCTCTAGAACTATAAGATAATAAATGTGTCTGTGTTTTAAGCTATTAAGTTTTGTGGTAATTTGTTACACCAGCCACAGGAAACTAATACATCCCCTAAAGAAGGAAAATAGCTTATATTATATTTCTAACTTAGAAATGCATTTCTAGGACTATATTAGTTGCCAAAACACTATTTTTATTGGACTTCAATGTCTTTTCCATATCCAGATCATCCTTTATATGATGATAAAGAATAGGATTTAAATGAAGAAGGCGTCTTTGAGAGGGGACATATTCTATGATTAACTGTCAAGAGCACAGATTCTGGGACATGTCATTTAAGTATCCTGAACTATGCAAATTTCTTTACACTCTATAAAGCCCCTGCTTATTAGGGAAGATGTGCTCAGAATGTACACAATGTCATCTGCTCTAACGGGGGAGTAAAACAATGGGATTTTTAAAAGTCAGAGACATTTTAATTCCCTATTCAAGATTCCTAAAAGAGACTGCTACATCTAAAGCTGAGTTTAATTTTATTTAATTAATGTTAATTGTGTCCTAAGATAATCACATACTGAGAATAAAATAAGAGTTACAAAAAACGCAACTAAAAGGTATTCACCCCAATCAAATGGAGCTCAATGTTTTAGAAAACAACTTAGCTTTTTCTAAGTAACCTTTTTGGCTCTTAATTGAATAAAATGTTAATTGCTATTTTTAGTTATTAATGGAGTTCCCCAAATGAACAATAAATGTCAGTTTGGGTGAATATTACATAAACCTACGAGTCACCGTAAAGTGTTTTTGAGCCTGGGCTTTCCAAGTCTTCTGGTATGCAGGGCCTGGGGCTGCTTGGCAGGAGTCCCCAATTCTGAGCTCTGTGCTGTCCAGGCAGCAGTTAAGTGAAACTGGTGGCTTGGGGAACAACCATAGGTGGCCTGGAGTTCTCACAAGCACCAGGTGGCTGAGCATGTGCTACCTGGAGAACAGATGTGCCTTACCTGAATGACAGGTGATGAATGGGTAACCAAATGGGTTGTGTCCCTGAGATTTTCAAGGAATTAGAGAACACCTCTAGCTCTTTAGACACATTTATCTTTCTGGTCTGTAAACCCAGATTCTCTGTGCAGTAGACTCTGGGCATTCATGCACTGTCACTGGTCATTTTAACTCTTCACGTCTGATCATGAGGGTCCAAGGAATGCAACGGCAGTTCCTTGATGCTCACGACAGGCCAGGAACCACTCTGCATGATGAGAGTGCCTCATTTGATGTCTACAACATGTCATAAGAAGGCTCAATTAGTGTTGTATTTTATAGAAAGGCAATTGAGCCACAGAGGGGTCACATAGCGAACAGCAGAGCAGGAATTTCAATTCAGCCAGACTGGACCCAGTGTTCATGCTCTTAACCAGACCAGAGACCACCTCTCCACTACTGTTATTACATCATGTGCTATTGTTAGACCATAAAAATATAATATTACTATCATATATTGGATAACTGTGCCAAGTCTTTCATCTAGTGCTCACTGATCCTAGTAACAACCCCATACTTGAGGCACTATTTGCCATTTTTCAGATGAGGGATTTGAAGCTCAGAGATTCAGGGACATGCACACATCACACAGCTAACAAGCGGTGCATCCAGGACTCTAACCTAGGATTGTTGGTTTCCAAAGCCTATGCTTTAAAGCATAATTTCTCATTTTGTTGCATTGTAAGTTAGAAGGCAGCTGTGCAGGAGCAAACCAGTTAACTCAGCCTGAAGAGGAATGCCCAGCATCTGCAACTCACTGTGGCTTTGTTGTCGTTTGATTATTTCTCACCAGCGTTAAACTAACCCTCAAGAAGTAATAAACCTTGCTTCTTTGGGAAAATAGCTCTAGAAAGAGATCTAACAGCCAATGCAAATCTGGAAGAATCATTTAAATTTATCACTTCTTACACATGAATATACTTTGTGAGGGCTATTCATGGAACTGATATCCTGGGTTGTATCTTTTATAAATTTCAAGGCTCTGCTTCTGGGGCAACAACAGGTTCCATCTTGCATGACAATTCTGATCAGTTGCTAGCAGCCACCTAGAACACTGCGTTGAGAAGGACTTAGAGGTTCAGCCTCAGCTTATTCAGAAAGGCTGTTGGGGTCAGTTAGCACCTTTCCCATGGGCTCTGGAAGAAAAAAATGACTGCACATGTGTGGCATATTTTAATCACTGTTGGTGGCACTTATTAAGATAAGAGCAAAATAGACGTTCCATAATATTCACATAACAATTTAAAAAGTTATTTTTGGGGAACAAAATCATTATTTATATTTGCTGATTCTGGTTTTTTCCTTCAACTCTAAAAAGCCAGTCCTTTAAAAAAACATAGTTCAGTCCTAATGAAACTACTTGGATACTGTATCAGTTCGCTAGGGCTGCCACAAGCAAATACCACAGACTGAGTGGCTTAAACAACAGAAGTGTATTTTCTCACAGTTCTGGAGGCTGAAAGTCCAAAATTAAGGTGTGGCCAGGCTTGGTTTCTCCTGAGGCCTCTTTTCTTGGCTCCTAGGTGGCCACCTTCTTCTTGTGTCCTCACACGTCATTTTCTCATCCCTAGTGATATGGTTTGGCTGCATCCCCACCCAAATCTCATCTTGAATTATAGTTCCCATAATCCCCATGTGTCATGGGAGGGACCAGGTGGAGATAACTGAATCATGGGGGTGGTTTTCCCCATCCTGTTCTCATGATAGTGAGTTAGTTCTCACGAGATCTGATGGTTTTATAAGGGGCTTCCCCCTTCACTTGGTACTTATTCTCTCTCCTGCTGTCCTGTGAAGAGGTGCCTTCCACCATGATTGTAAGTTTCCTGAGGCCTCCCCAGTCATGTGGAATTATGTGTCAATTAAACCTCTTTTTGGTATAAATTACCTAGTGTTTCTTCATAGCAGTGTGAGAACAGACTAACACACCCAGTGTTTCTTCCGCTTCTTATCAGGGAATCAGTTATATTGGGTCAGGGCCTCATCCTTATGACCTCATTTAATCTTAACTATCTCCTTAAAGGCCCTATCACCAAATACAGTCACACTGGGGGTTAGGGCTTCAACATATGAATTTTGCGGGGTACACAGTTCAGTCCATAGAAGAGACCTACCGTAATTTTACTTCCCAAAACTTCCAGCATCAGCCTTAGGCATTCGACTACCCAGCAGCATGATTTGCTAACTAGACAACGGCTAAATCTTTACTGAGCCAGATATTCATCACCTTTTTCTCTGAATCTGAGTTCTCAATGTGGCTAAGCAAACTGGTCACTCACCTCCCTCCCTATGACGTCCGCCCCTGTCCCTTCCACTCCAGAATTCTTCTCCTCTATTTCTGAACCACAGCACCTGACATGGATGCCATCCTGCTTCAGCATAAGCTACGATAGTACTTGCCATCACACTTATTATTTTCTTTCTTTCTTTCTTTTTTTTTTTTTTTTTGACAGTCTCGCTCTGTTGCCCAGGCTGGAGTGCAGTGGCATGATCTCGGCTCACTGCAATCTCTGCCTCCTGGGTTCAAGTGATTCTCCTACCTCAGCCTCCCGAGTAGCTGGAATTACAGGCACGTGCCACTATGCCCAGCTAATTTTTTGTCTTTTTGGCAGAGATGGGGTTTCACCGTGTTGGTCAAGCTTGTCTTGAACTCCTGACCTCAAATGATCTGCCTGCCTCGGCCTCCCAAAGTGTTGGGATTACAGTCATGAGCCACCACACCGAGCCCCAAATTTATTCTTTAAACTATGAATTTGTTTCTAGAAAATAGTTACTGGATTCCCCCACTAGAAGCATGGAATCACAAACCAAAGACCATAAAGAACTTTAAAAAATCTTCCTAAAAGGGAAACTATGTGAATTTTATCCCTTTATGACAATAAAATAAAACTAGAAATTCAGTTTTAAAATTTGAAGCAGGCTGAGTGGAGTGGCTTATACCTGTAATCTCAGCATTTTGGGAGGCCAAGGTAAGAGGGTCACTTGAAGCCAAGGAGTTCAAGACCAGCCTGGGCAATATAGTGAGACCCTATCTCTATAAAAACATTTAAAAATTAGCCAGGTATGTAGACGCACACATGTAGTCCTAGCTACTTGGGAGGAGAATTGCTTGAGGCCAGGAGTTGGAGCTGTAATGAGCTAGGATTGCACCATTGCACGCCAACCTGGGCAAGAGAGCAAGATCCTGCCAATCAATCAATCAATGTTGAAGCAACTACAACAGATTGGAAAACACATGCTCAATCACACACAGGCACATATACATATAGATCATTTTAAGTCAATGTGGAAACCAGGGCAGAAATGCAGTCTTTTTTTGAAAATAACTCAGGTAAAAATACCATATATTACAGTGTAGGGAATACATCCAAACCTGTAACTGTAGGTCAGTGCATAGCTTTAAATGCTATTATTAATAAGAAAGAATGAAAATAAATTTACTAAGGAATTCCAATCAAAATATTTAAAAGAAAAATAAAACAAAACAAAAAAGAACAGGAGAAGGAAGAGAAAATACAAATTCAGGAATTAGAAAATATAATCATAATCATGTAAGTGAGAAATAATTTTATGAGTTTTTTAAACAACAGGGTAGACACAATTCTATCACATGTAAGAAAGAGAAAGAAAGAACATGTAAATTCCATTCAATGGGAATAAGAATTTAACAAAGATACTAAGAAAGTAAAACACATTCTAAGAAGTTAAGTAGTTCATGGAAAATCAGGTATATTCCACCTATGTGAAAATGTAGAAGACAAAATGTTACCTCCAACAACATTATTGACTCCATAATTTATTTTCTTTCTTGCTTAATGCTTTTTATATCCTATAATACTTTGCATATTAATTTTATCAAATACTTTTTTTTTTTTTTGGCAGAAACTACAGTTTCTAGAAATTAGTGCTAGGATGCCTGCTATTCTGAAGCATTGCTCTAGGAGGCCCAGTAGGTTCTGTGATGCATAAGGATGTTAATGGAATCAAAGTACAAGGTGAACACATAAGTGCCAATAGAATGGACTCATCTTAGTGACATGTCAGAGGTAAATTAGCATATTGCCCAAATATGGATTGTATAGCTCCATTTAAAAAATTCTTGTTGGCAAAAAGTGGATAGACACTTTTCTTTATGGTTCTCTCTCTTTAGATGGAAGTATCCCTGAAAACATTACTAAAGTAGTTCCTCTTATTCTTACATAGAAACCATTCTGAAAGCATAATTGAGATAAACCACTGTCCTTATTTGTCCTTTAGTGTAAATTAGATGCATATTACAATCTGAATTTGTTTTCTGTAGCTGAAGATATGCAGCACGTGCTGTTTAGTCTTCAAAATAAATTTACTTTTATATAGTTATTGTTAATCCAGGCTAACTCCACTTTTCAAGGAGAAAATTGGAGTCTTAAATGCTCCTCATTTTAAAGATAGATGAATATATCAATTCACTGAAAACACACACACACGCACACACACACACATACACACACGCTGGAGCTCCATATGTGTGCCTGTACCTGGGTTAAGCTAAAAAAATATGAAGTTCAGTATGAGCCACTTCCTATTCCTGAAGAGCTGAGACAGCAGTTATTATTGTCTTGTCACTCTGGTGTGTTACCATTTTTACCAGCTGGTGTGTTACCATTTTTACCATCATCCGTGTTGATATCATTTTGCCATGCAACGTCACCTCCATTTTATAGGAGCAAATGATGCTCAGGGACATAACTTTCTAATACACTGATAACACCTGCTAGATTTTTCAGTTATGCCTACACAGTAGGGTTACAGTCAGTAACACATCATTCAACAGGAAAGACCAGAAAAATCAGAACACTATTCATGAATATTTATCCAAATACACACATGGATATACACACACAGCAATATACCTGGACACATACAAATAAGGGCTCAGATGTAGTTTTCAAAAACAATGAATGGATTTCAAAAATCTAGGTTTTTTTGGGCCCCTCGTTTAAGCCTGGGAATCCCAGCTCTGGGAAGCATCACCAGAAGACTCTTGTCAGTACCCACTTCCCATCAGGTTTGGGCTGCAGAGAACCATCTAGAAGTCAGAAACTCACCTTGCTGCCACAGCGTGAACTGGCTCCAGTCCCCTTTTTCCCTCAGGTTTTCATCCTCAGGCAGGAAGAGACCTTTGGCTTTATCCATCACTGCAAGGCCTTCATCTCGGATTAACTTCCAGTTTCTTTCTAAAGACTAGAGGGAAGATTCTGGCTTTACTGGACTGAAAAAGGGCCTGGTGGAGCACCTCATAATGACTCTTGTTTTTTTTGAGGTTCGTCTCAGAAAGGAACTAATTCTTTGCCTTATCTAGATTGCTTATATTTCAATTTCCTCTGGGACTTCTTGTCACAGCTATAAAAACCCCAAATCTCATGACTTTTCCAAACCAAAAGTTTTTATAACATAACAATTTCAATAACTCCTAGAAACTTCACAGAATAACCCTCTCCACAATCTGTTTTGCCTAAAGACTTTTTTTTGAAACCACAACCTAAGAAGAGTACTGATCTTGTTGATCAGATTACATCAGTACACTGTAATAACTTCCATGTGACACTCCAGCCTCTAAACTGGAACAGAAATCACAGACGTAATTTCACCTTTCAACAGAGTTCCTCACAAAGATGCCATTAAAGATGGTCAATATAAGTTAAACATTCAACATATCAGAAGAGTATCCACTGGAGGATTTTTGATATATAACATTAACAGCAAACCAAAACAAATAAATGCACTAGTGTTTAGAATTCAGCCAAACAAAAATATTTCCTTGACTTCTCATTTGTGAGGGAGCCTTAGCCCCTGCCAGAAAGGGAGCTTATGACCAGTAGAGACTAGGAGTGGAGGGGCAGGTGACGGTAGATCCTGTGGAAGATCCTCTGGGCAATCTGCACCATCACACTGGGTGTTGATTAGGAGTGGGAGGTGGGGGACAGTAGGGTGGGTAGGGGAGAAGGCAAAGGTGAGGATCTGAGCAGCAAACTAAGATGGATTTCCATCAGGAGACAAGCATAAAAACAGCTTTCCTACTTCAGGACAGAGACAAAGCTGTACAGATACACCAGAATTTTGAAATGTTAATAATTTCAATCATTTCTGTGTTCTATGAGAAATGGATGAAATAGTTGAGTATATAGATTCATGGACAGGGAGGAACATGTTAGCTGATTTCAACAAGAATCAGGGGCAGATCTATTTTCAGTGACTCAAGAGCATGGGACTAGAACTAATAGGTTACAAACCAAAAAACAGATTTTTATGGAAAAATGGAAAACCAGTAGAATATTCTAAAGATTGATTGAGTTTCTTTGTAAATCATGGTTCTCTATCATTTGAATTGGTCAAGCAAAATGATCAATTATTGGTTAGAGCAAAGCACGAGATAATGTGTAGAGTGTCTTTTTACCAAGTCCTGCTTTATAAACTCATGATTCCACATAAGAAGGTGATATGGAATCAGGATGGCTGCAGAGCCAGAAGGCTGTGATATAGACAGAGATTTATGTGGAAACATGGTGCCAGCCCCAGCCAAACAAGGGAATACTTTTTATATCACATGAAAACACTAGCTATTAAAATATTCTAGGGCAAGAAAGAGATTTTGGTTGATTTTATAATTTTATGATATGTATGCATTAATTTGTGTTAATATTGTTAACGGAAGACCAATGAGATGTGGGGAGGCCAAAGGAGAACTTTATTTTTCAAAAGCAATCTGCAGATTAGGGAGATGCAGCTTTGGAAAGTACACTCCCAGGAAGGGTGGCGGGGGGAAGGAGATGACAAAGGCCAAAACTGCAGGGCAGGGCAGGTGAGGAGTGTTGGGAGCAAGGAAGAATGTTGGCTGGATGGCCTTTCAGCCCCAGATCACCAGTCTCTGGTGGTTAATTGGCTGGTTCCAGGTGGTTGGTTGGCTTGTTGGTGCTAGGTGGTCTTGTTGGTGGTCAGATGGAGGAATTTCCAGTTGTAGTTGTTTTCAAAAACTGTTCTTTGACTTGGTTGCAGAAAAACAAATTCTGAAACACCTTCCAAGGACACAGAGAGCGTGACTGCCTCCTCACCTTGACATGGCCTCTTAGTTCTGCTTTTAACTTTTGAGCCAGAGGGAGTTCATCTTGTTTGCCAACTGGGGGCATAGTTTGACCACATCTACACCTGCTACTACCATTGCCCAGCTTGGCGTTGTCCTGGTCATTTATCCATGTTTAGGGCTCTGTTCCACCAACTAGGTTCCATATTACTTCATCCCAAGTGGGCAGTTCATGAAGAACAGGGCAAAGATCGCATTTCAATAAAGAGACATTCAAAAGCCCTTACTTTGTCAGATCCACAGATTGAGAGCATACAACCATTTTGTAAAAAACCCCAAGACCATGGAAAAGAAAAAAATGCACCCTAGGATTTCGCTGTATGTTCACATCTTCCCAAATGCACCTCAATTGCCAACACTCACTCTGGATATTGTCACTTGTTTAAGTTGCTAGATAAATCTGTTACATTCTTGTTAAATTGACACACAGACAAGGGAAGAATTGCTCCTCTAACACATAAAATTACTTTTCAAATGAGGTTATTGGTGCCTTATAAGGACAACCTATTCCTTTATTCCCTCCTGATATTTTAGAAGATTCTTTTATTTCTTTAAAGCTGATTTAGGGGCATGGTTGGAAACAGCTGATCTTTTGTTACTAAAAATAGGGCACAAAGCCCTAGGGAAAAATGTTAAAGTGATTGCATCACTCAATATAATTTAACATTTTTTACTTAAGAATAGACTATCTTTTATATATGAAACATTGCCCTTCCTGCCCCTTCACCCACAGCCTCCCCTGGGAAGTGTTGCCAAGGTACTTTTCGTGAATAGTAATAATTTTTTAAGAAATGTTTTGGCTTTTCCTTGTTATATGTGGCACACATGTACTGGATGACAGACTCGTGCTCAAAAGGGGCAAACTGGTGCAGAAGGGTCTCTCTGAACACATGCCCTAATATGCCACCAGACATTCTCAGTCCTAACTAGTACTACTAACTCAGTACTATCTAGTCCATTTTGATTATAAAACAGTCGCTTATTTTCTCTTTTGAGTTCAATACTTTCTTACAGAATTTTACATTGGGAAGGAACCATACTGTTAATCTAGCTGAAATTTCTTCAGTTTAGGGATGATGAAATGACTCCTTGTGTGGTTAATGAGCCTAAATCCCACAGTCTGGTGGTCAGCACAGGTGGTGCCAAAACCCCTCTGTACTATCTCCTCCTCAATTAGAGAAGGTCACATTTAGGCACAGGGATTTCAGGCTGCAGTGGACTCAAGGGGCCCTGCTCCCCTCGAGCAAAAGAGCAATTGCGAGGTACCCCAGCCTCCTGGTCTCAGAGATTTACTGGGTACCTGTGACTGTGGGTACTGGTCAGGAGCACTTGCAAGGTGCTTAGAGAGCAACATGCTCCCTGGTGAGCGCCCTGCAGAGGGCATGCCACCAAGACAGTTCAACATCTTTGGCAAATGGGGAAAACTGAGGGAACCAAAAAATCCCACCAGTTAAACCTGATGACATGTGTTTGAAGGCGTTTTCCAACTTTGGAAAGACAAACCAGGGGCCTTTAGGGGCACTGGGGGGAAATCCGGGATGGGACCTAAGAATGCTGTTTTTAAGCACAAACCAAGGAATCACGTAATATAATATTCACATGGTTAGAGGAAATTAAAGATCAATCCTAATTACACTCGGCATGTGTATGTCTATTCAGGACAAAAACAAAATACCATAAACTGGGTAGATTATAAATAACAGATATTTATTTCCCACAGTTCTGGAGTATGAGAAGTTCAAACTCAAGATGTAGGCAGATTCAATTCTGGTGAGGGCCACTTTCTGGTTCATAGATGGTACCTTCTAGCTGCCTCGACAAATGGTGGATGGGACAACCAAACTCTCTGGGGACTCTTTTGTAAGGGCACTAATCTCATTCATGAATGTTTTGCCCTTAAGGCATAATCATCACCCAAAGCCCCACCTCTTAATACTATCACCTTGGGAGTCAAATTTCAATAGATGAATGTGGGGGAGACACAAACATTCAGACCATATCAGCGTATGTGTGTGCAGAAGAGAGGGAGAGGGAGAGAGAATATGAATTTTCTCTACACTAATACCACCCACTTGTCTTCAATGGCAAATAATCCAGTTTTTAGGAAATTCCAACAGAAAACCTGAAGGCTCACAAACAGCAGGCAATGCCTACATTTTTAAAAGCCTCTTCTGAAATATTACTCCCTTGACTCTAAACTCATCTATTTCATAAAACTGAAAGAGAAACTAATTGCATCAGTATTCAGTTGGTTGCCCGAAAGACACCAGTTTCTAATTCCCATTTCTTCTTGTGGCAAAAGAGACTTTAGAAAGCACAGGTTTGATTCTTTCTACGGCAGCACATGGCTTCATAAAGCCATCTCAGCATGTGCCTCACCAGTTACACCTTAGCTATATTTTTCACTCTAGGCATCTATAAATGGCCTTCCCAGTTCTGACCTCATGAATCCCACATCCTGCCCCAGCTCTCCTGAATCCCAGACCTGCATCCAGTTAGGAGCAGTTTCCTCATCTCCCCAGACAGCCTGCTCATGCCACCTGGATGCTGTACTTTTCTCTGTAACATCAAATTAAGTCCTATTTTTAAAATCTTCTCTTAAAATTGACTTCCTGCAGAAAGTCTTTCTTTTGAGAAGCAAACTAAAGCCTAACTCATTTTTATTTAACTATTTTTCTTACTAATGTTTTTGTTCAATTAAAAAATACACATTTTTTAAAGTCAAATATTACTACAGGTCTTATAATGAGAATTGCAGTCTCTTCTCCAACTCTTCCCCAATCCTCAGTATAACTCCCGGCTAATTATTTAAAATATTTCTTCTGTTGTTAACCTGCTTATATCTAAATAGCCTGTTATATTGCTATTCTTGATTTATTAATTTGAGGCATTATCACTCATCTATTATAGAAGGTTAACAATTAAACAATTTAATGTCTTCCTTCTCCATCCTTGTAATACAGTTAATTTCACAAATCTTTCATATCAGTGCAAATTCACATTCAGGTTTTATAATAGTATGACAATCAGGTATCATTCATACTTGAGTTGTAATGATTACACTTCATGTCACATGCAGCATTTTTTTTCTGTCCCCTTTTCATTGGCTTTATTTTGTAATGCACTTCATACTATTTCTTCACTAACTCTGAAAGAGTGCTATTAAATCCCTTGATGCTTTTATTCTACCTTTTGCCAAAAACATTATAAATTGATTACTTTCTTGCTTTTTCTCTTTTTCTGAAGATAACCCTCCCGCAGCCATTTGCCTTGCTCTGATCTGGATCAGTTACTGTCTGAATTTGCTAGATGATGATGGCCATGGAACTCCCCTTGGCCTCTGCCTGGTACTGGGCTCCCTAATTACTGGATTCTAGTTATTCCTGAGGAAGGACACACCACAGGTAAAATTGAATTCTGAAAGTGTCTCAAGCTCTTATACCTGATTGAAGGTTTGAGTGTGTATGGTTAGGTATTTAGGTTGTAAATTTATTTAGTTAGTAAATAATTTTGTTTTATAATTTTTTTCTTGTTATCTAGTGTGATACTATTTTTATTTTAAAAATGTATAGTTGACAGAGATTGAATATATTCAAAGTGAACAAGGCAAAGGGCAATATATATCAATGAGTTGATATACATCTTATAACTGAAAGTTTGTACTCTTCAACCAACATGTCCCCATTTCTCCCACTCCCCACTCCCAGGCAACCACTGCTCTATTCTCTGCTTCTATGAGTTTGACTTTTTTAGATGCCACATATAAGTGATATCATACAGTGTTTGTCTTTCTATATCTGGCTTACTTCACTTAGCATAATGTCCTCCAGATTCATTCATGTTGTTGCATGTGGCAGGATATCCTTCTTTTTAAAGGCTGAATAATATCCCATTGTGTTTATATACTAAAGTTTTTCTTCATTTGCCTGTTGATAGACATTCAGGTTGTTTCCATATCTTGACTATAGTAAATAATGCTGTAATAAACACGGGGGTGCAGATACCTCTTTGAGTTACTGACTTCATTTCCATTAGATATATAATTAGAGTAGGACTGTTGAATTGTATAATAATTCTATTTTTAATTTTTTGAGGAACCTCCACATGGTTTTCCATTATGGCACCAATTTACATTTCCACCAACAGTGTACATGTGTTCCCTTTTCTTTGCATCCTCATCAACACTTGTTACCTCATTTTTTTCATAATAGCCATCCTAACAGGTATGAGGTGATATCTCACTGTCCTTTTGATTCGCATTTCTCTGATGAATAGTGATGTTGAGCACATTTTCATATACCTGTTGGCCATTTGCAGGTCTTTGAAAAAATGTCTACTTAGGCCCTTTGCCAATTTTTAAATTGGGTTATTCAGTTTTTTTGCCATTGAGTTGCATTAGTTCCTTCTATATTTTGGTTATTAACCCCTTATCAGATATATGGTTTGCAAATACTTTCTCCTGTTCCATAGATTGCTTTTTCATTTTATTGTTTCTTTTGCTGTGCAGAAACTTTTTAGTTTGCTGTAGTCCCACTTGTTCATTTTTGCTTTTGTTGTCTGTGCTTTCCATGTCATATCCACAAAATTATTGCCAAGAGGAATGTCTTTTTATAATTTTGAAAGGATTAGTCCATTACATTATAACTTTTAGTGTTGCTGTTGGAAACCTGATGACTTTTAGATTCTCCCTCTTCCTATCCTTCCTTCTCTAGAAGCTTTATAGGAGTCAGGATAGTATAGTGTTTAGGGGTATAAAATTTGGAGCCAGACTGCATGTTTGGAGATCTGACTCTGCCACTTATTTGCTGTGTGATTTGGGGCAAATTACTTATCTCTGTGCCTTAGTTTATAAAGCTTTTCTCAAGAGGCCCTTTAAGAATTAAATGTGTGAAAAGTGCTTGCACTATATGCAAGTATAGCTATGATGATGATGAGGATTTTAAGACCTTCTCTTTCTTTCCTGTTTCTTGAAATTTCATGGCAATATGCCTTAATGTAAAGGCAGGGTACTCAGTGGCACCCTTCAACCTGAAAACTCACATTTTTTCTATTCTGAACTATCTTCTAATATTATTCATTTCTTCATTTCTTCTTCTTTTTTTTTTTTTGCCTATTCTCCCTGGAACTCTTTTTATCTGAATGTCAGCTATGTTAAATTGAGCCTCTAATCATCCTATGTTTTCTATCTTCCATCTTTGCCTTTTTGTTTTTCCTTCTGGGAGATTTCCTTAACTTAGCTTCTAATACTGCTTTAAATTCTTATTTCTGCAAATCACACTTTTTAATTTCTGAGAGCCCTTTCTGGGTCTTCAATTCTTCCTTTTTACAGTATCCCATACTTGTTTTACAGATACACATCTTCTCTTATTGCTCTGAGTATATTAGAGGTATTATTTTGTTTTTCTTTTGTTCCCTACATTTTCTCGATTTCCCACAAGCTACATCATTCTTTTTGTTTTGTTCATCTTTCGTGTTAAAAATCTCCTTAATGTTTCGTGATCCTTGGCTGTCAGTCCTATAAAATTGAGACTACAATTGGACATCTTGTGAAAGGGCAGAGCCTGTGTCTGACAGGCCTCCATGTTGGGTGCATTGTCAAGCCAGTTTGTTTGTTTTTTAATTGGGGATCCTAAAATGTCAGCGTAGATAAGTCTATTCTCTGAGGCCATGCAGTTTCTTGAATTGCTGTAGTACCAGGTGCCTTGAATTTCTTCTTTGGAAGCTTCTCTGTAATTGCTACAGTTTCTGCTGTCTTAGATCTGCCAAATCATCTACTTCTGTTTTCCACTTTCAAAATTACACGCTGACACTGTTCATCTGCTATTGTCTCCCTTTAAAAAATACAATTTGTGCCATTTTATTCTTGTATTGTCATTTAAGTGAGGTTTCAGGTGGGGGGTGCTATTAAATGCATGTGCTCAGTTTGTTTAATCCTTCTTGACTCTTTATTTTTTTGAGACAGAGTTTTGCTCTTGTTGCCCAGGCTAGAGTACAATGGCGCGATCTCGGCTCACCACAACCTCTGCCTCCCGGGATCAAGTAATTCTCCTGCCTCAGCCTCCTGTGTAGCTGGGATTACAGGCATGCACCACCATGCCCAGCTAATTTTGTATTTTTAATAGAGATGGGGTTTCTCCATGTTGGTCAGGCTGGTCTTGAATGCCCTACCTCAGGTGATCCGCCCGCCTTGGCCTCCCAAAGTGCTGGGATTACAGGCGTGAGCCACCATGCCCAGCCCACTCATATTTTCTATATATCTCTAATAATTGAATTTTCTTTCTTTACTTTTACCTCCTTTTCTCCTAGACTAGTCAAATCTTGTAATATGTAATCCAACCATCTAGTGATGCTTAGAAAGAAAATCCTATTAGCCGGCAAAACCCCTTATTAGTCTTTCAAATTCGTTTTTAAGAGATCATCAAACTCAAAGTAATGATATTCCACATGCTAGAGATATGCAGTAGAAAGTAAAAAAAAAAGTATCAGCATATTTTACATTTTGAATCAAACTCTGCTAATCCATATATTGATTTCTTGTTGACCTGGTTTCTTTTTGCCTCTTGGCCTATACACTTTCCTTGCATCACTTAGTTAGTATATCCTCAATCCCATGACACACTCAGATGATGATACAAGTGATACTTGAGGTTTGACCTAAACCATTTTAATTTTGTTCTAATCAATCATAATTGGTCTGAGCTTTAAATATTTTCTTGTATGTGGGAAAATAGGACCATTCCGAGAAAAGTTTTTGCTGAGGCAGTTAGTACACATTTCAGTAACGGGATTTACGAAGGAAAGTCACTAATGGTAATTTGCAAGGGCAGCCATAACAAAGTATCACTGGGTGGTTTAAACAACAGAAATTTCTGTTCTCACAGTTCTGGAGGCTAGAAGTTCAAGACCAAGGTCAGCAAGTTTGGTTTCTTTCGAGGGCTCTCTCCTGGGCTTACAGAGGGCCAACTTCTCACTGTCTGCATGTGGCATTTCCTTGGCGGACATGCATCCTGGGTGTCTCTCTTTGTTTCCAAAGTTCCTCTTCTTATAAGGACACCAATCAAATTGGACTACGGTCCACCCTAATGGCCTCTTTTTAACTTCACTATCTCTTTAAAGACCCAAACACAGTCTCTTAATACAGTCACATTCTGAGGTCGTGGGGAGTAGAATTTCAGAGTAGGAATTGTGGGAAGCAACAGTTCAGCCCATAACACTTATATAGCTTCAAGTTTGAAAAAGCTCTAGCTACAAAAGCAAACAGCAGATGGAAGGGGATCAAGAATATATTCACATCAACATAGGAAAAGGTAAATTCGCAGGAGCAAAATAAAACACAGTTTTGAAGAAATGCAGGAAGAGCTGTTTTTAACATGTGAACAAAACAACTCTTAGGGTTCAGTGTAACATAAGCAAGATTAGGTTAGTAACTGTTTGTGACTAGCTGTTAAGAAAAAGAGGCATCGAGAAAACAGACACTGGAAATTGAGAAAAGTCCCAGAGTTTTATACATTCCTTGAAAGTTTCTGACTCTAAATTGAGGAAAGGGATGCTGTGAAAGGCTATTCTTGGCAAAGTCTGTGTATTAAATTGGAGTTAGAATGAATTGATAACAATGGTGCATTAGTATACTGTGTACTAAATTTTATCTAATTGGTTAAGAATATGCTTGTCATTAGTTATTATTTGAGGAATTATGTATCTTATTTTTAAGAGATAAAATCAGCTTGCTTAAATTTTAGTCAAAACATGCCTATACTCTAAACATGATAAGACGAGTAGCAGTGTAATCTGCCTTAGAAACAACATCCCAGGATGGCGGGGATCCCCCTGGGTGCTGAGACGAGGTTATTACATCAAACACCATGGGACTGTAATGCTATTGCAGCAAATTCTCTTTGCAATACTTCTAACAACACCGCTAAGGAAATTACTAGCATTAAAGTGTAATCTCTCACTGGTCCTAATACACTTTGATTAGATCTCCTTGTTTTTCAAGTGTGAATATACAGATAAAAGAAAACAGGTGACTTTTTTTTTTTTTTTTTTTGAGACAAGAGTCTCACTCTGTCACCCAGGCTGGAGTGTAGTGGCATGCTCTTGGCTTGCTGCAACCTCTGCCTCGCAGGTTCAAGCAATTCTCCTGCCTCAGCCTCCCAAGTAGCTGGGATTACAGGTGCCCGCCACCATGCCTGGCTAATTTTTTGTATTTTTAGTAGAGATGGGGTTTCACCATGTTAGCCAGGATGGTCTCGATCTCCTGACCTCATGATCTGCCCACCTCAGCCTCCCAAAGTGCTGTGATTACAGGCGTGAGCCACCGCACCCAACCAACAGGTGACATTTCTTATTGTGGAAATAAAAGTCAATGAAGTGAGAAATGCAAAGCCTATTTATTCTAAGCTTGCTACAGCAAGGGAGTCAGCCACTGTCACTTGTGTTTTGGCAGACACTCTAAAGGCAGGCAGAGGAGTAGGAAAGCTTTATAATAGGAAGAGAAGGCTTCAGGCATGCTCTGAGTGGGGGCTGTTGGCCTAAGGAAGCTAGAAGTGGCTAACTAGAAGCAGGACATCCTATGTGATTAGAGGAGGGTGCATATTTGGCTCTCTCTGGTTGGGCTTACGTTGGAACTGTGGACAAAATTCAGGGAAGCCTTCAGTTATTAATCAAATCCTGGCTATTTGGGGCTATTCTGATTGTTACAGAATTGATTGTGTAGCTCCCTGGATTGTTACTAGATACAGAAGTCTGGCTTCCTGCAAGTCTGACTTATAGCATGCTGGTTTCCTGGGCTGTTTATCATAGATAAGGGATTGGTTTCCTGGGCAGGTTACTGCAGGTTGTGGGTCAAAATTCTATTTTTACATATAGTCTGGCTACTGACTGTGAATTCAGCCTCTCATCATCCTTGCTGAAGGAAAAGGATAACATGAGGCACCTAGCTAGCACTGGGGTGACAGGAGAGTCTTGGAGAAATGACTTTTGCTCGTTCTAGTGAGTGAGAGAAAAAGGATTGCTTCACCTGAGAGGAAGGAGAAAAGATAATCCAGGTTGCCAGGACAAACAACCAGCCTGAGGGCTTCAAGGACTCAGATGGCAGAGGAGAACCATATTCCTCATATATTGGCTCAGACAGGCAGGGAAGCCAGTCCGCCCTATCAGTCAGAGAAGGTAAAGGGAAGATGGGGAGCTGACTTCATGTCCCACCTACCAGCTGGAAACAGTGCACTAAGGGACATCCTGAGTGATGCTAGAGTAGCAGCCCCACAGTCACTAATCTCAGGCAGCTGAAACTTTATGTGTATATAAGCAACAAATTTCTTGACAAAGAGATAAACAAATTGCCTATAATGTGTATGTGCATATGCACATTTTTTCTAAGAGACAGGGTCTTGATCTGTTACCCAGGCTGGAGGGCAGTGGCACAATCATAACTCACTCCAGCTTCAAACCTCTGGGCTCAAGAAATCTTCCTGCCTCAGCATCCCAAATAGTTGGGACTACAGGTGCACACCACCATGCCTGGCTAATTTATTATTATTATTATTATTTTGTAGCAACAGGTCTTGCTATGTTGCCCAGGCTGGTTCTTACTTCTGGCCTCAAGTGATCCTCCTGCCTCAGCCTCCCAAAGGGCATATGCATATTTAAGACATCTATCTGTGTAGCATATTGAGACAAATCATGACCTACTGAATTAGACATTTTAGAACCCCAAATGGAGTACCAACCTAGAGGTATAGTTTGCAATTATTCTGAAATATCAAACGTTGTGCTGTAAGTTCCCAAAGAGGGTCAGAGAGAAAGCCAATTTGTAGGTCTTTTTTTTTCTCCCACATTGACAAATAATAAAAACTCACTGATTTTGCTTTCAGAAAAAAAAAGCCTCTTTGTATGAAATAACTCAAAGAATATAAAACACTGTGTTCCTTTGCTCTGCTGCCATAATTGGCATCATAGGCCACCCTATAGCCTCAGCCGTGTGGACTCTTATTAAGGGCTCATATCTAAATAGCACACAGGAACATCCATGATGGAAGGCTTCATTTTGTTTTGTGTTTTAAGCCTTACCAAAACGTCACGGGAGAAGAGGAGCTGAGGTAATTATTTTGAATTTAGAGATAAAAAAACAAAAAACAACAAAAAAACAGGCTCAGATGGGTAAAAGGACTTGCCCAAAGTGTCAGAGCTGACAGCAAAACAAATCTGTTTCTAATTATGGAGCCCTTTTAAAAAGTTCACCGTTAAATCATGTAATTATCAAACTCCACACTCCAATTGTTGTTTTGTTGACATCTTCAGTGAAAGTGTCATCGAAACCCAAACAGTTTAAAGTTTGATTTAGAAAGATAAGACTAAGCTATTATGTTAATCTTAAGAAATTGCTTTCAGTACTTCTTGATACTATATTTACTTTTACATAAAAGTAAATTATATAAATTATTAATCCTCTTAATTTACAGCTTAATTCCACTATAAATCTGACATTTTTGCTTTCTCAAATTATTTCATTTCAAAAGCAGTCCAGTGAAAACATTCAAGTATTTAATTACAAAGAAAGAAATGCTGAACCACTAATTTAGTGCTGTGTAAGTCTTATTTTTGTCTAGGCGAAGTCATTCATACACAATGGATTTCTTAATTAATAAAAGCCACAGTGTGAAGGAAAGTGACAGAGTGCTATTCTAATCAATCATTCCAATGCACTATGTCACATCACTGGCAAAATATTACTGGGCACTCTTCCAGCTGTAATAAAACTACAATATGAAGAAAGGCAAACTTATATATGATGCTATTTTGGATCACAAAACTTATTTATGATGCTGTTTGGATGTGTTTATATCCAAGCAGCTGCGCTGAAAAACTGGGAAAAGAATGCAGTTTTCCTTTTTCTCAGTGATGAATGCAGAGTTAGACAGCAGGAGAAACAAATACAAAAAATATATTTTAGGCCAGGTGTGGTGGCTCATGCCTGTAATTCCAGCACTTTAGGAGGCCAAGGTAGACGGATCACCTGAGGTCCGGAGTTTGAGACCAGCTTGGCCAACATGGTGAAACCCGTCTCTACTAAAAATACAAAAATTAGCCAGGCGTGGTGGCAGGCGCCTGTAATCCCAGCCACTTGGGAGGTAGAGGCATGAGAATCGCTTGAACCCGGAGGGCGGAGGTTGCAGTGAACCAAGATCACTCCACTGCACCCCAGACTGGGCGACAGAGTGAGACTCCATCTCAAAATATATATATATTTAAAATTATAGTTTTTGTTATCAGCGGTAGTTTTCTGTATGGGTCTGCAGCAACCTCAATTCTTTCCTCCTCAGAAGGATGAATTCGACTGAGGGGCATAAAGCAGGAGAGACCGAGGCAAATTTTAGAGCAGGAGTGAAAGTTTGTTAAAAAGCTTTAGAACAGTAAAGAAAGGAAGGAAGGAAAGCACACCTGGATGAGGGCCAAGCAGGCTGAGAGATCAAATGCCCTGCTTGACCTCTCGGCTTGGGGTTATACTTCCAGGATCTTGCGTTACTTCTCCCCACTCCTGAGACCTTACTGGGAAGCTGCTGATCAGTTTCAGGTGTTTTCTATCTATTAGGAGACTGCCTTTCCCTGGTGCCGGCTGTGACCAATTATTACTTTAGAGAAAAGTTAACAACCGCCTGACCATCATGTGATGGTCACCTAACACTTCTGGGGTGTGTGTGTGTGTGTGTGTGTGTGTGTGTGTGTGTGTGTGTCTGTCCCTCTCCTGCGCTGCTTATGCCTGACGAGCTACCTACTCTAACAGTTTTGAGTTGCTATTGGTTGTTTATTTTCAATGTTACTATAGTGTTTTCTATGAATGTGTGTTTACATCTAAATTAGTGTGGATCAAATAGTTAATCCCGAAAAGGGAAGAGCAAAACTCTTAAGCTTTAATGGCTTTTCTCTAACTATAGGACATCTTTTCTATTTTTACCCTAGCAAAGATTTTAATCCATTTTTGTTTCAATTTCTATGTTAAATAAGCCCAAGGCACTTGGTGCTTTGATAGTTGTGATTTGGGCAACAACCTACTCAATTTTAAGGAAAATAAGCTGAAAAGAGAAAACTCTACTGGAATATTTTTCACTAATGTTTTCCTTGAGTTGAATAGCCTCTCCACACTCCTAGTGCTAGAGCTGCCAAATTATATTTACACAATGAGGGGTGATATTGTTTGGATGTATGTCCCCATCCAAATCTCATAATCTCATGTTAATTGTAATCCTCAGTGTTAGAGGTGGGGCCTGGTGGGAGGAGATTGGACCATGGGGGTGATTTCTCATCAACGGTTCAGTACCATCGCTCTTGGTACTGTCCTCGTGATAGTGAATGAGTTCTTGGAGATCTGGTCGTTTACATGTATGTAACACCTCACCTGCCCCAGCTCTCTTGCTCCTGTTCATGCTGCCATGTAAGCGTCCTGTGATTGAAAGCTTCCTGTGGCCTCCCTAGAAGCAGATGCCACCATGCTTCCTATACAGCCTGCAGAACCGTGAGCCAATTAAACCTTTTTTCTTTATAAACTACCCAGTCTCAGGTATTTCTTTATAGCAATGCAAGAATGGACTAATACCAGTCTCAGGTATTTCTTTATAGCGATGCAAGAATGGACTATTTCAGTTTAATGCTAACATAATTTCAAGGGCATACAGAAATTCAACCAAAGGGGAAAACACATATGATGCATTTTACTGAGCACTGTCCCCTGCCTTCAGGAAAACTGCACTCTATCTCTCACTGTAATGTAGAGCAAGAAGTAAGTTGAATGAAAATGTGCTATCAGGCCAGGCGCAGTGGTTCATGCCTGTAATCCTAGCACTTTAGGAGGCGGAGGTGGGTGGATCGCTTGAGCTCAGGAGTTCTAAACCAGCCTGGGCATCATGGTGAAACGCCATCTTTATAATTTTAAAAATAAGAATTGAAAAAAAAATTAAGAAAGGGAAATGAGAGGCCGGGCACGGTGGCTCACACCTGTAATCCCAGCACTTTGGAAGGCCGAGGTGGGCGGATCACGAGGTCAGGAGATCGAGACCATCCTGGTTAACAAGGGGAAACCCCGTCTCTACTAAAAAATACAAAAAATTAGAGTTAAGGCAATATAATGGTTTTGTATTTTAAAAGATAGAATTTATTTATTCAACATGACTTTTATAAGAGTAAAGATATAATTCATATTAAAAAAAAAATTAGCCGGGCATGGTGGTGGGCACCTGTAGTCCCAGCTACTTGGGAGGCTAAGGCAGGAGAATAGCGTGAACCCGCGAGGCGGAGCTTGCAGCGAGCTGAGATTGCGCCACTGCACTCCAGCCTGGGCAACAGAGTGAGACTCCGTCTAAAAAAAAAGGGAAATGCCCTATTCATGGTAGTTAAAAGTCACTCAAGGGCCAAAATCTGGGTAATTATTCTAAAAGTATTTTGGCCAAATGTTGCAGCTACTAAATCTAGAGGGTTTCCACTTTAAGACGTCAATACTTGGGTGATGTTCCATGACTCATAATATTCAATTCTGTAATTTGAAAATTACAATAGAAGAATATCTTGATGTTCCAGGGTCTGTCAACTAAACGGTCAATGAACTCTGGGTTTCTGCACACAGCAGCTCTCTTAATGTCACAGTCACTACTGTCAAGTGGTCATCCTGACGTTACTTTTTTTTTAAGTCATAAATTAACATTCCTGCAAATATAGTTCTCAAAGTACAATCACACAGCATGGAGTTGTAACCATGAGATGCCACACACACTGAGATTCCATGCACTGAGAATTCTATGATTCACACTCTGATCTTGCTTTTCTTCTTAAATAAAGCAGAGTTTAAGACAGGCAGGGCTGAAAGAAAAAAGCCCAAGGAAATAAGAATTTTAATAAAATACTTGATATCAAAAAGGAAAAGGACACAAGATATATAAGCAGAAGTCAGTAACTTTGACAGCAGTAGTGGGGTACTGGCAAGCAAACAGATTTTGAGGACAAGGAGAGCTTTTAGTTGATGGTTCCTAATTTCATTCCTTTGTGGTCAGTAAACATGCTTTGTATGATTTCAGTGCTTCTAAATTTGTTGGGGCTTGTTTTATGGCCTAGTGTATAGTCTTTCCTGGTTAATGTTTCATGTGGACCTGAATTGGATCACTTTTTAAAAATCTATTTTGTTAATCTGTACTTTTTGATTGCAGTATTTCATGTCCTTACATTTAATGTAATTGCTGATAAAGTCTGCCATCTTGTTATTCATTTTTAATGTCCTTTTTGTTGCTGTTGTTGTTCCTCTGTTCCTCCATTACTGCCTTCCTTTACAACAGATAGATATTTACTAGTGTGCCATTTAATTACCTTGTTGTTAATTTTACCCTACTTTTTTGAGTTATTTTCTTAGTGGTTGCCCTGGGCACTAGAATTAATACCTTTAATTAAAACAATCAATTTCAATTTATTGCTAACATAATTTCAAGGGCATACAGAAATTTTGCTCCAACATAAATCTTTTCCCCTTCCTCCTTTGCACTATTATCATACAAATTACATCTTTCTATGCTATAAGTCCACAAACAATACATATTACATTTATTGCTTTATGCATTGGTTTTGGAATAAGATAGAAGAAAAAACTAATAAAAACACATATATTATCCCTTTTATGTTTACCCACTATCTTTAGTGATGCTCTTTTTTTTTCTTCATGTGGATTTGTATTACCATCTGGTATCTTTTTATGTCAATCTAAAGAACTGCCTTTAATATCTATTGTAGAGCAAGAAATATTGGCTAGCATTAACTTCTCCCAGTTTTTATATATCTGGAAATGTCTTAATTTTGCTAGATATAGAATTCTTGGTTGGCAGTCTTTTCCTTTCAGTATTTGAATGTCATTCATTGCCTTCTCTCCTCTATGGTTTCTGATGACAAGTTGGCTGTTCATCTTAAAAGGAAGGTTCCTTTTGTGCAATAAGTCCTCTTTCTCTGTGTGCTTTCAAGAATCTCATTTTATTTGATTGTCAATTTGAGATTAGAATTTGAAAAAATAAAATGAAAGTGAAAATAAATTTTAAATTTGGCAATTTGACTGTGATGTGTCTAGGTATGTTTCTGAGTTTATCCTCCTTATAATTCATTGAGCTTCTCAGATGTGTAGATTAATGCTTTTTATCTAATCTGGAGGATTTCTGGCCATTATTTTTTCAAACAGTCCTTCTGCCACCTCTCTTTCTTCCCCTGAGGATTCCATTATGCATATGCTGGTACACTTGATCGTGCTCCATAGGTTGTTTTCTTCATTCTCTTTTTCTTCTGTTCCTTAGCATGGATAATCTTAAAGAACCTATTTCCAAATTTGTTGATTATTTCTTTTACCAGCTTAAATCTGGTGTTGAGCCCCCCTAGTGAGTTTTTTAACTTAAGATATTGTACTTTATGACTCCAGATTATCTGTTTAGTTCTTTTTTATAATTTCTGTCTCTTCATTGGAATTCTCTATTTGGGGAGACGTCATTGTAATAATTTCTTTTAAGTCTTTAGACATAGTTTTCTTTAGTTATTAAAACATACTGACGATAGCTGACTTGAAGCCTTTGTTTAGTAAGTTCAGCATCAGGGCCCCTCACAGGCAGTTTCTATTGACTGCATGCTTTTCTGTGCATGTATATACTTTCCTATTTCTTTGTGTGTCATATAATTTTTGTTGAAACTGGACAGTTTTTAGATAATACAATGTGGCAATTCTGGAAATCAGTTCGGTCCCTCTCATAAAATTCGTTGTTGTTCATTTTTGTTATCGTTGTCACTATTTGTTTGTTTACTGACTTTCTGGATTAATTTTGTGAAATCTCTATTGCCTGTAGCCTTACCTGTAGTTGCTCTGGGCACTTGTAATGTTAAAAAAAATACCTGCCAATAATTGTTTTGACTAATAGCCTGGGAATAGAGCTTTTCTTGCAAGTGAGGACAAATAACAACAATGTCCTGAGAATGCAGCTTTCCAGGTAGAAAGAGAGAGGTTTAAAATGGTGACAATGCTCTGGGTATGGAAATTTGTGAGGTACTAAAAATGTGATGTGGCCCCACTAGTGCCTGGAAAGCTATGGTTTTCACTGCTCTAGTGTTTTGAGATTGCCAGTTTTCAAGGCTACCCTGGAACTGGGGAAGAATGGTTGGGAGCAGTTAAAATTACCACCCCACAAACCCTGCTATTCTTATTCAGGTTCAGCACTTTTTCCTTCAATAAATATTCCTCTAATTGTTGTATGTCTTTGCTAATGTACAGAGTTCTAAAGAAGTTGATTTTAACAATTTTTCTCAGTGCTTTTGTGGAGGGGTAGATTTATGAAGACATTCCCTCTGCCATTCTGATGTTCTGCCTCATTACACAATGTTTTATAAGCAATTAAATGCTTGAGGTTTCATCAGGAACTGAGAACATTCTAAATATCCTTCTTTCTTAAGCAGTAACAATTTCAAGAAAATGAATACCTTTGTCCCTTGCTCCTAAAATAGCAGGTAGAGATAATTTTCTTTCTCTCTAGGCCTTCCTCTCCTGGTGCAGTGCAGTAAGGGAGAATTTTCCTCACATTCAGGAAAAACCAAGGATACCAACTGTTGCAACTTCTTATATGTAAGAAATGCTCAGTAGTAACATTTTTAAATCCCTGGAGCTTCTAACATATTTATGAAAAAACTAGAGAAAAGAAAGTTTATAGAAGGTCATACAATGAACCTAATTTTTGAGAACCCATCATGTATTAGAGACATGGTCCCTGTCATCTTAGAAGACACAATCTCAGAGAACTAAGAGACTTTAGAATATAGTGTGCTATTTAAAAAGAAAGTATAAAGGGCTTTTGGCTTTATGCAAAGGACTGATATTCCTAGAAGAAGTGACAATTTCTCTAACATCTGAAGGATAAAAAGGAATTGGCTGTGAAGGATATATGAGAGAAGGAAAACAGAAAGAGGTAAAGAAAGAGTCCTCCAGGAAAGAGGGCTACCGTATGGGAAGGTCTGTTGGAAGAATTTTGTCTGGAATGAGGATGGTAAAGGGCAGTGGTAAGAGATAAAGGCAGACTAAAGCTGAATCACTGACTGCTGTGGTCTGAACGTTTGTGTCCCCCAAATTCATATGTTGAAATCTAATCACTAATGTGATGGTGTTAGGAAGTGGGGCCTTTGGGAGGTGATTTAGGCAAGTAAGATTATTGTCCTTATAAAAAAAGCCTCAGAGAGCTGCCTTCTCTTTTCCATCATGTGAAGACACAACAAGAAAGCACCATCTACAAACCAGGAAGCAGGCCTTCACCAGACACTGAATCTGCTAACACCTTAGTCTTGGACTTCCTCAAAGTAAATTTCTATTGTTTATAAGCCACCGAGTTTATGGCATTTTGTTACAGCAGCTTAAATGGACTACTAAGACACTGACCAAAACTGGAAAGCTGGAAAACGATATTAACCAAGGGGTTACGTGGTGAGTTAATGTTCACACCGAATGTTAATGTTTTAATAGAGCTGAACATAGAATAGAAAGAGTGAGAAGTCCATTTGGGGAACATAGCTTTGGTAGAATTTTCACAGCAGTTAAACCACAGTGGAGAAGATTTCTTAGAAAATGAATGGCAAGAAAAAGAGAAAAGAAAGCAAAGAACAATGTTTGGGTCCATGTCAGCCCATAGTAGACTGCCTTCACACAATCAATCATGCTTCTTTCTTCTTAACAAAAGTCTGACTTTGAGCGTCCACCTTCCTCCAGATAAACCATTTATTTGATTTAGAGGAAACTAATCCTTTTCTGGCTGTAGGGTTTGATCTGTTGGTTTAAGAATAATCTCATATCCCCCTGCCAGTAATTCATCTAGAGTGGAAATCTGACTTAAATTGGCTCAATAAGACTGAAAGGAAAGATTACTGGTCCTTAGATGATAGAGAGGTACACCCTCTCTCCTCCTGGAAGCTGGCTGCCTCAGACTGTTGCCAGCCATCTGGTGTTTCAGACTCCCTTGTAACTGTGAGTGCCCATGAGACATGGTTCCCACCAATAGAAGAGGGTCTGCCAGGAGGTTTCCAGAAGGCCATTTACGGCTGGGGTGGTAGCTCAGCAATGTCACTCTCTCCCCCTCTCTTCCAGTGGCTGCTGGCAGCCATCCTGCAGTCAGCCAGCACAAGGACAAAGCTGACCAAGGAGGAAGTGCAGAGCCAAGAACATCTTCCCTTGATTATACTGCCCCGAAGTCTGCCCTACTGCTAGGCTTCCAGCTATGTCAATCAGTAACATTTCTTGTTGTTTAAGCCAGGTTTGAATTGCATTTCCGTGTTTTGAATTTGAAAGGATCCCAAAAGGTACAGTAGAGAAATGAACTCACAAAGAGATCATGAATAAAAGATAGTAAAGCAGAATCAGAAGAGTTCGATGGGATCCAATCTGAGGGAGGGTGAAATTTGACAAAAACAAAACAAAACAAAAAAACCCGACAGTGCTAAATGTAGCCGACCTATCAAGGAAGATGTTGTTCTTGTGCTATTTCTAATCTGGATATGGAACTTTAAAAAATCAATCTGTATTAATTGTCACCATGCCATGGTTCCCTGAGCTATAAAATATTCAAAGGCTAACCAATGGCAGCCTATTTTACAATTGGATTATGAAGATTATAAAGTATGCTTTTATAATGACATACAGAATAAACACAGTCAAGTAAGACATAATCTAAGTACATGAAAACCTCTTTTCCCCAAGTAGACCAAATTAATCAGTGAAGTCTTGTAAGTCTTATAGATACAGTTTATTTTAGATGTTACTTAAAAGAAAAATTATGAAAAATTTCAACATATACCTAAAGGAAGAAAGAACAGTATGACAAACCTCCACATATCCATCAGCCAGATTCTAACATTATCAATATTTTGTCACTCTTCCTCTTCATCCCTGCTTCTTGCACATGTAAAATCAATTGTTTGAACATCAGAATATATTTTCTTATATAAACCATGTACAAATAGCAATTAGAGTCTGAGGTCAAAACCCTGAAGCCATCTAACCTGTAAGATACATGAAGTTTTTACATTTTGAGTAGAAAACAACATGATTGGAACTATGAGTTAATTAACTGTGAGTCTCATTTTATGACTGTCTAAGAAGAGGGGGCTTACCAAAGCAAAAGTAAACTTCTGACCAGTCCCTACCAAAGTCACCAAGTAGAGACCGTTAAAGTTCAGGTTTAACCTACTAATATAAAACCTTCCAATTATTTTTATAGCTATTTAGAATCACTTAGTTTCTCCAAATGCTACAACATTTTCTGCCACAGCATTTTCTAACAATATTTATAACTGCGTTTTCTCTCCATAGTTGCAGGGCCAGTGGTTCTCAAAGTGTGTTTCAAGGACATCTGAGAGTTCTCTAGACCCTTTTAGGGGCTCTGCAAGATCAAAACTACTTTCTTAATAATACAAAGATATTATGTGCTCTTTTCATTCTTTTCTGGGCACACAGTAGAGTTTTCCAGAAGCTACATGAGGTAGGACATCACAGCTCTAACAGGTACATGTGTGAAGCACATGTGAGGATTCTCCTGTTGTCTATTAATCCAGACTCTAAAAAGATTTGTAAAAATACAAAACAATTCCAATCTTCTCACTACATTTTCTGTTTTGAAAATATAATTTTTTTAAAAAGTTATTTATACTGACATGTTATGAGGTTATTATTTTTAAATAATTCATAAATATATATATAATTTTCTTTCACTTTTAATGTCTAATGATTATATTGGTAGATGTAAGCCACATTCCTTGGGGTAGTCAATAATTTTTAAGAGTATAAGAGGGTCCTAAGGCCAAAAAGGTTGAGAACTCCTAAGTTCCGCACAAATTCCCTTCATCATCTAAATGAAACTTTTGGTTAATGAGATGACAATTCTTTTTCCATTATATTTTGCAAATGTCACTAGAAATAAAATCTATCTCTTCCCTGACATTCCTTTTTATGATAAACATTTTCTGATTTTGAGGAGGAAATAGACAAAGATCTGGTGAGGATGATGTCTAAGTTATACTTACCTTTACTAACTCTGTGTAGCCCGTTTCTTTTGGGGTCCACCAAGGCTGTGCTTTCAGTCCATTCACATTGTAGAGTGAGCGTTGCCAGACAGATGCAAAGTGTCCTCTCTTGTGCCCAAGCTCATACCACTTATATGCCTGAAGGAACAGAAAGAATGTGCTCCAAACTGTTCCTTCAACAGAGCATTTTTATTAATTTTAAAATTGAAAACATTAAAAATAAGGTATTACTTTGACACATTTAAATAAAGAGCTTACTGCTAGGTACTCAAATCTGTTGAAATCTGGTGAAAATATTGTTATTTCACTGGGTTTCTGATTATGACCTATTTGTATAATGAACATGTACATTTTCTTTTCCCCCTTAGGCTGCAGTCTCTCTGGATAGTGGATTCATGCCCTACACATTTTGGTCTCCCTCGAGTGTCCAGCAGGGAGTCGAGCACTTATTTTTTGAATGAATAAATAAGACACCAAAGGGCCTTTTCTATTTTCTATTTCCATTAGAAAAAGATTATGATTTTAATAATTTCTTCAAAGATATTTGCATTTACTGAATCAGAATGCTAAAATAAAAGCAGCTTCTTTTCACATGTACTTTCCATGTCCACATTTAAGAAGGTCACACCAAGGCGTCAGAGTGCAAACCCTCCATTAAATTAAGTAGACAGAAGGGAAAAATTATTCTGAGTGGGCAATAAATACAGTGATAGCCCATTTTAGATTTTTAAAGAAGGAATTTTTGTTCATAATATATATTTTTTTCTGCCATAAGGGATAACATGTGTGGCTTTAGGCTAGCTGCAACATGATACTACTTGCCTCCAAGACTAGCCTTTTCAGGGACAGCTGGCTACGGAGCATGACGCTCTTTATGGCTCCTTTAAATGATGCCCTCACCATATGCTCTCCAAGGAGCCCTGCCCACTTCCTGCACCATGCATGTTCCATTGTCTTTTGAATGGAAGGCTTTCTAATGGTACACTTAATATTATCCCCTCCACTACTGCAAACCTGATCTAATGATTACTTTTACAGAGATAATTCAAATGTATTTTTGATAAATAAAAATAAGCATTTCATAGTAACTTGAATATCTTCTTTGTAAATCACCAGATACACTTTAGATGTAAAAAATGTTAACTTTTCAAATTTTCCCTCATTAGGAGACTGAAGGGGGATAGCAATATCACCTCATATTTTCAGTAACACTTTACATTGACTACTTTCTTTGAATGTGTTATCTCATTTGATTTTTCCAATAACCCCAAATATCTCCATTTTACAAATGTTGAAACTAAGGTTTATAAAGGCTAAATCTTCTGAACTAGCATTTGGGGCTCCTGGCAACTTATTCTACTCTCCTCCTATTTATATCATTTAGCAAACACTATGAAAAATGATTTTCTTATTTAGTTATCTTTTTTATTAATATCTGAAACTAAGAATGCATATACAAATCATTCTTAAATATTTTCCTTACAATACATGTAAGTTGTAGCCAGAATTCCTTTAAAAACTAGAAAGTTAAAATGGCTAATTGTTATCTAATTTTTTTAAAAAATAGCATATATCTCTGAAATTAATTTGACTATTGTGGTTATTTTTGTCCAACTAAAATTTAGGATTTTACTTCCTATGCTTTTCAGGGCAAAAGTGAACAATAATACTAAGGACAACAGATTGTTTTTTCAAAAATCTGACAGTCCATTTTTGAGTCATCACAATTCATTTTAAGGATAAAGTGTATTGCTAGAATAGTGAGAAAAGAAGTTATTGTAGAAAAATAAAAACAGCAAACATTATAGCTGTAGTTCAAGAGTTGGAAGCCTTAGATTTTAGTTCCGGCCTTTAATTAGCCCTCGACATGCTAGATGTCTGGGCAAGTTACAACAGCATGTTTAAACTATCTATAAGGTCTTTTCTGACACTCAAAGTAAGTAATCCTGCATCAAGTAGGACTCAATTTTTCACTCTCCTGTCATATAAATTTTAGGAGAAACAAAATTGTGAAAGTGATATATCAGAAATTTTTAAAAATCACCTTTAATAATATGTGACACAGGGGACCCAATGAATTCAGCTAGAGTGCTTTTTAAAAAAAACCTAAACTACTTTACAATAAAAAATTGCTATAAAATCAAAGATCAAGTTAGAATCCCCTGAAAATTTCTCTACTATTTCCTGTCTGATCAGCAATTTTCCTGTCTAATCAGCAATTAGGAATATTAAAATAGACAGTAGGAGGCCCTGGGACACAGGGGCAGTAAGAGCCCCTGGGCCACATTTAAGAAGTTAAATATATTTTATATCAATGTTGTCTCTACTTTCTTCCAATCGTTGCTATGTATGGTTTTTATGCACATGTACATACACACACACACACACACACACACACATAAGAGAAAGAGAGAGAGAGAGAGAGAGAGACAGAGACAGAAAGTATGTCAGATGACTGGATCCCAGAAAAGCCCAGGCCACATCTGTGGAATGGGCTGTCATAAGTGGCCCCAGCTGGGGTATGTTCTGCCTGGAGCCCACTGTCCAGTGAGGCCTGAGAGACACACTTCTGGTGAGAAGAGCTGGCTGCAACTTGCCTAAGGATTGTAAATGCTATCGCGTGCAAACAGAATGTTATGTTATTTTGCATGGTAGGCTTTTTGAGCATAGGGTGGCTTGAAATAAACTGAGACCAAGCAAGAAACAACATCCAGGTTCTCACAGCTATCATTGAGGACGCAGTTGACAAAGACAGGAGTTAGCACTGACTGAGCAAGAGGGAGGGTGAGGGGGATGCCAAAAACATGAGAAAACCAGATCTCCATAGCTGGCCCTGACTAGACTGGAGTAAGGAGGAGAGGGAGGAGCTCAAGCTCACTCAAATCTTGATCCTGGGAAGACGGGAATATCATTGAATGAGAGAAGGAACCTAGGAGGAAAAACGGTTTAGAGAAAGACAAGTAAGTTGTCTCTGTGCCATCGTGTGGGACACTGAGCTGGCAGTAGACATGAGAATGGGGACTTGGAGAAGGAGACTAAATCTAGCTAGAACGTGGATTTGGAAGTTATGGGAATACCGAGAACTGCTATCTGAATTGCTGCAGACCCTCATGGTTTGTCCCCCGTCTTCCTGCCCATACTAAACGGACCACTTAGAAAAATTTTCCTCACAACCCATTTTCTTGTCAGTCTCTGCAGCACAGAGGCTGTGGCTTTGCTTTTTGCAGATCCATCCTCTTTCAGAGTTGGAGCAGTGCTCTAGGCATAAAAACGTGAAAGGTGTTTACTTCCTGACATGCAAACTCAGAGCACGACAGCCAAGTCAGACTCAACACCTAATGCTGGGAATATACTAACATGGAGTTTCTACAGGTTTGTTTCTGTTCTCCTGTAAGAACGAATCCTTCTGAACTTTTTAAATTCAAGAACTGTGCTGTTCTTTGCATATTCATGATAATTAAGTTGGTAGAACAGTCCCATACGTTCAAATCCCAAGCCCTTAACAAGTGTATAGTAATGAACTTTTTGCCCTTGAAGTAACGGCTGTTTTCATCTAAGATGTGAGATAAATCATAGGCTTCTTTCATCTGTCTTTGCCCTGGACTCTGAAATGTTCAAAGATAAATTAATTAGTGATGATTACATTTACAGTAGTCAGACATGAACATTTATCCAGTGTTAGATGTTGTAGCAAAATCTTTCTTATCCCTCTCATTCAAAGGAGTTCTGAGTGATTACATCTAAAAGAAAAATGCGATGCAAAAAGGACTACTAATCAGCAATTTCTTCTCCCATCTTTCTCTTTAATTCTAATATCTCATTCCATTTCAGTTGACTGGTAGGTTAGAGGGGGAAAGGTACAGATAAATAGACATGTATAAATCAAAAATTGTCAATTATCTGAACCTCTAGTACCTCCAGATTGGTTCATGTTCCTAGCAGACAATTACGTTATCACAAACCCCTTCACTTCTCTGAACCCTCAATTCCCCAGATGATTCCATGTTCTTACTAATTTTAGAAACCTGAAGCTGTATTATCCTTAGATGTCACTTTATTACATACATGGGATGCAATGGTTACAAAGATTCAGTGTCTCACTTTACCCTTTTATCCACTGACTCTAAGGAGAGCCCAGCTCTCACCCCTGCAATAAAGCAGGACAGGAAAGGAGGGCTTTGCCATCCAGCAGGGC